>NC_000012.12:19584650-20209650 GCF_000001405.40 Homo sapiens | reverse complement strand
AAGCAAGGAAAACCACCCTCACCTACGCCTCCATTTCTCCCTGCTGTCACAAACTGAGTTCCCTGGGCCTGTTTATGCCATGAAGCATGGCCTCCTTCCATGGGGTGGGTTTCAGCACACACCTGTTATTTTAAGCCTTTGCTTTTGTTTGTGTTGTTGCTTCCACCTGGAACGCTCTTTTCACTTTGCCCATTTTGCAAATATAAGCTCATAATTATCTAAACTACCATCCAAAAGAGACAAAGCAGACTAATATATATAACTAACTTCTTCCTTCTTTTTCCCCATAGGTACATATTTTTATGAAAAAGCCACAACACTTTATTTTTTTTTTTATTTATTCTATCTCTCCCACTGGATGATAAACCTCTTGATCGCAGGGACTATGTCTTATTCATCTCTTGTTCCATGGCACCTAGCCCAGTGCCCAAAAATAAATATTTGGTGATTAGGCTAAAAGGAAGAAGAAGAGAAAAGACAGGGAAACAGAATGAATTAAGTCTACTTTTACTTTTGTTTTAGGCCTCTAGAATATAAATCCCTGGAGAGAAAAATCTCTGAAAAACTATAGAGAAGGGATCTCTTGTCTATATCAAAATTGCTTTTGCCAACAAAAACATTGGTTGCAATATAGTGAAGTTTATATATGGATAGATTTTTCTTCTTCTTCTTTTTTTTTTTTTTTTAAACAGGGTCTTGCTAGAGTACAGTGGTGTGATTATGGCTCACTGCAGCCTCGACCTGCTGGGCTTAAGTGATCCTCCCATCTCAACCTCCCAAGTAGCTGGGACTATAGGTGTGCACCACCACACCTGGATAATTTTATTTATTTTTGTAGACATGAGGTCTCACACTTTTTTGCCCAGGCTGGTCTTGAACTCCTGAGTTCAAGCAATCCACCTGCCTCAGCCTTCCAAATTGCTGGGATTACAGGTATGAACCACCTTGCACAGCTGATTATTTGATCTTGAGTTTTCATTTGCAAGATTTTAGTTATCCCAGAAACAGCATTTTTTCCAACTGGCTTAAAAATATACTGCTAATTGCTGGAGAATGAAATCCAAGACATTTGCATTCTTACTCTGCGAACTAACAAAAATAAATTTGAATAAATGAATTATTTCTGTGATATATCTATTTCTTCCCCCAACTGCTGACTTGATTCTTAGTAAGAAATGAGTAGAAACATCTCAAATATATTTTCTGTCTTAAAATAGGTAGTATTTATTTTTATTATTTATTCAATTTATATTTTGTTCTGGCATCTAGAAGGGGCTCATTAAATAAGCCTGTTTTTATTTCTTATTTTCTTTCTTCCTTCATTTTCTTTAAAACTCCTCCAACAAATAGTTTAACAAATATTCTACATTCTGCCCATGAAGTATTTTTTTTAATTATTTTTTTGAGACAAGGTATAGCTCTGTCACCCAGGCTGGAGTGCAGTGGCACAGTCTTGGCTCCCTGCAACCTCTGCCTCCTGGGCTCCAGACATCCTCCCATCTCAGCCTCCAGAGTAGCTGAGACTACAGGCGCTTGCCGTCATGCCTAGCTGGTTTTGGATTTTAAGTAGAGACAGGGTCTCGCCATGTTACCCAGGCTGGACTTGAACTCCTGGGCTCAAAGTGATCCACCTGCCTCGGCCTCCCAAAGTGTAGGGATTACAGACGTGAGGCACCACCTTGGTCCCAGCTCTAAATATCTTTTAATGCCTTGCTATCAGCATAACTTTGGCTATTCTATCCTACTGACATTATACCATCTAACTAATCAAAAACTTATTATTGAAATATCATTATTGTAGATTTAGAAAATTCTTGCTAAGACCCTCAAGTCAGCCAATGCTGTAACTTTCTTCTTCCTTTTCCTTTGCTTGTTTGACACTTGAATTTTTTTCTTTTTTTTTTAGAAAGCCTTTTATCTTTTAGCATCTGTAAATATTGCTTTCCCGGTTGATAAAATACTGTCTAAGATTGTTTGTTGGGGGGATGCCTGTAAGGGCCACCTCTATTTCTCCTGGCCTGAAGAATTTAATTTGACCATTGATGCTAAGCCAAGAGTCACAAGAACTAGAGAGATGAAGGTTTGAAGAATCAAGTCAATCTTGTGGGTAGTTTCACAAGAAAGTGGAGCCTCCTGCTCAGTTACTGAACCCCAGAGCATCAAAATTTTCCAAAGACTTTTGGGGGCTCAGAACCATTTTGCCCCCCAAACCCTTATCCTCTCTTTTAGTCTGCTTTGTCTCTTTTGGATGAGATATCACAAAACAATATAAACTCATCGTGTCTTATTTGAAATGTGGATTTAACACATATTCAGTAAATCGAATGATAGTTTATTATTTTTAAAAATGTACTCTTTTAAAGTAACTTTAGTTTTTTAAGTTTCTATATTTTTGAAAGGATATTCTCTGAGATAAAGCATATATATTACATGTGTTTAAACACACACATATACATATACATAACATATTATTTCTGGACCTATAGGCTGTCATCAAAACACATATTTTAAACTATGTTTTCTAAATTAATTTTCAAAATGATCAACCAAGAGATATGTGATATCTATTTTACGTATGAGATAAGTAACTCTACCTACCCGTATCTAGAGAGAGAGAGAGAGAGAGATACAAATGTCTATGTTGCCAAAATGGCCTTAAGATAGTTTTCAAATATAACACCCCAAATATCTCAAATATTACAGTTATTATAAAAGTTGTTGAGTATACATGAAAGATTGAAAATAGAAAATTAAAAATTCTCATGTCCGTTAAAGCTGCTAATACAGATTCGATTTGATTTTCTAAATTTCAAAAGTCATGTTTCTTATTTTCTGGTTTTCTCTCTACTGAAACTTTAGAGAAATATCATGAAATGTTTTGTTAAACAAATCATTTGGCATTCTGTAAACTGAAAAACCCAGTTAAACTGAATTTAAACATTTTGAAACCTTATTTATGTCAAACTGATTTACCACTGAGGCTTTATGTGTTCTTATCTCTCAGATCTTCTCCAGCAAGGCAAGTCCTTTGATTTAAGCCTGAGAGTTGTAAACGTAGTCATAAGATTTCTTTTAAAAGTGCTTCCAAAACATTGTTAATCTTAAAATATACTCTTCACGTAGTGTGGCTTCCATATTCAAATGCTAACCAAAGAGACTGCTTTATGCTAGAAGCTCTTGGCTTGAAACTCTACTTAGTAACTTGGATTACAAATAAGTAATTGTGTGTTCAATTATACACACTTAGAGAAAAGGTAGAGGCAGCAATAATTATCTACATGAAATTAGACCTAAATTTTACAGGGAAACACTGCTAGTTTCCTGTGAAAATCCACTTCTAAAACAGATATAACAACAGCATGCAAACCCATACACTTAAATGAATATCCACTGAAATGAATATCCACTGACAGAACACGTTCCCAATTTAGTTTTAAAGGAATCATGGGAAACACTTTATAGGTTCATGCATGAAGGCAATAGATAGGGCAGTTTATTATTTTGAAGCAGGTAGCACATAACCTGAAACTGCAGTTTTCATGATTTCAGAAGAGACAAAGTATACCCTATGTGTAGCTCAGGGTGACTTGGAATGAAGCCAAAATACACAGCACTAGAGTTCTCAGGGTTAAATCATCATATACTATCAATCTGAACAACAGTGATTTAAGTCATTCGCCCTGTAAGCAACTTAGAAAGAAACTCAAGTAAAGCTGGTTAGAACAAGTCCAACATTGTTTTTAGGAAAGTAAAAATGTGGGAATTTAGTATTTTAGAAAAACTCTGAAGTATACATCTAAACACATTCAGTGTCTAATCTTTAATAATAAATAATAATAAAGTCAGATCTTTAATAATGGCTCATTTAGGTGCTTTAGAAGGTTTTCTGCCACATATTTAAAATACTTATTTCTAACCTAGCAAAAAGCAACATAACAAACAATTGAAGTTAGTCAACCCTTAACTCCAAAATAAGCTGAATGCTAAAAACATAATTTAGTATTTTTAAAATACTTTATACATTTGAATTTATATTTTAAAAAAACTCAGTCTTGTTTAGAAAGTTGAAGAAGTCTTGGCTTAATGACTATTTTTTTAAGTCAGTTAATAGGGAAGCAACTGGAACACACTACAAACATCTGGTGGTAATCAAATAAATGTACCTTTTTAAAATACTTGTACCCATAGCTCTGAGGGATTTTGTTGTTCATCAGCGGAAACCCTTTTTTAACAACTACATTTGATTCCCCACAATCATTCATGCTCGCAAACATCCAAACCAAATGTGAATAAATATTTTCATCCTGTATTAGCAATATTATAAAGGCCTCGGCGTGATAATGAAGTGAGAAACATTTACTGGCATACCAGAGTGGTGTAAAAATAGTAGTAACCTTTGACAACAAAAAGCTTAGTCAATTCCCAGTGACAGTTGCTTTCTGCATCAAAGATAAAATCAACATTACCTTAGAAATCATAAGATGCTACAACCTAAAATGGTATTTACCTTGAAACGTATAAAACAGAAAGCACTTTTAGTGAGAAGAATTTAATCATTTTTGCATGCATCATGGCATAATATTTGAAACTTCAGGCATATTGCTAAAACTGCACCTCTGAAGGAGTTACATGTTTTGTTGAAATGTACGGTATTTAATTAGGTTAAATTAATTAACTATTAGGTAGTACCAATTACCATTTATCTTAATTCTTTGGAAAAAATAAACATTGTAATAAAACAATTAGAGGGATGATTACACAAATTCATATCAGTCCCTTCAAAACTGACTACTTGTTCATAAGATCATAACCCTGGGCTTTGCCCTTTGATAAGTAGGATGGCAATTATCCTAAGATTTTTGTTTGATAACCTCTAAGAATCAGTAAGAAGAAAGTTTTTTCCTTATGCTAACTGAACTGCAAAGCAGATAAGAAATGCACTTCATTGTTACATTGTTTAAAACCTTAATTCATCATCCCTAAAAATGGGAAAAAATTCAAAGTTAATTTACTGGAACACAATCAAGTGTCCTATAATGCTAAGAAATAGGTATTATACTTCTACACTTGGCTTTTTTGATGACTAGCTGTGAATCTGAAAAACTTGTTAAGCCATTTAACTGCCAAATCTTTAACTTCACAAACTACATGATGTAAAAATAGATGAGAATTATATATGTAGTGTGTAAAAATTCTCATAAAAAATGAACTGTGTAAAATGCTGTAAAAATCAAGTTTAAGAAAATGGTTATTTTAATGGAAAAATATATATTGACAGAAATCCTTTTAAAATAATAGAAAGATATCCCGAAAGGCAAAGTGTATATTTTGGCCAAATAAAATACAATTTCAGAGATATATACACATTCAGAAAAAGGTTTAAAGTTTTAATATTGGTATCACAACCGTATTTTCTTTCATGGTACTGTATTTGGTATAAAGAATATAAAGGAATAAATGTCAGTACTCTGAAAACTACAAGTGAATTTAGAGAGATATACCTAGTTAATAGGTCAGAAGGCTTGATAATATTAAGACATCAGTTTTTCTCAAATTGATCTATAATTCCACACAACCATATAAAATTCTCAACAGGGGTTTCCTTTTGCTTTTATTTTGTGAAAGGATTTGACAAACATTATAAGATTCTCTTGAAGAATATAAGGGATATAGAATAGACAAAACCTTGAAAAAGAACAAAATTGGAGGGTTAATAACACCTGATTTCAAAACTTATTATAAAGTTGTGGTAATCTAAGTCAGTGTGGCATTGGCATGAAGATAGACATATCAATGGAACAGAATAGAGCATCCAGAAATAGACCCACACAGAAATATTTTTTTTTCACAAAAATGCAAAGGCAATTCAATACTGAAAGGTCAGGCTTTTCAAGTGGTGTTCAAGCAATTGGAAATCCATAGGCAAGAAAATGAACTTAGATCCCTACCTAGTAGCACATATGAAAGCTAACATACAATGGATCATCAATCTAAATGTAAAACCTAAAACTATAAAATTTCTAGAAGAAAACATAGAAGAAAATCTTCATGATCTTGGGTTGTCAAAGATTTCTTAGAACACCAAAAGCATGAT
Source organism: Homo sapiens (assembly GCF_000001405.40). Taxonomy (NCBI): domain Eukaryota; kingdom Metazoa; phylum Chordata; class Mammalia; order Primates; family Hominidae; genus Homo; species Homo sapiens. The sequence goes on along the minus strand of NC_000012.12, from coordinate 20,203,556 downwards.
CCGCATAAAAAATTAATGAATTGGGCTTAAATGAAATTAAAAATTTCATTTTTTGCCCCAAATGGCAGATTAGAGGCATTGCTAGCATGCCTCTCTCATTTGGAAGAACAGAATAGCATGTAAATATTCACACTGTGAACCTTTTTTCAAGAAGCAATGCAGGAACTAAACAGGAAAGCTGAAGGAATCCACAGACTCTTTGAAGGAAACAGCAGGCTGCAGTCTATACCACAGTCTACACTGTGAGTCAGGTAAAGGGCTACAAGTCCCCAGAGTATGAGTGGGAAGAGATTTTCTCTAGGATACATACTCCTACCAGGGAGCCTGAAAGTCCAGGCCACAGGGAGAAGGCCTTACCCTTACTCAGTGCAGGAACTGACTTGGAGAGGGTTATGGAATATAAAAGTAGGAGCAGCTGTGGGAAAACTGTTGCATGCATTCCCAGTCTCCAGCATGAACCAAGGGAAGCCATTCCATATTGTTTCTCACAGGGAACCCTGTGGAGGTCAACCAAATAGTTCAGGCAGTGGTTGCAGGTTGAAAGAAGCCCACAGTTGGGTTTCGTGATATAATCTCTGGTGGGCACAAACTCCCTTGGCCAGGGCCAGTGGGAGGCAAGTGAAAAGTGGATTGCAGCTATGAGTGCAGCAGCTGGGTGCCCAGCTTTGTGGATGGACTGGGAGTGACGTGGCTTGAAAGCCAGGTTGTTCTCTCCATGGGAAAAGCTTATGACCTGGAGCATTTATAAGTTTTGAGTGCAGGCTGTTTGGAAAGTAGCTCAGTGCTGCCAGTGGAACACTGCAGGAGTGGATCTGCCTCACCCAATGCATGGGGTCTGTGTGGGGCTTATTGATACCTGCTATTCCCCACTCCCTGCACAAACCCTTCTGTGCCACAGAGGCAGCAACAATCCCCTCTGGAACATTTGACCTGAAAACCAACTCCATCCTCCAACACCCAGAGGGGTTGTACTTGCCCTGCATGTGGAGACTCAGAGTGCAAACTCACCGGACCCAGCCCCCACCTGGCTTTACCCTGCCACCTGCCTTTGTGTCCCAGGAGGATATAAACTTCTGGGAGCTATATGGCCCCACCCATTGCCTGAGAAACCAGAGTACCCTTCATCCCAGACAACACAAGGCAAGCAAAAATCCCACTGCTACTATTACAGCTGTTAGTCTTTTGCAAGCACCATCTCCTGGTTGAAGGCTAACAAAAGTCCGTTACAGCATCTCCTGGTAGAATAACACTGTGCTCAAGAAGGAGAAGACTATGATGTAACCTCAATATCACCACTGCTTGCACCACTCAGGCTAACCAGGAGGTCCTGAGTCTGTCCACATGACCAGTTCTTTACCACTATAACCAGTGTTCGAGAAAGCCAAAACACTAAGGCTGTATATAACCAAGGGATCTCACAGAGTCTGTGTCATTCTCCTGCCACCTTCATTAGAGCTGGTGCTGTTACCTATGCTGGGAGACTTAAGGACAGGTCACATCACTGAATCCCTTGAAGACATTCCCCAGCACCAGCCTGGAGTGTGGCAATTTCATTGGGTGGCTAGACCCAGAGGAGCAACAACACTCACAGTAGTCTGGCTCACAGGGATTCCCACTACTAGGGCAAGGGGGAGTGCACAACATCAAGGCAACACCCCATGGGACAAAAGAATTTGGATGGCAGGCCTTAAGCAATGGATCTTTCTGCTGGCAGGAAGTTTCTTTCAGCAGAGGCACAGTTGCAGTGCTGGACTCAGCAGGGAAACTGCAGCTCTAACCCAACAGTCAGACAGTCCTTGTGTGTGTGAAGGGTCTTGGAGAAGAGGATATCTTTCCCCCAACGTACAACACCGCAGGCATAGCTGGGGATTCTCCCATGGGAGCTTGGCATGAGTGCAACTATAGGCAGCCTTTCCGGAACATGTCGGGATGACTGTATCCCTGCAGAAGGAGCATGCTCCAGGTTCAGGCTTGCATGAGAGACGGAGTCCCAGTTCCTCTCTACTTGAAACATCAACATTCCTACAGGTGAAAAGAGGTGCCTCTCTGATCCGAATAGCCAGAGCACTGGGACAGGAGTGTGTCTGAGAGATAGATAGCTTTCCTACTGACCTGGTAGGGGAGCTGAGGTGGTTCCAACTCTTCACCCTGAGAAGAGCTTGGTGTGACTCACTGAAAGCTCCTCCAGCTACCTCTGTCCAGGCTGGGACCTCTGCTCACCCTTGAATATTGCATTTACACACCTGCTTTAGCCACATCCAGTTCCTATCCAGGGATACCTCCCCTGCTAGTCTGAAGCTTGAACCATCAAACCAGTAAATAAAATAATGGGGAATAATAAATAAATAAGTGCACACCACGGGTTATGAGATAAGCTTCAAGAGACCTCTCCCCTTCCAACCTCATAGGAGACAGTGAACTTGCCCACACACTGAGCACATTGCTACTACAAGCAGCACATGAGAAAGCCATTATACAAAGACTCTCTATAACCAAGGAACTCGTACAGAGTCTTCAGCCATGAATGCACCAAGAATCAAATTAGCCTATATTTAACTATAAGCATTAAATTCTCATCCTTAAGTGGAAAAATAAATTAAAAACAACACAGTCAAATAAAACATAAATTCAAGAATAATTAGCAGAAATAGTCTACCCAAATGAGAGGGAACCAGAAAAGTATCTCTGGTAATATGACAAAACAGGGTTCTGTAACACCCCAAAAAGATCACACTAGCTCCTAGCTCTCCAACAATGGATCCAAACCAAGATGAAATCTTTGAAATAACACTAAAAATACAAAATAACACTAAAAACACTAAAAATTACAGGCATGGTGGCACACTCCTGTAATCCCAGCTACTTGGGAGGCTGAGGCAGGAAAATCTCTTGAACTTGGGAGGCAGAGGTTGCAGTGAGCCGAGATCACACCACTGCACTCTAGCCTGGGTGACAGAGCAAGACTCCATCGCAGAAAAAAAAAAAAAAAAGATAAAGCATTCAGAAGGTTGATTATTAAGCTACTCAAGGAGATACCAGAGAAAGGTGAAAAACAACAGAAAGAAATTTGAAAATCAGTTCAGGGTATGAATAAAAAGTTTTCTAGAGATAGAGATATCATAAAGAAAAACCAGTCAGAACTTCTGAAAATAAAAGACACACTAGGGAATTATAAAAAGAAGTAGAAAGTTTTAATAATAGACTAGAACAAGTAGAAGAAAGAATTTCAGAGTTTGAAGACAAAGCATTTGAATTAACCCAATCAGGCAAAAATAAAAAACAATCAAAAGAAATGAACAAAATCTCCAATAAATATGGGATATGTAAAACAGCCAAACTTAAGAATAACTGGTGTTCCTGAGGAAGAAGAGAAAACTTATTTGAGGGAATAATTGAGAAAAACTTCCCAGGCCTCGCTAGAGATTTGACTATCCAAGTCTAAGCAGCTCAAAGAACTCATGAAAAATTCATTGCAAAAAGATAATCACTGAAGCACATAGTCATCAGGCTATCTAAAGTCAACATAAAAAGCAGTAAGACAAAAGCATCATGTAACCTATAAAGGAAAACCTATTAGACTAACAGCAGACTTCTCAACAGAAACCTTACAAAGCAAAAAGGATTGGGTTCTTATCTTCAGCATCTTTAAACAGAATAACTGTCAGCTGAGAATTTTGTATTTAGAAAAACTACGTTTCACAAATGAGGGCGCTATAAAGTTATTTTCAGACAAATAAATGCTGAGGAAATTAATCACACCCAAACCAGCATTACAAGAAATGCTAAGAGGAATTCTAAACCTTGAAACAAAACCTTGATATGCATCAAAATAGGACCCCTTGAAAGCTTAACATGTACAGGGTCTATAAAAGAGTAACACAAGAAAAAGTACAAGCTATCTAGATAACAATTAACATGACAAAGAGAATAGTACCTCACATCTCAATATTAATGTGGAATGAAAATGGCCTAAGTGCTCTGCTTAAAAGATGCAGAATGGTAGAATGGATTAAAAATAAAATCACAAACCAAATATCTACTGTCTTTGAGACTCAACTAATATGGAAGGATTCATATAAACTCAAGGTAAGGCTGGGTGCGGTGGCTCACGCCTTAATCCCAGCACTTTCGGAGGCCGAGGTGGGCGGATCACGAGGTCAGGATATCGAGACCATCCTGACTAACACGGTGAAACCCTGTCTCTACTAAAAATACAAAACCAAGGCTGGGTGTGGTGGCTCATGCCTGTAATCCCAGCCCTTTGGGAGGCCGCGGGTGGATCACCTGAGGTCGGGAGTTCGAGACCAGCCTGACCAACATGGAGAAACTCCGTCTTTACTAAAAATGCAAAATTAGCTGGGCATGGTGGCGCATGACTGTAATTCCAGCTACTTGGGAGGCTGAGGCAGGAGAACCGTTTGAACCCCAGAGGCAGAGGTTGCAGTGAGCCAAGATCATGCCATTGCACTCCAGCCTGGGCAACAAGAGCGAAACTCTGTCTCAAAAAAAAAAAAAAAATACAAAAACAAAATTAGCTGGGCATGGTGGCAGATGCCTGTAGTCCCAGCTACTCGGGAGGCTGAGGATGGAGAATGGCATGAAGCCGGGAGGCGGAGCTTGCAGTGAGCCGACATTGCACCACTGCATTCTAGCCTGGGTGACAGAGCAAGACTATGTCTCAAAAAAAAAAAAAAAAATCAAGGTAAAGGGTGGAAAAAATATTCCACACAAATGGAAACCAAAAGCAAGCAGGAGTAGCTATTCTTAGACAAAACAACTTCAAAACAACAACAGTGAAAAAAGACAAATGTCATTATATAATGACATAAGGATCAATCCAACAAGAAGATACTACAATCCTAAATTTATATACACCTAACACTGCAGCTCATAGATTCATAAAACTATTATTATTAGATCTAATAAATGAGATAGCAATACAATCATAGTGAGAGACTTCTATACACCACTGACAGCACTAGACAGATCATTGAGACAGAAAGTCAACAAACAGTGGATTTAAATGACACTCTAGAACAAATGGACTTAACAAATATTTACAGAATATTCTAACCAAGAACTACAGAATAGACACTTTTCTCATCAGCACATGGAACATTCTCTAAGATACACCAAATGACAGGCCACAAAACAAGTCTCAATAAATTTTAAAAATCAAAATCACATCAAGTATCTTCTCAGACCATAGTGGAATAAAACTAGAAATCAACTCCAAAAGGAACCCTCAAAACTATACAAATATATGGAAATTAAATAATCTGATCCTGAATGATTTCTGGGTTAACAATGAAATCAAGATGGAAATATAAAAATTCTTTGAATTTAGTGATAACACAATGATATTCAAAACTTCTCTGATACCGCAAAAGCAGCACTGAGAGGAAAGTTTATGTCATAAAATGCCTACATCAAAAAGTCTGAAAGAGCACAAATTGACCACTTAAGGTCATACCTCAAGGAACTAGAGAAACAAGAACAAACTAAACCCAAAGCTAGCAGAAGAATAGAAATAACAAAGATCAGAGCAGAACTAAATGAAATTCAAACAAACAATACAAAAGATCAATGCAACATAAAGCTGGCTCTTTGAAAAGATAAACAAAATTGATAGACCATTAGCTAGATTAACCAAGAAAAGGAGAGAAGATCCAAGTAAGCTCAATTAGAAATGAAACTGGAGACATTACAATTGACACCACAGAAATACAAAAGATCATTTTTGTATTTCTACTATGAACATCTTTATGCACACAAACTAGAAAGCCTAGAGGAAATAGATAAATTCTTGGAAACATACAACCTTCCTAGATTAAATCAGGAAAAAAATAGAAACCCTGAACAGACCAAAAACAAGCAGCAAGATTGAATCAGTCATTTAAAAATTGCCAACAACAACAAATGCCCAAGACCAGATGGATTCACAGCTGAATTCTACCAGACATTGAAAGAAGAATTGGTACCATTCCCACAGAAACTATTCCAAAAGACTGAGAAAGACAGAATCCTCCCTAAATCATTCTATCAGGCCAGTATTCTCCTGATACCAAAATCAGGAAAGGACACAACAAGAAAAGAAAATTACAAATAAATATCCCTGATGAACATAGATGCAGAAATACTCAACAAAATACTAGCTAACTGAATCCTACACCACATCAAAAAGATTATGCATCATGGTCAAGTGGACTTCACCCCAGGAATGATGGGATGATTTAACATACACAAGTCAATAAATGACATGCATCACATAAAAAGAATTAAAATACATTAAATTAAAAATTAAAAAATTAAAATTAAAATTAAAAAAACCATTATGATCATTTCAATAGATGCAGTTCAAATAGATGCAGAAAAATGTTTCAACAAAATTCAGCATCCCTTTATGATAAAAACTCCCAACAAACTAGGCATAGAACTTACCTCAAAATAATGAAAGCCATATATGACAAACCCACAACCAACATCATACTGAATGGGGAAAACTTGAAACCGTTCTCCCTGAGAACATTAACAAAACAAGGATTCCCACTTACACCACTCCTTTTCAGCATAGTTTTGGAAGTCCTAGCCAGAGCAATTAGGCAACATCCTAATTGCATCCAAATTGGAAAAGAGGAAGTCAAACTATTGCTGTTTGCAGATGATATAATCGTATACCTAGAAAATCCTAAAGGCTCCTCCAAAAGACTCCTAGATTTGAAAAACAAATTCAGTAAAGTCTTAGGTTACAAAATCAATTACACACATCGGTAGTACTGCTATACACCGACATTGACCAAGCTGAGAATCAAATAAAAAACTCAATCCCTTTTATAACAGCTTCAAAAGAAAAAAAAAAATACCTAGGAATAGACTTAACCAAGGAGGTGAAAGATCTCTACAAGGAGAACTACAAAACACTGCTGAAAGAAATCATAGATGACACAAACAAATGGAAACACAACCATGCTTATGGATTGGAAGAATCAATACTGTGACAGCGACCATACTGCCCAAAACAATCTACAGATTCAATGCAATTCCCCTTAAAATGCCAACATTATTTTCACAGAATTAGAGAAAACAATCCTAAAATTCATATGGAGCCAAAAAAGAGCCCAAATAGCCAAAGCAATCAGAAGCAAAAGGAACAAATCTGGAGGCATCACATTACTCAACTTCAAATTATACTGTGAGGCTATAGTTACCAAAACAGCATGGTACTGCTAAAAATAAGTAGGCATATAAACCATTGGAACAGAATAGAGAACCCAGAAATAAAGTCAAATATGTACAGCCAACTGATCTTCAACAAAGCCTATGAAACATAAATTGATGAATGAATACCCTATTTAATAAATGGTGCTGGGAAAACTGGCAAGCCACATATAGAAAAATGAAACTTGATCCCTGTCTCCTTATACAAAAATAAACTCAAATGGATCAAATACTTAAATATAAGACCTAAAATCATAAGAATTCTAGAAGACAACGTTGGAAAAACTCTTCCAGGCATCTGCCTAGGAAAAGAATTCATGAATAAGACCTCAAAAGCAAATGCAACAAAAATAAAAATAAATAGGACCTAATTAAACTAAAAGCTTCTGCACAGCAAAAGAAATAAGAATCAGAGTAAACAGAAAACCCACCAGAATGGGAGAAAATAATTTCAAACTCTGCATCTGACAAAGGACTAGTATCCAGAATCTACAAGGAACTCAAACAAATAATCAAGCAAAAAAAAAATTCAAAAAGTGGGCAAAGGATATGAATAGACATTTCTCAAAAGAAGATATACCAATGGCCAATACGCTTATGAAAAAAATGCTCAACATCACTAAGTATCAGGGAAAGGCAACTTACAACCACAAAGAGATACCACCTTACTCCTGCAAGAATGGCCATTATAAAAAGTCAAAAAAACCAGAGATGTTGGTGTGGATATGGGGAAAAACGAATGCCTATACACTGCTGCTGGGAATGTAAATGTGTACAGCCTCTATGAAAAACAGTATAGAGATTCCTTAAAGAACTAAAAGTAGATCTACCATTCAATACAGCAATCCCACCACTGGGTATCAACCCAAAGGAAAAGAAGTCATTATATGAAAAAGATACTTTCACACCTATGTTTATAGCAGCACAATTCACATTTGCAAAGATGTGGAACCAACCTAAGTGCCCATTGACTAATGAGTGGATAAAGAAAAATGTGGTATATATACATCATAGACTACTACTCAGCCATAAAAAAAGAATGAAATAATGTATTTTGCAGCCACTTGGATGGAGCTAGAGGCCATTATTCTAAGTGAAGTAACACCGGAGTGGAAAACCAAAAACTATGTTCTTGCTCATAAGTTGGAGGTAAGCAGTGAGTATGAAAAGGCATACGGAGTGAGATAATGAACTTTAGGGACTCAGAGAGAGGTGGTAGAAAGGGGGCCAGGGATAAAAAGCTACATATTACGTACAATGTACACTGCTTGCATAATAGGTACACTAAAATCTCAGAATTCACCACTCTATAGTTCAGATATTTAACAAAAAACCACTTTACCCCAAAAACTATTGAAATAAATTTTTTTCAAAAAATTAAGAATTTCTGCTCTTCAAAAAACACTTTTAGGATAATTCAGGAAGAGCCAAACTGGGAGTACAAATACATATTTGCAAAGTACATATCCTGTAAAGAACTTATATCCAGAATCTATAAAAGAAAACTCTCAAAACAGAATTAAAAGGGAATAACCTGATGAAAACAAAACAAACAAACAAAAGAGCCAAAGATTTGAACATATACTTTACCAAAGAAGAAATAATAAATGGCATGGTAGGCTGAAAAATGGCTTCATAAAATTTATCCACATCTTTATCTCTGGAACCTGTGAAAGCTACCTTATTTGGCAAAATAAAAATTTGCAGGTGTGATTAAAGAATTTGAGATTGGGAGATTATCCTGGATTAACCAAAAACGCTCTAAATGCAATCACATGTTCTTTATAAGAGGCAGACACAGGATGTTTTGACTCCAAGAAGAGAGGAAGGCCACGAGAGGAAAGCAGAGTCAGAGAGAATTGGTGCTTCGCCACTGGCCTTGACAATGGAGGGAGAGGCCATAAACCAAGGAATACAAGGAATGTTGCGCTGAATGCTGAGAAGGGCAAGGAAGTGGATTCTCCCCTACAGCCTCTGGAGGGAGCACAGTCCTGCCAGCACTTTGGTTTTGACTCTGGCAAACTGATTTTAGGCAGCTAGGCTCCAGAACTGTGAGAGAATAACTTTCTGTTTTAAAGCCACCGAATTTGTGATAGTTTATGACACCAGTCAAAGGAAACTAACACAGATGGTGAAAAGGCACATGAAAACACACTCAACATCATTAGTCATGAGGAAAACACAAATTAAAACCACAATGAGATACCACTATCCTCCTGTTAGAACGGCGAATATTGTGGTAGTTGGTGGATGGGTGGAGGACGTTAATGAATAAACCAACAAATAATGAATAAATCAATTGTTTAGAAAACATGTACTGTATGATCCAGCCATCCAAATCCTAGATATTTTATTCAAGAGAAAAGAAAGTCAACTTCCAACAGACTTACATATGAAGTTCAGAGCAGCCTTATTTGTAATAGCCAAAGACTGGAAACAGCTCAAATGTCCATAAAGAGGTAAAAGGATGAACAAACTGTGGTATATCTACACAATAAAATAACACTTAGCAATAAGAAGAAATGAACTAATGAAATATGAAAAACATGAATAAATCTCAAAATAATTATACTTAGTGAAGGAAGCATGAGTGAATCTTGAAAAAATAATACATAAAAAGCATGGGTGAATTGTAAAATAATTATGCTTAGTGAAAGAAGCCAGACCAAAAAAAAAAGGAATATATAACATATGGTTTTATTTATATAAAACTATAGAAAATGAAAACTATTCAACAGTGGCAGAAGACAGATAAGTGGTTGCCTGGGGAGGGGGACTGGGAAAGACAAGAGTTGCACCAGGGAACTAGGGACACCAGGGAACTCTGGGGGATAATTTGTGGTCCCACAGGTGCACATATATGTCAAAACTTACCCAGTTGCACCCTTGCGCACTTGCTTGTATATAGAACATACTATAATGAAGCTTATAATCGAAAGTACATTTTTGATTATCTACTTTCCCTCTAGGAGCGCGATCTAAGTTCCAAATTCATAGAACATTAATCTTGAGGGCATTTATTTTCACAGAGCATATAAACCCTCCCAAAGCCTTTGGATGCCTATGCTTGTTTGCTCATTTGATGTGAGGTTAAGTTGGCAATATTGTGTATTATATCTTAGTGAACTCTTCTCCCACTATGAAATATTATACTATGAAATAATATCCTGCATAAAACACCTGTTGATTAATACATGATATTTAGTTTGTCTATTCCATGAACACACTTCAGGGAGAAAAAAATGCCTCAGTTCAATAGAAAAAGAAGATATGAGTTATACTCTCTACAAGGTATGTAGCATATGAGTAACCGGTAGAACTACAGTAAAGAAAGAAAGGCCTAAGGAAAAAATTCATATAAAATGTAATTATGTAAAATACTTGAACATATAAAAATAAGTAACCTAGTTTCTAGTCCACTCTAAATTCTGTTATATCTATTCTATCTTTATTTTTTAAGTTATTTATAAAAAGCATGTATAGAGCACCAACATGTTTAAAAACAGTGTTTTGCTTCTTAGCTCTCAAAGAGAAATAAGAAAGTCCCTGACCTAAAGAAGCTGACAGGTTAGGAGGTGAGACTGACAAGAAAAAAGACTAGACTGTGAACAAATGCTATGAGAGCTAGAAAGACTTGCTGAAGGTTAAGAATCATAGAATGATAGTAAAAATGGAAGTCATAATTAAATCTCACTTCTTGTTTTAATTTGATGAAAACAGAATTTTCTTGCATGTCATTAAAAGTAATGGCAAAACCACAATTACTTTTGCACCAACCTATTTTACAGTAATAAATAAATAAAAGAATCTCTATTTCCTCTTCCAATCTTCCAGTTTTATGTGTAGGAAGTATTTCCTTCACTACTCACCACTGTAGGTAGAGCCTGGATGCCTGATTTATGTGACCAGGTCATGGCTGCCCATTGTTCTGTCATAAAAAACTTCTGGACTTCTAAACAAATTCACATAGCTTAAAGACACTCTTTCATAAGCAATACCAAGCATGTACTTCACACACTTAAACCATTTGTGCAGACCCACTTTTTAAACAGCAAACTTAATATAACATTAAAACAAGAGAAAACAAAAGCATTGTCATAATTACTTAAACATTTTGCATTTCCCTTGTCAAAATATTTTACCAAACACAATTCTAACCATAACTTCGAAACAATTTGTTTATATTTATGAACCTACTAATGCATTTCAAAACTCATTACAAAGTTTCCACCAAGGACATAATCATCCTCACAGGTACTTGTCTGCATGGACTATGTAAAATGGTGGATGCCAAACCTGAGCTGAGCTAATATGTTCCTTGCCAGAAAATTCTAACCAGCCCATAGACAGAATTTGAAATTAGTTTCAATCTGAGAGTTAAAGCCTTAAACTAAAAGCCGTCAATAGCCATGTTTCCCACCCTGACAATAAGAATAGTGAGAAAATGAGGCTGGTACGTCCAGGGAGGAAGGGCCTTAGGGTTTCCTTCCAGTTTCCCTTGTTCTTGAGTCCTTGCTGCCTTGATGGAAGTATCAAAGCAAGGTTGTCAAACCTTTCTTAGATTCTATGAGCTTGAACTGTTTGTTTCAGCTAGTATGCGTTGCAATTTCTAAAATTTGAGTTGCAACTTTTAATATAAAGAATGCATTAACAGCCATTCTTTAAGATATTAAAATATATAATATAGCTACAGTAATTAAAGCAGTATAATTATGAGGGTAGAATATAGAGATAAATTAATATGAAAGGATTCAAAGACCACAATCATACCGAGTATATATCAATGAGAAAAAAATTAATTATTCAATAAATGCTATTGGGTCAGGTGTCTCACTAACTGAAAGAAAAAAAATATGTTCAGATGTCTTAAACTCTGGCATTAGAATAAATTTCAGACGTATTACAATTTTTAACTATGAAAAACAAACTATAAGTATTTATGTTAGAATGTGGCAGATTATTTTGAGCATTAGACCATAGGGAACTTTGGTTTGAATTGGGAAAATTAAAAATTTTAATTTAAAATACAAACTTTTACATAAAAAGAGTCATGAAAAAGATAATATATACATAAAGTAAGGCAAAGAGTGAATATCCTTGATATATGCAATGCTTTTTTAAAAAAAGGGACAAAAAGGCTGGGTGCAGTGGCTCATGCCTGTAATCCCAGCACTTTGGGAGGCCAAGGTGGGTGGATCACAAGGTCAGGAGTTCAAGACCAGACTGGCCAACGTGGTGAAATCTGGTCTCTACTAAAAATACAAAATAGTTAGCCAGGCATGGCGGCGCACACCTGTAATCCCAGCTACAGGAGGCTGAGGCAGTTGAATCGCTTGAACCCTGGAGGCGGAGGTTGCAGTGAGCCAAGATCACGCCACTTCACTCCAGCCTGGGTGGGGTGGCAAAGTGAGACTCTGTATCAAAAAAAAAAAAAAAAAAAGGACAAAAATACAAATAGAGAAATAAGCTAAGACCACATGGAAGTAATTTCACAAAAGATTAAAATAAATTTTCAAAAAACACACAACAAAATAGTCAATTTCACTAATAATAAAATATAACATTTTTAAAAAGGGATACAATATTTGAGCATGAAATTGGCAGAGATGAAATAAACTCTTAACTACAATATTGGGAAGGTTGTAGAACATTCTTACCTGATTTGGGTCAGGTAAGACATTTAGACTGCTTTCCTGGAGAGCAACTGGGTAACTTTTAACATGTATTTAGATACTTTGACTCAGCTATTCAACTTCTAGATATTTAATGTAAAGAAATAATTGTATAAGTCCACAGGCATAAAGGGACTAAAAGAGTCACTGGAGACCTTTTTTTTAAAATACAAAAACAAAAAATATAACATGTTTAAATGCAGAGGACTTCCTAAACGCATTATGACAAAACTGTATAATGAAATACAAGTGGTCATCAATGAAATATAAGTGGTCATAATTTAGTCATATATTCATTGACATAGAAAGATGTAATTTACCTATTGTTCAATGAAAACAACTTCATAGAGCAGTATACTATTTTTCTTTTGAAAGTATAGACATATATATAAGTGATATTTGATATAAAAATAAAAAATACTTTTTTGAGGCTACAAGCCACATGGCAAATATCCAAGTGGTCTCAATTTCTGCATACAGTGCACACTAACAGTTTTATTATTAACTTTTTTACTACAAAGAAAATTGCACCTGTTCATTCCTCTTAATTCTGATGAATTAGTGGCTGACCTAAGGGATGTTAAGCTCTGTGTTAAAATTAAGGCTCTAGAGAACTGGCATCCCTTGTATGTGAGAATGGCAAATCTGCTCTACATTATCCCATCAGCTCTGACAGGCTCTGTTAAGTCTCAGACTTAAGTCTCCCAAGTCAGCTAAGAGGATTAAAATACGGACACAGAAACATTAACACCGTGCCCTCAGTTTAAATATCCATGCAGGACCCAGAATTACTGGCTCATTTGCAGCTGCTCATTGCTGCCATTTAGTTTTTTTAGATCAGGAGCAAATAGGTCTAACTCCACAAACAACTGTCTCACCTCTCTTTACAGCTGCAATTAAAATCATGGGGCCAAATGGCTTAGAAATGTGTAAGTGAACGATACCCCTTATTTCTACTTTTCTCATCATCTTCCAAACGGAAAACTTCTATCTTCTCCTGTGTTCTAACACCCATAATGTTCTGGATTTTCTTTTTCTGACTCAAATTTTCACTCCGTTCCTTTTCCCAGGTCCTTGATATTACCCTCTTGAACTTTGAATTCATGAAAAACAAATCTTATCTGTACCATCTTCACCAAACATTCCTTTCTCCTCTGTGCCCCAGCACAACTGCAGTAGAAACAAGTACAAAGAACCAGAATTCTTTTCAAGGACTTACTGACCAGCTGAAGGGAGAGTGGTGAGCAACAGCCTACAGCTGTCACCTCCTTCCCAATTGGACGCAGCGAAAGAGACTTCCTCATCTAAAGTCATGCCTTTCTCAGGAGCAGGCTGCAACTGGTGACTGAGTGAGGCAGGAGTAGAAAGGCCCGCTATTTTGGCCCAAACATGGGACACTCTGATTGGCTATATTCATTCAAGAGCTCCTTGCAGGATTAAGGTTTTGTCAGCTCTGCATTGTGGTTTGACTTTTTCCTTTGCCAAATTCCTTCCCATCGCAGCTGATGGTTATTGATAAACAACTTGCCCTTTGAACTCTCTGTCTCAGTGTCTGCTTCTAGAGACAGCAACCTGTGATCATTGGTACTAGCAATGGCCCAACAAGCAATTGATAAGATGGAATTTGGGAGCTGATCATTCATTACCTGATTGACAATGAGGAGCCCATTTTGACAGTAATGGAACACAGACAGCCCCTGGCACAAGTTAGCAATCTGACTGTTTAAACTTTCACTGGTTGTGAACCAGGAGGGGCACTGAATCTGGTTAGGATATATAGGCTCATAGGCAGTGATGCATGTCCTGGCTAGTTGTTTAAGAACATGAGAGGAAAGGAAAAAGACTAGAAAACATTAGCTGTAACATCAACTTACTTCTGTGGAGAAGGAGGTTTGAGCAGCACAAGGGTTGACTGTGGGAGACACAGATCTACTCCCCAAATTCCCCTTCACGAAAGTTCTTTTTGTTCTCCTGAAGAGAGTGTGAGCAGCAGACAGTCTTCAGCTGCAGTTCCTTTGTAATTATCCCCAGCTGAAGAGAGTTGTCTTGCCGGCGTATAGTTTTTCCCAGGATCTTCCACACTTAGTCATGGATTGAGGTTGGATATATCGGCCTTGCCATCTTAAAGCATACTCCAGTGGTAAATACTTATTTCAGAGTTCCTTACCGGGCTGACAGAGGCTTTGTTAGGCCTGTACTGGAGTTCAGCTTCTCTGCCCAACTCTAGTTCTTTACCCTTCCTTCCCTGGCATTGATCTCTTATGCAATCTTGCACCCTAAATGCCATCTCAGTGTCTGGCCCATCTATCAATGTACTATGCAAGAGCAGTTCCACATTAGACGTGATGAGTGCAGCCAGGAAGATAATGAGACTTCAGAGCAGTAGGAGTTTGAGTATAATGCTATATCTATGCTTGTAGAAAATGCAGAAATGAGTAAGGGCATCTGCTTGGAGGCCAGAGAGAAAGGGAATATTTCTTACTGGTTCATATGAGAGTGAAAATTAAAGGCAGGGGTGGAGTAATGTCTCAAGAGAATTACTTTTTCTGTGTTGTATATTGCCTGCTCCCTTGGGAAAAAAAAATCTGCCTTGAAGACTGACACTATTCTTCAAGGGTTCCAGAATTCATGTGTGTTGCCTTTTAATATGACTCCACTTGAAGAGTGAACATTGAGGGGGCCTAATTTTACTAGGGTTATCCCTGAGGAATTATCAACCAAGATTTCAGGTCTGCAGTTAAGTACTCAGCTATAGCTCAGATTAAAATATTCACATTAGGTTGGATCAGGAAAAAATTTTCACCATGATTACCAAACCGGTAGAAAAGTGATAGTGGTCCGGTAGACCCAAACCACTATGGTTTCTGGAATATACAGAAAATCATTGTGGAAGTCTTGCCACAATTTGAGTTACAATTTCATAATTCCTAGTTCTGAACTGATTGTTACGGTGGGAAAACTAGGCATGTAGCATTATAAGGATTTGCCAAATTGAGGAAGTATTAAAAATGTCCTCATTACATCATCATCTAGAAAATGCTTTCCGGTCTTAACTGCAATAGCCTCACAGATTCCTAAGAAATTATTATTTTTCGAGGAGAGAAAGAGCTGATGGAAGATGTGTTGCCATGTTTATCTTTCTCAATTGGGAGTCAAAATCTGCTGCAGTTTTGATGGTTGCTTTAGGATTTTCTTTTTTTTTAAAGAACTTTTTTTAGAGACAGGGTCTCACTGTACCACCCAGGCTGGAGTGCAGTGGTGTGATCATGGCTCACCATAGCCTCAAATTTCTGAGCTCAAGGGATCCTCCCGCCCCAGCTTCCCAAGTTGCTAGGACCACAGGTGTGCACCACCACACCTGGCCAATTAAAAAAAAAAATTGTAGAGGTGCAGTCTCACTATGTTGCCCAGGCTGGTCTTCAACTCCTGGTCTCAAGTGATGCTCCTGCCTTAGCCTCCCAAAGTGCTGAGATTACAGGTGTGAGCCACTATACCCAACCAGGATTTTTAATTTTGCAAGCTTTGGAACATTCAAAGCACTGTCTCTAAAATTGGAGAAATATATGGAACGTACAAAGGTTCATAGAACAATGACTCTGAGCCATGATTGAGCGTGCTGCTAAAATGCAACAGTGATGCAAATCCTCAGCCACAGATGCCCTCTTTGTTATTACCTACAGGGATAGTTCTACAACCTGTTTTGGTAACAAAACTCTGATTTTATACATAGGAACAATGTACTAATTCCCAGAAAACAAATATCATTTGGTTAAAACCAACCATGACTACCCCATTTGCCTTTCCAGGGTTAAATTTCTCAGCCTTCCTTGCAGCTCCACATATCCATCGGTTTCAGCTATGGTGGATGAAGTATAAGGGGACATGAGGGTGAATGGCAGCAGATATAACCAGATTTATAGATTTGGTAGTAGAAGACTGAGGGAGTTCCCATATGATAGAGTTTCTATTTGTTGCTTACTACATAATAATTGCCAGCCACTAGTGGGTACTCATATATTTGAAACATTGAAAATAAATTAATGAATTTTCTACATGAAGCAGAGGTAAAAATTCATCTCCTGAATATGATAGGGTGGAAAGAAGGCTACAGATGTGATAAAAGTGTAAAGTTTTAATATTAGCCTTTTCAGTGTCCTGCACTATGTGAGTCCAAGTTCAATTCATTGCATGGGCATTAATGCCTCTGCATTTCCCACTTGTGTACCTGGGCACTCCAGGAAGCCAGATCCCACTCTCAGAGTTGATGTGTTTCATCTGAATTGGAAAGTGGTATAAAGAGGTAGAGTCTCTGTTGGTCCAGTTAAGTTAGACTTGGGTGCCGAAGCCACTATGGTTCCCAGGTTGGTGGGCGTGATGAAGGTTGTGCCAAAACCCCGACCTTACCTGGTGAGGCAGTAGAAGATGAGGAAGGCAAATAGGAAGGCAGCTAAAGTTCTCTACTGAGCAAGTGGCTAGAACTAAGGGGAGAGTGGGTCAAGCAAATCTGGGAAGATGCAAAAACCAGAAAAGCATCCTCCTTTGTTTACCCCAGCCATTCAGCCAGGTCTGATTAAACCATACAACTTTACCTGATGGTGTGGTGAAGAGAAGACAGGGGTATTCAGAGAAGGGAAGCTTGCCCCATGATGACTGTGTGATACAGATGCTATTATGCAAGTAGCAGCATATAAATAGTTGCCGTTAGAAGTTCTGCTATTCATTAATTTAGGACAAGATCAGGAGTAAAATCAATAGTGGTCTGGTCCCACAAAAATGAAGGCAAGGTGGGTGGAACATATAATTCAGAAGAACAGTAAGCAAGGGTGGATTTAGACAACCTCCTACCTTCTTCTTAAACGTGAGATGATTTTTTGGGTGTAGGAAGTAGAGGTAATGCTTGGCTTACAATTGATACCAATAAGAATAAGAGAATCAACGATCCCAACTACACTGAGTTTACAAAGGGATGCACAAGGCACCAATTTTGTTTTTTTTTTTTTTTTGGAGACAGAGTCTTGCTCTGTCACCCAGGCTGGAGTGCGGTGGCATGATCTCAGCTCACTGCAACCTCCACCTCCCTAGTTCAAGTGATTCTCCTGCCTCAGCCTCCCGAGTAGCTGAGACTATAGGCACCCACCACCATGCCTGGCTAATTTTTGTACTTTTAGTAGAGGCAGGATTTCACCATGTTGGCCAGGCTGGTCTCGAACTCCTGACCTCAAATGATCCACCCACCCTGGCCTCCCAAAGGCACCAATTTTTTTTTTTTTGTTTAACCAATCCTTGGGATCTCATGGGGAATCACCCACTCATGTATCTACATGTTGCTCCTAGCCCTAACTTATTTTTTTCTCTCTGAGCTCTTGTTTCCCTGTAGCTAAGAGTCTTTCATATGGGAAAAGAGGAAGCAAAAGAAAGACTGTTCTTCAGTTCACACTCTATTAATAGTGTCATTTGAACATATAAGCTAAGTATATGGCACGTTTGCTCTCCCTGGTGAACTGTCTGTCTCTACAGCAGTAGACGATCATTCATTCTACTGCTAGATTGGGAGGATAAATGGTCGCCTTAGGTGAGGTGGAAACCAGCACATCAGTTTAATACTCTGAAACATGGCCACAGTACAAGCTTTGATCCAGCCGCCTTCTTCCCCCTACCTTGTTATTCCTCCCTATTCCTGTCCCACACTTTGTACATATACGACTGAAATTTGAAGTGACATATAGAACTTATTTATTCCTATTAATTTCATCTTTATAACGCTGATAGAGCATCCCCATTTCCTAAACGTTGTTTTAACTCACAATTATTTTTTTCTAGATCTTTCAGCCTTGTGTGTCATCTGCAAATCTGAACCAAGAAACAGGCATTCTCTTTAGAAGAAAAATGTATAGGAAGCCTGCTCAGAGGAAGCGAGGTGCTCCAGATGACCTCTGGAAGTCCCTGCCAGGCTTATGTTTTGAATTTTCTGTAACATTTTATTATGTAAAACAGACCCATTAGCTATGTTTACTCAGGCACATGGAAGAAGATTGAGACAATTACCTAAAAATTCACTGTGACTTTTCAGTAAATGTTATTAAAGAAAAAGTGGGAAATGGGCCTTCAATTATCCAGGGTGTTTATTTCCATTGATCGAAGTCACAAAATAATTACCTCATTTCACTTTGTCTAATTAAACATAAGTCCATAACAAATTTTATCTCAGGACATACTGAAAGGGAAATATGGTGAAACTGTATAGTAAAACCAACATAGCAAAAAGTTGACCATTAAGCCTCTCTTATTTAAAGTTAAAGGACAACTCCATAAAGCCAGAATTCTAAAGCCAGAAGTCTAAATGAGATTAATAAATATAAAGGAACAAATATATATTCAGTGAATACTGGCCAATAATTGCTGGCTGAAATACAATATCGTACACAAAATCTTAAAACCTTATACCACAAAATAATGAAATGCCTTCTGTTAGTTTTTATTTAGAATCATATTCATAATGTTAAGTTTTATTGAACATAATAAACAAGGGATAAACAATATATGAGATATTCTCTAGAGGGTGCTATAATGATCAAGAGAAAGAGACATCTTAAAAAATTACTTAAAATGATTAAATCTTACATGTTAATTTAAAATTCACCTAGGGAAATAGCTAGTTCTCATAATGAGAATAAACAAAATAAATACCATACGAAAAAAAATTGGGTGATAGTGGTTCAAGACAGTGATTTAAAATGCAACCTAACATTTCTTTGTCCATAGTTGATGGTAAAGTATCAAGTCATAAACTCTGCTCATCATAATTTTCTATATATGGTACTAGTGAGCTATTTACTTCAGCCAAAGATCAGGAAACATTCCACAGCAATGAGATCTCTTAATCTGTAAAACACTATCTCAGGGGAAATTGTAGAAACTTCTTCATTGGTCACTCACTGTTTGCTTAAAAAGTAGAGTGTACAAAACATGATAAGACATATCACGGGAAGCAAATCCATCTTAAAGGGAGAGGTAAAAGCAGGAGATAAAAAAGGAAACAACTTCTGTTCAGTGCTTACTTGGAGAGCAAGGCATTTTTGCACATTATTTAATATCACAGCCACTCTGGGAAAGGATATTATAAACACTTTACAGATGAGAAAACAAAAGGTAAGAGTAGTTAGCTAAAGTCAAAAGTAGTAAGTGACAGAGCCAGGGATTTGAGCCCAGGTCTGTCTTGCTTTTGGGATCCTGTTTACAGTTCTGAGAATAAAGGTATGTTAAAGTGATTATCACACAGAAGTCAAGTACAGCAATATTTAAATCTCTAGTTCATGAGGTAGGCCGCTTCTTTATATTTTTGCCTTGTGTGACTATACTCTATATTCACACATGAACTTAGAAGAATAGAAAAATCAGCATATAGTAGCAAAACATTATCTTCTCATCATTATGTTTACAAATTAGGAGATTAATGGCAACTATCAAGAGTCCAGTTACAACAAAGTTGTAGGAGTTGAAGTTCGATTACTGGAGACTCAATAAACAGTGACAGAAAACCAAGGTAACTATCACTGACAACTCATCCAATCCACACATTGGTGTCGGAGTTCTCTCTCTTTCAGTGGCAGAAGAAAATGTAGATAACACTTCCAAGACAAAAGAAAAGAAAAGGAAAGGTGGCGTAAGAGGAAAGAAAGATCATGGAAAGAAGTGTTCTTTAAAAACAAAGTGAGACTTCAATATGTTTGTAGTTTGAGAAAAAGAATCAAGAGAAAAATGGAATAAAAGATTTAAAGGTGAGATTAGATAATTAATGACAATAATAATAATTAACATTTTAAATTAATGCTATTGAGAAAAGATTTGAAGGGGGATAAATCAGGGAAGTGGAAATGATTCATTTTTGGAAAAGATGGAAGAATATGTGAGTAAATACAGAGCCATATTAGGCACTGTAGTCATCCTCTCTCTAAAAAATTAGGAAGATATCAGTTGTGAATAAGAGTCATGCTTAGGGACTTGAATAAAGTAAAAGAAAATTATAATGTGTAATATATACAATGACAAAATGACAGGGATGGCAAGAAGGAATTGGATTGGATAAGAGGAAAATAAATATTGAGCATCCCTAGGGGATTTTAGGTGAAACCAATTATCCCGTTTAGTAATGTTTGTCAACATCAGTGCCATGCAAGGAGAAAGGAGGTAGCTTGCTTTGCCCCTTGCTGATGATTCAGAAGGTAGGATAAGAGATGTAATCAAAATAGCAAGGGTGAAAGTGAGAATAAGGTTGAAATGGAAAGTCAAAAAGCTTAGGCTAGATGGATAAAAAGGTGAATATAATTGGAGTAGATATACTCTACTCCAGTTGGAAATGAGTAAGAAGCCAAGGTCCTGGAGGTTGACATGAAATAAAGATAAGTTCAGGGGAAGCGGAGTCATGGCACAGGCAGAAAAATAAAAGGCCAGGAGAATTTCATATGTTAAAACTTGTTTAAAGTTATTTTGGGATGAAAATAACTTGTAAGGTGTAGCCAAGTATGTGGATTGCTAACATGGAGAGGAGGCAATGACCATTAAAATAGAGAAGGTCACAAAAAGTGAGACGATTGGGTATCAAGTGTACCAGCTGTAGACATGCTGAAAGCTGTCCAGTATCATGGACTAGAGAGGATTACAGTGATTTAGTTGTTAAAGTCCCTGATAAATCAGAGGAAAGACAGCACCTAATCACTGTGATAAAGATAAGGATGGGAAATGCAGTTATCATCAAATGGTATGAACTTTCTAGATTAGAGAATGGCTATGGATAGTAGCAGACCCCAAAAGGTGGTATAATCTGTGTAGTCCAAGTACCAGTTTAGTGTAAGAGGTAGAAATATTATTTAAAGAAAACATTAGACTGAGATTAAAGAGAATATTGATTGCTAGCAAAATGGAGGTTTTCAAAAGTTCTGGGAAAAATGTTTGAAGGTTTAGTGAGAAGAACCACCAGAGAAGAAGTAAGATTGAAGCTAACTGCAATAAGGCTGTGGAAAAACGGGGGGTGTGAGAGTGTACTGTGGACTGGGATTACAGAAGAATGCCAAGGGCTCAGAGGTAAAAGGTCATGATGGGGCAAAAGTTTTGTATCCAGCCCCAAGGCAGAAATAAATTTGTGTTAAATCATATTGCTGCACTTTATCTAATAATCTGTGATCTCTATCTCAAACTGGCAATCAAATGGACATAAAGGTGTGGGAAAGATAATAAATCAATTTCTCAGTTTGTAGCCCAGGAATTATTTAGGTCATTTACAAACACAAACAGAAGCCAATGTTTTTAAAACTTTTTGAACGTATTTCTTTTCCAAATTCTGTCAAACATGAAATACACACACACTGACATTCACACATGAAATGTGTCATCATTCTCTTAATGTATCATTGTTAATACACTTGCCACTCTCCAATTCTGAAAACTCTCAGTTTTCATCCATTCTTTTTTTCTAGTCCTTATTCTGGGAGAAATCATAGGCCAGTGACCACGAGCTCCACAATTTGGCTCCTGACTTATTTCATTTTGGGTCCTGATTTATTCATTTACTAGCCTCATTGCACATATTATCAGATTCTATCTCAGTTTCTTTTCAGAAACATCCTCATATTTCCCTTAACCTAGTTGTCATTTTTTTATAGACTCTTTGACTCAACAACAGTAGAATATACCTTCTTCTTTAGTGCGCATGAAACATTTACCAAGATAGATCAAATTCTGGTCTATAAAACATACCTTAACAAATTTAAAGGAAGAGAAAACATAGAATGTATACTCTCTGAACACAATGGAATTAAACTAGAAATCAGTAACTGAAAGATAGCTGAAAAAACCCAAGTAATTGGAAGTTAATCGACACACTTCCAAAACTCATGGGTTAATGAAGTCTCAAGAGAAATTCTAAAGATATTTTCAAGTAAATGAAAGTGAAAATACCTTTTATCAAAATGTGTTTAATGTGGCAAAAGCAGTACTTGGAGGTAAACTTATAGTATTAGTGACATATTTTATAAAAAAGGAAAATCTAAAATCAATAAACTAAGCTTCCACTCAGAAAACTGGAGAAAAAAGAACAATTTAAATATAAATCACAAAGAAAAATACTAAAAATTTGAGCAGAAATCAATGAAATTGAAAACAGGAGAAAAAAATAGATGGTCTGCTAAACCAAAGGATGGTTCTTTAAAAAGATAAATAAAATTGATAAGACTCTAACCAGATGAGCCAAGAAAGAGATGGAGACAGACAGACACACACACATGCATACATATGCACTAAAGTGTTTTAATGTCTATGATATCATTTTAATGTCTGTGATTGGTATTTGTGTTACCAATATCATTACCAAGATCAGAAATGCAAGATAAATCATTTACTGATATCACAGACATTAAAATGATTACAAAGAAATTATATGAACAATTCTATACAAACAAATTTGTTAATTTAGATGAAATGGACCAATTTCTTGAAAAACAAACTGCTGAAACTCACACAAAATGAAATAGATAACCTTAATAGTGCTATATCTATTAAATAAATTGGGTCAATAATTAATAACCTTCTAAAAATAAAGCACAATAGCCCATATGGTTTCACTAATGAGTTCCCATGAACATTTAAAGAAAAAATAATGCCAAGTATCGACAATCTTTTCCATAAAAGCAGAGAGAATACTTTCGACTCATTTCATAAGGGCAGCAATACATCAGAAGACCAAGGCCAGATAAAACACAACAAGAAAACTACAGATTAATGTAGTTTTCATGGACATGGATGCCAACATTCTCAACAAAATATTAGCAAATCTAATACAGCAGTGTATAAAAACAATTATATTCCATCACCAAGTAGGATTTACTCCAAATATGCAATGCTGAAATTGACATTATAATATCAATTTATGTGGTCTACCATATTCACAAGTTAAATAAGAAAAATCAAATGATCATGTCAAGGGATGACAGAGAAAAAGCACTTGATAAAATCCAACCAATTTATGATAAAATCATTTGCAAACTAGGACTAGAGGAGGACTTTGTCAGCTTGAAAAACATCTACAAAAAATCCTACAGCTAACATAATACTTAATGGTGACAGACTAAATGCATTATCCCTAAGACAGGGTATAAGGCAAGGGTATCCCCTGTCACCACTCGTATTCAATATTGTATTGGAGGTCCTTGTTGTGCATTAATATAAGAAAAAGAAATAAAAAATATCCTATTTGAAAGAGGAAATAAAACTGTTTATTTGCAGATGACATGGTTTTGTAGAAAACCCTGAAAGAATCTACAAAACAACCTCTATAAACTAGTAAGCCAGTATCAAATAGCAGGTCAATATACAAAAGTCAACTGTTTTCTTATACAACAATGAACAATTAATATTTGAAATTTAAAAATACCATTTGTAATAGCCATCTGAAGATGGCATTAATCTAATAACATATATACAGAATCTGTATGCAGAAACTACAAATATCTCATGAAAGAAATCAAAGAAGGTTAAAATAAATGGGAGTATATTCTGTCTTAATGATTTGGAATATACAAGATTGGTAAGATGTCAGTTTTTTCTCAAGCTGACTTACAGATTCAATACAATTCAAATCCAAAGGCTAGCAAACTATTTTGTAAATATAAACAAATTGATTCTAACATTTATATGAAAAGGCTAAACACCTAAAAAATTTCTATAATACTGAAGAAGAAAAAAGAGGACTCACACAATCTGATTTCAAGACTTAAAGATATAATAATCAAAATAGCATAGTATTGGTGAAAGACTAGGTACATACATCAATGGAACAAGAGAGAAGCTAGACATATCACACAAATATAGTCAACTTATTTTTGGCAAAGTTTCAAAGATAATTCTTTGGAGACAAGACAGCCTTTTGACAGATGATGCTGAAACAATTACACATCCATAGCAAAATAATAAACCTAGACATACACTTTATATCTTATCTTGAAATTTATTCAAATCCAAATACAGACCTAAATGTAAAATACAAAACTATAAAACTTTTAGGAGAAAATCTATTCAATCTTGGGTTTGATGATATGATTTTGGATACAATACTAAAAGAAGGATCAATGGAATAAAAAATTGTTAAGAAAAAACGTATTAAAATGTAAAACTTCATCTCTGCAAAAGACACTGGCATAGAATAAAAAGACAAGCTGCAGACTGGAAGAAAATATTTGCACAACACATATCTGACAAAGGAATTATATCCAAAATATAGAATGTGGTCTTAAAATTCAACAAAAGAAAACAAACAACTTCATTAAAATTGATCTGATCAACTCCATACCAGGATATACAGATGTAAATAAAGATATGAAAAGATTCTCAACATTGTCATTAGAGAAATGCTAATTATAACAACGAGATACCACTACATACCTGTTAGAAAAGGTCAACTAAATTTTTTTTAAAACTGATAATACCAGTCACTGGTGAGAATTTAGACCAACAGAAACGCTTAATTTTTAATTTTTGTGGGTACCTAATACATATATATATTTACAGTATACATGAGATATTTTGATACAGGCATACAATGTGTAATAATCATATCAGGGTAAATGGAGTACTCATCACCTCCACCGTTTACTCTTTCTTTGTGTTACAAGCAATCTAATTATCGTACTTTACTTATTTTGAAATGTACAATAAGTTATTGTTGACCGTAGTCACCATGTTGTGCTATCTAATACTAGGTCTTATTTAGTCTCTCTAGCTATATTTTTGTACCTATTAACCATCTCCACTTCCCCTGCAACACCCTCCCCAGCCTCTGGTAACTATCATTCTACTCTCTATCTCCATGAGTTCAATTGTTTTAATTTTCTTCGCTCAATTCTAAGACTTTAGCATAGTGCCTGAAAGATAGTGCCTGAACATAATATTCAGAAAAAATTTATTAAAAAAGTTCTACAACTCAACTTTTGAAACCACAGCTGAGCCTAAAAACACTTTCTCTTTTCTTCGAGAGAAAGTATGGTATATATTTGGGGTAAGGAGGCAGGTGGTGCTAATATTTTGTTAAGAAAATACATATTTGGCATTGGAATAAGAGCTATATATTCCTTAGCTCGCTAAACATTAAGTCTCATTTTACACCTGAAAAAATTGAGGCTTCAGAGAAAGCAGTTACACTGAGGAGGAGTTTTGAGGTTTGGAAGTGGGATTCTCACTTTACCTCTTATACTCAGGTAAGTTCAGAAACAACTGAGATATCAATGCAAGAGTCTGACAGACCTAAATACTAGCTTTATTATAGCTAAACTGGATTGGAGATTTGAATTTGGATCTACGGTTACAAGGCTACACCTTTGGATTTCATACCCAAATAAGAATTGGATATGCAAAGCTGAAAAACCTACCAGAATTGCGGCTTCAACATATTTAATGTTCCCACCAGCACTACTACTATCACCATCAATGTTGAGGGAAAAAAAAAATGAGTCTCCACATCTGCTTCTGAGTTCCTAGAAATGGGATCTCTCATGACATCATTAAGAAACTGAATTGTCTAGGATGTCAGATACTACTTAGCACTGACTAATTCCTTCTTCCTAAGACTTCTTATGGTTTATGTTTCTGCTGGGCTTGACTTAAGATAAAGAAAGTGAGCAGGTGCGGTGGCTCACATCTGTAATCTTAGCACTTTGGGAAGCCAAGGCAGGCAGATCACTTGAGCCCAAGGGTTCAAGGCCAGCCTGGGCAACATGGCAAAACCTAGTCTCTACAAAAAATACAAAAATTAGTTGGGCATGGTAGTACACTACGGTAGTCCCAGCTACTGGGGAGGCTGAAGTGGGGAGATGGGGAGTTTGAGACTGCAGTGAGCCACGATTATGCCACTGCACTCCAGTCTGGGTGATAAAGTGAGTTCCTGTCTCAAAAAAAAAAAAAAAAAAAAAAGATGAAAGAAAAATCCCTATGACTGTAAGCATTTTCCCTGATAAATAAAGTACAGTGTTCCTCTAAGCTTTTCAGGAAAAATACAACGTGGTATATCGAGAATACAAATTGGGAAAGTGGGGAAAAGAATAAGAGTATAAAAATTTGGAGATAAACATAGAAACAGAAGATAAAGTTAAAAAGTTCCAATATATATACAACTGAGATTCAAAGAAGAGATATAAAGTAATGGACCAGGCAAAATTGACTAGAATTATCAACCCAACCTATCCTCTCAAAGATACTAGACTTCAAAAATGAAGAAAAATCCTCAAGGAAGTATCGTAAGTACATGATACTCAAGAAAAGAAAGTTTGCACAAAGGTTTTAATATATAGCCAAAGCATATTTCAAAAGACACATATAAAATCTCAGAAGTAGTGTTTTCATAAGTATTTCTATGGAAAACAACTACAGACTGAAGTTCAGCCAGACAAGGCAAATATTGAAACCATGGCAAATGAATGGGCAACAAACACTAAAGTTAAAACAAATGTAGGAATTGAAGGAACAGAACAGAATGTAATGTTTACATTCTGACAATGTAGAAATGATAGAACTAATGGAAATTTGGGGAGGAAGAAGGATGAAGGTTGAAGGTATAGTAAATTTGCTGATTACCTCATACGTAATCTCTAGAGTCAAAGGATATCATTTCATGCTGGCAGATCAATTAATAGATGTTTGAGCATATTTAACAATACAAAGGTAAATATGAAGAAAGATAGTACTATTGACTAAAGTCAGTTGGGGGAGAGAGAGGCGGAAGTATATTACTTTTATGCTTGGTTATACTAGAGAACAAATAGAAACTGACTAAAGAAACATTAGATCAGTGGTTCTCAGAGTATTGATATCTGGGAGTCCCAGCAACAGTCTGAGGAGGTTCATGAGTTCAAAATATTTTGATAATAACACTAAGATGGTATTTACTCTTCTAACTGGGTAGATATTTGCACTGGTACTGCCAAATAATGTCTTACATTTTCGCAGAAATAAAAGCAGTGACATCTAACTGAATAGTACTCATTACATTCTTCACTGTCATGAGTTTTTAGTTAAAAAAAAAAAAAACTTTCAGATGTACTTAAGTATGTCCTTGAAGCTGTTAAAATTCTGAACTTTGAGGTTAGGCAGAGCAAGATGGTCAAATAGAAGCCTCTATTGGTTGTCTTCCCCACAGGAACACCAAATTGAACAACTATCTACATACAAAAAAGCACCTTCATAAGAACCAAGTATCAAGTGAGGGATCACAGTACCTGGTTTTTACTTCACATAACTGAAAGAGGCACTGAAGAAGGTAAGAAAAACAGTCTTGAATTGCTGATGCCACCCCTCTCCCATCCGCCAGCAGCAGCCAAATGGCATAGAGAGAAAATCTGTGCAGTTGAGGGAGAGAGAGTCCAGTGACTGTGGGAATTTGCATTGGAACTCAGGGCTGCCTTGCCACAGTGGAAACACTGGGCACAACTCAGCCAGTGCCAATGGAGGGACTATTTAGACTGTCGCTAGCCAGACGGGAATTGCCCATCCTAGCAGTCGGGAACTGAGTTCTGGCAAGCCTCACCACCATAAGCTAAAGTGCTCTGGGGTCCTAATCACATGTGAAAGGCAGTTTAGCCCACAAGGACCGCAATTCTTGGGCAAGTCCTGGTGCCGTGCTGGGATTGGAGCCAGTGGACTTGGGAGTCATGCAACCTAGTGAGACACCAGCTAGGGTAGCCAAGGGAGTGCTTGTGCCAGAACTGCAGGCGGTGCAGCCCACAGATCTGGGAGAGACTCCTTCAGCTTGAGGAGAAGAGAAGGGAAAGTAAAGAGGACTTCGTCTTGCAACTCCAATACAGGCTCAGCCACAGTAGGATAGGGCCCTAGGCAGAGTCCTGAGGCCCTGACTCCAGGCTTTACCTCCAGGACATTTCTAGACACACCTTAGGCCAGAAGGAAACCTGGTTCCTTGAAGGGCAGAAACCAGTACTGGCAGGATTCATCACCTGCTGACTAAAGGGCCCTTTGGTCCTGAATAATCAGCAGTGTTACCCAGATAGTACCCTGGATGAGACTCAGAGACTTGCTGGCTTCGAGTGTGACCCAGCACATTCCCAACTGTGTTGACTACGAGGAGGGAATCCTTCTACTTGAAAAAAGCAGATGGAAGAGTAAAGGGTACTTTGTCTTGAAGCTTTGGTACTATCTCGGCCACAGAGGGGTAGAGCACCAAGCAGGTGCTTGGGGTCTCTGATACAATAACTTGGTCTTGGATGAACTGCCCTGGACAATATGTAGAAAATAGCCTCAAAGGGACAAATCTAAGAGTTATTAGTCTTAAATAGGAGGGAGGGAGGGGTGGGGGGGAGGGAATGAGGGACAGACAGAGAGAGAGAAAAAGTTTATTCAAAGGAAAAATAGCAGAGAACTTCCAAAACCTAGAGAAAGTTATCAATATTCAAGTACAAAAAGGTTATAGAATGCCAGGCAGATTTAACAAAAATAAAACTACCTCAAGACATTTAATAATCACACTCCCAAAGGTCAAGGATAAAGAAAGGATACTAAAAGCAGCAAGAGAAAATAAACAAATAACAAACAATGGAGCTCCAGTATATCTGGAAACAGTCTTTTCAGTGGAAACCTTACAGGCCAAGAGAGAGTGGCATGACATATTTAAAGTGCTGGAGAAAAAAAAAAAACACTTTTATCCTAGGATAATATATCTGGTGAAAATATCCTTCAAACACGAAGGAGAAATAAAGACTTCCAGACAAACAAAAGCTGAGGGATTTCATCAACACCAGACCTGTTCTACAAGAAATGCTAAAGGGAGGTCTTCAATCTGAAATAAAGGATGTTAATGAGCAATAAGAAATCAGCCAAAGATACAAAACTCACTAGTAATAGTAAGTACACAGAAAAATTCATAATATTATAACACTGTAACTGTGGTATGTAAATTACTCTCAAGAAGAAAGACTAAATGATGAACCAATCAAAAAATAGCTACAACTTTTCAAGACACAGACAGTACAATAAAATATAACTAGAAACAAAATGTTAAAAAGCAAGGGGATAAAGTTAAAGTATAGAGCTTTTATTAGTTTTCTTTTTACTTGTCTATTTCTTTATGCAAACAGTGTGAGGTTGTTATCAGCTTAAAATAATGGGTTATAAAACAGTATGTGCAAGCCTCATGGTAATTACAAATAAAATACAGTGGATATGGAAAAAATAAAAACCAAGAAATTAAGTCATACCACCAGAGAAAGTTACCCTCACTAAAAGGAAGATAGGAAGGAGAGAAGGAAGAAACAGCAGACTGCAAAACAACCTGAAAACAAATCACAAAATGGCAAAACTTTATTAATAAGAATATTGAATATAAATTGACAAAACTCTCCAATCAAAAGACAGAGAATGGATTAAAAAAATAAGACCTAATGATCTGTTGCCTTTAAAAAACACACTACGTTTCATCTATAAAGACAGATATAGACCGAATATAAAGAGAGGGAAAAAGATATTTCATGCCAATGGCAACCAAAAAACAGCAAAAGCAGCTATATCTATTACAGACAAAGTAGATTTCAAGAAAAAAACTTTAAAAATGACAAAGGTCACTATATAATGATAAAGAAGCCAATTCAAGAGAGGATATAACAATTGTAAGTTTATATGCACCCAACTCTGGAGCATCCAGACGTATAAAGCAAATATCATTACAGTTAAAGACAGAGATAGGCCCCAATACAATAATAGCTGGAGACTTCAATATCCCACTTTCAGCATTGCACAGGTAATCCAGACAGAAATTCAACAAAGAAACAGCAGACTTAATGTGCATTATAGACCTAACAGATATTTATAGAACATTTCATCCAATAGCTCCAGAATATACATTCTTCTCAGCACATGGCTCATTCTCAAGGATAGCCTAGATGTTAGGTCACAAGACAAGTCTTACAACATTCAAAATATTGAAATTATATGAAACGTCTTCTCTGACCATAATAAGACTAGAAATCAATAACAAGAAGAATTTTTGAAATTATACAAACATATGGAAATTAAACAATATGCTCCTGAATGAAGTGGGTCAATGAAGAAATTAAGAAAAAAATTGAAACATTTTTGAAGCAAATGGTAACAACACACCAAGACGTATGTGACGCAGGGAGAACAGTATTAAGAGGAAAGTTTATAGCTACAAGTAACTACATCAAAAATAGAAAAACTTCAAATAAACAACTAATTATGCATCCTAAAGAACAGAAAAGCAGTAACAAATCAAACCAAAAATTAGTAGAAGAAAATAAATAACAAAGACCAGAGCAGAAATAAATGAAATTGAAACAAAAACAATACAAAAGATCAATTAAACAAAAACATAAACAATAAACATTAGCCAGGCTAATTAAGAAAAACAATAGGGAAGACCCAAATAAATAAAATCAGAGGTGAAAAAGGAGACAGTACAACTGATACTGCTGAAATTCAAAGGATCTATTAGAGGCTAATATAAGCAGCTATATTACAATATATTGGAAAATCTAAAAGAAATGAGTAACTTCCTAGATACCTACAACCTACCAAAATTGAACCATGAAGAAATCAAAACCCTGAATAGACCAATAATGAGAAACAAGATCAAAGCCTTAAGAAAAAGTCTCTCAGCAAAGAAAAGCCTAGAACCTGATGGCTTTAGTGATAAATTATACCAAACATTTAAAGACAAACTAATACCAATCCTACTTAAACTATCCCCAAAAATAGAAGAGGAGAGAATACTTCCAAACTCATTCTACAAGTGCAGTATTACCCTGATGCCAAAATCAAAAACACATCACAAAAAGGAAAACTACAGGCCAATATCCCTGATGAACATTGAAGCAAAATTCCCCAACAAAATAGTAGCAAATAGAATTCAACAACACATAAGAATATCATTCATCTTTACCAAATGAGATTTATCCCAGGGATTCAAGGATGGTTCAACATATGCAAATCAATTAATATGACACATTATATCAACAGAATGACACAAACCATATGATCATTTCAACTGATGCTGAAAAAGTATTTGATAAAATTCAACAACTCTTTCTGATAAAAACTTCAAAAAACTGGGTATAAACTTTCAAAAAACTTTCAAAAAACTGGAACATACTTCAACATAATAAACACCATATATGACAGACCCACAGCTAGTATCATACTAAATGGGGAGAACCAGAAAGTCTTTCCTCTAAGATCTGCAACATGACAAGAATGCCTACTTTCACCCACTGTTATTCAACATAGTAGTGGAAGTCCTAGCTAGAACAATCAGACAAGAGAAGGGAATAAAGGGCATTCAAAATGGGAAGAAAGAAGTCATATTATCCTTGTTTGCAGATAATATATTATATTTAGAAAAATCTAAAGACTCCACCAAAAACATTAGAACTGATAAACAAATTCAGTACAGTTGCAGGACACAAAATCAATATACAAAAATCAGTAGCATTTCTATATGCCAACAATGAACAATCTGAAAAAGAAATCAAGAATGTAACTCCATTTACAATAGCTACAAATAAACTTAAATAGGAATTAACCAAAGAAAATTAAAGATGTCTGCAATAAAAACTATAAAACACTTATGAAAGAAATTGAAGAAGACATAAATAATAAAAAGATATTCTACTTTCATGCATTGGAAGAATCAATATTGTCAAAAATGTCCATACTACCTAAAGCAATCTACAGATTCAATGCAATCCCTATCATAATAATAACATTCTTCACAGAAATAGTAAAAACAATCCTAAAATTTTTATGGAGCCACAAAAAAAAAACAGAAAAGCCAAAGCTATCCTGATCAAAAAGAAGAAAACTAGAAGAGTCACATTACCTGACTTCAAATTATACTACAATGCTATAGCAACAAAACAGCATAAAACAGACACAGAGACCAATGGAACAGAATAGAGAACCCAGAAACAATTCCATACATCTACAGTGAATTCATTTTCAACAAAGTTGCCAAGAACATACACTGGGGGAAGGATAGTCTCTTCAATAAATCGTGCTGGGAAAACTGGATATCCATATGCAGAAAAATGACATATACAAAAATCATCTCACACCAGTTAGAATGGCGATCATTAAAAATCAGGAAACGACAGGTGCTGGAGAGGATGTGGAGAAATAGGAACACTTTTATACTGTTGGTGGGACTGTAAACTAGTTCAACCATTGTGGAAGTCAGTGTGGCGATTCCTCAGAGATCTAGAACTAGAAATACCATTTGACCCAGCAATCCCATTACTGAGTATATACCCAAAGGATTATAAATCATGCTGCTATAAAGACACATGCACATGTATGTTTATTGCAGCACTATTCAGAATAGCAAAGACTTGGAACCAACCCAAATGTCCAACAATGATAGACTGGATTAAGAAAATGTGGCACATATACACCATGGAATACTATGCAGCCATAAAAAATGATGAGTTCATGTCCTTTGTAGGGACATGGATGAAGCTGGAAACCATCATTCTCAGCAAACTATCGCAAGGACAAAAAACCAAATACTGCATGTTCTCACTCATAGGTGGGAATTGAACAATGAGAACACATGGACACAGGAAGGGGAACATCACACACTGGGCCTATTGCAGGGTGGGGGTAGGGGGGAGGGATAGCATTAGGAGATATACCTAATGTTAAATGACGAGGTAATGGGTGCAGCACACCAACATGGTACATGTATACATATGTAACTAACCTGCACGTTGTGCACATGTACCCTAAAACTTAAAGTATAATAAAAAAAAATGACATATACAAAAATCAAACCAAAATAGATTAAAGACTTAAATCTAATACCTGAAATTATGAAACTATAAAAAAAAGATTTTGGGGAAAGCCTTCAAGACATTGGACTGGGTAAGAATTTATTGAGTTATATTCTACAAGCACAGGTAACCAAAGCAAAAATGGACAAATGGGATCACATCAAGTTAAAAAGTTTCTGCACAGCAAAGGAAACTATCAACAAAGTGAAGAGAAAATCCACAGAATGGGAGAAAACATTTGCAACCTAGCCATCTGGCAAAGGATTAATAACTGGAATATATAAGGAGCTCAAACAACGATATAGGAAAAAATGGAACAATCTGATTTTAAAATAGGCAAAAAATCTGAATGACATTTCTTAAAAGAAGACATACGAATGGACAAACAAGTGTATTGGAAGGTGCTCAACATCACTGATCATCAGAGAAATATGAATCAAAACTACAATGAGATATTACCTCACCACAGTTAAAATGGCTTTTATCTGAAAGACAGGCAATAAAAAATGCTGGCAAGGATGTGGAGAAAGGAAAACCCTTGAGCACTGTTGGTAGAAATATAAATTATTACAACCATTAGGGAGAACAGTTTGGAGGCTCTTCACAAAACTGAACATAGAGCTACCAAAGATCCATCATCCCACTGCTAAGTGTCATACCCCAAAGAAAGAAAATCAGTATATCGAAGAGCTATCTGCACTCCCATGTTTATTACAGCACTATTCATAATAGCCAACATTTGGAAGCACCTAAATGTTATCAACAGATGAATGATGAAGAAGATGTGGTACATATATACAATGAGGTGCTATTCAGCCATTAAAAAAAATGAGATAAATGAGATCCTATCATTTGCAAAAAAGTGGATGAGACTGGAGGTCACTATGTTAAATGAGATAAGCCAAGCACAGGAAGACCAACTTTGCATGTTCTTACTTATGTGTGGGAGCTAAAAATTAAAACGATTGAACTTATGGACATGGCAAGTTGAATGATGGTTACCAGAGGTTGGGAAAGGTAGTGGGGCCAGGGAGGGTGGGGTAGTAGAGATGTTTAATAGGTACAAAATATGGCTAGATAGAATGAATAAGATCTAGTTTTTGATAGGACAACAGAGTAACTACAGTCAACAATAATTTATCATATATTTTAAAATAACAAAAAGAGTATAATTGGATTGGTAACACAAAGAAAGGATAAATGCTTGAGGGGATGGATAGCTCCTTTATTATCACGATTATTACACATTATATGCCTGTATCAAAATATTTCATGTACTCCATAAATATATACACCTACTATAAACCCACTAAAATTAAAAATTTTTAAAAATCCTAACCTTATTATACTTCAGTCCTTGAGGAATGTCTTTTCAAAATTCTGTATAACAAAATGGAGGTCCATGGAATACTTCTACATACCAAGGAATGATAATTATCCTAAGGAAATGTACTTGGACAATTGTTTCAGCTGTAAGTGGAACCAGATTTTCTTTTCATGAAGCACCATCTTTACTTGAAAGAATAATTGACAGCCCATGGTTAATCTGATTCTCATATTTAGGAGACATACTTTCAAAAATGAACCAAGTGAGCCTCTTAAAGAAAAAACACTAAGCAGAAATTAGAATCTTGAAAAAATTCTATATACTACTTTGAGCTTCTCAGTTTTCCAATATGCGAAGATTTTTCTGATGAGATCATTGATGATGTCAGTAAAGCCTCCTTTATGTTATTTAATAAAATATGTCAATATTTAGAAACTCTGTGTAAGTCAGTGAACCTGTATTTTTCAAATGACCAAAGTGTGATTTCACAAAAGCACAAAGAGAGGAAAGATCTATTTGAAGTACAAAATGGACAATGGACTTTAATGTAACATAATACCAAAATTTCATTGATATGGTTTAATATTCCATATATATGTTAATACTTAAAAATATTTAAATATTAATATTTAATGTTGAGTTTCAGTGACATGTCAAAGAAGGATATTTACAATTATCTGAAAAATCTATTCAAATACTCTGTACTTTGTAGCTATATATCTGCGTGAAACCAGATTTTCTACATAAACTTCAACCAAAATAATATACTAAAACAGATTGCATGCAGAAACATACATGAGACTCCAGCTGTGTTCTATTAAGTCAGACATTGAAATGATTAGCAAATGTAGAGCAATGCCAATCTTCTCATGAGACATTTCTGCTTTGAAAAGTGTACTTTTAAATATATGAATTTATGTTAATATGTAATGAGTTTATTATCTTTATTCCGAAATAAATTAATACATATTTTTTAAGTATCTCAGTTCTAATTTTTAATATAGAAGATATTGGTAGATACAGACTAAATAAACAAAAGCCTTTGGGGTTCTCAATAATTTTTAAGGTTATAAACAAGTTGTTCTGAAGCCAAAACTTTGAGAACCACAACATTAAACTAAGTGTTCCACAAAGATTGACAATTAAAAATCCACTCTTGGAATATAATCTTTTAAAATACAGTATTAGGTAGACTCATCTTAATGTGATAAAATATATCTTAAATATATCTAAAAGCCCAAATTACATGCTTGCTGGTTATAGAATTCTGAGAGAAACAAAATATCACCCCTTTGGCCTTCATGGTTTCTGATAAGAAGTCTCCCCTCAATGGGATAATGTAACTGTGGTCTTTTCAAGATTTTTTCCCGTTTTTAGTTTTTACAAGCTTGATAATCATGTGTCTTGGTGTGGTTTTTTGGGATTTACCCTAATTGGAATACACACAGCTTCCTGATTCTGTAGGTTTATGGCTTTGGACAAATTTGAGAAATTGTCAGCCATTATTTCTTAAATTAATTATTTAGCAATGCCTTCTTTATCCTTCACTCCAGGGCTCCAATGACATTATTATTATATCTTTGTCTCTGCTTGTCAGAGTCTTCTCATGTTTATTTTACAAATGATGTCCAAGAATTTTAGTTTTCCTTAGGGAGAGAAAGGGGGAAATGTACCTCTATTCCATCTTCCCAGGAGCGGAAGTCTCCAAAAGATAGACTTTTTAATAATACCAAGATGTAGGTATAACTAGATAGCCAATGAGAAAAAATAAAATTGGGTGCCTATCTCAGAATATGGACTATATACTAGAAGAAACATTTGTTTATTTATTTATTTTTATTTTTTTTTGAGACGGATTTTAGCTCTTGTTGCCCAGGCTGGAGTGCAATGGCACAATCTTGACTCACTACAACTTCCCCAACCAGGTTCAAGCGATTCTCCTGCCTCAGCCTCCCAAGTAGCTGGGATTACAGGCATGTGCCACCACACCAGGCTGACTTTTTGTATTTGGTAGAGACGGGGTTTCACCATGTTGGTCAGGCTGGTCTCAAACTCCTGCCCTCAGGTGATCCACCTGCCTCAGCCTCCCAAAGTGCTGGGATTACAGGTGTGAGCCACCGCACCTGGCCTAGAAGAAATATTTAAATAAGTTAAATATTTATTATGGAATACAAAATCATAGAAGAAAACATGAAAGAATTAATTTATAGCCTCAGTTTAGAAACAAAAACTTTCTCATTATGATATAATATTCAGAGGCTGTAGGGAGAAAAAAATGAATACATTTGACTACATAAAAATTAAATTTTTGCATGGCAACACATAAAATAAACATTATCAATGTAGTCAAAAAGGCAAATGGCAAACTAAATTTAAAAATATATTCCCAATTTTTGTCACAAAAGCTTAATCTTCCTGGCATATAAAGACCTACCACTTGATAAGAAAATCATCAACAGCCCAAAAGAAAAAAGTGGGCAAAGAATATGCAAAGACAGTTCACAGGAATGCAAATATAGTTTTTTAAAAATATTTTAAAAGATATTTAACCTTATTCACAACACAGAAATACAGATTTAAACAACACTGAAAAAACATGTTTCCCTCTTCCCATTCAGATTGGTAAAAATCCAAAAGTTCATGACATATTCAACTGGAAGAATTTTGGGATAGATTTTAATCTATGGCTGATGAGAGTATAAATTGGTACAGCATCTTTGGTGAGCATTTTGGTAATATTTATCAAAGTGACACCTAGGAATTATCTTGAGATATAATTAATATGTGTGAAGTGATGCATGTATGAGGTTATTTATTGCAACTCTTCTTAACAGCAGAAGGTTGAATACAATCTGTTGTTGAATAAAACGTGTATAATATGTTATTACTTGTAGTTTTAAAAGACGAAATGAAATTTCCTGTTTTATTGGTTTGCATTTATATAAAAATTCTTTATAAGTGAAAAAAGAAACAAGTGATAGTGATTACCCGAGTAATGAAGGAGGCAAGATATATACTGAGAAAGTAGAGAGCTAGTGGGGAAGCAATGTTTCATTAAATAACTTTATATTTTTGATATTTGAATTATGTGCAATAAGGAGGGAGGAAGGGAGAAAAGATAAAAAAGGAGAGGAAGATTTAGGTGAGTTAAGGGAAAAAATAAGAGGACAAAAATAAAAGGCCAGCATGAAGAAATGGCTGCTCGAATCTAATTAGTGTTGATTTAGGCATTTAAAGGGGGAACGAGTTGATGATCTTAAAAAGGGGAATGCAGTACAAAGTTTCCTCAAAGAAAAATAAATTTGTTTTTAATGCGTTATACACTGAGCAATACAAATTATGTGAGTTTTATATTCAGTTTTGTTCTTCTATCAGGTGATAAGCACAGGAGTGAGTTTCTGTTCGTAGACAGGTTTTTTTAAAGCATGTGTGTAAAAGGTTGGTGACTTCATAAAAATTGAGAATGGATTTAAGATTCTAGTCCTAAGACCCAATTACCCAATTCATTATCAGACCTATCCATTTCATAAAAAGATATTCCAAAATCCAGAGTCAGACTGTAACTGTGGGGAATGGATTATCCAGAATGTATCTGGATATAAGAAGAGAAATCAGCCACCTTGCTCTTCACAGGATAACAATATGGTCCTGATGCTGTGTTGACTTAAAAACCTGGAGGCTCCTAATGTCTGCAAGCATTCCCTTTAATAGAAATATTAAATCTACATGCTGCCCTAAAGAACATTGTAAGCCCTATTGAAAAAGAGTTATGGTACAGCC
Organism: Homo sapiens; assembly: GCF_000001405.40. Lineage (NCBI taxonomy): Eukaryota > Metazoa > Chordata > Mammalia > Primates > Hominidae > Homo > Homo sapiens. Next base: position 20,164,728 of record NC_000012.12, on the reverse strand, counting down.
ATATGTTAAGCTCTTCAGATCTAGTGAGCTCCTGCCTTACACATGGAATCTTCCTAACACTAACAACACTTCCTGGCATTCCAACCTGAGAATCTGATGGGCCTCACGAAGCTCCGCCAAGGTGTACTGGCTTCGTACTTGCTCTCAGTGGCTCATGCATTCTAGCTGAATAGCTATATCCTTTGTCAAATAAATCAGAAACGTTATCCAACCTGTGAATAGGGTGGAGGAGAAAGGAGAGAGAGGAGTCAGAGAGGAGAGGGAGGAGTCAGAGAGAAGAAAGAGAGTGTACAGAGAGAGAGGAGAGAGAGAGAGAGAAGACAGAAAAGAGAGAGAAAGGACAGAGGGAGCTTAAAGAGAGAGGTGGGGGGGACTACTGGATATTGTGATATTGTGGTGTACTAGACTACTTTGGTTGTACTTTAGACACACTCTATTACTCTGCCCATTATGGAACATAGTAACTGTATTTCAAGTTGTGACCTGCCTTCAGGCATGTTTTTTCCAAGCTACTTTCTTTACTTCATCATTTCAAAGCAGTTTTATTATTTTCTCATTCCCAGCTGATTTTTTCTTCAATAATTTCCATTGAAGGCAAGTAGAACCAGTATAAAAGTTGTATTTTAACATCTAGAAGGTTAGACTTCCTTAGTATTTTTGAAGCACCTCTAGAATGCTATTTGTGAGTTACTTAGGGTCAAACTGTTCAATGTAGCAATGAAGACACACACATACATACACACACACACACACGCACACACACGTATCTAAAATATAAAAAATATATTTGAAACAACACAAAAATGGGTAATGCCTACACTGGCTGGTTCTCCCCCGAATCCTGTTTTATCCTTACAATAACCGTACAAGACAGGCATCTTCACTCCAGGTTATACATGAGCTAATTGAGCTCAGCAGATTATATTGTCTACATTGCACAGTAAAGAAGCATTTCAAGTTCAGATCTTCTTATTTCAGAACTCATGTTCTGCCCTACCCCAGTAGTTTTCCTAGGTATTGCTTTTATTCTGTTTTTTCAAACCCTACTCCACTCTGATTTAACACCCTACGTTCAATTCAATCTCCTGTGCAGGTCAGGCAGCTGAATTTGTCTTCTAATATTATATCATTATGGAAATAATTTTCATAAGTAAGCAATCAATGTGTCATTGTTACTTGTTACTCCCTGTATTAGAAGGCAATCTGATATGCCTTTGGCATCTTTGTTTGCAGAGCTCCTGAGAACAAGAGCTATGAATTCTTTCTGAGCTCCCAGAATTACACATCCTTGAACTTTGCAGATTACTATTATATCTTTTCAGTCCCAGACTGAAACTTGTAACCTCAAAATAAAACCTACAAGTTTTTTAAACTCTGCACCAGAATTGTTGAACAAGCACGGAGAAGTTCAAGATCAATTTGGCCGGGCTAGGTTTAAAAAAAATCTATTTGCTATGCACATTTGATTTGTGGTGTGCAATAGATTCCAGGAATAAATATAAGATTTGTTTGATGAAAGCTATGATGAAAAATGGAATATTGACTTATGCTACCTCCAGGCCATTTTTCATTTATACATGTAATAAGCATTTATTGAACCTCTTCTAAGTCTCAGAATTATGCTAAATATAATCCATAAAACACAAAACAAACTTAATAATATGTGATACCTACCAGGCAATAGTGGTGAAAGCATTGGAGTGGACATTTGGAAATCTAGGTTAAAAATCGGCTTACATGTAACTTGATGTCCAGTAAATCATTAATTTCTTCAGTCCTATTTCCTTAGCTACACAATGAGTTAAATTATATATCTGTGGATTTCTTTCAAAGCTCAAAGTTGTGTGGTCTGTAATAGGTCCTGAATAACTGACAAAGTTGAAAAATACAGATGTTGCCTAACTCTCCAGACAAAATGTGAGGTGCAATTTTCAAGTTTTAAAAAAAATTATAGGATGTACTTTCAGTATTTCCTGATAAATTACTTGAATCTTTGAAATGTTTATTTTTCTTTTAAGTCATCCCGTTGGTTTAGGCCTTTTTTTTGTGACAGAATTCTACAACATATAATTGCACTACAGGTAGGTATTAAGTAACCATTAAGAAACAGCAACAAAAAAAGTAACAACAACAGACTGATGACCCATTTCTCTGTTAGCAAGGTATTTTTGTATAGTCTATTTTAGTTTACATTGTAAAATGTATGTGATTTAATTTCTCTTGTGTCTTTGGTGAAACCGCCTTCTCAGTTCATGTCTGTATTTTATGCTATTAACATATTTTGGCATCTGAGTCCATATTCAGAATTTTCTCATCTCATTCCAAAGAAGTAATTTTTACTAATAGATGGTATTTCTAATAAGCTTAAAACAAACATTTGAGACATAAACCTCATCTCTAGACTCTCGTAGAATATGTTCTAATCAATATTTCTTACATGGAATCTTACACTGAATTTTGTGCTAAGTCTTTCCAATAGACTTTTATTTCTTACTTTTATTTTGAATTATGTGTGGGATATTAAATACTGTATTAGAGAAGCTGTGTTGAAAAGTCACTTCTTAAATTCCTACAGTGAATTCTTCTCTACATATACTACTAATGACAAGATCAAGGATTGTTTGAATCATGGGTGCTAACACAGTGAACAACAAAGGGATTCCAAGTAAAAATGTTTATCCACAAAACTACAAAAACTCAAATATAACGTGATTTATCAAGATAATTGACTCAATAAAATATACTTCTGTTCCCAAAGAGACAATTTGTCAGAATGCTTCCTGCTCCCCAGACAGTGGAGTTTATAAGAATGGGCCAAAACATCAGCAAAATGTAGGAATTCGTCTACAAGAAAGTGGAACTAAACTAGTCTTGTAATTACAGTCATGAGAAACGGGACTTAAATCATGTTAATCTTTTCCTAAGTCATTGAAAAAATCAAGGAGAAGATGGGAAGTAGTTGTAGCCAGAAAAGAGAGGGAGTAATTTTAAGCAAAAACTATTTTAGCAAAAGCAAAAAAACTTATGTCGAGAATGAATCTGCATATATTGCTTCAAGGAATGTTACTATGTAAATAGAGTGACCATTAAAAAACAGATCCTAATTCACACACACACACACACACACACACAAAGGCAAATGGTGGCATTGCTCTCAGTAATTGTTTGACATGCCAGCCTCACCCTGGGTGCCACTTTCCATTTTTTAAATGAATCAAATAGAACCCTCTTGTTACATTTCTAATTGTCTTCCCTGTTGAGACACAAATATGTTAAGATCAAAAACATTAAATCCAAAATTTATATTCTTTTAAACCTTGAAATGCCTCCTTTCCCATACAGATTATACCATATATATGGTACATATGGGAAGAAAGTAGGCTAATGTAAAGTCATTTTAAAGATCTAATTGCTTATGATTCCTCATCTCTGAGCAGGACATCTCTGAAAAAAAGGCAGCAGCCCCAGTCAGGGACTTACAGATAAAACCCCATCTCCCTGGGACAGAGCACCTGGGGGAAGGGGCAGCTGTGGGTGGGTGCAGCTTCAGCAGACTTAAACATCCCTTCCTGACAACTCTGAAGAGAGCAGCAGATCTCCTGGCCCAGCGTTCAAGCTCTGATAAGAGACAGAGTGCCTCGTCAGTGGGTACCTGACCCCCGTGCATCCTGACTGGGAGTCATCTCCCAGTAGGGGCTGACAGACACCTCATACAGGAGAGGTCTGGCTGGCATCTGGCGGGTGCCCCTCTGGGACAAATCTTCCAGAGGAAGGAACAGGCAGCAATCTTTGCTGTTTTGCAGCTTCTGATGGTGTTACCCAGGCAAACAGGGTCTGGAGTGGACCTCCAGCAAACTCCAGCAGACCTGCAGCAGAGGGGCCTGACAGTTAGAAGCAAAACTAATAAACAGAAAGGAATAGTATCAACATCAATAAAAAGGATGTCCACTCAGAGACCCCATCTGAAGATCACCAACATCAAAGACCAAAGGTAGATAAATCCTTGAAGATGGGGAGAAAACAACTTACACTTTCTAACTAATAACCTAAAAGGGATCTTAAATTCCAGGTGTAAAGATGTGTATTTACTTTAACATAGCAAATCTACACTTGCTGAGACTTAGTATAACTATCACCAATATAAAACAAATGCCAAGATTGTATTTCAAATCCTTGATAAAATATGTGCACAGGAAAAACTGTTAGGTCTAATTATAAGCTAATTTCAGTTATCTTACCTGCACCACCATTTTAGAAAGATCTGAAGCATTTCCACTGATAAAATAACTGAAAGAGAAGACAGTATCATTTCTCAATATGAAAACCTGTAAACATTAGAACATTAGATACAACTTTAAACAAACAGCTGTCCGATTTTTTTACAATGCCCCATTGATACTAGAAAGCGTAAAATAAAATTCAAAAAGTATACAAGATACTGATTTTAGGAAAAAATTGCATAGGTAGTGAATTAAAAACATAATGATGATAATAATGTGGCTGTTGCTGCTGCTTCTGATAAACAAATATTTATTCACAGCTTACTATGTCCCAGAATGATGCTAAGAATATTACTTGCAGTCCTATATCTTTATATCTATATCATCTATATCTTTATGTCTACATCTATGTTTATATAGATGATATAGACATATATCTTTATGCCTACATCTATATGTCTATATAGACATCATATAGATATATAGCTTTATGTCTACATCTATGTTTATATAGACCTACATCTATGTAGATATTTATATAGATCTACATCTATGTTTATATAGATCTACGTTTATATAGATCTACATCTATATAACATTACTCTTGCTGATCACACCACATCTAGAGCTCTGGTTTTCATTCTAGAAGTGATATTTAAAGAGAAAATATAAATCATTAGAACAAATCCAGAAAAGAGTAACAGCACAGTGTAGGAGCTTGAAGTCACGCTATAGAAGGAATGATAGGAGAAACCAGAAATAGTTGTCCAGAAGAAGAAGAAAGGAAAAAATGACTATTATGTACCTACCATGTATGAGGCTCTGTATTAAATAATTTTATTAAGTTAGCCAAGAAAAAAATGCTAAACCACATTTGCCTTCCAAAAATGTTTACAGTCTTTAAAAAAGACTTTCTCATGAGCTGGCCATTTTTTTTTTTATCTGAGCAAGATTATTTGGAAATATGCAAAATGAGCTGGAAGCTGAGTTTGGAAGTAGGGACTGGAAAGAACTACATTAATTCTAATTAATTATAGTATTTTTGTGTTAATTATGAAAAATTATTAATAAAGTGGAATAAATTTGGATATCTCAAGGACAATAATGAATGGAAGGCATAATCATGTCAATATAATCAAGTTAATAACACAAAACTAGAAATGTCATCAGCTGACATTCTTACTAAAAAAACTAAATATAAAAAAACTATTAATATATAGGGAAAAGATTATTCAGCTTTACAGAAAGGTAGCCATCAATCTGAGTGGTTGCATTTTTATTAAATGCAGAGGAAAACATAGAGATGTTTGCCATTACCATCATTAACTAAACTTTTGGGGAGGTCTTACTGAATGGAATAAAAAAGTAAAATTTAAAAATTAATATAAATATTAGAAACAATGAGATACTATGATCTACTTTGCAGATAATATGCTTGCATACTTAAAAATTTAGTAGATAATATTTAGTAAAAGAATTTGGTAAGGTGGCTAGATACAAGGTAAATATATAAAAGTGTTTCCATGTTAGCAATAACTATCTAAAAATGTAAATGGTAAAAGTTCCAATAAAAGAGTTACAAACAAAAGTATAAAGTCTTATTGGGGATATGAAATATTATCTGAACAAAATTAAGTATGTTCTTGAATGGGAAATATGAATTATCCTAAAATTAACGTAAAAATGTAATGTCTCCCCAATTTTAATCCCAACTCTCTTATTTTGGGAGAGGGGAAGAAGAGCTAGATAAAATTATCTTAGGTTTTAGAGAAAGAACAAATTTCTGAAATAGTAATCATGAATTCTAAGAGTATTGAAAAGGAACTTGACATTACCAGTTAACAAAGATAAAACCAATATAATCAGAAATAAATGTATGAAAAATTAAGCGTGAACAGTTTATAAAATAATGATGGTGCAATAAGTTATCTTCATATCTTACCTATCTTGTACCATATATAAAAAATTTCAAATAAAATTTTAAAATAATGTAAAATTCAAAAAAAATATTAACTAAAATGTGTATGTATAATCTAGGATTTGGGATGACGATTTATATATATATATATATATACATATATATATATACACACACACACACACACACACACACATACATACACTTTTTTTTTTTTTTTGAGATGGAGTCTCACTCTGTCACCCAGGCTGGAGCGCAGAGGCGCGATCTCCACTCACTGCAAGCTCCGCCTCCCGGGTTCATGCCATTCTCCTGCCTCAGCCTCCCAAGTAGCTGGGACTACAGACGCCTGCCACCACGCCTGGCTAATATTTTTGTATTTTTAGTAGAGACGGGGTTTCACTGTGTTAGCCAGGATGGTCTCGATCTCCTGACCTCATGATCCGCCTGCCTTAGCCTCCCAGAGTGCTGGGATTACAGGCGTGAGCCACTGCGCCTGGCCAATTTATATATATTTTTAACTATACGGGTAAAAAAGTTCAATTAAAAAGTCAGTAGGAAAACCATAGTTTGTGCAAATATATTTGTAATGCTTTTTAAAGATAAAGGATTGATTAATATTAAAGAGGTTTTGTTTTAAAAAAAAGTTTTAATTGATCATGGATATGAATTAGCAATTCTGTGAAGTACCAATCCAAATGTCCAATAAATATGAAAATCTATTCAGTCTTCCTAGTATTCATTCATTCAACAAATATTTATTGGGTTTTGAGCAAATTGTTAATGAGATATAATTAAGTTTTAAAAGGATTATTCTGATTTGCTGAGAACAGACCAAAAGAGGGTAAATCCAGAAGCAGAGAAGCCAACTGGGAGAGGACTGTAATAGTCCAGGCAATATATGATATATAAATTTGGTTGTTAAGAAAACATTGAATTCTGAATAATTTTTAAAGAAGATTATAAAGAAGATAGAAGGGGAGTACTCTGGAGGAGTAGGTTTGAAAGAAAATAAGAAGGTCTATTTTGTGTATGTTACATTTATAGCACCTATTAGACATATAAAAGTAAACTGCTTGATAAAAGTGTCTAGAATTCGGGCATTAAGTCCAGATTGGAAATATAAATGTTGGAGTTAAGAGAACACTGATTAAGTAATAAAACTAAATGAGGTCACACAGAGAATTAGTGCAGATAGGGAAAATGTCCAAGGGCCGAACCTTCGCCCACTTTCATATTTAGAAAGTGAAGAGAAGTAACCAGCAAAGAAAACTTAATGTATTCAATGATATGAAAAAAAAAAAAACAACAGTAGAATGTGATATCCTAGAAGTCAAGTGAGGAAAGTAATTTAAAAAGAAAATGTAATAAATCAACCGCTGATGGTTAAGAAAGAAAATAACTGAAAATAGATTTACTCACATGGAAGTCACTGGTGACTTTGGCAAAATGCATCTGTGGAGTGGTGGGTCAAAGTGTTGAGTAGGGTAGGTTCAAGAGAGAATGAGTATTGTTTTAAGCCAGTACATTTCAAGATAATTTCTCATACATTAAAAGCCAGTACATTTCAGGATAATTTCTCATACATTAAAAGTTAACTGATACAAAGAGTGTGGTATCAAGAAAGTTTTTTTGAAAGTGAGAAACTTCAATATATTTTATGCTGATAACAATATTCATAAATAAAAAAGAAAAATTGCTGGAGTGAAGTCTTTGAGCAAGAAAGATGAAATCCAGTACACAGGTGAAAATGTTGACCTTTGATAGATATGTGGATAATTCTTTGGCAGTAACAGGAAAAAAGGAATAATGGGAACTAATATAGGTAGATTGGGAGATGTGGTGTTAGGAGTGTGCAGAAGTTCTTTTCTGATGGCTTCTATTTTCTTGGTGAAATTGGAAGCAACATCATTAGCTAAAAGTAAGGCAGGAGAGGAAGTTTTGGAGATTGGTGCAGAGAAAAGATGTAAAATCAAAATCTAGCTTAGTGGAATGAATGGTTTATAGAAATGTTTTAAGATTGTGGGCAGCTTTAAGGATATACTTATGATTTTGTGGTCATGAATTTCAACTGAGAGCAGTCTGCACAGTTTCTTATTGTTTCCAGTACATTCACATGGATATGTGCTGTCTAAACAGAGAGTTGAGGATTATGGCTGGCAAGCACAGCAAAAGGACAGAAAGACAAGGGCATCATTTCTTATAGTGAATGACAATCAAAATTATGCTAAAGAAAAGAGAAAAATGGAATACTATGCAGCCATAAAAAATGATGAGTTCATGTCCTTTGTAGGGACATGGATGAAATTGGAAATCATCATTCTCAGTAAACTATCACAAGAACAAAAAACCAAACACCGCATATTCTCACTCATAGGTGGGAATTGAACAATGAGATCACATGGACACAGGAAGGGGAATATCACACTCTGGGGACTGTTGTGGGGTGGGGGGAGGGGGGAGGGATAGCATTGGGAGATATACCGAATGCTAGACGACGAGTTAGTGGGTGCAGTGCACCAGCATGGCACATGTATACATATGTAACTAACCTGCACAATGTGCACATGTACCCTAAAACTTAAAGTATAATAAAAAAAAAAGAGAAAAATGATTTCAGTGAAGTGAGGGATAGTAAGAAGGTGGTAGATTTAGGTGGAGTAGAAATAATTTTGGGAGTTGGAATAACAGCAGAAGTAAACTAGAAAGATGGGAAGTTGTGGTCAGAAAACAGAATAACTGAAGTTATGGTTATGAAAAGCTTTTAGTTATTGGTAATAAGTCTTACATTATGGCCCAGAGAACAATAGTTGGCTAAGATAGAATATAGGACAAAATAATTAGAATAAAGGAGATTTAGGAATTGAAAAACCAGGATATTTGAAAGATTATGTTGATATTACAGTCACTAAGATGAAATACAGACAGGAGCAGTGTTGGGGGCAGTATCCTCAAACCTGAAATTCAACCACTCAGGAAATAACGAAGAGTGATTAGTGAGTTCTGCAGTTGTCTCCAAAAAGTTGAGGTAGGATGTGGTTTAGTTTGACAGATTTAATATTAGTGACTTTTAGTGTAAGAGGGAGACATAAGAAAAGTAGCAATAAAAACCAAAGTGAAACTTTGCTACTTCCACATCAATGGTGGGGATTTGAGGAAGACTTTAATTAAGAGAGCACTGTAAGAGAAGTAGGGTCTTCAAGGAGACTCAGGTTTTATTCAGTTAGGACAGTAAGTGACATAATGTTCAGAAAATGTACATAAATACATAGTATCTTTCTTGCTCTAGGCCATTATTTCTCTCTATTTCTCTCTCTCTCTCTCTCTCTCACACACACACACACACACACACAGCTACTTATAAACATATGCATCAGACAATGCCATCTCTTACTCCTCTTTTTCAAGTAATCTCCCATCATAGGTATTAAAGGTGTTAGCACCAAATCACTGTTTTCTCTTCCTTACTACATCTGACTCTTGCTGATTTCTTTTCTTTTCCTTTCTCCTCCTCCTCCTCCTCCTTCTTCTTTCTCTTCCCCCTCCCTCCTCCTCTTCTTCCTCTTCCTCTTCCTTTACATGTAGTTTATTCCAGAGATTGCAGAAAACACAATTTAGAGAGTATGCAAAATGAGACAGGGAAAGAAGAAAGCCAGTGAAGGATGCAAACGCGTGAGTTATGTTGTGAGCTACTGTACACAATCTTTCTAAAGACCCACTGAGGAACCATACTGAATATAACAGAGTGGCTCCACCCAGGAGTCAGCGATGTGGTGGCATTTATATTGCCACTTATATCAGCGGCCAGTTTTGTTTTTGCTACCTTTATACAAATTTCTCCTTGCTTTTTTTTCTTTTTATAGATTCAGGGTATACACGTGCAGATTTGTTACATGGATATATTGCATAGTGCTGGAGTTAGGGCTTTAACTGTACCCATCACCCAAATAGTAAACATTGTACCCAATAGGTAATTTTTCAAGTCTTACTTCCATCCTACCTTCCTCACTGCTGATTTCAATATTCCCCAATGCTGATTTCAATATTCATTTAGAATGTTCATTTTAGATCTTAGCCTTTCAGTTCTCAACTTTCTTACTCTCAATGATCTTACCTGCTATCCCAATTCAGCCACCCATTCGCATTGTTGAAACCTAGATATTGTCATTGCCAGTAATTGTTGTGGCAGATGTTGACAACTAGCTATCCAAAGATCATTTTTAACTCTCCCTTGCCTGCATCTACAGTAGACAGTGCAAAAGCTAAAAGCTTTATTCTAGGGTCCCACATGGTGACCACATTAAATATAAATGAAAGTCCACAGCCTCTTTCACTTTCTCTTTCTTCTTGCCTGGAGCACAGACATGTGACTTGGAGTTGCAGCAGTTACTGGAAGCCATGAGGTAAGAATCATAAGGATCAAAGCCAATATATTGAAGGTAGTAGAGCAAAACATTGAAAAATGTCTAAGCCTTCCACTTCTGGCCATGGTTTAATTTGTATCAGTCTAATTGTCAAACTGAGAACTAGAAGAGCAGGATAAGATGAGGGTGGGGGAGAACTGATGGAAGACATGGAAGAAAAGATATGAGAAGTAATAATCTCTGGGAAAACAGAAGCCACGCATATAAGAAATATTACTATTCCACTGTGATAAATACAAAGAAAACCATATTGAGAAACATTACAGTAGAATTACTGAACACCAAGAGCAAAGCAAAAAATCTTAAAATCAGCCAGAAAAACCAGACATAATACCTTCGAAGAAGCAACAATAAGAATGTTAGCTGACTTCTCTAAAGAAACAATGGAAGCTGAAGGAGAAAGTAAAATTTATGCCAAAATATTGGAAGATAATAACTGCCAACCTAGAAATCTACAATCAGCAAAACTATCTTTAAAAAAATCTTTTAGGCCAGGCACGGTGGTGCACACCTGTAATCCCAGCACTTTAGGAGGCTTAGGCGGGTGGATCATCTGAGGTCAGGAGTTTGCGACCAGCCTGACTAACATGGTAAAACCCCATCTCTACTAAACACAAAAAAATTAGCCAGGCGTGGTGACGCATGCCCTGTAATCCAAGCTACTTGGGAAGCTGAGAGAGAAGAATCACTTGTACCTGGGAGGCGGAGGTTGCAGTGAGCCGAAATCATGCCATTGCACTCCAGCCTGGGCAACAAGAGCGAAAGTCTGTTAAAAAAAAAAAAAATTAAATATTTAAAATTTTAACATATGAAAATTTCAAGATAAAGAAAAAGAATATATTAATTACTACAGAACTGTATACTTAAAAATGGTAAAGATGGTAAGTTGTATTTTATCTCAATAATTTTTTTTTTAAAGAAAAATTGTCTTCAGCAAACCTACTCTAAGCAAATATAAGGAAAACACTACAGGAAGTTCTTCTGGGAGGCAGATATTTAAATAAATAAATCAACATTAATAAAGTTAATATATGGCATATCTAAATGCATATAAAACAATAATGCCTTGTAGAATGTATAATGTTTATAGAATTAAATACATAATAATAATGCAAAAATTTGCAAGGAGTAAATGAAATTACAGTACTTAATGTTCTTACATTTTCGGGAAATTGCCTTAAGTACCAATATGAGGACGATTCTAATAAATCAAGGATTTACACTGCAATAGGTTAACTACTAAAAGTGCAGTGAAAATTTAAGAAGCAAAACTAAGAAGTCAGCAGAAAAAAATACGAATAAAATTAGGCAAAACCTAAGTTAAAAAAAATAGCTAAGAAGAGAGAAAGTAGAACAAGATAGATTTATAAACATGAAATTAATAGGGAACAGATATAAAATGGTAGATTTATGAACATGAAATAAGCACTTCAATTAGAAGACAAAATTTTAAACTTGACAAAAATCAAAACCTATTTATACACCGCTTTTGAGGGACACACCTTAATTATGACATGTAAAAATTTTTTTTAACCTCAAAAGGATACACCATGAAACGCTAACTTAAAGAAAATTGTTATAGCTATGTTAATACCAGGTGAAGTAAAGATAAGTCAATGCATTATTAGACATAAAGGGGACCATTTCAGTGATAAAACTGTCAATCAACTAAGGAGATATAACAATTCTACATTTTTATGCAATGAATAATGTAGCCTTCAAATAAATACAATTTAATGAACTAAAACCAGAAAAAGACAAATTCTAATTGTAATGGGAAATTTTAACATAATTATCTCAAAAAGAGATACGCAAATACATATAAGAGGTAAAACAAGTAAGCATGAATAAGATTTGATCATTAACAAACCTGACCTAATTAATATATATCAGCGCTGTACTAAAAACTTCAGTGTGCACATTCTTTTCTGGTTCACATGAAACCAGTATCAAAAATGAATATATACAAATTTCTAAGAACTAACATCATACAAAATTTACTTTCTGACCATCATGAAATTAAGTTTGAAATAAAAAACAAAAAAACCCACAAAGATTTAAGAATTAAGCAAAACCTGTCTAAATAACCCTTCTATCAAAGAAGAAATCACAGTAGAAAATTAAAATAAAATAATAATATTATGATAAAATAATAATGAAAAGACTGCATACCAACATTGCAGGCTACTGCAGAAGCTTAACAGAGCAGCAGTTCTTAAACGTTGGCACCCATTAGGATCACCTGAGGCCTTCTTAAAATACAAGGTGTTGTACCCCATCTTTAGAGCTTCTTATTCAGTAGGTCTGGCACATGGCTTAAGAATTTGCATTTCTAACAATATCCCAGAATATACTGATGTTTTTGGTTAAGGAACCACATCTTATCCTAGGATATATAAACAACTTTATGACAATAAATTTTATTTTAAAAATATTTTTTAGAAAAACAAAATTTACCAAAATTAGCACAAAAACAAATATGAAATCTTCATAGCTTTATCTATAGTTGACCCTTAAGCAACTCGGGTTTGAATTACATGGGTCCACACATACACTGGTTTTATTTCAGTAAATATACTGAAAAAATTTTTGGAGATTTGTGACAATTTATTAAAAGCTCTCAAATATTTAAAAAATATAAGAAAAAGTTGGATATGTCTTGAATGTATGAAATATATGTAGATACTAGTCTACTTATTTACTACCATAAAACATACAGAAAGCTATTATAAGAAGTTTAGGTTTATCAAAGTAAAGCTTTATGTTTAACTAAAGTTACGTACACAAACATACGCCATACATGGTACCATTTGCAGTCAAGAGAAACATAAACAAATGTAAAGATGTGGTTTTAAAATGGCATGAAATTAACTGTAGTTCACACTGTACTACTGTAACAGTTTCATAGCTACCTCCTATGGCTATTGCAGTGAGCTCAAGTGTTGCAAATATCCATTTTAAATGACTTGTGATGCTAATCATCTCTGCATGAGCAGTTTGTCTCAACAGTAAATTGCACATCACAGAAAAAAAATGGCCTCTTGCAGTTCTCTCATATTTTTTATTGTGTTTAGGGCAATACTTTAAACCTTGAATCACACCATGTGATCCATACGAAGTGCCACTAGTGATGCTGGCAATGCTCCCAAGAAGCACACAGCAGTCACGACATTACAAGACAAAGTTGAATTGCCGGATATGCATCAGAGATTGAGATCTGTAACTGCAGTAGCCCTGCCATTTCAAGAGAAATAAATCCAGCAATAACGACCATTGAAAAAATGGAAAGGAAACTTGTGAACCCATAGCTGCAGCTACACCAGCAGGTGCAAAAGCCTTACACTTTTTGTCAGATACCCTTTTATCTTATATTGAAAATGCAGCTGACAGCTTAAAGCAAAAAGAAGGATCTAAAGCTGGAGAATTTAATGCCAGCAAAGGATTGTTGGATAATTTTAGAAGGAAGTTTGGCTTTTAAAATGTCAAAATAATAGGAAAAGCAGCTTCTGCCAGTCAAAAGGCAACAGATAACTTCCCAGATGCCATTAAGAAAATGATTGTAGATAGGCGAAGCACAGTGGCTCACACCTGTAATCACAGCACTTTCGAGGTCAACGTGGGTGGATCACCTGATCCCAGGAGTTTCAGACCAACCTGGGCAACATGGTGAAATCCTGCCTCTACAAAAAAAAAAATGTGTGTGTGTATATATATATATATATATATATATATACACATACATACATACATATATATATACACATACATATATATATATACATACATACATATATATATATATATACATACATATATATATACACACACACACACACACACACACATATGAAGCCAGGCATGGTGGCATGCACTTGTAGTCCCACCTACTCAAGAGGCTGAGCTAGGAGGATCACTTGAGACTGGGAGGCGTAGGTTGCAGTGAGCCCAGATCGCACCACTGCACTCCAGCCTGGGAAAGAGAGAGAACTTGTCTCAAAAAAAAAAAAGAAAAAAAAAAAAAAGAAAGAAAATGGTTGAAGATAAAGAACATTTACCTAAACAGGTTTTTAATGCAGATAAGAGTGCCCTATTATAGAAAAAAAGAAATATCACAATGAACATTAATTAGTAAGGAAGAGAAGTGAATGCCAGGATTTAAGGCAGAAAAGGATAGTCTAACTCTACCGTTTTGTGCAAAAACATTTGGGTTTATGATCAGGACTATCCTTATCTATAGAGCTGCTAACCCCTGAGGTTTTTGTTTTTGTTGTTGTTCGTTTTGCTTTGTTTTGTTTTAGAGACAAGGTCTCACTGTGTTCCCCAGGCTGGAGTGCAGTGGCTCAACCATGACCCACTGCAGCCTTGAACTTCTGGCCTCAAACAATCCTCCCACTTTGGCCTCCTAAAGCAGTGAGATTACACACATGAGCCACCATGCTCAGCCTTCCCCTGAGATTTGAAGGTAGAAAATAAACACCAGTTGCCAGTCTTTTTGTTGTACACAAGAAGGCCTTGATGAGAACCCTTTTTCTGGATTGGTTCTGTCAGTGCTCTGTCTCTGAAGTCAGGATGTACCTTGAGAGTAAGAGACTGCTTTTTAAAGTTCTTTTGACATTAGACAATGCCCCTGGCCACTCAGAACTCCATGAGTTTAACACCAAAGGCACCAAAGTGGTCTATGTACCTCCAAACACAATGTCTCTGATTCAGCCTCTAGACCATGGGGTTACAGGATCTTTAAGGCTCATTGCCCATGGCACTCTATGGAAAAAATTTTAACACCATGGGTGAGAACCTTGATAGAGAAAACATCATGAAAGTCTGGAAGAATTACACAATTGAAGATGCCATCGTTGTTTTAGAAAAGGCCATGAAAGCCATCAAGCCTGAAACAATACATTTCTGTTGGAGAAAACTTTGTTGAGGGGTTGTGCGTGACTTCACAGGATTTATGACAGAACCAATCAAATAAATCATTAAAGAGATTGTGAATATGGAAAGCAGATATGGATGGAAGGATTTCAAGATACGGGTTTTAGAGAAATTCAAGAGCTAATAGACACCACATGCAAGCAGTTAACAGAAGACAACATTATGGAGATGAATGCTTCTCAACCGTACCAGATGGTGGGGAAGAAGTCATAGAAGAAGTGATGCCAGAAAACAAATGGACATCAGACAATTTGGCAGAAGGGTTCCAATTATTCAAGACTGCCGTTGACTTCTTTCACTACATGGACCCTTCCGTGATATAGGCACAGAAACTAAAGCAAATGGTGGATGAAGTATTGGTACCATATAGAAACATTTTAGGAGAAAGAAAGTGCAAAGTCAGACAGAAATTACTGTACTTCTGTAAAGTTACACCTAATGTGCCTGCCTCTCCTACCTCTCTTTCCACCTCTGCCACCTTTGAGACAACAAGGCCA
This sequence comes from Homo sapiens, assembly GCF_000001405.40. NCBI lineage: Eukaryota > Metazoa > Chordata > Mammalia > Primates > Hominidae > Homo > Homo sapiens. The sequence goes on along the minus strand of NC_000012.12, from coordinate 20,148,737 downwards.
ACTCTTCCTCCTCCTCCTCAGCTTACTCAATCTGAAGAGATGAAAATGACCTTTATAATGATCCATTTCCACTCAATAGTAGATACATTTTCTCTTCCTTATGATTTTCTTAATAACATTTTATTTTCTCTAGCTACTTTATTGTAAGAATACAGTATATAATACATATAACATATAAAACATGTGTTAATCAACTATTTATGTTATCAGTAAGGCTTCCAGTTACCAGTAGGTGATTAATAGTTAGGTTTTGGGAGACTCAGAAGTCATACATAGTTATTTGACCACATGGGGGTTGGTGTCCCTAACCCCCACATTGTTCAAGAGTCAAATGCATTGATAAATTTGAATCTTTCAGAAACATTACACCAAGAAAACTCCAGACCCAAATGACTCTACCAGGGGAATTTTCCAGCCACTCAGGGGAAAAAAAAATACATTAATCTTATACAATCCCTTCCAGAGAATAGGGGAAAACAAAAACTAAACGGCACAGCTTCTTTGATGAGGTTAGTATATCACTAATCAAAGCATTAGAAGGATATTACAGGAAAAGAAAAAATATGTAGTTCAATCACTCTTATGAACATAGATCCCAAAGTCCTAAAAATAAATAAAATAAAATAAATATGTAAACAAACTGCATCCATCACTATATAAAAAGAGGGAGCCAGGGAGGGAAAACTGAGTTATTGATGGCAACAGTAAGTAACTGTCTTGGATTGTCTACCTGGAGGCTTCTTGATAAGTATCAAAATTGAAGACTTGGCTGGGTACAGTGGCTCACGCCTGTAATCCCAGCACTTTGGAAGGCCGAGGCGGGGGGATCATGAGGTCAGGAAATCAAGACCATCCTGACTAACACGGCGAAACCCTGTCTCCACTAAAAAAAAAAAAAAAATTAGCCGGGTGTGGTAGCGGGCACCTGTAGTCCCAGCTACTCAGGAGGCTGAGGCAGGAGAATGGCATGAATCCAGGAGGCGGAGCTTGCAACGAGCCAAGATCACACCATTGCACTCCAGCCTAGGTGACAGAGCGAAACTCCGTCTCAAAAATAAATAAAAAATAAATAAATAACAAGACTTAACTATAAAGACAGCCTTAATTAGGTTTGCTATTATAGGCAACTAAGTGATTTATTTACTGACATTATTCTCTTATCTACAAAAATCACAATCTAAGCATCTAACCATTGACTCCTATATTTCCAGTACCCCAATTTCAACAACTGTTCATCCCAACTTTGAATCTAGTCCATTAACTTGGTCACCTTTTCACTGTCCACCCAGACCTCACTTCCCTTCCTTCCCACCTTAGCCCATGGTCTATCACCATTGTCATTTCTTTATGTATATCCTCAACTCTTTTGGCATCATACTTCATTGCATTTGCCTGACAAAAGCCCAACTCTAGTTAGATTAAATCTCTGCACACTTCATGACTGCACATAAGCAGCTCCCATGATTGATAAAAACCAGCCACACTGCTAACCAGTCTCACTTTAAACCACTAACTGTGAGCCTTTGGAACTGCCCAGAAAACTTACCACATTTTCTCATCGGTCGATTCTCCCCCTCTTCATGTTGACAGTTTCACAGCCAGTCCTCTACTTTCAAACATCCTGTACTTCTTCCTGCCCTCCTCACTCTCATCTGATGGCTCCCTATTCTACTACCAAATAGAAACAATCAGAAGATAATGCCATCATCTTCTCCCACCAACTCTACCAACGTATATGCAGCTCAAACCTGCCTTGCTACTAGTTCACTTCACTATCATACAAGAACATCACAATGACCCTGGTTAAAATCAGAAAGATGCTTAGAAAACATGATACTAGAGCAGTGTTTCTCAAAATGTGGCATTCAGACCAGCATCATCAACATCACTTGAAAACTTGTTATAAATGCAATTTCCCAGACCTATTAAATAGGAACTCTGGAGGGTGGGAACCAGTACTCTGTGTTTATGAAGGCCTACAGGTAACTCGGATGCATGCTAAGGTTTGAGCACCCCTGGTCTAAAATGTATGGATCTAGTTATGTTTTAACTCCTGCTCAAAACAAAGTAGCATATAATAACTCATTGTTTTATTATTAGGAGGAAAGAAGAGAAAGAGGAGCACATTTAAGTACACAATTTTTGACTTGAAGAAATGTATGGAAATTTGAAATTGCCCCAAGGTTCTAGCCCATTCCTTTTCTAGATGAAATTAAAATCCAAGTATAGTAGTAACACATCCAAGTTCATATAGCTAGCCTTGAATCTGCCCTTTAATAGTGATGTTTAATGGGCAAATCAATTAACTTCCTCCTAAAATAGAGAGCTAATCTCTACCTTTCTATATTACTTTCCTAGGACTGCCAAAACAAATTACCACAAACTGAATGGCTTAAAACGATGGAAACTACAGACACAGGGAGGGGAACAGCACACACTGGGGCCTGTGGAGAGGTGGGGAGGGACAGCATCAGGATAAACAGCTAATGCATGCAGGGCTTAATACCTAGGTGATGGGTTGATAGGTGCAGCAAACCATCGTGGCACAGGTTTACCTATGTAACAACTGCACATCCTGCACATGTATCCTGGAACTTAAAATAAAATAAAATAAACAAACTTATTCTCTCACAGTACAGAGGCTGCTAGAATCCTAAATCCAGATGTCAGGAGTGTTGGTTACTTCTGGAGGTTCTGAGAGGGAATCTGTTCCATGCCTCTCTGCTAGCTTCTGATGGGTGCAAGCAATCTTTGACATTTCTTGGCTTGTAGATGCATCACTCCAATATCTACCTCCATTTTCGCATGGTATTCTCCCCTACATGTCTGTCTCTGTGTCCAAATTTTCCTTTTCTTAAAAGAAAATCAGTCATTTGATTAGGGATTACCCTAATCCACTCTGACCTCATTGTAACTTGATATACATTTTTAAAGACCTTATTTCCAAATAAGTGTCTGTTACATTTACATGTACTGGGGGTTAGGACTTGAATATCTCTTTAGAAGGGAGGGAGAAGATAATAATTTAAACCAGTATACTTTTCTACCATCTAAAAGCCATGGATAGGGGGAAACAAATTTTCTCTGCCTAAAGGAAAATGGAAATCCAAACTTCTCACACAATCCACTGCTGACTCACTGTGAAGTGTGAAGCACAGACCAGCACATCCATGATGCTCAGGACCACTGCCTACCACCTCAGCCTGCCCCCTATGACAAATGTTATATGTGCTTGCTTGTTGCTAACTGGCTACCTCGACCACCTATTCCACTTACTGGACCAAGGATGCTGATTCCTGAAATCTGCCTCCACGGCTGCCACTGCCCATGGGACCATCCCAATGCAGAATGCTCCATCCCATCCCACATCTATTAGGCCTCTCTCCAAGGCCACAGGTGAATCTAAATCTCAAGAAGCAATAAAATGACATAAATTCATATTATTTTATTTTTTAATGTACAAAAACATTAGTGTTCTCAGTAAGAGAATTGTGGTATGAATATGTTGGTGGGATTAATCATCCATATTTTACTTTCTAATGTGGCCGACCAAGCACTTGTGGTAGAAGCAGAAATTACAGCAGCTCTGCCATTGTCTTCTTTGCTCACTCTTGCATTGTTAATTTTTGTGAATCCATAGTTTTTTTCAGTAACCTTTTAGAACCACTTTTCAATTTGGAAAAGGGTTACTATAGTTAAAACCAGATATTGTAATTTATAAATTCACTGCATTAGGCTCAGGTAAACCACAATACACTGTCAACCCTTCCATGCTGTAAAATTTCTGCTTATCATTCAGGATATATTGGGAAATGTACATTATACATGACTGCTTCATGTAGGTCCAAGAAAAGGGGAAGAATAGGGAGAAAGAGGAGAAGGAAGAAGAGGAGGAAAAAGGAGAGTAACAGAAATAGGAATTAGAAGAAGTAGGAAGAGAAAAATCAGAAGAGGAGAAACAGTAGCAGCTGACACCACCACTAGGATCAATTTATATGTTTAATAGTAATAAAATATTTATTGTTCATAACTAATATTATGTAACTAGTATTAGATTAACATTCTAACATTTCCTTCACACTCCAATGGCTCATCTTATACGTGCATTTTGAGAACACCATCTAGGTGATGTCACCATTCATCTGAATTAAGCACCAAATAACTTGCTCTTTCAGTTCTTGATGTTCTTTCAGTTCTTGTTCTTTCAGTTCTCAATGTTCTCCTTTTATCTCTGCACCTGGTCTTTTCTTTTGTCATCTGTTAATACTTCCCACCCGACCTCAAGCTTCTGTGCTTCTAGATTGCTTGCTTAACTATTCCTTTAAAATGATCTTATGTTGCCTAGAGACATCCACTCTACTAATCCCTGTCATCATCCATATATATCCCCTTTACGGTCTTCACTTCCTTTCCAATATGACACAAAAGACACAACCAAGTACATTGGTCAATGTCTAGGATTCTAGGGTCCCACAGACCTGAATGTGTAATGCAGGGTGAGTTGCTTTACCTCTCTGAGCTTCAGTCTCTTTAACATGAAAAGTGGGGATAAAATAGAAGCTAACATAGTCTTCTTAGGAATATTTAATAAAATAAGGTATGCAAAGTATCATCTAGAATGCTTGTGGTTCTGAAAAAGATCAGTCAACTGCATGAATGTTAGTGAGTGGCCAAGTGGATGAAGTCTAAAAATAGTGAGCTTTGCAGCATAAATAAGTAAATATTCTGTAGTATTTTGACCATTTATGCCTGTTGATTTATTGGCTTCCATTCATCCCCATCTGGACTCTGCATCACCCTAACACAGCTGAAGATAAAAATGCTGACAGTTTGCCACTGTCTGCCTTCCTCACAATCTTGTCATTTCATTATTGATCCTTAATACTTCTCTAGATCTTGAATAACTCTCCTCTCCCAGCTTCACCATTGACAGCTCGATTTGGACACTATCAACGGGTTCAGTGTTAAAAGCACTGAGACACAGAGAAGTCAAAAAATGCAGGGTGAGTAGGCTGGGATAATATATATCCTGAGATCTACCTCCAATACTGCACTGTAACGTTTAGGATTGGATTTATATATTACTTTTAGGATTGGAATTTAGGGTCATAAAATAATTTGGTTTAGAAAATGATTAACAGTATAGAAAATTAAGTTGGGGGCTTAGAAATGCTTCTCCATTTCTACCTGAATAATGCAGTCATCAGCTTGACAATGAAACATGCTCAGTGGCCATTCTTCACACAGTGCATGTGGTATTTTGGGTCCAAGTCATCAGTAGCTGAGCAGATAATTTTTAAGGACAAAGTGTCATTCTTCAATTTTGGGTTAATTTGTACATGCCAGGTTTGATTTTGAATGCATGGACTTGGTGAAAATGTAGGTACATGTGGCTTAAGCTGTCACTTGCAGTAACACTTTCTCATGTATATGTTCCTGAAGTCTCACATCTATAAACTGCAAATGTGGAACAATTGCTCTGGCAGTAATTGCTAAAGCACACAGGAAAGTTTCTCCTTCAGATATTCTCATTTCTCTGGTTTCCAGGCAGTCTCTCATCCACCGCACCACCCCACCCCACCACATTCATTCTCATTCTGCCTCAGATCGTTTCCCCCAAGTGGTCAAACCTTGTAAGTCGAGTGGCATTTCTGTGATGCCATTCTTTCCAAAATTCTGCAGATGGGCTAAAACTAATGAAAGCTAAACCTGAGCATAAAAGGCAATGACTTTTATACCTCAGGTACACACAATAGCAATCATTTAAGTTTACTGGAAACTTCATATTTTATATTACTAGAACCCAGAATAGAATTCTGAGCACTTAAATTGGGCTTCTAGGATTCTATTAGAGGTTAATTTACACTGAAAGCATCTAGGATATGTAATTTTATAAACATTGAAGCCCGGAAAATGTTCTTAGTGTTTATAGGTTGGAAGAAAATAACTGAAAATGGTAACAAAAAGAAATAGTCTGTTTATGCTTTTTTAGGATTATGTATAGGGTTACATTTTGACAGTCTGCCCAGAATTTTAAAACATTGGATATATATATCAAAAGTGCTTCAGACATGCCTTCATCTTTGCCTTTATTATTTTAGAGATACAATTTCCCTCCACCTTGGCAGAGGCTGTATGCCATAATTTCTCATCTGCAACATGTATATCAAGATAGCATGGCCAGACCTCAATTGAGAACCTTCATGCTTTCATGAATGCCAAACAGACACAGCCATTTAAGATGATGTCACTTCAGAAGACATTGCTAACTCTGAGCCCATATGGTGCAGAGTAAAATTGAAATGGCCAATTTCTATCAGCCCTCACAATATGGACAGCCATTTTCATTCAGCCCTATGCAATTCCGTTCAGGTTATCCATCTTTTTCTTAAGTTTTAGATACCAGGGCTATGTAGTGTGCATTTTATGAGCTTAACTACTGGTGAACAAAACAGGAATACTGTACTTTGTGAACTGTTTATACTAAGCATGTTTATTCATTCCAGCATTATTCTGGCTTTTAAAACATGCAACATATTTCACACATCCTAAACTTGTTCTCTTCAGTAAGTCAGAATGCCTTTAAATCTTTCAGTGGTATAAATAACAGCAAGTAGTACCTAAGAAAAGAGGAGGCATGAGCATACATTTCACCCAGTAGCACTTGTATGCAAAAAAAAAAAAAAAGGCTAACGTTATTATTTGGGAATTGCAAATAATAAAAAAAATTAATTTTTGCTAGGAGGACCAGATTTTGAACTTATGTATCCACAAGGTATGTTAAGACAATATTAGACTTAAAATGAGGCTGGGCGTGGTGGCTCACACTTGTAATCCCAGCACTTTGGGAGGCCAAGGTGGGTGGATCACTTGAGGTCAGGAGATCGAGACTATCTGGCTAACACGGTGAAACCCTGTCTCTACTAAAAATACACAATACACACACACACACACACACACACACACACACACACACAAATTAGCTGGGCGTGGTGGCGGGCGTTTGTAGTCCCAGCTACTAGGAAGGCTGAGGCAGGAGAATGGCGTGAACCCAGGAGGTGGAGGTTGCAGTGAGCCGAGATCACGCCACTGCACTCTAGCCTGGGCAACAGAGTGAGACTCCATCTCAAAAAAAAAAAAAAAAGAAAGAAAGAAAGAAAAGAAAATTGTGGTGAGAAAATAACTGTAATGGATGTAATTGGACCAGGATAGTCTGCTCACCAGCTGAATGTGCTGATGGGGAACATGTTTAAGAGGAGACACTTCTGCACGCCTCAGCCTTAAAAAAAAAAAAAAAAAAAAAAAAAAAAAATCAGAGAAAGTAGAAATGGCCCAAAGGTGAGTAGCTTTGGTAAGCTACCTAACGTCTACATTGCTTCATTTATTTAGCTTCACAATAGGTTGCACTTATTTTTGTAAGTCTTGTTCAGAGGACAAAAACAAAGTAGGTTGGGGCTAGCCACGAGCAGCTGGGCGTGTGTCATGATATGAGGGTACCAAGGACTGGATCAAGCGTGGAGAGCAGAGCATGGTCAAAGCCAAAGCTTTACTGTAACTGTTAAGTCCAGAGTATGAAGCTGAGGTAAAAATAGGGTAGTAAGTAATGAAGTTTAAGACCAGGACATAGAGTGGGACATGTACTAGGTATTAATTAAATGTTCTGGGGGATATTATTAACGATGTATTCTGTGATTTATGAGTAGGGACCAGAGAGCCCCTTCCATGTGACGCCTATGACAGCACCACATCAGCTTCAAGGAGAGGTGTCAGCAGAACGTGACTCATATTTCAAACCTCTCCCAGCTCTATAATCTCACAATCATTGTTCCTCTTTTTCTTCAAGGCCTCACCTTGAAACCAACCCAGTCCAATTGCCCCATGGGTTCCTATCTTCAGAGAAAATTCTTAATCTCTCTATGAGGACTTAGAAGGTTATTTTCAATAATCTCTTTTGTCTTTTACTTGCCAAATTTCTTATATTTCTTCTGTTTTTTTCTTTCAACACACTTTTTATTTTTCCCTGCAACACATTGCATTAGGCCTTGTTCTATGCTTTATTCTAACATATTTATTCTTTATTTACTTTCTTCTAATGTATTTTATTTCACTAACATGCCATTCTATTCCTTTTGATTTCCTTGGGAAGCAAATTCAATGGTGTATATATTAACAGTCTTAAAAATTATTGTCCTGTTTTATTTTCCACAAAGAAAAAGTCACATTGTGATAGAGTTTTCTATGTACTTTTTGGTCTTTTTTTTTTTTTTTTTTTTTTTTGAGACGGAGTCTTGCTCTGTCGCCCAGGCTGGAGTGCAGTGGCGTGAACTCCACTCACTGCAAGCTCTGCCTCCCAGGTTCAAGCCATTCTCCTGCCTCAGCCTCCTGAGTAGCTGGGACTACAGGTGCCCACCACCATGCTCAGCTAATGTTTTTGTATTTTTAGTAGAGACGGGGTTTCACCATGTGACCCAGGATGGTCTCGATCTCCTGACCTGGGGATCCGCCTGCCTCCGCCTCCCAAAGTGCTGGGATTACAGGCGTGAGCCACCACACCTGGCCTCTTCATGCATTTTTCTATAGCCATATTCACTGAAATATTTATGCTATTGCTCCCTAAATATTTAAGAAACATGATAAGTTACACTATTTCTTAGTTCAGGCTGCATTTTATCATAAACATGTTGCCTTTTCATGAGATGCAGTGTTGGCTCCTAGGTCTTGGACCATCTAGAAAGTGTGCCAGTCCATGCATCCAATAAAATCCAAGTTTGGAAAAAACATTCATTCTCCTTTATATCAGAGTCCAGGATAATTCTGGTTTCTTTGAATTTCAAAGCATTACTAGAGTGTGGGCTACATTTTCTTGCAACTAGTATTCCTTCCTATATAATTTTTGCTGTTGTTTCTTGAATTACTAAACGTTTTTAAAAATTCGGTGTATTTCTATCATACAAGTCAAATTATAATAAACCTCAAGTCTCTGCTTGTTTTCATTCTGGATTCTTTTCTGGGCCAAGGATTGCCCAAATTAAGATAAAAAAATAAACCCCTGGGCTGCGTGATAACACTTAAGTTCTAGTGCTCAATCCAGGGCCACCACATTGAGCCAGGCAGGCCACATATGCCCAATATTGTAGAAAGTCCTCAAGTTGTGCAATTCGGCAAAGCCACGGATCCTCCCTGATGCCATGACTTATTAGCTTTATGATATATGACAACTTAACTACATGATCCTAATAGTATCCCAGTGCTTCACCATGCAGTTGTATTGTGAAAGCATTTCATAAATCGTATTGTTCTATACAAATCCGTCTCCTTTTCTCTTTGATAATCTCGAATTCAAGGAGCTTTAAATATATAATATGTTTTCATTATACTTTTGCTGTAAAACTGCCACTGTTTCCTGACATTTAAATTTTCTATATAGGCTCAATCAATAGATATGGATATGTTTTCAATCTCTGAGTCACCTAATACCTAAGTGCTCTGAACAGGTGTCAGCTAAGAAACATATAATCCATTTAGTGGAGACCTATAATACTAGTTTTGTTTTCACAGATGGTGTTGGATTATTAAAGTGGAAATAGGCCAAGAAGTTTTAAAAGTACCTTTCCATTTAAGAGAGGGACACGTATTAAGCTGGACCTTGTATTATTTAAAGCTATGGTAAGTAAATTCAGCTCTAATCTTCTCATAGCCCAGTCTGACTAAATCTATTATTTTCTATGTCTCCTAAATTTTAGTTTTCCTGTTACTAATCCCTACATCATACAAATAGTTTCTGGGGAGAAAATATATCATTCACCTTCAGTGTGTTTAGTTCGTAGCCATATCCTTTTATTTTCAGAAGGCAGGTAATGGATACTAAGGTGTTGAAACAGAGTTAGGAAAAACAAATAATGCTAAATCTACCACAGTTTGACCATGCGGAAGTCACTTAATTTATCTTTAACTCAGTTTGGGTATCTGTTAAATAAGGCAATAAGGTTTTGTAAACTACTAAGTTTTTTAGTTTATAGAAGTGTTAAAGTAGTTCAAAACGTGTTACTTTTTGACATATAAATCCAAAGTGTTATCATGATTTACCTAATCATATACAATATCTACTATTGGTCTTTTAGTTAATAAAGGTGACAGTGTTGTGGAGCAGAAAGATTTGGAGTTAATGAATTCAGCTCTTTCACTTAGCTCTGTGATCTTGGGCAATTACACTTGTATGACTTTGGCTGCCTAGAATCTGACCTACCTTTATATTTCTGGAGAATTCCCAATGGTATGTGTTCTGTTGAACAATCTCCTTCTACAGAACCTGAAAAGAGCCAAAACCTACTTGTCTCTCTGTCTCCCACCACCAGCACCAAGAGCGTTGGCACAAAATCTGGGCTTCTCCAAGCAAGTGCTTCCATCTGAGACTCTGAACTTGGATTGAGTAAAACAGGCAAAGAGAGAGTGGAATTCATTTTGTCAATGGGAATTGCAATGGTGGTACTCTTTTGGTCAGGATGGAAGTTCCAGGAGTTTCCATTTGGCTATTTCTCCCACGTGACTTTTATCTTATTGTCAAAATGCCGACTGAGAATTTAGCTGATTGTTGATATATCTATTTCAGCTTTATATTGAGAAACAGAGGGAAAAAAAATGGGATGGATTCAGGGTGTGATTTTTATATCAAAATTATAGTTATCATCTGACATCTCAAAAACTGTCACTCAAAAAAGTGGATTCAACAGTGTTCAAGGTTCCAAACAATTAGTTTTTACCTCAGAGTTAGTGCTGATTAAGTCCAAAAGCAATTTTTTTTGTAATTTTTAGGCTGTCCTAGTCTATAGGGTAGGCTAGAGGAATGTTTACACTAATGACATGAAGCCATACTCTACTGCCCATCCTCAAGCATATTTGGGCTCCCCTCAAGTGATGCTGGATATGTAAAAGTACAGTTATCAGATTACAGTAATTTTCCTCTCTTTATGAGGATACTCTCCAGGCAAATGAATTTATCAGAAAGTACATTGAATGTAATCCTAAAAAAAACTAAATTTTTTAATGTGCTGAAACTTGAATATCTAAAATACATTAAAATCTCAAGCATATGTAAATGCTAAATAAGCAAATACCATTTAATTGAAAGATATTAAATCTGTCATTTTTTATTACCAAAAACTCACTTTGAGGTACATACTGCATCAGACCATTTTACAGTTGGAGAAATAGGCAGCGAGCAGTAGCCTTAGAGGATATTAACTTAGAATTTAAAACTTGTGGGTTTTTTAATTTAAAAATCAATCACTCTATAAATAAAATCCCAAAGGTACCAATACTAAGAAAATATTTTAATTTCTTCCATTTTAGAATATTCAATAAATATTTGATTTCAGAATTAATTTCACTACTTTTGAAACATGTATTTTGAAAGGAAAATAATTAAGATGGATAATACCACATTCAAAATATACTTCATCTATGGATCATATTATGAAGTATCTCTTTAATCTAAAAAATTATTTTAAAAATTTTAACAATTGGGGCTTGGGATGAAACTATGATAATTAACAGAGTGGGTGGCCTAGTGATTGTCAAGTTGACCAATGGAATAGAGTTCAGAAGCCCAGAAACAGAAATATTCAAGTATGGAAATTTGGTATACGCAGAGATGAGAAAAGAAGGGACTCTTTAATAAATGGAGTTAAAAAAACAGTTATCAGTTATGAGAAAAGATAAATTTGACTTGCATATCATGTCATAATTTAAAAAAACTCTGAATTGAATAAGGATTGAAAATGTAAAAACTGGGGAAGGTGGCCAATTAAAAGCAGCTAGTGTGTGCTGCTCTCATGGAGAGAAATAGAAGGAGCAAGTGAATACAGTGCCTTCAACTGAAACATCCAGGTGGATGCATTGGGATTCATCAAGAAAACAATTCAAGCGATGAAGAATGGAGAAACGCAAGGCAGTACAATCATCAAGCCAGAGGAGGCTCCCCAGCCCAGGGAAGTGGTGAGTGAGTGAGCGAGCAACCCCGGACACCCATGCTTCTCCCATGGATCTTTGCACCCCTGTGTCAGGAGATCCCCTCAGGAAACCACTCCACAAGGGCTTGCAATCTGATGCACAGAGCTACAAGGAGTCTTTACAGCAGCCACTTGGGCACACATGAATCCCTGGGAGCTTTGGATAGCCAGGCTTCCCAGCAAAAGTGGCTGCAACTCTGGCAAAGTGGGAGGCTAGGCCCTCATACATACCCCTTGGAAAGCAGCTGATTCCAGAAGGCTGAGCAGTGATGATCTGCAGGCCCCACTTCCGTGACACTTCACAGGACCCGCTGACTTGGAACTCCAGTAAGCCACTGGTAGCAGCATTGCACCTCTCTGAGGGAGCTCCCAGAGTAAGGGGTGGCTGCCATCTTAGCTGTTTCTCAGTTTTAGCTATCGTTGCCTTCGGTGTAGGTGTCCTGTGAAAAAGTGGCCAGACTGTTTTTTATGCAGGTCCATGACCCCCACTCAGTGGGACCTCCTGATGGGTCACCAGCCCTTCTTGCTGGTGTTTTCCAGCTGGCAGTGGTTCTGAGTCTCTCTGAGACGGATGCCCCAGCTGGGGGGATGGACCGCCATCTTTGCTGTCTAACAGCCTTAGCCATTGTTGCCTTCAGGCTCTAGGGAGTCCGAGGAGACCAGGGAATGAAGCGCTCCCCAGCACAGTGCAGCAGTTCTACAGAGAAGCAGCCAGACTGATTTTTCGTGCAAGTCCTTTATGCTGTTTCTCTTTACTGGGCAGAATCTCCAAACCGAGGACGACAACCACCCCCATAGATGTGTTCAGGCAAGCAAATAGGTTCGTACCTCCCTGGGATGGAGGTCCCAGAGAAAAGAGCAGGCTGCCATCTTTGCTGTTTTGCAGGCTTTACTATTGACACCTTCAAGCACAGGAAAACCCAAGGTCACTAGGGACTGAAGTGAACCCTCAGCATACTGCAGCAGCCCTAGGGAAAAGTGGCCAGGCTGGTTGTTATGTGGGTCCCAAATTTTGTATCTTCTTACTGGGCGGGTCTTCCAGGATTGGGTCTCCAGCCACCCCCTGCTGGGACTATTGAGCCAGTAGGAGCTCTACAACTCCCTGGGACAGAGCTCCCAGTGAGAGGGGCAGGTTGCTATCTTTGCTGTCTTGCAGCCCACACCCTTGCTGCCTCCAGGCTCTGGGGAGTCCATGAAGCCCAGGGGCTGGTCTGGATCCCCAGCACAGAGCACCCACCTCACAGAAAAGTGGCCAGACTGTTCTCTGTGCAGGTCCCAGTCCACACTTCTCCTCACTAGGCAGGGCTGCCTGACCTGGGACTTCAGTAAAACTGCCTTGCCCCTGCCTGATTACCTCAATTAGAAACAGCCCAGCAGTTAAAGGAATACCAACATGCAGAGATGAGAAAAAAACAACACAAGAATTCTGGCAACTCAAATGGCCAGAGTGTCTTGTGTCCTCCAAACAACTACGGTAATTCTCCAAAAAGGGTTCTTAACCAGCCTGAGTTGGCTGAAATGACAGAAATAGAATTCAGACTATGGATAGGAATAAAGATCATTGAGATTCAGGAAAATAGCAAAACCCAATCCAAGGAAACTAACAATCAAAATAAGACAAAATAGGAGCTGACAAACAAATAGCCAGTATAAAAAAGGGACCTAACTGATCTAATAGAGCTGAAAAATACAGTACAAAAATTTCACAATGAAATCACAAGTATTAATGCAGAATAGATCAAAAAATGTCAGAACTCGAAGACTGGCTCTCTGAAATAAGACAGACAAAAATAAAAAAGAATAAAAAGCAACGAGGAAAACCTCTGAGAAATATGGAATTGTGTAAGGAGGCCAAATATACAAATTATTGGCATCCCTGAAAGGGACAGGGAAAAAGTGAAAAACTTGGAAAACATATTACGGGATATTGTCATGAGCATTTCCTCAACCTCACTAGAGAGGCCAACAGTCAAATTCAGGAAATACAGAGAACCTCTGTAAGAGATCTACTGTAAAGCACCTATAGTTAACAATACTGTCTTACATACTTAAAATTTTACTAAAACTATAAAGTAGTTCTTAAGTGTTCTCATCACAATGATGGTAGTAGTAATAATAATAAGTGAAGAGGGTGTGAGGGAATTTTGGAGTTAATAGATATCTTTATGACAGATTGCAGTGTCTACTTATATCCAAATTTATGATGTTGTATACATTAAATATATATAGCTTTTTGTATGTCAATTGTACCTCAATAAAGTGGGTTTTTTTAACATATAAAAAAGAAATGCCTGTAGTCCTGGCTACTCAGGAAGGTGAGGCTGGAGGATCACTTGAACCCAAGACTTTGGGTCCAGCCTGGGCAACATGGTGAGATCTCATCTCGAAATTAAAACATAATAATAATAAGACATCACAGTATCAAGGCTAGTCATCTTTTCTGTGGCTTTCATTGTACTGCCTGATGACACACGGGATTATAATGAAATATGAGGTGTCCTAATTGCAGTAACTACATGTAAAATAAAATAGAATGAATTTGGAATGGTAAGAAGGGCAGTAGTTTTTCAGGATGTAAAGAAATGAGAAACAGGAATACGATTGTTGAAACATAAACAGGAAGAATCAACAATATGAGAAACATGCAAGTGAATAGAATTAAAGACCTCTGCCATAGAGTATTCTAATTTAATCTGCATTTGGCAAGCATTTCATGACACAGCTTCATCCACTTTACCACTAAGCTAGCCAAGACAGTGGTCCTCAAATTTTAGCTGAAATCATAATCACCTGGGAACCTGGTCTAACCCTCAGAGCCTCAGGTCTATCCTCTTCAATAAGCCTGCCCCTCTCTGTTCTTTCTGAGTTCTGGTGTTGTGATATGTACTAAAGTTTGAAAGCCAGCTATTCAGAAAATACACAGAGGGAAAACTCATAATGTCACCAATAGCTGTAATTATTCCCCAAAAGATAGAACAGAAAACTATTCTTTTCCCTCGGTGCCCATGCGAATCTGTTTTCTGAGGCTCTTTGGATCATTTTAACAAAACCTAGGTAGATGCCATGTCTCTTCTGATCACTCAGAAAATATAAAGTCCTCTAATCACTTTTAGTTACAAAAAGCTTGATTTCGGTATTCAAAATATTCTGAAGTAATAGTTAAAGCGCCAAACTTCATTTAAAGTTTATCCTCTCCTGGCTCAGGCTAAGGAATAGGTTGCTAGACTGCAGAGTGGAAAGGGCAACGTTTTTGGGTTTGTTTTTTTTTAAGTTTTAGGTGTTTTTTTTCACTGCCTAAAACGTTCACCCCACCTCCCTCTCTCAACAACTGGTTTCAGATCATCTAGATCTGTGGGAGGCATATTAAAAAGCAGTAAGGTCCAAGAAAGTTCTCACTTGACATGCACCAATATGGTCTGGATTTGGTTTCTCCTGATTCTTGGAGCATTTTTTACTTCCTATGGAACCCTGTCACTGGCAATGGAATCTCCTCTCCCACTCTTGCTGTTTAAATACAGCTGAGGTCTCTTCTGCCTGGCCATTTACAACTTCACTCTGATTTTTTGAGGTCCATTACACTCTCCAAGGAGACAATCACCACTCCAAGGTGACTTCAGGTGTGTTTCTCTCTTCCATTTGGCCTTCAGGAGCCTTCCTTCCGAAGACCTTTGGCAACACAGGCTGTTCCTAAGGCAACCAGCCTCCTCTCTGGACAACTGCTGGGCTGGTCAGGGCAGCCTGTGCCTTTAGGCTTTTCTAGCAGCAATTTCTGCTCCATGACCCCAGGCTCACAAAGCAACCTCTTACCCTGAATCCCCTCTTACTCAGCTGGAGGGGAGTTGAAGGAGACATTTCATAGCAGTCCAACTCAAGTAATCTCAACTTAAAGAGATATAATTAAAACTAAATAGCATGAAAAGGTAAACACAAAGCAATTGGCCACAATGTATTAGGTAAAATAAAGAAAAATATAACAATAGCCATATTATTTGAAGAAAGTAGAATTGAAAGTAGCTTTTTTTAACATGAGTAAAAAAAGGGTCATTAAGATAATATGAGGTAAAACTCATAAAATATATCAAAATTCATAAAGCAAAATTCTTGGTATTTAGCAATAATTTGACATAGAATTATTCAATTTTATACATATTTTCTGTCCTTTAAACAATTATACAGAATATATATTAAAAATTAGAATAATGAAATTCAGAATTTTATATATATCAAATTTTGTAAGCATTTAAACAGAGTTAACCAGTGCACATAGTCCTTAAAAAACTATATATATAATAATAAAGTCTATATATAAATAGTATAGTTTTATATATAGTTTATAAAATATGTATTATATATAAAATAAATAATATATATAAAACATATAGTATGTTATATATATTATATTTTATGTATGATATAATGTTTTATTTATTATATAATATTAATCTGCAAAAAAACTAGATAAATTCCAAAGTGTCAAAAATGTGCTACCTATATTCTTTCTCTAGTAAAACTAGATATTTACAAATGAAATACTGAAGAAAGACCCAAGTCAGTTGACAATTTGAAACATTTCTTAAATATTGGAACAAAAATATCAATCTACAATTATAAACTATTCAGGAACTAATGATGATGAGTGACCTCTATTCCAACATTTTCAGGAGATGGTCAAGACAATTTTGTTTTTAATTATGATTTAAAATCATTTAAAATGAATTGTCTTTTATTTCATAATTTAAATCCAAGAATTTGGAAAACAATCCATAGAAATCTAAGGAAATCAGAAAGAAAATATTAATAATTTGGAGTTTTGGGAATACAATTCTAGATAAATCAAAATACCTACCTTTTCATTTATTTATGAAAAAAATTATTGGCTGCTTAATTTGTGCTCAGCATTTTTCTATACATAAAATAGGCAAGATTCACAGGTCTTGTGCTCAAGAAATTTAAATTCAGCAAGGATTTATTATTTATTTACTTCCTTTATGTAACTAGATGGTTAAAATATAAGTGATAAGCTCCCTGATAGTAATAAGTACAGGCAACAGAGAGAAGGTAGCTGGACCCCCTACCAGCCATAATGCAGCAGTGATGGTTTGCTGAGGGACAAGTTACATAAACTAAGTCCTGAGGGTAAACAGCATTATCCATCAGGAAGGAGAGCATTCTCAGCGCAAGGAGAAGAATGTGAAAGGAGAGAAAAGTGAGTATGTTTGGAGAACTAAAGATATTTCAACATTGTTAGATATTAAATGATGAGATGTAGTCTGAGAGAGGTAAGCTTTAACCTATCATAAAAGCTTTATAGAAAATATTAGGCCGGGCGCTGTGGCTCACACCTGTAATCCTAACACTTTGGGTGGCCAAGGCTGGCGGATCACAAGGTCAAGAGATAGAGACCATCCTGGCCCACATGGTGAAACCCCGTCTCTACTAAAAATACAAAAATTAGCTGTGCATGGTGGTGTGCACCTGTAGTCCCAGCTACTCGGGAGGCTGAGGCAGGAGAACTGCTTGAACCTGGGAGGCAGAGATTGCAGTGAACCAAGATTACACCACTGCACTCCAGCCTGGCAACAGGCAACAGAACGACACTCCATCTCAAAAAGAGAGAAAGAGAGAGAGAGAGAAAGAGAGAGAAAAAATATTAAGGAATTTCAACTTCATCCTGAGGAGGTAGAAAGGATTGTGTATAGGAGTGTGACTTGAGAAGATGTATATTTGAAAAATGTTATGAGATGGGAACGATACACAGCCTCTCCTTTTCAGGGTGAGACCCACACTGTCCTAGGAGGAGAAGGAGTTCGGAAGAAGAAAGGAACACTCCAAACCCAAAACACATGTAAAGGGAGCCAGAAACTGAGTACCAAAAAATACTGACTACTAAAAAACAGAAGTGCCAAAAGTGAAGGGTAAAAGTAAAAGCTGCCAGAGAGAAAGGGACAAGAAGAACATAAATCTTGAGTGAAGAGTGGAAGTGCAATACTATAAAATTAACAGAGACTTTATAAATGACTAGAAGTGAGGGAAATTGGCACAGCATCCATTGATAATGACAGGAGAATAATTTCAGCAGAGGGCTGCACCACAATTTCATTAGGTTTCCTTTAGATATCCTGGAATGCTACTTTCTAGAAACTGGCCATCAGTCTTATTCTGTAACTTTAATTCTCCAACCAATTTAAAATGATTATATTCTCATCCCCAAGATGCCTAATGGGCTGAACTGTAATACTTAAAATTCAAGTTTGTCTATGAGATAGTGGTGATTGCTTGGAACTGGTAATAGTGGTTACTCTAAGCAAGGACTTTAAACAAAACAAAAGCTTTATGAGAAATTTCTGGCTTATATCTTTCAAATAGATTATTAATTAATAATACTGGAAGGTTTTAATAAAATCATGCTAATGTCCTTCTCAGCAACAGTGTTATTATAGCATCAACTTATAACCAAAGCAATATATATTAGAAGTGACCAGCTAAAATCAGAAATGTGAATTATGGGAATATATGAAATTGCAACAATAAGTTATTAGAGGTATGATTAATGAAGCATCCGCCATGTGGCAAGTCTCACCCCAGAGCCACTGAGCCCTTCTGAGTTCATCAGTTTGGTTACCAATTATTTCCCAATATCCATTAATGGCAGGCACTAATTTTATTTTTCTCTATAGTATTCTTAAAGTACTCTTAAGGATAAAGTAGAATGGAAGTGAATCATTTGTTCCTGCTGTAATGACTGGCCAACTCAAAACATTAAATGCCAGCTCTGAGTGTTATGATGAATGCCACCTTAAATACATAAAATGAAAAAATTATGTTGACATAATAGATGAAGTCATAATTTGCAGAATTTTAGTAAAATTGGAATTCTAGGATTACATATGCATATGATTAGTTGTTCATTCATTTATTAATTTATTCACTCAATCACCTGTATACCAAATATGTATTAAGTATCTGTTATGTGCCAGGAACCTGTTCCAGGTTCAGAGAATACAGTGAATAAACAGACTGAACCCTGCTCTCAATGAACATCTTCATGTTACTTGATATGAGTTCATTCCTTGAAGTAAGAAAAATTCATTATGAATTGCCTGTTTTAAAGACAGGGCATGTGTACTTTGAAAGATTTAGATAGAGATTGGTTTGTGACATATAGTTTCTCTCTTTCCCAAATATATTTAAAATATTTATTGTCTCTCTTTGACAAAAAAATGAAATCATGGCTCTCTGTTGAAGGCCAAGGAAAAGGATCCATAATATATTTACATTTCCATCCTTGAAAAAGAATTCTAATCACAACAGAAGACTTTTTTTAAATAAGCATTTTAAAGAAATTATAATTTCAAATTTGAAATCTGTCAGCCAAACACTTAATTCATCAGTCATCTGCATATTTCAAGACTCAGTAATCTCCAGATGTGTCTCAATTATACCAATAAAATAAGACTAAGTACATGTCAACCCATGTTTTACAACTTGCATAGCTTACTTCTAATGCCTTTGTTCTGCTTACATATTGTGAGGAAGTGTTTATCTTTTTGCATATTTCTGAGTGATAGCATATAAAGACATACAGTATTTAGGATTTTTACAACTTTTTTACTTACTCATGAAACATTATCACTCATAAATGCAAAAGGCATGCATAATGATAAGGAAACCTCTGTGGTTTTCTTTAAATTCAGAAAGAACTTCATTAAAATTCCCACAATTTTATGACTGTTGCAGTCTAGGCCACATAATTTATTTTTATTTTGTGACTTGCTACAAATAAATTCTTGCTTAGTCCCAGACTTCTCTTAGCTTGATAAAATTTAAGAGCCTCTTTTAAATTTGGATACATTTTGACATCTTCAGTGGGTTTTATATGTACTCAAGTTGTTCTTTCCCTACACAGTTTTCTCGTATTATCGAATAAGCTAAGGAAAAACTGATGTTATTACTATGTTTGGTGAATTTTCAAATTTAGTATTAAATGTGTGCTCTTTTGTAAAAATCTGCTTGTAATTCATGTGTTGAAATGTTTCTTCACCCAACATGGCACATGTATACATATGTAACTAACCTGCATGTTACGCACATGTACCCTAAAACTTAAAGTATAATAAAAATAAATAAATAAATAAAAAGAAATGTTTCTTCATCTTTTACTCTAATTTAATCCACCAATTGATCAATCATTAATTCAACATTTATCTAGCCCCTACTGTGTTCGACACACTACTCTGGTTGCAAAAAATATAAGTGAAGAAAATGAACGAAAATTCCTGCCCTCATAGCACTGTAATGCCCTCTCAATAGTAAACATTTTTTTTTAGAAATGCAACCTTCTAACCACAAAATTTAATTGTGCTCCACTGTCTTCAACCTCTCTTAAAGTTTCAATTATTTATAAGCATAGTTTTTCCAAAAAATAGATTTCAAAATCACAATAACATAAAGCACGTTTCACATCTCTCTTGTTTCCTAAATTTTTCCAGGGCTTACTTTCCAGTTAGAAACACCTTGTGTTATAAATGTCTCTTCTTGTATCTAAAATTTTTGGTAAAACAATTGGCACAAACAACAGAATGCTCGATAGTTTTACCATTGAAAATATGAATACGAATAATTTTTAAAATTTAGTAGTATACTTTAAAATTTCATACGTTGAGAAAATGTAGAAATTGTGGCAGAGGTTGATAGTAGTCCTCCAATGGATATTTTCTCCTTTCTTTGTAATTCAACCTTGCCCTTGTTGGGTTCTTTTTCGTTTCTGCCAGCTAGAACATCAATAAGATGCTGGAGTTTAATCAACCACAGCAGACTGTGAGGTGGAAGCCACTTGGTGATTGTGAGCCAGCACCAAGATCGAAGGCATTTGGATCCCTGGTGATCACAGACCCAGCATGTCATCTCTGCAAAGGTGACATTAGATTCTATTT
The DNA here is from genome assembly GCF_000001405.40 of Homo sapiens. NCBI lineage: Eukaryota > Metazoa > Chordata > Mammalia > Primates > Hominidae > Homo > Homo sapiens. Next base: position 20,127,796 of record NC_000012.12, on the reverse strand, counting down.
GAAGAAGAAGACATCCATATTGTTTAAGACGTTGTTATTTGGAGTTTTCTGTCAGTAGCAGGCAAACCTAATTCTAACTAACATAGCCTACAACTTACTTTCACAAATTTAACAATCTATGCTACATCCTGTATAATTCTTACCATCTTGATTATTTACTGAAGATGATGAAATGTTCAGTTATGTCACATGCCTATTATTGGCAACAGCATGATTCACCAACTCTTGGAGATTTTCCTGAAAAATAAAAACACTAGTGTTTGTTATGACCTTATTTGTATATAATCACAGATATATAGAAGTAAACCAAATCAATCTTGAACAAAATAGCGAATAACTGGTGATAATAAAAATATCTATATGGAGAGAGACACAGCTAAAAAGGTAAGAGGAAGCCCCACCAATACCAGCTAAGCACGGGGAAGGCAATGCTGGAGTATTTAATTGAGTCATTTCAAGTTGTGTATATGACTTTTACTTGCTTTTATCAAATACAATGTTTATTTCATTTAACCACAGTAAAACGAAAACTGTGACTTGTGTTTCACAGTGAGTATAACTGATTTAATGGAATTGTTGCAGTTCTATCACTTTTCTGAGTTAAAGTTTGCCTCCCCTAACTATTCTGGAAAATAAAAATTCACATATTCTCTGTTCTTTTTTTCCTTCCTCTACTTAATTCTATCTTATGCATGACATTTTACAGAAGGCTCATCTTCATTTTCTAATCAAGATGGCATATATTAAAAATCAGATCCATCATGTGTCATGCAACTATCATACGACACTGATTATTTTTCCAAATTCCAATGATTTACAACTGCCGTTTAATTGCCTGAGAGCATTTTAATCCAGGGTAGTTAACATTACTTGAACTGCTACATCATTTAATTGTAACATTATAGGTTTACAAGCAAAAGCAAGCCTTGAACTAGAGACAGCAAGTCTACGAAAAAAAAAAATCCAAGAGAAACCATCAAGTTTTAAAAGTTGATGTCAGAAATATCTCATTTAGTTCAAATAAACTACTGCGAAATAACACACTTTAAAACATGTAAATAAAGAGCTAAGTACCTAAAAGTAAAAAATAATATCTAGATGAAAGAGATAATTTATGTGTTGGATAGTGAGACTGGGCGTAAAAAGTCTGGTTCCCAAACATTTATGAAATATTTACACCATTCCTCAGGAAATAGCTAGAATATAAACAAAGTACCCTTCCTAGAAGAGCTTCAAAAATCATTTTTATAGTGGCAATTAATTTAATTCCTGAAACTCTGAGGAAATTACAAATCTATTGTGAATGTTTATGGTACTTGATAAATCAAGACCAGAAATGTTATCATCATTAACAATCATCAATAATTACAAAACTATTCAAGAGAGTCACATAAGAAAAAAATACTTTTAGCTGAGATGCAACTGAGCAAAAGTATGTTTCAAATTGTTTTTTAGCATGATACACAGAAGTCCAAGTTACATTTTAAAATTTTTGATTCTACTACACACAATTTTAATAGATTTTAATACATTACTAAACCAGAATAGCAAATGCTATACCCTGGTATCACACCAGCTAAAAAAAAATATGATCAGAAATTCACTTATTTCATAAATATAAAAGTGTGAAAATTTATGGACTTTCTTTTTTTATAATTTTAAGTAAGTTTTAAAAATGTTAGCATCTCTGTGTTCCCCACTGCAGCACAGAGAAGCACTATGGTATTGCGATTAAGAGTGGTTAATCAAACTGTCCTGGGTTCAAATCCAGGTTCTGTGCCATCTGTGTAATCTTGAATAAATTACTCATCTCCACTTGCCTCAGTTGTAAAAATAAGAATAACATTTATCTCATAAGATCATGTAAGGAATAGCTTGCAAAGCTCAGAGCTTCAAGTAAGAAGTGGGCATAAAAATCCAATTCTGGCCTCATTTACTCTCATTTATTTACTCTTTTTTAGGTCTTTGAGCAGGAGCCCAAGGAAGGAAAAATAAGGACACACATTTTTGGCTGGATTAGTAACATCTTTCCTTTGTCTTCATCCACCAGTGTTCTTGGTACACTGAAATGTAACAAGAAATTTGAAAAATCTTATTTTCCATGTCAGAAGCTATTACATCATTCCATTTGCAATAACATACTTTAATCTTCTCCAGGTTTCATAAATTCTTGGGACAACTATAATAAATGTTATTTGCTTGGAAAGCTAAAGAAGAATGCATAGTTAAATTTTTCAAAGTATGACCCCCATTACACTAATACTGAAGGAGAAGCTAAGTGGTTGAATTGGAAGGATAGGCGATAATATTGCTATGCTTCTGAAAGAGTACCCATTCAGGAAATATTAGGAAATCTTAGTATTTGGATCCAAAGCCCTTGCCAAGAGACCTTGGCAGATGCAGCGAAGCAGTCCTTTATTAGATGTGTCAGTCTCAGCTGCACACATATCTTTGTAGTTAAGATATAAATGCTCCTCCTCTAGTCACAATGGAGATAAGTGCTGAAAAACCTCTAGAGACAGGCTATTTAACAACTAGTGAGATTCCTTGGACTACCCATGTAGAATCTCCTTCGTTTCATTGAGGTTTCCTCCCAATATACTCAGATAATTGATTTTTTTGATTTTTTAAATTAATTCCACATTAGATTCTGTATTACTATGAACCACACTACCGTTTATGGATAATTAACATCTGGTTGCAAACAACGGTCTCATTGTTTTAACCTCATGTGGGCTTACAGGATTAATGGAAAGTTCACTGAAACCAACACTTCCTTATTCTGTTTAAGGATTATCAAAGATTTATGAATTCATTTTATAAAATTTCCATCCTTAACCATACTTTTTAAACACCTTCTAAAAATCAATTACCTCATTTTCAATTAATTAAGCCAATTAAACTATGAAAAATGTTCACGTGATGATGGCTCCCCAGTTAACACATTTCAAGAAGCTGTTTTGCCTTTCACATATCTTCTGTTACATGCCAAGTACTAATCTCTACCCCGATCCTCTCTATATTAATCCTAATTTTTAAAGGTAGAGACCCATACATTACATCTTAATATGTATTTTTTACATTTAAATTGTAGTCAAGCTTTTTAAAAATTATATCATAGTAAAATGCCTATTTTGCCATTGAAACAGTTGCAATATGACATTAACGTATGAAAGCATCCTTATGAACCCCACAAATATGTACAATTATTTGTCACTTTAAAAAAGTAAAGAAAAAAAGAGCACTTAGCGTTTCAGCAAATCAAGTCTTGTAAGTAATGCTAATATTGTCTTCTAGCTTCCCAGAAAGTGTGGAATATTGGCCTTCCTTTTCAGATTCATGTGAAAGCTTGGTAAGTATTACTCTTAGATAAAAGAGATAGATGAGTGTTCTAAGCTCATCTTTTTGCTCCCAACTCTGGAGAGATAATGATGCCTACTTACGCTCAGATGCACTGGGTCATATACCTTCACCAGATCACAAAACCCAGGTCAGATACATATGTGTGATGGTGTGTCACTTTCTACCTAGATGAAGGCTATCATTCCATCAGCCTTCAGTGTGTTTCTTCTAGGGGCATAAAAGGTAAGATGGCAAGGATGCCTAATGCTGAACACTAAGTGGACAAGTGACCTCCAGCAGGTTAGAGTAGCATAAAAGAAGGCTGAGTTAGTCGTGAAAGGAGCTAGAAGCCAACAATATTTATTTCCTAGCTATGTTACTCTCCTAGCCTCAATTTACTCTTACATAAACAGAGTAAAATCAACATGAGTGACCCACTAGAGCAGAAGAGGGTGAAATATATAGGAGGGCAATGATTTAGACCAGGCAGAAGAATGGGCTTGAAGAAGTCTTTCCCAGAGTAGTTGATGCTTTAAGAGAGGTATAGGACTCACCTGGGTGAAGAAGATTTTGAAAGAAAGGTGGCTTAGACAGAAGGGATAGTGAATGAGCAAGGTTATTGTGAGGATTCATGAGATAATCAAAACATTTATCCCACATTGTGCTTGGTCCTTAACTGTTAATACGTTCGCTCTTTAGTCCAACAAGGCAGATGTTGCCTAATCCAACAAGAAAATGTTTGCTTTTGGCAAATGTGCTGCCAGCGGCATTCTTAGCACTCAACAGCAGAGCACCTTAGAACTATGGAAAGGCATGTCAAAGCCACTGCACTAGTGTATGACTTCTGCCATTGCACAGAGCCCTGCACTTAGGAGGTTTCTAAGCTTGTTAACGCTATGCTGTTGCTGTCTTAAAATTCTTAATAATTTTGAACAAAGCACTCACATTTTCATTTTTCACTGGGCCCCACAAATTACATAGCCAGTCCTATTTGTGCTATCAGATAATCCCAATTTGTGTAAATCAGATGGATTGACATTCTGGTTTTCTTACTTCCTAGCTTCATGAACTTCTAGGAGCTTTAACGATAGAAATATCAAAATTTTTTTACTCATTTGTGACGATCAAACATATTTTGATTATAAAACTAATTTTTATTTTATAAAACATTACAGAAACAGAGAGAACAGTATTCAGTCAGCTACTGAGATCCTTGTTTATTTTTAAAAAATTCACTATTTGGAATGATTTCAAATATCTGGAAATTAGTACATGCCTATTGCCATTTCCTCTCTCTTCTTCTCCTTCTCTTTTTCTCTGTTCCTGTTCTCTCCTTTACAACTGAGCTTATAGTATATGGTAAATACTGTACTGAGTGCCAAAAACACAGATCCAAGCAGACACAGTCTCTTCTCTTGAGGAGCTTATACTTACATAGAAGAAATAGAAACAGAAAATGACAAGGTTGGTGAAGTAATAGAAGTGTAATAGGCATTTCACAGAAAAAGCACAGGGTGCAATAAGAATACACAAGAGAGCAGTAGCTAAGATTTGGGGAGGTGATGTGAGTGGAAGTGGCTCTGGGAAGTCTTTCCCAAGAAAGTTGATAATTCAAGAAAGGGACAGGATTTAGATGAAGGAAGGAGGCATTGGAAGGAAGGTGTTTTAGGCAAAAGAGAAATTGTATGTGCAGTCATAAAAGCTTGAAACACATGTTTCTTATGAGAAAGCACAAGTAGTTCTATTTATTTGTGTCAGAGATGCATGTGGAAGAGTGAAGAATGAGGAGGCTGGAAAGGGAAATAGGCAAAGGCCAGATCCACGGGTATTATAAGGGGTAAACCAGAGTTCTAAATTCACCCTGAATGTTCCTTGAAAATTATGAAAAGGTAATGAAAGTAGAGAGATGATATGGCTAGATAACAGTGTAGAGATGAATGATAATGCAACTTAGACAAGAAATATTTGTGGAAGAACAGCGGACTCTAGTGATACTATAGAGTGGAAATTCAGAGCAAGCTTCAGGCCCTCTAGAAATATTTTATGGAGCAACTATTATGGAGCAAGTACTTTGTTATGTTCAGAGAACACAGAGATAACTAAGATAGATCCCCTCTTCTCCAGAAGGGTCGAATGCAACGTAGTGAGTGCAGTGAGCATGCTATACCCATAATATTGAACGGAAAAGGGGCCCCCAAACTTCCTAAAGGACACAGAGAGTCTTTTGCAAAAGAACTGACACTAAGTCTCAGAGGAATGTCCTGAATCGAGACTTAAAAGATTAAAGGAATTAATCAGACACAGGATGAGGTAATTAGAAAGGAGGAAATATTCTAGGCAAAGAAAGTAACATAAGCAAAGAAAAAGAAATGAGAACTTATATAGACAGTGCAGAGTCCAGGGGAGAGGTGGATAAGAGACTGAACTGGAACAGTAATTGTAGAGATGACGACTAAAAAGGAAAGCCAGATTTATGGAATGTTTAGGAAGCATTAGCATGACTTTGTCATTGTTTGGATGTGAGAAGTGATGGAGGTGGAGGAATGAGAGGAGATTTCTTTTCCACCTTGCCTTTTTTACCCCTTAAGTGCCAAAAACCACAGACAATTTCCCAAGCTATTAATTCTAGCTAAGTGTTTTTCCTCCTCAGGCTATGTTTTAGGAGGACAGTCTGTGGTATAAATCTACAATCAATGTAAATTAATATAACTACAGTCACACTACTTACTGATTCCAAAACAGATATACTTGGAATCCCAGCACAAACTCGTTTTTTCAAATATAGCTCCAGACACACTCATGGTCAACATGTCCCCCTGTCAAACAACAACTACTTACCATCAACTTAATACATCATATACAAGGTGTAAAGATATCTCCTTTCTCAAATCAAATTCAAGTGGTTCCACTGTAGAATCACAGAATTTCAGGTTGGAAGGCATCTTAATAGTTATAGAATCCAAATATTTGGGACACTCTGCAATTTGAATTTTGTATTCACAGTTTTCATGAGGTCAACAGGCTAGAGAGCAAGACAACTTACCACTTGCTTTCATAAGTTTTTCTTTAAGTCCTACGTCTGAGAAATAAAATGATTTGAGAACCTGAGAACAATAAAATATGACTACTGATTTCATAGCCCCATGTACTTTCAAATTCACTTTCCTATGTTGTCAAAGCAAGGTTGATTTTTTTTCTCTCCTCATTTAAATGTTTCTCATGCTTTTTGGTGTAAGAATTATATTAAAATGAAATTAGTCACTGCTTGTTTTTATTTTGCCTGGTTTCTTTGACAGGAGAAAAGAACACAGACTAAAAGGAATATAAATCCAAAAGAATGAGTGAAATGGGAATACACAAGGCATGAGCAATAAGACTGTTCTCTCAGAAACAATGAGAATAACTGCTCTACATCTTACAAACCAGAAACTTACACGTTGTATCTCATTAAATTTTATTTTGAATATTGAGAACATTCAGTGCGTGGATAATATTTAAAAGTCATAACTCCGGAGGTAGAACCAGTTGATGAATAAAAAAAAACTTCTAGTCAAAACATAATTTATCTATTATGTACAGGACAGGCCAAAACCTTGTTTTGCCTCCTGGAAAATTATTTACAAGAAAATGATTGCTTAGAATGTTCCTTCTTAAGGAGGTCCCCCAAATCTCTAAATATAGATGGTTACATAAACTAATTCAACCTAGAAAACAAGCACACCCCCTACTTATGTATATACATGTCTTACCAGATTTATAACCTATAGTATCTGGAGCAAGGAAAAAGGATTTACATATTGAAACAAAAGGAAAAGTATAATTTTTTTATTATTTGATAAGGCAGTCATAAATTTCTGACATAAACACATGATTATAAATGGAAGGTGTCTTTCTAATGTATCATACTAGATATGCTATAAGCTCTGAAACATGAGATCAATCCATGACTAATGGCCAGATAAAAGTCATGACTGAATAAATGGGATAACAGCCAAGGAACAGATTCCTGTGAATAAATAATAATCAAATGCCACACATATAGCTTAATTAACACTGCCCTTTACTTATTTTTAAAAATCTTGCATTCATTCAGTGACTATTTGAAGATGTACTATATGGTAGACTTTACTCAATTTGTAGCAAGTTAATGATCATAAATAGGTGATGAAATCTAATCTCTTCCCTAAAAGATTTTCGTCTCATTCACTGCTGATCTTGTGTGCTTTTTTGTTGTTGCTGAAATTGATAAATGTTCACCACATTCAGTAATACTTTCCAGACTTCCAGACAAATGAATTCATAACATACACATTCGCTTCCCGTTAAATACACAAGTTTTATAGTTTTTGTTTCCAGAGAATCCAGACTAAGTTTATTTTTAAGAAGAATTAATGAAATAAGAAAATGATTGCTTCACTGAGTAGTCTAGACTCAAAGCCACCGTTGGTCTAGATAGTAACTTCAGTGACGCACTTCTTTTTTCCTCAGGGACCTGTTCCAATTAAAATGAATCTACTCTCCTGTAAAGCTGTTTTTATCTGGCTACCACGGACTTAATGAGAACTTCAACACCTTCTCCTGACAGGTTCTGATAGGCTTTCAGGACAAATTCCTTCATTTTTGCTATTTTATTTTATTTTATTTTTATTTCTGTTTATTTATTTATATTTATTTATTTATTTATTTATTTATTTATTTTTGAGACGGAATCTCGCTCTGTCACCCAGGCTGGAGTGCAGTGACACGATCTCTGCTCATTGCAACCCCTGCCTCCCAGGTTCAAGAGATTCTCCTGCCTCAGCCTCCCCAGTAGCTGGGATTATAGGCGTGCACCACCACGCCCAGCTAATTTTTTGTATTTTTGGTAGAGATGGGGTTTCGTCATGTTGGCCAAGCTAGTCTAAAACTCCTGACCTCAGGTGATCCACCTGCCTCAGCCTCCCAAAGTGCTGGGATTACAGGGATGAGCCACTGCGCCCGGCCAATTTTTGCTATTTTAAATATCGACTTTGCAATAACTTTTCCTAATATTTTTAAAGAGATGGTCTTATTTCCTTTTATCTTTTCTACTATAGTTTCCTGGAAAAGGGAAAACTTTTTTAGGAATGGAAATTTGTGATTTCTTTTCGTTGTTCTGAGCATATATCTGTTTTTTGTTCATCTGCTTTACTTGCACTTGAGGGCAATGATCTTATTTATGGTTGTATTTTGCATTATAACAAAAAATATTTTTAAACCATAATTCATCAGTTTAGTATGCCTCTGCAGATTATGCAGATTAATATAGACATGTTTATATTATACCAATCTACTAATATTAATGTAGACAGTAGTGATTTTATAATGTTCCAAATAGCTAATTAATTAAGGTTTTCTAGGATTGACACTCTGGAATTGAATTTCTCTAAATATTAGTCTACAGAGAATGCTTATGAAATTAGACTGTGGACATATACAAACAAGTGTTAAGGGCTCAATAAAAGAATCTTATTAACCTCAATTCTTCTCTAATTATTCAATGTTCCATTAGGTAACTTGATAACTGTATCTATTCCTTAAAATGCTGAATTGATGTCTCTCTCAATTTGACTCAATGTGTTCAACAACTTTCCCAAGGTGACACAGCCAACAACAACCTAGAAATGGATTAAGATCTGTATAACTGAAAAGCTTGCACGTTCCACATGAGACAGAATTCCATCAACACACTGTCCCTGCCTCCCCCATATCCTACTGCTTTTCTTATATTTCTATATAAGTGACGAGCAACCTAATCTACTAAGTCACTCAAGTCAGAAAACCAAAAGTCATCTCTAATGGAATGGATGTTTGTGACTCTCAAAACTCATGTTGGAATTTAATCCTTCATACAGTGCTATTTGGAAAGTAATGAGGTCATGAGGGCGGACCTTTATGGGTGGGATAGGTGTCCATATATAAGGGACCCCAGAAAGCTCTCTCACTCTCTCCACCATGTGAGGATACAATGAGAATAGGGCAGTCTGCAACCCTCGCCAGAAGCCAACCACGCTGGCACTCTGATCTTAGACTTCAATCTCCAGAACTGTAACAAATGAATTTTGTTGTTTATAAGGTACCTAGTCCATGGTACACTGTTAAAGCAGCCTGAACTGACTAAGACACCATCTGAGACTGCTCTCTCTCCCTCAGAGGACATTTATAATTAGGCCCTCAGAAGAGCTGAGTTTACTTTTTTGACATTCCTGGTGCCTGACCCTTTATTTCCATTTCTTCTTCCACCATGTTAGATAAAGTCTTCATGCTTTTCCCCAATTGAAGTTCTCCTCTTCCCCTCCATCATCAATCTTCTATACATTCCTATAATGTCTGGAAATTAAATAACAGGTGTTCAAAAACTATTTTATTAATGGATGAGTGTGTAGAGCAATTCCACTATTCCAGGTAGGTACTTCAGGAGCTAGAATTCCACATAACTGAAATGAGGCAACATAGGCTCAAATCAACTAACCCTTACCAATCCTCCCATCATAAATCTTCCTTAACATAGACAAACTTTCTAAAAGGAAAAACTAACTTCATGTACACACACACACACACACACACACACACACACACACAATTCTTGAGTGACACCTCACAAGATAAATTTCAATTTCATTTAGCATGTGACATATTGTTCCCTGTGATCCAAGCCCTTCTAGCTCTTCCTGGCATTCCACACCTGTACCTTATTCTCCAGTTATGGTTAACCACTCAGTCTTCCATGAACATGTCAAGGGTTTTCTTGTTTCTACAACTTTGTTCAGCTACTTAAATTATCCTAATGTATTTTGCTTTCCCCAATTTCATCATGTCAAATGGTGTCTCCTTGGTGATGCCCTCTGTTAGTTTCTCTTATGGAGATATTGTGACAATGTGAACGACTGACCAACATTAATGTCACCCCAAATAATTGGTTTAAATCAGGATAATCTCATTCTTCTATTCTATACAGATTCAGAATGGTGCAACACGCAACTCTAGCCTACATCCTCTGTTACTTTGTATGTTTGACATCTATTACAAAACTTTAGTTTCTTTAGTGGCAAGAAATCTATCACTTAACTTTGTAATGGTCATATATATAACTCATCTAGTAGATACAATCATATATGTAATCATTTATATTGTAGGTATTGTCATTTAGAAAGCAGAATTATATTTGCATTTGTGATGGCTAATATTGAGTGTCAACTTGATCGGATTACAACAGCAAAGTATTGTTCATGGGTGTGTCTGTGAGCAAGTCACCAAAGGAGATTAACATTTGAAAACTGGGAGTTGCAGATTCACCCTTAATCTGGGTGGGCACCATCTAGCGCAGGTACGATGATAGCAGGCAGAGGAATGTGGAAAGACTGGACTGGCTTAGTCTTCCGGGCTACATCTTTCTCCTGTGCTGGATGCTTCCTGCCCTTGAACATCAGAATCCAAGTTCTTCAGCTTTGGGACTCTCCGACCTTCGACCATAAACTGAAGGCTGCACTGTTGGCTTCCCTACTTTTGAGATTTTAGGACTTGGACTGGCTTCCTTGCTTCTCAGCTTGCAGACAGCCTATTGTGGGACCTCATCTTGTGATCATGAGAGTCAATACTCCTTAATAAATTTCCCTTTATAAATACCTATCCTATTCTTACACTGACAAAGCCATCAAAATGGGAAGGAGAGGGGAGAACAGCAGCATAAGCGGCTGGCAGAGGTAGGGAAAGACCAGCAAGAAGAAGAGAGAGAAAGAGAAAGTCAGAGAAAGAGACAGAGAGAGGAAGAGACAAAGAGACAGAAAGTCAAAGAGGGAGTCAGAAACAGAGACAAAGAAAAGGAGTCAGAGAGAAAGAGGGACGGACACAGAAAGTCAAAGAAAAAGTTAAGAAGAGAGGAAAAGACAAAGAAGAAGTCCAAGAGAGAAAGAGAGAGATGGAAGTAGTAAAGAAAAAACAGTGTACCCCATTCCTTTAAAAGCCAGGGTAAATGTCTATCTACCCAGTCAAGGCATATTCTACTTATGTGGATCTTCAACCCATATCGGCCTCTCAAACAGTTTGCAAGAAATAATGAGATCTATCCTTACTTTACAATCCCAAATAGACTCTTTGGCAGCAGTGACTCTCCAAAACCGCTGAGGCCTAGACCTCCTCACTGCTGAGAAAGGAGGACTCTGCACCTTCTTCGGGGAAAAGTGTTGTTTTTACACTAACCAGTCAGGGATAATATGAGATGCCACCTGGTGTTTACAGGAAAAAGCTTCTGGAATCAGACAACGCCTTTCAAATTCTTATACCAACCTCTGGAGTTGGGCAACATGGCTTCTCCCCTTTCTAGGTCCTGTGGCACCCATCTTGCTGTTACTCGCCTTTGGGCCCTGTATTTTTAACCTTCTTGTCAAATTTGTTTCCTCTAGAATCAAGGCCATCAAACTACAGATGGTCTTACAAATGGAACCCCAAATGAGTTCAACTAACAACTTCTACCGAGGACCCCTGGACCGACCCACTGGCACTTCACCTGGCCTAAAGAGTTCCCCTCTAAAGGACACCACAACTGCAGGGCCCCTTCTTCGCCCCTATCCAGCAGGAAGTAGCTAGAGTGGTCATCAGCCAAATTCCCAACAGCAGTTGGGGTGTCCTGTTTAGAGGGGGGATTGAGAGGTGACAGCGTGCTGGCAGTCCTCACAGCCCTCGCTCACTCTCGGCGCCTCCTCTGCCTGGGTTCCCAGTTTGGCGGCACTTGAGAGCCCTTCGGCCCGCCGCTGCACTGTGGGAGCCCCTTTCTGGGCTGGCCAAGGCCAGAGCCGGCTCCCTCAGCTTGCAGGGAGGTGTGGAGGGAGAGGCGCGAGCAGGAACTGGGGCTGTGCGCAGTGCTTGTGGGCCAGCTGGAGTTCTGGGTGGGCGTGGGCTTGGCGGGCCCCGCACTCGGAGCGGCCGGCCAGCCCTGCGGGCCCTGGGCAGTGAGGGGCTTAGCACCCGGGCCAGTGGCTGCGGAGGGTGTACTGGGTCCCCCAGCAGTGCCAGCCCACCGGCGCTGCGCTCGATTTCTCGCCAGGCCTTAGCTGCCTTCCCATGGGGCAGGGCTCGGGACTGCAGCCAGCCATGACTGAGCCTTCCCCTGCCTCCGTGGGTTCCTGTGCAACCCGAGCCTCCCCGACGAGCACCGTCCCCTGCTCCACGGCACCCAATCCCATGGACCACCCAAGGGCTGAGGAATGTGAGCGCACGGCGCAGGACTGGCAGGCAGCTCCACCTGCAGCCCCGGTGCGGGATCCACTAGGTGAAGCCAGCTGGGCTCCTGAGTCTGGTGGGGACATGGAGAGTCTTTATATGTAGCTCAGGGATTGTAAATACACCAATCAGCACCCTGTGTTTAGCTCAAGGTTTGTGAGTGCACCAATCAACACTCTGTATCTAGCTGCTCTGGTGGGGCCTTGGAGAACCTTTATGTCTAGCTCAGGGATTGTAAATACACCAATCGGCACTCTGTATCTAGCTCAAGGTTTGTAAACACACCAATCAGCACCCTGTGTTTAGCTCAAGGTTTGTGAATGCACCAATCGACACTCTGTATCTAGCTGCTCTGGTGAGGCCTTGGAGAACCTGTGTGTTGAAACTCTGTATCTAACTAATCTGATGGGGATGTGGAGAACCTTTGTATCTAGCTCAGGGATTGTAAACTCACCAATCAGCACCCTGACAAAACAGGCCACTCGGCTCTACCAATCAGCAGGATGTGGGTGGGGCCAGATAAGAGAATAAAAGCAGGCTGCCCGAGCCAGCATTGGCAACCTGCTCGGGTCCCCTTCCACACTGTGGAAGCTTTGTTCTTTTGCTCTTTGCAATAAATCTTGCTACTGCTCACTCTTTGGGTCCATGCTGCTTTTATGAGCTGTAACACTCACCACGAAGATCTGCAGCTTTACTCCTGAGCCCAGCGAGACCACGAGCCCACCGGAAGGAACGAACAACTCCAGACGCGCTGCCTTAAGAGCTGTAACACTCACCAGGAAGGTCTGCAGCTTCACTCCTGAGCCAGCGAGACCACGAACCCACCAGAAGGAAGAAACTCCGAACACATCTGAACATCAGAAGGGACAGACTCCAGACGCGCCACCTTAAGAGCTGTAACACTCACTGCAAGGGTCCGCAGCTTCATTCTTGAAGTCAGTGAGACCAAGAACCCACAAATTCCGGACACACTATTAGTTCTGTCCCTCTAGAGAACCCTGACTAATACAGACTGTCACGTAGGAGACTTAATCTTAGTTGCAACTGTCATAGAGTAGGCATTTAAATGTTGACATAGTAAATTGATATTTAAAAGTAGTGTTTATATGATAATTTAAATAAAGATGTGACTTAATTTGAACGTTTATCAGCATAATGCATTTTTGCCACTCTATTACTATAGTTGATGTATTAGTCTGTTCTCACACTGCTATAAAGAAATACCTGAGACTAGGTAATTTATAACGAAAAGAGGCTTAATTGGCTCACGGTTCCGTAGGCTGTACAGGAAGCATGACACTTAGGGAGGCCTTAGGAAACTTTCAATCATGACAGAAGGTGAAGGAGAAGCAGGCATGTCTTACATGGTCAGAGCAGAAGGAAGAGAGAGGTGGGGAGATGCCACACACTTTTGAACAACCAGATCTCATGAAAGCTATACCATGAGACGGATGGTGCTAAACCATTGGAAACCACCCCCAAGATCCAATCACCTCCTACCAGGCCCCACCTTCAGTATTGGGGATTACATTTCAACATGGAATTTGGGTGAAGACAGATCCAAACCATATCAGTTGGTGTTTTTTCTTAGAGATTTCATCCAATATTTTCAGATTCTTTAGACTGTTTATGGTAAACTTTTTATATTTCAGATAGCCCTGTCCTTAAAAAGATGTGCTACAATGTATGCCATTATACTCTTTTCTTTTTTCTTGAGATTCTATAATTGAATCTGATTTTGTCATGTTTCCTCAATACATTCTTAAAACAGTTGATCTGACCATACGTTGCCCCATTGCAGTTATATGGAATTCCAGCTCCTACAGTACCTACCTGGAATAGCAGTACTCCTCCAAACACTCATTCATGCAAAAAAATAGTTTTTGAACACCCATTTTAAAATTTCTAGACATTATAGGAATGTATAGGTGGCATTTTGGTTCTCAGTTTCTCACAGTATAAGATATAGGAAAGAAATAGAGCAATTTGGCATTAGAAAGCTGTTATTGAAACACCAGGGGTTTGGCCTAGGTCCTGCTGCTCACTACACAGAAAGCGAATCACTGAGGCAATGAGTGTTGCTAGGGAAGAAGGGTTTAATTGGGTGCTGCAGCTGAGGAGATGAAAGATCAGTCTCCATTCCCTGACCAAATAAAATTGGGGGTTTATGTAGTAGGGAAGAAATGTAACTCTTTGTGGGAAAACAGGAACTAGGCAGGAAGCAATCATGATGAGTGAGGAGCTTGGCCTCTCATGGTCTGGATGTGAGGACCTGGTGAGTTTCAGTTCTTTGATACGTTTTGAGAGATCTAGTAGTCCTTTCCTGAGGAAGGAACTCAGATAAAACAAATGTAAATTTCAAGCATTAAGACCAGAATTATTTCCATGTTTAAATATGGTCAATTTCTATGTTTATTTAAAAAAAAAAAACCTGTATATAGAACGATTTAGGTGGTTTTAAAACCACATAAATGTTGGAGGGAGATATATGTAGATTCGGTCCCAGGCCTTAAATTTCTAACTGCCAGACTTTGGAGAAGTTACATCATGTCTGTGAGATGCTCAGATTCTCCATCTGTAATCTGGAGTAAACTGTTGGGTTATCGTAGGATTGTATGTCTGTGAAAAGTATTTTGCATTCTGCCTGATCTTTAGTAAGGAATCAGCAAGCGGTAACATTTCAACAGAAGTATTTATAGGCAATCATGAGGTACAAGGAAGAGAATGTCCAAGAGAAAAATAGGAAGGCTTCATAAAGGAAGTGTCACAAGAAGATAGACTTGAAAAATTAGTGTTGTTTTGCAGGTAGACAAAGGAGGGAGGACACTCCAGGTAGAGAGAGCAATGTGAGTAAAGGCACAGATACTTATGATGCAGGATTTTTCCCTGACCCCTTCATGGGACTCGCTATAGTCCCTTTCTTCTAATGGTAACATATATTCTGAAAAAAAATATATTGTTGGTTCTAATGTCTCCCTGTTGTATTCTCATTTCATTATCTGTGTAGAAGGTAAGCCCACAGTGCCTTTATCATAACTTGGCCCGTTTTCCTGATGCAATACTTGACTTGTTGATAGAGTTGGGCTGTTGAAAGTATCTAACTATAATCTTGGCAACAAATATTATACCAAAAGCTAACAGTTTTCCCTCATAATCAGTTTTTTCTTAAGCGCACTAGCAACTCCATTTTTACCTCTTTTTTGACTCATCTACACAACAGTTGAGCTTCTGCCACCAAATCTACTTGATACAATTCATACCACTCTCTCATGACAGTTATTCCCCATTTTTGTCCAACAGCTTTTTAAGAAAGTCAATACTGAGAATTCAAGTGCATTGACTCCCCTTTGCTTTCAATTATCTTCTAAAGATTATCTGATTTTTCTTTTCTTACTACCTAGTGCTTCCCTCCGTGTGTGTGTATTTGTGTGGTATTGTAGATTTCTGAGAATATTTAAGATCACCACTAGTGTCTCCTATGAGTATATCTTTACTGAGAGAATAGTGATATCAGAAATGCACTCTACACCTGAAGGCAGAAGATATTTATCTATTAAGTTTAGCTGTAGGCTGGTCTACCTTCTCGTCCTTTTCTTAGGATAAAGGAAGGTATGGAAATAGGATTCCCATGAGGGGAATACTATTCCTCTGGTGTAAGACATGATATAGAAGACCATGAAATTCCTTATAATAGAATACGAACGAAGTATTCAATTATGTTTTTAAGTCACAAGACACAAAGGCAAGTAAGGTTTTGTTCACTAAGGCTGAAGGGTTCTCTAAATCTTAAGTCCTAAGGATTCTAGGCAATTCTGAAAGATGTAGCAAGAATGACCCACATGATCTTGCAGTCACTGAGGCTAAGTAGGGTACACTGCCTGGAGTCTGACATAAGTGGTGAAGAAACAGACTCTAGAGCTAGGATACCACTTGTAGCCATGTCATCTTGGGAAAAGACCCTCACCTCTCATATGCTTCAGTTTCATCACCTCCAAAATCGTTTTGGCCTCATAGGTTTGTTATGAAGAGTTAAAGAACTGATACATTAAAGCTTGGCTGGGACATGGAAAGCCTTAATATATGTTGAATATTCTGGCTTATAATTCCAATGAGACTACTAAAGCAGAAAGATGAAGAAAAAACAAAAGTGCCATGCTGACCTACTCTCTCTAAAGCTAAAAGGGTTTGTCTTGGCCTGAGTACCAAGTGTTTATTTTACGTGATTAAGAATGGTTATGCACTTTCTACATGCTAAAATTTCACTGGTGCATATATCACGTAGCCCTCCTTCCCTCGTGGCTTCTCCTGCTCACCCCCTCTTCCCAACTGTTTTTTATACATAAGACAAACATTCTTCTCTGGAAGTCTCCACTCTGTGCACAGTTGATCCAAACGGGTCAGAGTTTAACTCTTTATTCCCTTGTATCTTTCCCCTTGCTTAGTTTTTAATTATGCTGATTCAATGTTAAATTCTAAAAGGATATTTCCATTCTGTTTTCAACTCTTACCTTTTGATATATTTTAAATGCTTCATTACTAACATTTTTCATAAAATAAACACACATATCATTCCCAAATCATGAAGATGTGTGATCCAAAACCATTCATTCTAAAAGAAAGAGAAATCCAGATCAGTAAAGGGAAAATGGGTCAGAAAAAAACACTGATGCAAGTTTTTATTTTAAATATATTGTGCTTACATTTCTTGTAAAATTATAATGATCAGGAACCAGCAGAATTTGAGTTATGGTTTTTATTCTATTTAAAATCCAACAGGGCCAACCAAGTGTCATAAAAGTGATTTTTTTTTTCTTCTTGCCTGATTGAATTAAGACATGACTGTTTTGGTACAAAGTTATCCTCAGAACTCAGTAGTTGACTTGAGCTTTGTTTAAGGGAATGAACAGTAAGGAAAAAGTTAAAGGAGTTCACCAAGCCCAAGCAAGAGAAACGTGGGACTGAATGCTCTCATGAGTCCACTACAGAATAAGATTTGTTTTAAATGAATGCGGTATCTCAGTTCAGATCTCTCAGTTTGGGGTTCTGTAGCAGCTGGCAGTCATTCTACCTTTTTTTTAAAATTTCCTAATTACAGTATATGTATCTAATCATTCTATCATACGTTTCATTTAACAAGCAAGCTCTAGGCCTTCTCTGTGTCACAGAAGAAAATATATTTTCATGAAGATTATAAGAAGGCAAACGAGGAAGGGAAACCATTTCCTGATAAAAGCTGTTTCTAAAAGATATAAATAGAAGCTTTTCCAGGACTGTAGCTTGATGCTATATTGGGAATCACGTAACATTTACAATCCACTTCTATGCAAGGCAGTCTTGTGCTAAAGAATTGCTAAAAGAGACAGTGCCTTTTGAATGCACCATATGTGTTATTCAAAAGCAGTGGCAAGTCGAAGCTCCTATCTTAATCCTCGCTTGTTATTATGGTAAGTAGCTTTCTGGTGTTTCGCTTTGTCCAGGTAGCATTGCAGTATTTTGCCCATTAGAAGCAGATAGTGAAAACTCTTCTCAAAATTCAATTTACTTGATCTGTTGCTACTATGATAGAATTTAAATTAAAGTTTTTTTAAAAATGGGATAAAATCTTACAGTTCAGCTCCTTTAGAATGAAAGAAATAGATTTAACACAAAAAGGGAAAGAGAATTCATTCAAATATCTAAAACTGTGCCAATGCATTGATCTAAAATGTTCATGAAAAGCTAATAAGAATGCCTAAAATTCTGAATTTAGAAACTTACTTTAATATATGAGTTTATTAGAAATACCTACGCATTGCCTTCCTAAAGAACCTGTGATATGTGAAAGTTTACATCCCAGTGTCTCAGTTTTTTGCATAAATTCTAGATTGTTCAATATTTTAAACAATTCTTAGAAAGAAATCTTACAAACAGATGTGCATAATAAAGTTGTTTGTGAAGCTCTCTAATTAAAATAATTCTGTGAACTTGGATACCAATGTCACTGTGATATTTCCCTAACACTAAATTTTATCATAAATTTTCAAGTTATAAATGGAATTCTTAACCTGAAGATGATGTAAAAGGATAGTAAAATTATGCTACATGTAAACCTGAGGAGGAATGATAATCATAGGACTATAGACAAAATTTTTCTCAAGAATATCAAAGGGCTGGCCAGGTGTGGTGGCTCACACCTGTAATCCTAGCACTTTGGGAGGCCGAGGTGGGCGGATCATGAGGTCAGGAGATTGAGACCATCCTGGCTAACATGGTGAAACCCCATCTCCACTAAAAATACAAAAAATTAGCCGGGCGTAGTGGCGGGCGCCTGTAGTCCCAGCTACTCGGGAGGCTGAGACAGGAGAAAGGCGTGAACCCGGGAGGCGGAGCTTGCAGTGAGCCGAGATCGTGCCACTGCACTCCAGCCTGGGTGACAGAGCAAGACTCCGTCTAAAAAAATAAAAAAGTGAATTGATAGTTCAATATAGCACTTATAATTTCAAGTGTAATGCCAAATAAGTAGAAAATGAATAAGTAACTTCTGAGCGAGAAGGGAAATGAAATAGTAAGAACAGTGGAGATGAGCAGAAAGTAGAAAATAAGATGGTAGATTTAAATCTAAATGTATAAATAAATAATTACATTAAATGTAAACAACGCTACAGTGAAATGACAATTTTTTCAGAGTAGATATGAACAATTCTTTTTAGCTAAAGACATATATAAATGAAAATACATGAAGGTTGATGAATCATGAAAAAAATCAAACAATAATCAAAGTTGATGTTGGCTTCAAGAGGCAGTGTAAGTTTCCTACAGCCCGTTTTCTGCTGATTATAACTGAAAACTCTGCGTGGGCAGGAGGAACTGTCTGAGGCTCTCTGAAACATAAAGGGGAAGGGAGTTAAAACTTGAAGAAGTGGCCAAGGTGGGCAGATCATGAGGTCAGGAGTTTGAGACCAGCCTGACCAACATGGTGAAACCCCGCCTCTACTAAAAATACAAAAATTAGCCGGGCTTGGTGGCGTGTGCCTGTAATCCCAGCTACTCAGGAGGCTGAGGCAGGAGAATTGCTTGAACCTGGGAGGCGGAGGTTGCAGTGAGCCGAGATCGCACCATTGTGTTCCAGCCTGGGCGACAGAGCGAGACTCTGTCTCAAAAGAAAAACAAAACAAAACAAAACTTGAAGAAGTAATCCACACACAGGAGTAAGTTTCACTTTTTTTCTTCCATTTCTGCTCCAAGAGTGGACCCCCGTTGGACAGTAGTACAATGCAGACATCTAAAACTCAAAACCCCACCTTCTCTTTTTCCAGATTAGTCATGAAAAAAAGCTCTAGCAGGCAGGAGAGTAAAAGAGACAGAGCCATAAAAAGTTTCTCCTAATTCTGTTTATGAACTCACAAGAGTCTTGTCCTAGGTTCTGAACCACACATGCACAGGACAGACAGAAATCAGGATAGCAAAGGCTTAGAAAACTGAACAGAGATGTAAGGCACCATGCACAGAAAATGAGTCAAAGCTCATAATATGCAACTAATTAGGTTGATTACCTGCTAAAGCAAAAACAACATCCTCCAATGGAATCTCACAGAAGCCAGAGTCTACACTCATAACATTTACAATGTGCTGCATAAAATCCAAATTACCTGACAAAGACCTATTCTTTTTTTCTTTTTCTGAGACAGTCTCGCACTGTCACTTCGGCTAGAGTGCAATGGCGCGATCTCGGCTCACTGCAACCTCCGCCTCCCGGGTTCATGTGATTCTCCTGCCTCAGCCTCCCGAGTAGCTGGGATTACAGGCGCACACCACCACACCTGGCTAATTTTTTTGTATTTTTAGTAGAGACGGGGTTTCACTATGTTGCCCAGACTAGTCTCAAACTCCTGACCTTGTGATTAGCCCGCCTCGGCCTCCCAAAGTGCTGAGATTATAGGCATGAGCCAACACACCCAGCCCCAAAGTCCCATTCTTAACGGAAAGGCAGCTGTAATAACTACATCCATACAAAAAGGAAAACAAAAAATAAATGAAAAATAGAAAATCACAATAGAGATATATACACTATAAAAAAGAGAAGTGAAAACTTAAGGACTAAAAAAATACAATGCCTGAAATAAAAATGTCAATTAATGGTCTTGAAAGTAGAATGAAGTGACAAAGAAAAGATTCTGTGAATTTGGAGATATGTCAATAAAAAGTATCCATATGAAGAACTGAGAGAAAAAATGTTTTTTAAAATATCTATAGCCTAAAGGATCTATGGATTAACACAAAAAGATCAAAGACGTGTATTTAGGCCTAGATATTTATAAAAGTTTAAGTATGTATATGATAATCCTCATAATTCCACTTTAAAAATACAGAGATGTAACCAAAAAGACAACAGATAAATTAAAATGAAATATTAAAACAAAAACTGTCAATCCAATAGAAGGCAGAAAAAGAAGAAACAAAAAACAGAAAAAACAAGCCCGTTCCCGCTCCCCAAAATGGTACACTGAAATCCAACCATATTAATAATTACATTAAATGTTAAAGATGTCAGACAAGTGAAACAAAATACTGCCTTACAGGCCAAATCCAGTCTGCCACCCATTTTTGTAAATAAAGTTTTATTGGAACACAGCCATGCTCATTTGTTTATATATTATCTATGGCTGCTTTGTATGACAATGAGAGTTGAATAGGTGCAACTGAAATTGTGTGGCCCACAAGGCCAAAAATATTTATTTGGTCCATTACAAAAAAAGTTCACCAACCATTGGTCTAAATCTCTGCTATGCAATAGAAATATAATACAAGCCACTTATGTGATTTTTTGCTGCAGGTACATAAAAAAGTAAGCAAACTTAAAAACAGGTGAAAATAATTTTTAAAATATATTTTATGTAACCCAATATGTCCAAATTATGATGTAAACACATAATCAATATAAAAAGGTATTTAAAAGATATTTTACAATCTTCCTACTAAGTCTTTGAAATCCTGTGTGTATTTCCAATAACAGCACAACTCAATTCATACCTGCCATATTTCAAGTGCTCAGTAGCCACATGTGGCACATAGCCATGGTAATGCATTGCACAAGTCTAAACACTTCAAGAGATGAGACTTTGGTAAGAGAGATCAGCATGTGTTGCTTGGGAAGAATGTAAATAATGGTAGCCAGAGAGAGGACTGTGATATATTAAATATGGCCACAAAAACATTGCAACTCCTGTCATTAAGTAGTGGAATCTATTTACCTATTCCTTGAAAATAGGCTTACCTTCTGACTTGTTTTGACTAACAGAACGTGATTAAAAAGTGTTGTATGAGTTCTAGAGCCTAATTCTCAATAAGTCTTGCAGCTTTTTCTTTACATGCTTGGAAATTACCCTTGTTGTTTAAGGAAGCCTGGATCCAACTTTTGAAGGATAAGAGATTTCACAGATCATTGATTACAAAGGCAATAGCCAACACCAACACCCCAGACATGAGAGGGATGCTACCTTCGATGCAGCCTCCCTGCCCGGCCCCAGTCAAGCCACCGATGACTGCTACTACCTGAGCAAGCCCAGGTGAGGCCTGCGGAAAACAGCCTGGCTTACCCAAGGCAAAATTTCAGAATCATGGGCACATACATGGTTGTTGTTTGAAGCCATTAGGTTTTGGAGGGCAGGAATGTAACGCAGCAATAGATGACTGACAGAATATAATTCTATAACCCACGTCACCTGTGTAAGGCCTTTCTGGGAAGTAGGATTTCTTGCTGAGCAAACTTCTATGCCTTTTACTAAAGTACTGAGAAAATTTAGCTGCTCTCTTGGGATGAAAAGAAATTTAGGGCTATTTTTAGCCCTCTCTGCCACTTATAGTTTCTAAACAGCTCTTTTCATTGCCTATTGTCACGTCTATGGCCAGGACACATCTGTAAGACTACACTTTCTGGCATTCCAGTGAAAAGAGCCATTTAGTCTCTCTACTCTCAGACTTACATTCCTACATTTAATAAGAAATGCTGTAATATTCCCTTTTTCTATGTTTTCTAAGATTATGGTTGTCTAACTCCCTCCTTCCCTCTACAGCTTAACAAGATTAGCTTATACGGTGGTGGAGTGGGTGGCTGCTTCTGCCCAGTCACCTCTTTTCCTAATTTTTTCCTGTCTTAAAGCTATTCATGACAGATTCCCTTTGAAAAACCTCTGGCTGGCCAAAATGCAGTCCGGTCACAAGTCTAAAGTATACGAATGAGAGTGAATAGAGAATGGGAAATACATTGGTTGTTTGCACATTATCCTACACTATGGTTTCAATGGTTGTCTCCTCTGAAATTTATGTTGAAGCTTAATCCCCAGCCTGGCAGTATTGAGAGGTGGGCCTTTAGGAGGTGACTGGGTCATGAGGGATGGATTAATCCATTCATAGATTAATGGATAAATGGGTCAATGGATGGGTTTTCACAGGAGTGGGACTGGTGGCTCTGTAAGAAGAGGAGGAGGCACCTGAGCTGGCACACTCAGCTCCTTCACCATGTGATGCCCTGCACCACCTCAAGACTGCAGAGTCCTTACCAACAAGACGGCACTCACCAAATGCAGCCCTTAGACCCTGGACTTCTCAGTCTTTTTAACTGTAAGAAATAAATTCCTTTTCTTTATAAATTACCCCATGTTTCAGGTACTCTGTTATAAGCAACACAAAACAGACTAAGACATCTTACCACATTCATCTATCCAAATAAGTTGCAAGTATATGGTCAGTAAGTTATCTTATAAGTGCTCCCACACTGAATGCATGGTAAATGCCAAATATGTAATTGTAATGTATTGGTTGAGCCAATAAATCCATCCAGATAGAATTCATGCCCTTCACATGTTGGTTTTACTCTTCTCTGGATGATGGTGTTACCTCCGATCATTTTGTACTCAGTTGGCATAAATTTTTCTCTAAGGCTGGGCACAGTGGTTCACACCTGCAATCCAAGCACTTTGGGAGGCTGGGACGGGCAGATCACCTGAGGCCAGGAGTTCAATACCAGCCTGGCCAACATGGTGAAATCCTGCCTCTACTAAAAATACAAAAATTAGCTGGGCGTGGTGGCAGGCGCCTGTAATCCCAGCTACCTGGGAGGCTGAGGCAGGAGAATTGCTTGAACCCAGGAGGTGGAGGTTGCAGTGGGCCGACATCGCGCCACTGCACTCCAGCCTGGGTGACAAAGTGAGACTCCATCTCAAAAAAAAAAAAAAATTCTCTAAACAGCCATGTAGACCATTAGTGTCTACTGGATAATTTTCTACTCAGAGACAAATAGAAAAGTGAATATGGGAGAGAAAGAGAGAGAATTATTGTTCACTTCATACCCATGAGAACATATTCTTAGTTCCCTTTTGACAGAAAATAGAGAAGTCCTTAATCTATAATTTTTGATGCTTTGATTAACCCAACAAAACAATAGCTGTGGTTTACAATCTGCTCCAATCAAGTAGATTTTATAGCTCACTGATTTTCTAAAATATCCTCATAAATAGATTCTATTATTATTACTATAAGACAGTGTTATTATGCCAGTCATTGACACAATGTATGTGGGAATCAGTGCAAGACCCTGGAACATTGGTCTGGCATGAAACATAAATGAGATGCCATTCATTATATGAATGAATAAAAATATGGCTGGGTGCGGTAGCTCACACTTGTAATCCCAGCACTTTGGGAGGCCAGGGCAGGCAGAACACTTGAACCCAGGAGTTTGAGACCAGTCTGGCAACATGGAAAAACCCCATCTCTACTAAAAATATAAAAAACTAGCCAGGTATGGTGGCACATCTTCAAGTCACAGCTACACGGGAGGCTCAGGCAGGAGAATCACCTGAGCTCAGCAACTCAAGGCTGCAGTTAGCCATGATCATACCACTGCACTCCAGCCTGGGTGACAGGAGTGTGACCCCGTCTATAGATTCTCTACTAATTTTCTAAATCATCAATGTGATTAGGAAATGGCAAGAGCTCAGATTTATCTAACAAGCAGCATTTTTTCAAAAATCCAAATTCTTTTTTTTTTTTTTTTTTTTTGAGACGGAGTCTTGCTCTGTCGCCCAGGCTGGAGTGCAGTGGCGTGATCTCGGCTCACTGCAAGCTCCACCTCCTGGGTTCATGCCATTCTCCTGCCTCAGCCTCCCGAGCAGCTGGGACTACAGGTGCCCACCACCATGCCCGGCTAATTGTTTTTTGTATTTTTTTTTTTAGTAGGGATGGGGTTTCACCGTGTTAGCCAGGATTGTCTCGATCTCCTGACCTTGTGATCCACCTGCCTTGGCCTCCCAAAGTGCTGGGATTACAGGCGTGAGCCACCGCTCCTGGCCCAAAAATCCAAATTCTTAGCTATCTCTTTTCAGATCCTATTGAAACTTTAAGACAAAATAATAAAAATATTTTTGGAAATAATATAAAATGAATACATAACATGTTTTCCATACATATGTAGGTCAAAGTGATGGCAGCGGTGTCCCATCCAGAGTGGTCTCTGCAAAGATGCCGACTACAGCAGGGGGAGGCATGGCTGGGGCTGCATGCCCTGTGGAGCTGGCAGGGCTGGGAATAGGTGGAACCCAGCCCCCTACCCAATTGGCAGAGCGGGAGCCCCACACTCCCAGGCACAATTGCAGCTGCTCAGCTGTGGCTCTCGACCCAGGCATCCCTGCATTCTTAGGGGCAAGGAAGCCCTCTTTCCTAGGCAGGCTTGGAGGTACCTGCTCCTGCTCCCTGGCCTTTCCCCACTCCTTGCACCCGCTCCAGGACAGAATGAAGTCGTGGCTGAGCCTGAGCACTGTTGCAACCCTGCTGGCTGTGCACACACTTGGGGTGGGACTGACACACCAGCCTCCTGCTGCCTTGGCCCCCTCCAGACTTTGGGCACTAACCTAGCATGGGAGGGAGGCCAAGCTGGGGGCTGAGGGCAGCTTGGCACAGGCCTGCAGGTGCCCCTCTGTATGAACAGCCTGGGCATGGTGGACAACAGGAGGCACACAGACTCCTGGGGAGAAAGGGGTGGGTTCCTGGTGAAACCCCACCCTCAAGCCAGGGATGGCCTGAAGCCTGGGGGCTGGGCTGCCAGCTCCAGGTGGAGGTTGCAGCCCATAGTGAGAACTTATGGTGCTTTTTTCCAGCCACCCATGGCCATCCGTGGACCAGTCGACATGTACTTCCTCCCTTCTGAGCCCATTAAAAAAATCCCAGACTCAGCCAAACTCAGAGAGCTTTCAGGACTACCAGCTGCAAAAACGAGCTACCCATTTTGGGTCTCGTTGACTGTTGGGATGATCTGCCTGCAGAAAACAGCTACCCACTGCAGTCTCTTCTCCACTGATTGCTGAGAGTTGGGTACTTGTTGGGACAACCTGCCTGCTGAAAGGAGCTACCCACTTCAGGTCTCCCGTGAACTGTCCTGTGCACAATGAAGCTCCTCTCCGCCTTGCTCACCCTCCAGTTGTCCACGTACCTCATCCTTCCTGGGTGCGGGACAAGAACTTGGGACCCACTAAATGGGCAGGACTGAAAGAGCTGTAACACAAACAGGGCTTAAACATGCCCCCCAGCTCATCAATTTGCAGTTGATGAGAAGGAGACAAGAGCTGCAGCCCTCTGGGGAGCCCAGACCTAAGGGCTCCCGGAGCCAGGGCTGTGGCACCCTCTTGGGGCTCTGCAGTTCCTGATGTCTCCAAGCTTCCAGGCAACATTGTGTTCCCCTTGTCCAGATGCAGGTGCCCACAGTGGGAGCCACATGTGGTACATCTGGTCCAGCTGCAGCCTATCAGTGATCCAGCACCTGTGCTGGCACCTGGAGCTGCCCACCCCTCCGCAGGAGCCAGCATGCCTGGCTGTGTGCAGTGGCCAGACCCGTGCTCACTCACCCACATACCCCTTGCCACTCCATGCCTGGCTCACCCTTGGCAGGTGTGGAATTCAGGCCAGTAGTGCAAGCTGAGTGCAGCCTGCCAGGCAGAGTGGGCGGAAGGAGCCCAGCGAGACCCAGCAATACTCAGGCAGAAGGCCCCGCCAGCTACAGAGGTTTCCAGCTGGTGAAGTAACACCCCAAAGAATCTCATAACAGATGTTTACAAAGTGAGCAAACTCTGCTGTCTTATTCTAGAGAGATAGCAAGCAGAATGACATTGGCAAATATGGGAGACTCTTAGAAGGTCCTGATATAAATTTTGAAAAAAAAAAACTTTATGATTTCGAAAAGCTAATTTCAAAGTCTGATTAAATATTTTAGCTTATTAACTTCACTTAGTAAATAATTTCAAAGTCTGATTAAATATTTTAGCTTCTTAATTTCACTTAGTAAATAACTACTTCCAAAAATGTAATAATGTAGGTAAATGAGCATCCCATAACAAAAGGTCCATTAAAAGACAGTTTTTAAGAAAAACTTCCTGCTTTTTACTACTTTTTATCCAAAAAGAAGAAAAGGAAAAGGAAAGAAAATACCCTTAGTACAATTTTTATTTCTTTGTTGCTTTTGTTCTCTCCACTCGGTTTATTTTCTTTTTGAGTCCAGGTATTTAATTTCATCAAGCCAAATGGTTGCATCATTATAAAAGATTTTGATTTCAAATAATGCTGGATTTGATGGAACCAGTGATTCTAAACAGGCATAACAATGCATCAGGACTTCTCAGAGAAACACAATGGAATAATAAAATATGATTCATAAATATAAAATTTACAATATTAGTAATTTTGTTGAAAATACCTACTGAGCCAAGTTCTCCTTGGTGCCAAAGTCACTCCCCAACAGTAAATATAACAGTTCCAAAAAGTGGAGTTCCAGTAGCCTGAGAAAGTTAACACTGTTCTTGAAGGATTAACTGAAATCCAAAGAAAACACAAACCCGTAAGTGTAGAGAGTTTCATTAAACTGAAATTAAGAGCAGTGCTTTGAGAGACTGCTACAGAGAAAGCCAGGTTAAAAAGTGTCTTTTCAGTTGAAAAGAATAATAACCACTTAAAAACTATTCAAGGTCATTTAAATACAAATATTATATTAAGTCCATTTGACCATAGTTTCTGGAAGGCTTAAGACTTTTGGGGATTTTTTTAAAATACAATATGCAAACTTTTTAATGCATATATGTATTTTCCCCTCAGACTCTTAAAGCAAACTAAATTTCCACCCAGATATGTAAATATGCATACACAAAATGCCTTTAAGTTACTCTCTTTCTTGGCTCAGAATCCTGTGTATAGTATGTATGATGTTAATGAAGTTAATTACAAACCTGTGGTCAGGATGCGAACCCACCCCCATGACCTCAGGGATCTTATTCTATCTGTTACAAACTCTTTCTCCAATACCTTCAACATCTCTTGTTTACCCAGGCAGACTGGCACCCTTAATTGTTTCTTCTCTGTGGGCAACAGAAGCTCTATAGGAAAAGTGGTGACTACGTTCTCAATGCATAAGCAACTTCAGGATCTACCTCCTAGGGTTCACTTTAAGGCTTTTCATGACAGCTTTATTTACTCTTGTTTGTTTTTGTTTCCATCGTCTCCAATTGAGGGTCTCCCTTAGATACATGACAGTTGAAAACTCCACCTGCCTTTTAGTTCTCTCCCCTCTTGGAGGACTTTTTCCTTTGTTCTGCAGCCCAGAGGCCAGTCTCACCCTCACTCTGCTGACTGTTTTCTGGGTCTTGGGCTCACCTCAGGGCCTGGCCTGTCCATGGCCCCGCTTTACTCTTTATCCACACATGGAGTTAGCAGAAACCGAATCTTTTCTTACAGCTTTTAAATATGTTTCAGTCTGTCTCATCTAAAAAAATCTTTCATTACTTAAGTTCCTACTGTAGGTTCAATCCCGCTGTCTCCTTCTCTTTTTAATCAAGCTCCTTGAAAATATAGCCTGAACTTCAGTCTCTATTTCACGACCCCCAGAACATTGGCTTCTGTTCCCAGCAGCACAAAGAGCTTGCTCTTGCTAAGGATGCCACTGGCGACATCACTAGCTCCAGGGGATACTCTTGTAAATTTATTTCAAACTCACTGTGGCTTGAGACACTATAGACCATTCCCTCTTCCTTGGAATTCTCTCTGATGATATGTGTGGCACTTCATTCTTCTGGCTTCCTGGAAAAAATAATTACATTAAGTACAAATGAAAATTATCTCAAACATTCATAAAAGTATGAAGATCGTAATACGAAACTTCTTAATAGTACTACACATTGAGTACAAAGCAGCAAAAACTGCAGACAGGTGCTACATGTCGGTCTTCAATATCTACTTGTTTCACTTTACCGGAAAGGTGCTGAGTGGGCCAGGAGTCATTCCAAGTTGGTTTTGATTCTTGAGGACAGGGAAGATAGTCTGGGGCCCAAACCAGATCTACAGCCGGTACCAGACAAATTGTATCAAAGCCTAATGCTTCGCCTGGAGGGTCAACTCTCCAGAACTAAGATTCTCCTACAGTTGAAGCAGGTATGGTAGCCTGAAGTTTCCTGATAGAAAAAGAAAAATAAAATGAAGGAAGAAGTGAAAAATTGGACAGGCTCAATTCTTTGTCTCCACTGTAATTTTCAGAGTGGTTGATGTGAGGTGCAGGGCTGAAGGCTGGCTGGAGGGAACGAGGTGCTTTCAATGATATGCTGGCTTTTCTGAGTGGAAGGGTAAGTGTCAGATCTGCTTTACCCTCCCACTGAAGTTTCTTTCAGTTCAACAGGTATTCCTTGAATGTCCACTATATGCCAGGCATTCTGATGGGCAATAGGGTCACAAAGACAAGGAAGGCACAACCTGTATCCTCAAGGAGCATCAGTTTGGTGAACACTTGATTTCATCAGGTGAGGATCAGAGAGGCTCCTCTCCAGTGAAACATCAGGATCCTTAACTCATCTGGTGGATTCTCCCCATTCTTCTCTGCTGAATTCACCAACCCAATTACACTCCTCAGTGCCCTGACAATCCTGTTTGTACCTATGCTTCTGAGCTTTCTTTCCTAATGATACCTTGGATAAAGATTTTATTACTATCCTCTGTTTGTTAAAGGAAATTTCATTTCCTGTGAATTTATTATTATGGGTATCAATGTACTGCCTGCATTAGTCTTTAAGAGATGCTGTTTCTGTTGGCTAAAACATTGGCAGAGTCTTTTGGCTCATCCCATGTTATCCACATTTCTGTTCCTTTTGTAAGTATTCCTATTGCTTTGGGATTTTAGTTGTTAAGAGGATAGTCAAATAGAATCAAAACAATTATTCAATAATGTGCATGCCAAGGTTTCCTGGCATCACTTACCAAAAATCTACAGTGTTACAGTGTATTGCCCAAATATTTTATTTACATTCAACTTGTCCCAAGGTATTGCTAAGAATAGAAATGAATATATAGCCTGTTTGCTCGGAGTATTAAGCTACATAGCCAAATTTGGATACGTTAATGTTGTATCTGTATCTCCCTCATGAATAGAGGATATGGGATTGAAAAATGACTAGCATGGAGGACAGAATGACTCAGAAATCTAAGAATAGCCAAATCATGTGAAAAGACCCAAAGGCTGCTTCAAAATGAACTGCATCTGCCTGACTCACAAAACTGGCAAATTACACTATTTAGATCTATGCAAAATAGCATTTCACCAGCATTTTATCTGCATATTTAATTTTGCTTTGGGTTAGTACAGATTTACCTTCTTTCTGTGAGATAATGTACAGGTTCAAAGGTGTACTCTAACTCAGAAAATAATCAAATTTGTTTTGTTTCTATCAGATTATAAAGTCATAACTTGGAGTCTTCAAAGTTGTTTTAGGAATAGATTTGAAAATACACTTTGGTTGAACCAAGTGCTCCTCAGAAGTCTAGGAGACACTAGCCACCGAAGCACTGAGAAAGGAAGATAAAAGCCTCTGTTACTATGGGAGGTCCAGTGTTGCCCTAGATAAGCACTTATCCAGGATTCTGGGAATAATCAAACCTTCTAAATAGAGTGTCCCCTCTGCTTTAGGATCATTAGCTGCTTTATTGGAATCTAATTGGGAAGAGAGCCAATATTAATATGGGGAGACACACTCTTTACTATGCTCATCACCACACTCACCACCAATATACCATCAAGGAAAGAATGCAAGAGGCGGTCACAAAAGCTGAATGTCCTGCGTTAGCCACCATGTCAGTTACCCTCATTACCATCACACTGTGCCCCCTTGAATTCCCACAGTTTGCTCAGCAAACAAACCTATATCCCGAACCTCTCCCCTGAAAGTCCTTGAAGCCCCTTGCCTTTGTTGAATTCTGGATCTCGTCTATGGGCTCAGCCTCCCTGTGGCCCTCTCACATGAAGGTTGTTTTCCTCAGAAGTACTAAAGGCATCCTTGCAACCACCATAGGCATCTTTGCAAACACCATTGCTGTCTCCACACCATTATTTCATCTGTAAATCCCCTGCTTCTTCTAGTTTCACGCCAACTGGAAAAAATACCCAACTCCTTCATCCTGGCTGTTATCTACCAGTCTCCCATTTATCTCCCCTCATTTATTGAAGATGTTAACTTCCGGTTATCTCTCATCATGCACAATGACTCCAACATCAATACAGATGACTCACTCAGCAGTCTGGCTTCTCAGTTTCTTGACCTTCTCACTCCAATAGTTCCCTTCTGGTCCATTTGGCCACTTACTTCAAAGAGCTCATTCTTCACTTGTTTACGCAAAAATGCCCATCCCTAAAACTTTGATCGCAGATGCTCCCTTCTCTCACCGCTACCATTTAGCTTTCCACCCATATATCTTAGATGCCTCACCCTTCGATGTCAATGAGCCAATCTACCATTTTCTGCAGTTACCTTCAGCCCCCCTCCACGCTTCCATTTCCTCCTTCTCTGTCTTAGATGATGTGGTCCTTCTTTATGAATTCTCTTTCACAATTATTTTTAACTCCCTTTTGCCACTTTTCCCTTACGTACCAGCTTACTAAAACTCTAATCCAGTATGGATTAAACCATTTATGTTCTCCTTGCCAGTGAATATTGCACAGAAAAATTACATGACCAAACTGACTTTTTATTTTACTTTATTTTTTTTCTTCTTTTGTATTTGTAATAATGTTAAGGAGTGCAAATGCAGTTTTGTTATGTAAACTTATTTTGTAGTGGTGAAGTCTGGGCTTTTATTATAACCATTACTTGAATAATGGACATTGTAGCCATTAAGTAATTTCTTATCCCTCACCCTCTCCCACTCTCCCACCCTTCTGAGTCTCCAGTGTCTATTACTCCACTCTGTTGTCCATGTATACACACTATTTAGCTCCCACTTATAAGTGAGAACATGCAGTATTTGACTTTCTGTTTCTGAGTTTTTCACTTAAGATACTGGCCTTCAGTTTGTCCATGTTGCTGCAAAAGACATGATTTCATTCTTTATTACAGCTCAATTGTATTTCATTATACACACACACACACGCACACACACCACATTTTCTTTATCCAGTCATCCAAAGATGGATGCTTAGGTTGATTCCATATCTTTGCTATTGTGAATACTGCTGCAGTAAGAGTGCTTTTATTTTAAGTGCATTTTCTTTTAAAAAGTCAAATTCAATAACAAGTTGACTGTTCAATAACAAGAGCAATCTGTTGTGTTTTTCTTATAGGCTTGGTTTTCTATCCCAAGATGATTATTTCACACCTGTTTTGTCTCCTCAAACTTCATCCTAAGGTATCCTTGGTTATCCTTTCAGCTGAAGACTTCGCCTTATATGTCAATAGAGAAAGTAAGAATGGCCAGTGGGAAATTCTTCAGCCCTTCACCACCGCTTCTACATACAAAGAAGATTCTAAAGAAAATGACCTCAATCAGATGGCAGCATAGGAGTTTT
Source organism: Homo sapiens (assembly GCF_000001405.40). NCBI lineage: Eukaryota > Metazoa > Chordata > Mammalia > Primates > Hominidae > Homo > Homo sapiens. The sequence continues at coordinate 20,095,377 of NC_000012.12, read as the reverse complement.
TGGTGCTCATCCCCTAACGGAAGCATCAGTTTGAATAAGCATCCATGCAGGCTGTACCTTCATGAGAGCTAAGGATTCCAGGTGAGAGATTATATCACCTCAATTGAACACAGCAATAAGAAAAGAAACACTGAAGATAGCAGAGGACACAATTTCACTTTACCCATGTCACCCCCTCCTCCAAGCCCATGTAGTGCAGCTCAGAGAGACATACCCTTCTCATGGGGAAAAGAGAGTGAAATGAGTACCCAACTTCACCACCAACCCCAGGACCAGACCCAGAAAATCCCAACACCGAGCCAGCCCCTGTGGATACAAGCTCCAGGCCCACCTGCCCACTGACCCAGACACTGGGCCAGCCTGCCCAAGAACTCCAAAAGCAAGCTTGCTCGTGGTCCCTGCCAGCTAACCTACCTCGAATCTCTAGATGAGCTGACAGATGAAGGGCTCTTTCTTCCAAAGCCAGTCTGTAAAGATTGGCAAAGGTGCCTACTTCTCCCAGTGCATAAACACCCAAAGCCAGGCCACAGAAACATGGAACGTCATCACTGACTCTTCCTTTTCTCAGGACATGTCACCATTTCATGAATTTAAAAAATCTGTCTATTCTTTCACTAAAATGTGTCTTAAATCCACGCACTTCTCTTCATTTTCATTGCCAACAAGATAGCCTAAGTCACTAACATCTCTTTTCTAGATTTCTCTATGAGCCTCTTAACTGAGCTACCTATTCAGAACAACCCCATGGGCATGAGACCTGTGCAGTCACCCCGGCCCTGCACTTAAAAGAGCCCTGAGTTTTGTTTAATGCTCTGCTGTTGTTGTCTTGAATTTTTAATAATTTTTGATCAAGGGGACCACATTTTCATTTTGCACTAGAACTCACAAATTATGTAACATGTCCTGTTCCCATTTGTAGCCTTGTTTCTTCTTATCCACTCTATGCTAGAAGTCAGGGTAATATTTTAGTAATGTTAATCATGACACTTCCCTGCGTAAAACATACTGATGGCTTTTCATTGCATTTGTTTTTATTTTTTTATTTTTCTGTAAGCTATTGGGGTATTGGGATACAGGTAGTATTTGGTTACATGAGTAAGTTCTTCAATAGCGATTTGTGAGATTTTGGTGCATCCCTCACCCGAGCAGTATACACTGCACCATATTTGTAGTCTTTATCCCTCATCCCCCTCACACTCTTCCCTAAGCCAATGTCTAGAAAGGTTTCTCCAATGTTATCTTCTAGAAATTTTATAGTTTCAAGTCTTAGGTTTAAGTCCTTAATCCATCTTGAGTTGATTTTTGTATAAGGTGAGAGATGAGGATCCAGTTTCATTCTCCTACATGTGGCTTGTCAATTATCCCAGCATCATTTGGTGAAAAGGGTGTCCTTTCCCCACTTTATGCTTTTGTTTGCTTTGTTGAAGATCAGTTGTCTGTAAGCATTTGGGTTTATTTCTGAGTTCTCTATTCTGTTCCATCGGTCTATGTGCCTCTTTTTATATCAGTACCATGCTGTTTTGGTGACTATGGCCTTATAGTATAGTTTTAAGAGGTGACAGCGTGCTGGCAGCCCTCACAGCCCTCGCTGGCTCTCGGCGCCTCCTTGGCCTTGGCGCCCACTCTGGTGGTGCTTGAGGAGCCCTTCAGCCCGCCACTGCACTGTGGGAGCCCCTTTCTGGGCTGGCCAAGGCCAGAGCCGGCTCCCTCAGCTTGCCGGGAGGTGTGGAGGGAGAGGCGCAGGCGGGAACCAGGGCTGCACCTGCTTGCGGGCCAGAGCAAGTTCTGGGTGGGCGTGGGCTCAGCGGCCCCACACTCGGAGCGGCCAGCGGGCAGTGAGGGGCTTAGCACCTGGGCCAGCAGCTGCTGTGCTCGATTTCTCGCCAGGCCTTAGCTGCCTCCCCGCGGGGCAGGGCTTGGGACCTGCAGCCTGCCATGCCTGAGCCTCCCCACCGCCAGCCGCCGTGGGCTCCTGCACAACCCGAGTCTCCCCAACGAGTGCCGCCCCCTGCTCCACGGTGCCCGGTCCCATCAACCGTCCAAGGGCTGAGGAGTGCGGGTGCACAGCTCGGGACTGGCAGGCAGCTCCACCTATGGCCCTGGTGCGAGATCCACTGGGCGAAGCCAGCTGGGCTCCTAAGTCTGGTGGGGACTTGGAGAATCTTTATGTCTAGCTAAGGGATTGTAAATACACCAGTCAGCACTCTGTATCTAGCTCAAGGTTTGTAAACACACCATTCAGCACCCTGTGTCTAGCTCAGGGTTTGTGAATGCACCAATCGCCATTCTGTATCTAGTTAATCTGGTGGGGACTTGGAGAACCTTTATGTCTAGCTAAAGGATTGTGAATACACCAATCGGCACTCTGTATCTAGCTCAGGGTTTGTAAACACACCAATCTGCACCCTGTATCTAGCTCAGGGTTTGTGAATGCACCAATCTGCACTCTGTATCTAGTTAATCTGGTGGGGACTTGGAGAACCTTCATGTCTAGCTAAGGGATTGTGAACGCACCAATCAGCACTCTGTATCTAGCTCAAGCTTTGTAAATGCACCAATCAGCACTCTGTGTCTAGCTCAGGTTTTGTAAATACACCAATCAACACTCTGTATCTAGCTGATCTAGTGGGGACCTGGAGAACTTTTGTGTCTAGCTCAGGGATTCTAAACACACCAATCAGCACCCTGTCAAAATGGACCAATCGGCTCTCTATAAAACAGACCAATTGGCTCTCTGTAAAATGGACCAATCAGCAGGATGTGGGTGGGGCCAGATAAGAAAATAAAAGCAGGCTGCCCAAGCCAGCAGTGGCAACCAACTGGTGTCCCCTTCCACACTGTGGAAGCTTTGTTCTTGCGCTCTTTGCAATAAATCTTGCTACTGCTCACTCTTTGGGTCCACACTGCCTTTATGAGCTGTAACACTGCGAAGGTCTGCAGCTTCACCCCTGAAGCCAGTGAGACCACGAACCCACTGGGAGGAACGAACAACTCCAGATGTGCCACCTTGAGAGCGGGTCTTGCAGGAGCAGTCCACTTCCTTCAGAGGGTCTGTGGGTTCTCTTGGGATTGCTGGTTTGTTCTTGCAGTCAATCTGCAGCTAAAATTCACAATGCACGCCTCTGCATGCTGCTCTGTCCACAGCTGCAATCTAGTCCTGCCTCCCATCCACCATGATTCCTTAATCTCTTTCCATTGCGTTTGAATAAATTTCTCACTCTTATGATCTGCAAAGACCTGCCTGGTCAGGCAGCAACCCTCTCTTTCCAGCCTCATCACCCTCACTCACTAAAGTTTCAGGCACACTGGCAACTTTCAGCTTATTGTACATGGTGGTTTCCTTCCTGCCTCAGATCTTTTGCACACGCTGTTTCCTCTCTTTAAAACACCCATTCACATAATACTTCCATCTCATGCCTCAAGACGCAGCTTAAATAATAGCGTTTAATTTGTCAGGTATGCTAATTGCCCTAACACCACAAAAATCTCAGAGGTTTATCACACACTAAAAAAAGTTTATTTCAGAGTCATACACAGTCCAATTAGCTCAGCTCAGGTTTGTAGGGGCAGACTTCCTAGTGGGGATGCAGGGCCCAGCCTCTTCTAATGAAGTGGCTCCATCACTTTCCAAGCCCTCAGATTCCTGGACTGTATCTGCTGTATGCAGCAGGGATATGAGGGAAAAACGTGTGGAGGGTCACAGGAGAGAGGTAGCACCAGGGATTGAAGGGGAGTTTGTCAATTTTGCCCACATTCTGTTGGCCCCATTTAACTGTACAGGAGGTTGAGAAATGGTGTTTAGCTATGAGCTCTGAAGGCCAAGGAAATGGGTTTCAGTGCATACGACTATGTGACCTCTGCCACTTAGGGAGATAACGTCCCTTACTATGATGTGCATACTCACCATCCTGTATATCCCTTACTATCCTGTGTAAACTCACCTTCCAGGACATCCCTTAGTATCCTGTGCATAATCACCATCCTGTACACCCCTTACTATCCTGTGCAAACTCACAATCCTACACATCCCTTACTATCCTGTGCAAACCCACCATCCTGTACACCCCTTACTATCCTGTGCAAACCCACCATCCTACACATCCGTTACTATCCTGTGCCAACCCACCTTTCTGCACATCCCTTACTATGCTGTGCATACTCACCATCCTGTACGTCCCTTACTATACTGTGCAAACCCACCATCCTGTACATCTCCCTTACCATCCTGTGCAAACCCACCTTCCTGCATGTCCCTTACTATCCTGTGCAAACCCACCATCCTGTACATCCCTTAGTATCCTACACAAACTCACCAATCTGTACATCCCTTACTATCCTCTGCAAACTCACCAATCTGTGCATCCTTTACTATCCTGTGCAAACTCACCATCCTGTACATCCCTTACTATCCTGTGCATACTCACCATCCTGTACACCCCTTACTATCCTGTGCAAACCCACCTTCCTGTGTGTCCCTTACCGTCCTGTGCAAACTCACCAATCTGTACATCCCTCACTATCCTCTGCAAACTCACCAACCTGTACGTCCTTTACTATCCTGTGCATACTCACCTTCCTGTACATCCCTTACAATCCTGTGCAAACTCACCAACCTGTACATCCCTTACTAACCTGTGCAAACCCACCTTCCTGTGTGTCCCTTACCGTCCTGTGCAAACTCACCAATCTGTACATCCCTTACTATCCTCTGCAAACTCACCAGCCTGTACACCCCTTACTATCCTGTGCAAACCCACCAGCCTGTACACCCCTTACTATCCTGTGCAAACTCACCAACCTGTGCATCCCTTAATATCGTGTGCAAACTCACGTTCCTGTACATCCCTTAGTACCCTGTGCAAACCCACCATCCTATGCATCCCTTACTATCCTGTGCAAACCCACCTTCCTGTGTATCCCTTACCATCCTGTGCAAACTCACCAATCTGTACATCCCTTACTATCCTCTGCAAACTCACCAACCTGTACACCCTTTACTATCCTGTGCATACTCCCCTTCCTGTACATTCCTTAGTATCCTGTGCACATGTACTCTCTAGGCCACATCTCTTACTCAGGGAGATTACTTGCACTTTTGAAGACAGTGCAGAATAATATTTAGAGGCACATGTTCTGGAATTTGATGTCAAACTCCAAGATCATCACTTATTAACTATGTAATCATGAGCAACCTACACAACCTGTCTCAGCCCTAATTTTTTTTTGTTAAAAAGTGTAAAAATAGAATCCATATCACAGAATCATTATGAGAAGACATAAGATAATATATGAAATATGCTTAGTACTATGCTTAACGTTTTTGTTTTCTTTTTTGTTTGATTGATTTTAGACTCGGGGATACATAAGCACATTTGTTACATGGATATATTCCATAATGTTTGGGATTGGGCTTCTGTTGTACCCATCACCCAAACAGTAAACATAGTAACCAACAGGTAGTTTTGCAACCCTTTCTCTCCACCGTCCCTGCCTCTTTCGGAGTCCCCAGTGTCTACTGTTTCCATCTCTATGTCAGTGTGTACCCATTGTTTAGCTCCCACTTATAACTGGACAGTATTTTATTTTCTGTTTCTGTGTTGATTAACTTAGTATAATGGCCTCTGGCTGCATCCATGTTGCTGCAAAGGACATGATTTTTATGGCTATTCCATAGTGTATATGTACTACATTTCTTTATCCAGTCAACCATTCATCGGCATCTAGGTTGAGTTCATGACTTTGCTATTTTGAATAGTGCTGCAATGAACATATGAGTGTAGGTGTCTTTTTTTTGGAGGGGGCATGGGGGATGGAGTCTTGCTCTGTTACCCAGGCTGGAGTGCTGTGGTGCGATCTCGGATCACTGCAACCTCCTCCTGGGTTCAAGCGATTCTCCTGCCTCAGCCTTCTGAGTAGCTGGGATTACAGACGCGCATCACCACGCCCAGCTAATTTTTGTATTTTTAGTAGAGAAGGGATTTCACCATGTTGGTCAGACTTGTCTCAAACTCCTGACCTCGTGATCCACCCACCTTGGCCTCCCAAACAGCTGGGATTACAGGTGTGAACCACCACGCCCAGCTGAGTGTAGGTGTCTTTTTGATAGAACAATTCATTTTGCTTTGGGTAGATAACCAGAAATGGGATTGCTGAGTCAAATGGTAGATCTATTTTCAGTTCTTTGAGAAATCCCCAAACTGCTTTCTACAGGGACTGAACTAATTTACATTCCCAGAAACAGTGTATAAGCATTCCTTTTTCTTCACATCCTCGCCAACATCTGTTAATTTTTGGCATTTTAGTAATAGCCATTCTGACTGGTGTGAGATGATATCTCATGGTAGTTTTGATTTGCATTTCTCTGATGATTAGTGATGTTGAGAATTTTTCATGTTTGTTGGCTATTTGTATATCTTCTTTTGAAGAAGTGTCTGTTCATGTTCTTTGCCCCCTTTGTAGTGAGGTTATTTGTTTTTGTTGTTGTTGTTGTTGATTTGTTATGTTCCTTATAGATTCTGGATATTTGACCTTTGTCAGATATATAGTTTGCAAATATTTTCTCCCATTCTTTAGGTTGTCTGTTTAGTCTGTTGATAGTTTCTTTGGCTGTGCAACATATGATGAACAAAAAGCTAATTTTACTTACTATACGCAAAACTGAAAAAATGAACAATCATCCATAAAATGGTAAAAAAAGAATGTATGAACAGATATTTCACCAAAAAGGGAAAGAAATACTGACAGTCAAAAAACATATAAAAGAATTTTTTTAGTCTAGATTTTTAAAAAAACTAAACAAGAATATATTATGATGCTCAAACACTTAAAAATTAAATAAAATAATTCAACTTTTTAGAGAGCAGTTTGCCAAAATTACTCAAAATTAAGGCATATATTATTTGACTCAGAGATTTCCCTTCTAAGAATTTATCATGCAGATATATTCCCAGAGATTTCCCTTCTAATAACTTCAGTTTAATTAGGTCTTCAGTTTAATTAGGTCTCAATTGTCAACTTTTATATTTGTTGCATTTACTTTTGAGGTCTTAGTCATAAATTCCTTGCTTAGGCCAATGTCCAGAAGAGTTTTTCCTGTTTTTTTTTTTTCTAGGATTTTTATATTCTGAGGTCTTACACGTAAGTCTTTAATCTACCTTGAGTTAATTTTTGTATATGGTGAGAAGTAGGGGTCCAGTTTCATTCTGCATATGACTAGCCAGTTTTCCCAGCACCATTTATTAAATAGGGTATCCTTCCCCATTGTTTATTTTTGTAGACTTTGTCAGAGATCTTAATGTAGACACCTTTATTAATATTCAGCACTATATACCCAGTGTCTGGCCTAGTATTAATATATTACACAAGCAAGCTCTGAATGCTTATTGGTTAAATAAATGAAAAATAATAAGTAAAAAGCTTAGCCTCATAGCTAGGACTCCAATAAAGACAAGAGTTATCTACTGGAACCCTCAGTTTACTAAGGACCTTAGTTGCTGGTGCTTAGCTCTCAGAAGGCTCTAATCTTTTAGGTGGTCTTAGACATGGCAATAACAAGCAAGCCCTAATGTCATCCAGTTATTTAAAAACTGTCTAGCAATGTGTGTAAACTTAAATAAAATCAACATATCTCTTTTTCTTCCCTTAAAATTTTAAAGGCACTTCTCCATTTACATCATTTGATTTTCATGTTTTTTAAATCAGAAATTTTTCACACATGTGGGGAGCGCTGAGATTTCTTTTAAAGCAAGGATAATGATGAAAGGAATAAATTATTGATTAAAATTAGCATAAAACTTGAAACTTAGCATTACCATATCATTTTAAGATAGTTTGAAAAGTTAATCATAAAAGTAAATATGTGTTTTAGAAAATTTCAAATGCTATAGAATAACGCAAAGTACAAAAGAAGATATTGTCCTCCACTATTGAACCCCAAAGCTCAGTCTCCAAAAAGCAGTGTTTACCATTTTTCATGCTTGTTTTCAGGAAATGTCTATGCACATATAAGCCTAATAAGGTTTTTTTATTTTTGTTGCCAAAAGAAAAAACGAAAACATGTATACAAATTTTTCTGCAACTTGCTTTTTTTATTAACAATTTAGCTTTGATAGTTTTCTTCAGTGACTCATTTCTCATTCCTTTTACTGACTGCATGACATTCTATTAATAAATATACTATTATTTATTAACCAGTCTCTTATTGGTAGATATGTAAGTTGCTTATTCATTTGCTATTTCACATGACTCTGTAATTGGAATATTTGAATACACTTTGTAGAATTACGGGAATAGTTCTGTGTAATAAGTTATTAGAAGGGAAATCTCTGGGAATATATCTGCATGATAAATTCTTAGAAGGGAAATCTCTGAGTCAAATAATATATGCCTTTAATTTTGAGTAATTTTGGCAAACTGCTCTCTAAAAAGTTGAATTATTTTATTTAATTTTTAAGTGTTTGAGCATCATAATATATTCTTGTTTAGTTTTTTAAAAAATCTAGACTAAAAAAAAATTCTTTTATATGTTTTTTGACTGTTAGTATTTCTTTCCCTTTTTGGTGAAATATCTGTTCATACATTTTTTTTTACCATTTTATGGATGATTGTTAATTTTTTCAGTTTTGTGTATATTAAGTAAAATTAGCTTTTTGTTCATCATATGTGCTGTACATAACTGTTCCCATTTTGTCATTTTGCTTTGACTTTGTTTATAATTTTTACAATTGAACAGTTTACAATTTTTAATAGTCAAGGCATCCATCTTTTCCTTTCCTGATTATTTCATGATGCATAGTAATGATTTTTACACTTATAAATAATATTCTATGCTCTTTTTTGGTGATTTTCAAATTTTCTTTAAATATTGGATCTACTTGAAATTTGTTTAGGTATAATAAATGAAAAAAGTTACAAACTTATTATTATATTTTGAAATTTTAAATGGTTAGGAAATTGCTTCATCTTTTGCTAACTTTTCTTCATTGTCTTAGTTCACACAGGCTGCTGTAACAAAATACTGCAGTATTGTGTATTCTCCAAAATACCTGGAGATTGTGTGTGTGTATAGCTATATATATGCTTCTCTGGAGAACCCTGACTAAAATACTGTTATTTTGAAATATAGCCAAATGTACATCTATGAGTTCCATTTAATTAATTCCATTATTTTGATCCACTATATTCTTATTTCATTTGCCTGTCATGTGAGGTGAGTTATAAATCTCCTACTATTATTGTTTCTATATATTGCAGCTTTGAATTGTTTGTTGTTCTATATATTGCTGCTTTGAATTGTTTGATGCTGTTTTCTCTGGAATGCAAAGATTCATAATAGGGCATGATGGAGCATCTTGCATTAAACCAAAGCCTCTGCTGAACACAACTAGATAGCCAAGCAGTAGAATAAGCCTGTGGCCATCAGACTGCTGCCAAGGGCAAACAGGACATGAAAGTTCGAGGTCTTGGGAAGGACAAATGGCTTGGGGAGCCAAGTGGACAATTCACAGCTGAGTGTTGTTGTTGTTGTTGTTTTGTTTTGTTTTCCCCCTTAGAGCACTTGTTAGTTTTGTGCATAGAGCAAGAGGCTGAAGATTCAGGGAAAAGGCCAAGAAGCTGCCCCTGCTAAAGAGGCAGAAAGACCATCAGAACCTCAGGCCATCTCATGAGGTTGGAGAGACACAATTTAGATGCTTGAGGGGATGGGATTCTAGTGAGAAATTGGAGGGCGGCGAACAACATCCAGTACGTTGCTGGGTTTCGTTGATGATGTTGGTTGAATTCTACAGCTATGTGAGGAAAGGAATCTAAGAAGCCAAGCAAAATGCTTTTGGAAAACGAGGAGTTTTTAGCAGTCTCACAGTGCTTAGGAAACAGACTTTAAGTTCTAGACACATGAAGGGATGGAACCCAGGAAGCATCCTGAATCTCAGTCAGAACACATTGGGAACTACATCCTAGAAGCAGGGATGAAAGAAATCTAGATAGAGCCTTAACACAACTTCAATTTGGCCTTCAATTTAGTTTCTGACTGGATTAAGAGGATCAGGCCCTCACTCCTTCTGCTCTTTGGAGATGATAATATGATCAGTCTTTTATAATTTTTTATATATGATGTCAGGCATTGAATAAAAAACCTACCAGCTGTTATAAACTTAATGTTTGTACTCTTCAAAATTTGTATGTTGAAATCTTAACCCTCAATGTCATAGAATAAGGATGTGGGGCTTTTGGGTGGTGATTAGGTCATGATGATGGAATTAGGATCCTTATAAGGGGATGAAGAGCCTAGAGCTACTTCTCCCCTCCATGTGAGAATACAGTGTGGACACAACCATCTGCATACCAAGAGCGGGCACTTACCAAGAACCCAACCATGCTGGAACCCTAACCTTGGACGTCCACCCTCCAGAACTGTAAGAAATAAATGCTTGTTGTTTAAACTACCCAGTCCATGGTAGTTTCTTATAACAGCCTAAACAGACTAAGAACCAGGCGTACGAAAACACAGGACTATATGACCTAACACCATGAGAATAAAACAGCCGATAAAAAGAGATCCACAGGTGATCCAGATATTGGAATTATTCAATAAGGACATTAAATCATTATAACTAATACACTCAAGAAAACAAAGAGAAAGATGAAAAATAGATGAAAAGATAGAAAATTTTACCAGAGAATTTAAATCTCAATAAAAAAGTCACAGGGCAAAAACAGGGCAACAATACACACTCGGGACTACTAGAGGCGGGAGGTGAGGAGCGGGACAAGAGTTGAAAAAGTAACTGTTGGGTACTATGCTCACTACTTGGGTGGTGGGATCATTCATACCCCAACCTCAGCATCATGCAGTATCCTTAGGTAACAAACTTGCACATGTACCCCAAGAGTCTAAAATAAAAGTTGAAAAACAATAAAAAATGAATAAAATGAGTAAAGAATTTCACATGGAAATTCTAGAAATGAAAAACAAAATAACACACTTGATAAAGGGACATGATCGCAGATTGGACAGAGTAGAATCGTGACTTTGTGAACTGAAATACAGATTAACATAAAATCTTTTAGACTAAAGCTCAGAAGGATAAACGATTTTAAAAATGCAAAAATATATATAAGAAAAATAATCCAAATGTCAGACACATGTTATTGGAATACCAGAGGAGAGGAGAGCGAATCAAGCAAAAGCCGTATTTGAAGAGAAAATGATTGATGAAAGCCATCAAGCCACAGATTCGAGAAGCTCTTTGAACTCTCAGGATGAATACAGGTGAGATGAAACCTGGACACATCATAGCAAAACTTCTCAAAGCCAAAAACAAAGAGAAAATTTGAAAGCACTCAGAGGTAGGGGGTTGGGGAGACTGGAGGGAGATACATTATTACAAGGAGCAACAATAAAACTAATTGAATTTTCAACAGAAATGATGAAAGCCAGAAAGTAATGAAATGCCATCTTTAAAGTACTCCCGATGAAATGCCGTCTTTACATCTTTAAATTAGTTCTCTAAAGAACTAATTTAAAAATAAGAATAGAAAGCTGGTAGGTTTTAACTCAACTACATCAGCAATAAAACTGAATAAAAATAAATGAGAGACTGCCGCACTATGAAAAACAAAAACAAGAGCAAAAAAAAATTACAAGCACATATCCCTAATAAAAATAGAAAACAGATTGAAAGCAAAAGGCCAGAAAAAGATATGCCATGCAAATATTAAGCAGAGAATGGTGGTGTGGCTATATTAATAAAATTTTAAAAGACTTTACGTCAAAAGGCATGACTAGAACAGAGATTATTTTTAATTATTCTTAATGATGAAGAAATCAACCCAGTATAAAACATAACAATGCTAAAAATCTATTATTTGTAACTAATACAACTTTTATTTGTAACTAATAAAAATGACTGAAATTATAGGAAGACAAAAGAGACAGGATGAAAAGGAAAAACAAACTCATAACTAGTTTAATGTTGGTCTCTGTGTCATTATAGAGCAAGCAGACAAAAAACTAGTAAGGATATAAAAGATCTGAAGCTAATCTATAGTGTGGACACACTGTATGATCCCCCTATGTGGTAAATTTCACTAATTATTCCATACCATTCCAAAGTGATGTGTATTTGTTGATTTTTGAGTACCTTATTCTTTATATATCAGTTAGGTCATATAAAGTGCACTGTACTAAAAAATTAACAAAATCTACCATCCAGTAAAGGTTACCAAAATTCACTGTATGAAGGACTGTCAAGTGAGTCTTAACACTTTTTTTTTAATAAATCAACTTTTTTGAGATATAACTTACATCTAATAAAATGCATCCATTTCACATGCACAGTTTGATGAGTTCTGACAAATGAATACACTCATGTTGCCACCACCACAATCAAGATTTAGAAAATTTCCATTATTTACATCAAACAACTAACTCCCAGGCAACCACTGACATGCTCTATGCTTATTAGGCAGTATAGCATAGTGGATAAAAATAAATCTATAGAGTCAGACTGCCTCAATTCAAACCCTAGTCCCACCACAGCTAGCTGTATGCCAGCCAAGACGTCATTTAACCTTTCTATGTCTCAATTTCCTTTTCTGTAAAATGGATATCATAATAATAGTAACTTCCTTTAAGGTTGTTAGGAGGATTAAATAAGTTAATGTACGTAGGTGCTTATAACTGTGCCTAGCACATACTAAGTGACATATAGGCTTTAGCTGTGTTCCTAGGGTAAAGACGTCCATTGCCCACACGAACTTTGCTTAGAGACCTATTGTTAGATGAAGGAGGCAATAATGATAGCATGGTTCATTATTTTCCCTGTACAGAATTTTAACAGAAAATTTATTTATGAAAGCAACTTCAATTGCTAAGCATATTATAATATTCAACTGAAGGTATGAGTTGCAATTCTACTTCCTTTACAAAGGCAAAAAAATGTATATTTATTGGAGAATCAGGGTTATTAAGAGCACCTGTTTATTCAGAAGAGCCAAAAAAAGTAGTTTGCATTGTTTAGCACATTCTGTAACAAGCAAGCAAACAAGAAAACTCTAACTTTTTTCCATTGTTCTAAGTAAATTAGGTACCTGTTAAGTGATAACAACAGTAATAGTATCTACTTCCAATTCTCACTCTTCATACTTATGAGCAAAAAAGTAAGCATCATTAATAAGACAGGATAGTCTTAAATGTCATTTTCATAATTAATGCCCTGGACAAGTAGATTAAATAATTCAAGGGGAAAATTATCTCAAGTCACTTCTTGTGAGTAGAAACTGTGCAATCAAAAGACATTTTTAAATCAAATGCATATTTAGAACAAATTCAAGTATAATGTGATTATTTTATAAAAAGTAAATTAAGAGACTGGTGGATTATTTTGCTTTTAACTAGTTTCTCTCTAACAACTATAGTACCAATTAGAATTAATTATATAAATTATGTCTAAATAAAGTACATAAATATCTTCTGACAGTTTTATATTCAACTTCCATGGTTCAGGAAAAGAATCTAAATTTATAATCAAGATAAACTAGGTACTGAATTAAACATCTTGATATAAGTAGGAGAAAATCTGTAATTAGCGTGACATACAAAGAACCAACAGCAACCGATTATTGCTTTAATTGAATATTTCAATCTGAAAGTTGTTTTTTTAAAGATCACTATCAATGGCAAACTTTTAAAATGTCAACATTTAAATTTATATTTAGAACATTGCTACATGTACAAAATAAGAAAATATGTGAAATAAAAATGGAAAGAAATAAATCACCAGATTTTTAAAGTAAACAATATTTAGACCCAGACCTCATAAAATTGACCATTTTACTTATAGTTTTACTTGGCATTACATAGATTGATAGCATCAATCTTAAAACATTGTGTTTTACCTTAACTACCCTCGCAGTAAGGCAATGGTCACTATAGAAGAGTATATATCAATGATCATCTTTATTCCAGAAATTACACTAAAGAAAATTAAAAAGACAAATTAACCAACCACAATGTATAGGCTTTATGTGGCCCTTTTTCAAATAAACAAACTGGAGAAAAATGAAAAATGTGAGTACTAACTGGACACTTGACAATACCGGCAAATTAATGTTATTTTTAAGGTGTGATAATAGAATAATGGGTTTCTTTATTTTTTACAAATTCATAAAGAAATACTTACCCAAAAAAAGCCAGTATGATATCAGGAACTCAACCTAATGGGAGCAAGAAGGAGGTAAGTAATTGACAATAAAAACAAAATAATCAGTCATGTCCTATTGACAACAGGGAAGTTCACAATTAGTGCGTAGTAGTTCACTATACAATTCTCTCCTTTTGTGTATGTTTGAGATTCTTCATAACACAATTGTTATTAAAAACGCACTCTTATTTCAAGAAAACAAAGAGAGAATAAAGATATATGAGGTTAAGTATGTGGGAATATTTGCCTCCTTCATAGAGAGCTCTTGAGTATTTAATTCATTCTATGTGAAATAAAACATGATCTATAGGTTAAGACTTCTTTATCTCAAAAGGTTACATTGAAAAAATTAAGATCATGGCAGGAATTTATTATATATCCTTTCTCTATCTTTCTGGTTTCTCCAAAAACTGTAATAATATCTATGGTCCTGCAATTTGCAATTTCATAAAGATATTGTTTAAAATAAAAGGCAGAGAAGAAAGAAAAAAATAGTAAACTCTCAGAAAGTATTAATATTATTCTATTACTGACTTGTAACCACAGTGGTGTTGGCTGTTGTTGTTGCTATTCTCCATTTTCTCATATCGGCACCAGTTGGTAATTTTTTCTTTAAAGTCTTATACACTGCTTATTAAAAAGTATTGCTTTCCACTGGATTGTGTCAAGTTAAACTAATGAAACTAAATGTCATGTGCTTTAGTGTGTAAACATCAATATCCTTAGAGTATAAAAATGTACCTTAAGAAGAATGCAAGGGATGACCTCTGAGAAGCTTGTTAGCTGTTCTGTGATGTTTGAGGTAATCATAACAGGAATACATGTGTTCCCAATCTCCTGATAATCATGCCGACAAGTTTCTAGACACTTGAAACTTTTAAGACTTTTAAGACTATTGCTTACTTTGTACCTCAAGAATTTGAGAAATTATTTTTCTTTTACCATGGGATCACAATTGCTATCTCAGATCCAGTCAGATTTTTGCATCTGAAATTTGTAAATTTTGCAAATTTTTTTTTGCAGATTTTGCAAAGAAACTGGTACACTCATTTCCCTTCAAACACTTTGATGTCATATGAGAGATAGTTGATTCTTGCCACGGTTTATCACAGTAAATTCAATCTGTGACTGTATTGACATAAAACACAAACATCCAGATGAAAAGTGAAAAATTCAATGAATCATTTGAATATTTCTATACAGGACTCAGGTAGTTGAAAATAATACAGTTCAATTACATATATTTTCAAATATGAAATCTGAACTCAATAAATAAAATTCTGATATTTTTGTTGTGATCTATGTGAAGACAGACAATAGCAATAAAATAACTGGAATACTGACCAACTTTTATACGAAAGGATTTAAATGGTTATGAATATCGTGCAGACAAAAACCACAGATCATTTTTAACAGATTACATTTTTCTACTGCTTTTATTTTTAAAAGAATTAGCTAAAAACTACTTCTTTTGAAAAATATTTTAAAACTAATATTTCTGTATAATATGTGAGGATGAGGATCTCTTATTTAATGATAATAAGCTCCTGAGTTGCCAAAGATTCTTAATGTTAAATGCAATAAAGAATACCGTTGCTGGACATTATTTAAAAGCCTCATATAATTGCTTTAGTCATGTTAATAGCAAATGCTTCCAGAGTGCTTTGCCAATAGAATTCAATAACCACAGAAGAGGCGACAGGGAATGTAAATTATAGTTTTTCGATTCTGGTCCTTGATAATATATTCTCTAAAAGTCAATACAGTTTTCTAATTTAGATGGTAGTAGTTTAGTTTCTAGTGATTAAATAACCATTTAGAAGAGGTTAGTTGAGGCAAAAAAGCAAAACTTCCCAAATCCCAAAACGCAAAGAAGTCTAGGAACCTTCATGGCTTCAGACGTTCATCATTAGATGTCACAATAACATGACATTCATTTTCTTAAGTGGTTTATTAGCCTCAACGATTTGTAATATTTACTATTTAATGGCAAGGGAGAATTGTCAACAATTAGCTCCTGGAGAGTGGCCAATTGACAACATTAAAATAATGTTCACCTCAGCAAACTTCCTAATGCTAGGTAAGTAACAAAAATGAGTAAGAAACTGACATTGTTGCTATGAGGTATTCGCTGGACACCATCAGAAGCAGGGTGGCCAGAAGGCTTTCTCTGAGTTACCTAAACACAGCTTCAAACTGCACAGGAAAACCGGCACCTGCTGAGAAAGCTCAGCCACATGCCTGTCTGAACTCAAGTAATAGAAAATGGTTTTCTCCTTTTGATCAAAGAAAACATACAGAGAGATAAAATGGTTGCATTTTATGAATTTACCATAAGGAATAATAAATGACAATTGCATCTGGAATCCAAATATCCAAAAATGACAGAATGCCCGGACAGGTGCATTTTTCTCATCCACATACACAGAGTATGCGTGTGTGTTATTTAGGGAGTCAGACAGATCTGAGTTTGAATTTTAGCTTTACCATTTGCAAACTGTTAGAAATTAATCTTTCTAGTCCCAGTTTTATAACTGGAAAATGAGAATAATAATTGTGTTGATCCATTGTTGTAAAAATTAAGATAATGTGTGTTAAAATAGTATCACTGTTCCTGAAAGTGCTCAGTAATTACTAGTGTTCACATTATTGTAGTCATTCATATGTAGAGTTTCCAGATTTAGAAAAAAAATAGAATTCCCAGTTAAATTTGAATCTCAGGTAAACAATGAATACATTTTTAGAATAAGTATGTCTCACGCAATATTTGAAACATACTTATTCTAAAAATTGAATTATTGTTTATCTGAAATTCAAATTTAAGTAAAGATCCTGCCTTTTATCTGGCAACCTTATTTACACATAAATGTGGTCAAGAAAATTCATTTATTTATCATTTAGCTAAGAATGTATTGATAAAAACTAAGATACCTAAGGCAGTCAAACAAAATGTACACATTAAAATTCATGGTCATTGCTAAAGGAAAGGCTCCCTATGCCTTCACTCAGTATCTACGAACCTTAACTTCAGATCTCAACAATTTATTTTCTAAGTAAGAGATGCTAGTTTTGGAGAATTGCGCTTACAAAAAATATAAAAGTATAGTTGCTGTGGGAAAATTCCAGGCTCCAAAAGGAGGATTAGCACAAACTAGTGGCTACAAGAAGTGCTCCCAGGCAAGCCTGTCTTTCCTGAGGCCCTGGGCTTTGTCTTCTGATTTTCTCCTGTCAGCTTGCAAACCCAGACGGAGCCATGGACTTTGGCATTCCTATTGTTATCTCTTGTGCTACCCCAATATCTGGCCACAGTCATGTCTCTGATTCTGTTTCAAATCTACAGACTGAGCGTTGGAACAGTGACCATGTTTTCTCAGCATTTCCACCCGTTTTGTTCCTGGCTTGACTTTGTACTGCCATCTCTGTGCCAATACCCTGCACAAGTCCCTTTTGCAGGGTTACCAATACAGGAACTGTTTTCTAAGCCCAAACAGATTAGACTCTACAAATTATTAAAGAGCCAGATATAACAGGAACACTGATAGCAGTGAGAAAATATGGTTAGCCACCTGACAGCAGTGATATGCTATAATAATAATGACTGACATTGGTCAAGAACTTACTATTGCCAGTCGCAGTGTTAGACACTTAACTACTTTACCCCTCGCATCCCCTTCAAAGTAGGCAATGTTACATCCATTTTAAAGATGAAGAAAATGAGATCACAATGATAGTATGTGTCAGAGCTAGAGTTGAATACACCTCTCTAACTCCATGAACCACATCTCTTTGACCAAAAAAGCCTGCCTTCTCAGTGAAAGGGGGCACAGAAAAGAAAAAAATTAACTGTCATGAACCCAAAAAAGCACTGTAGTCTTGTGCCACTAAATATAGGTAGAAATGCTTACCATTTGTTTTTTTTTTGTTTTGTTTTGTTTTATTTTTAAGTTCTGGGATACATGTGCAGAGTGTACAGGTTTGTTACATAGGTATATATGTGCTATGGTGGTTTGCTACACCTATCAACCTGTCATCTAGGTTTTAAGCCCCACATGCATTAGGTATTCATCCTAAAGCTCTCCCTCCCCTTGCCCCTCACCACCGACAGGCCCCAGTGTGTGATGGTCCCCTCCCCATGTCCGATGGTCCCCTCCCCATGTCCTTGGGTTCTCATTGTTAAACTCCCACTTATGAGTGAGGACATGTGGTGTTTGGTTTTCTGTTCCTGTGTTGGTTTGCTAAGGATGATGGTTTCCAGCTTCACCCGTGTCCCTGCAAAGAACACGAACTCATTCTTTTTTATGGCTGCATAGTATTCCATGGTGTATATGTGCCACATATTCTTTATCCAGTCTATCCTTGATGGATACTTATGTTGGTTCCATGTCTTTGGACTGCTGCAATAAACATACGTGTGCATGTGTCTTCACAGAATGATTTATAATCCTCTGGGTATATATCCAGTAATGAGATTGTTGGGTCAAATGGTATTTCTGGTTCTAGATCCTTGAGGAATCACCACACTGTCTTCCACAATACCATTTGAATTTATATTCAGTGGCCTAGATAATACGTATGTATGCCGTGGTCCTAGACTACAATACTACATATATATAAATGGGACCAGATTGCCCACTCTATTATGACAGGTCAATTCAATATTAAAGTTTAGGATACAGAATTATCACAAAGACTTAAATTATTCAGAGAGATAATATAGTGAGGTAATGAAATAAGTTTTGGGGTGACAGGGTCAGAAGGACCTGCATTTCCATCCTGGCTTCACCTCTTCCTTCTAGTTATGAGAAGTGGACCACGTTTCTTGGCTTCTTTAGGCCACAGGTTCTTTTATGAAATGAGGTTGACCATGCCTACTCCATAGGTTGACTGTGAGGATGAAATGTGAGTACAGTTAGTGTGTTTATCTCAGTGACAGACATATCATAATCATTGAAAAATGTTAGTTTAACAGAACACAAGGAAATATGCAGTCTATTTTAGATTTTTGTCCAAAACGGGAGGAGAGGGGAGGGGAGAGGGAGAGGGTGAGGAAGAGGGAGAGGGAGAGGGAGAGAAGGAAGGAAGGAGAGAAGGGAGGAAGGGAGGGAGGAAGGAAGGAAGGAAGGGAGGGAGGGAGGGAGGGAGGGAGGGAGGGAAAGAGAGAGAAAGAAGGAGGATCAATCCCAATCCCTCAGTCAAATGAAAGTCAGTTATTCTCAGGGTTACCAATAGCAAAGCTGTGTTTGTGTGTCTGTCTGTCTGTCTATCTTTCCTCTATCATCTATCTGTTTCTTTGTATTCACTCACAGAACTATTTAAACTCTATCCTTTCAACAAATTTCAGATCCTGAAGAGTTCTTCCTTATTGCTCTAAGGCTTTGGTCTTTCTAGCATCTGAGGAACGGCAGTGTAAGTGTGAGCACCCCAGCCCTAGCATTGGCACTAACCTTCTATACATTTTACATACTCTACTCTCACTAGATATGGTCTGTATATTATATACGCTATACCTATACCTATTTACTCCAGACTTGCTCTTTATGTGCTAGTTTAGCAGCTACACCATCAAACGAGAAAATCATCTACCAGAGCCAATAATATAACCCAGAATGGAATCGTGTCTAAAATATAATCATAAGAATGTAACACATCTCCACTCAAGAGTTCTTCTTTTAAGCAATAAATGCCAAAGAGTGGTTGAGATAAATAGTTGTATCAGGAACATTCAGCATTGTGTGGCATTTTGGGAGTCAGACTGTGGGATAGCCACACCTGGGTTTGTCTGAAAGATGCTGCAAACATTCAGAAGGTAGTTGTGGTGGGTAGAATCAGCAGTGGGCAGGTAGACCAAATATTTAGATTGTAATCCTAGTTCTACCTTGCTCTAGTTAAGCCTCTTAAAATAGAGCTTCAATTTCCCTGTCTAAAAATTGCGTGTAATACCACCCATATTGGAAGACTGTTGCTATAATTAGGCTTTGTACGCAAAACTTGGCACATAGTAGGTACTTAAATGTTAAATGATGTGGTTGGGAAAGTTTCAACCCTGCCTTTGCTCTTCGAGAAAGAGTTAGTAAAAGCAGGATGACTGTGCTTGAAGGATTTGTCTACTAGTTTCAATGAAATAGAAGAAATCTTCCTGAAATGTTGGCTAGTTTTTGACATCAAAGGAGATAAGTACCCTTTGGAAACTCATAGAATGCAACTTTTGACACTTGCTTTTCTCCAGTTTAAGCCAACTGCTGAGTAAATTAACAAAGTATTAAGGCCATAGAAAGTACTCCTTGTAATTTTTTAAAATGTGTGTAGGAATGAATGTACTTAATGCCATTGAGCTGAACTATAATTTTCAATGCTGTTTATAACAATGGCCAAGATGGCAAATTTTATATTATTTGTATTGTACCATAATGCAAAAAATATTCAGGAAAACTGTGTGTGTAGGAATGAGGGGAGAATATAGGAAGGGCTACTTTTACTAAATATCCAGGTGGAAGGAATTTTTTGTTTTTATTCATTGTTTATTTTCTTCTCACATTTAAAAATTTAAATGTAAAGACTTAGAAAAAATAAGACTAAAAGTACTTATTATGAATCTTTTGATTTGAGCAATATTGTATGGGAAGGGTGGAGAGGGTCAAAGTACAAACTGATCATTCTACACATGGATGAGTTCCAAAACACCTGCCTAGAATACAGAGATTAAAACTTTGCAACAAAGTAGAACATTGAAGTTAATTTACCTAATGGTATTAGGTCAACCTGTCTCAACTAGCTTTCTGAGCAAACAAATGCTTTCTTTTAGGTATTTTCATTAGTTGTACAGATATTACATAAAAATATATGAGATTCCTTGAAGACAAATATAGTGCTTTAGTGCCCCTCTATTAGAGATTTTAAAATGCATATACATCCAATCCAATAAATTATAAAAGTAATATATTTCAATAAGTTAAAATGTAGGAAAAAAACATAATACTCAATGCATTTTTTGCTTTTATGTATTAGTATGTAACTATAGTTTATATAGGTTTATTTTTAAGAGTAGTAGTTGGTATTTTATTTTGGGCATATTAGCTCATTTAGCATTCCTATGCAACCTACAAAGCAGATATTATTGTCATCAATTTACAGACACACATACACGTACACAAAACAACTGTGAAACTCAGAGAATCTAAGTTATTTCCGAAGATTGCACAGCTCATTAGTGGCAGATAGATTTGAAGCCCTGTATGTCTGGCTCTAAGCTGATGTTTTAATTATGCTATCACAGAGTTTCTTTGAAATTGTATACCATTGAATTTTTTTTTCATTTTATCATTCACCATCTATCCATCCATTCAACAGGCATCTGTTGAATAAATATTGAATGTGAGAAAGAAAAAAATTATCTGAGCAATAAGAGCTCCTTTAAATTATCAGTCCCAAAGAGGCATTTAAAATGTAACAAGTCTCACTCTCCCTTGAACTAATTACCTCTTGAAACCACTTGCTATGTGGGCATTTTGTGACTACTGATGGCAAGTAGCCATAAAATACCATACTCTTACCACCATAACTCTTACCCTTAGTCTAACAATGTATAACCAATTGCTAATCAAACCTATTTCTGTAACAGACTAAGAATTCCTGATGAACTACTTTTATAATTGCCCCCGCTCCTGATTTGCCTTTTCTTTTCTTTTTTCCTTTTTTTTTTTTTTTTTTTTGACAGAGTCTCTTGCTCTGTCGCCCAGGCTGGAGTGAAGTGGTGCGATCTCGGCTCACTGCAACCTCCGCCTCCCGGGGTTCAAGCAACTCTCCTGCCTCAGCGTCCTGAGTAACTGGGATTACAGGTGCCCGCCACCGCGCCCGGCTAATTTTTGTATTTTTGTAGAGGCGAGGTTTCACCTTCTATTTTTAGTAGAGGTGAGGTTTCACCATCTTGGCCAGGCTGGTCTCGAACTCCTGACCTCATGATCCACCTGCCTCGGCCTCCCAAAGTGCTGGGATTACAGGCATGAGGCACTGTGCCTGGCCTGCCTTTTCTTTAAAAACTTGAGCCCCTCTTTTGTTTGCCAGAGCCCTTCCCAAGGCAACTTGGAAGTGTGTCCCTGGCCACAGTCCTCAATCTTGTCCCAAATACTCTCTCCATGTTAATTTTGCTTCAGCTTCTCCCTTTTAGGTCAACAAATGAATGATACTAATATAAACTCTGATGAACCATTCAGATTATACTACCAAAAACTAGCCTACTTACAAAGGCTTTAGCTATGTATGATGTATGTGATTCTCTCTCTCTTTTGCTTCTTCTAATAAAAAAAAAAAACCTGGGACACATGTGCAGAACATGCAAATTTGTTACATAGGTATACGTGTGCCATGGTGGTTTGCTGCACCTATTGACCCATCCCCTAAGTTGCCTCCCCTCCCCCTCCACCTCCAACAAGCCCTGGTGTGTGTTGTTTCCCTCTCTGTGTCCATGTGTTCTCAATGTTCAGCTCCCACTTATGAGTGAGAACATGCAATGTTTGGTTTTCTGTTCCTGTGTTAGTTTGCCGAGGATGATGGCTTCCAGCCTCATCCATGTCCCTGCAAGGGACATGATCTCATTCCTTTTTATGGCTGCATAGTTTTTGATGACATATGTGTACCACATTTTCTTTATCCTGTCTATCATTGATGGGCATTTGAGTTGGTTCCATGTCTTTGCTATTGTAAACAGTGCTGCAATAAACATACGTGTGCATGTATCTTTATAGTAAGATGATTTTTATTCCTTTGGGTATATACCCAGTAATGGGATTGCTGGGTCAAGTGGTATTTCTGGTTCTAGATCCTTGAGGAATCGCCACACTGTCTTCCACAATGGTTAAACTAATTTACATTCCCACCAACAGTGTAAAAGCATTCCTATTTCTCCACAGCCTCACCAGTATCTATTGTTTCCTGAGTTTTTAATAGTTGCCATTCTGACTGGTGTGAGATGGTATCCCATTGTGGTTTTGATTTCTATTTCTCTGATGACCAGTGATGTTGAGCTTTTTTTCGTATGTTTGTTGCCACATAAATGTCTTCTTTTAATAAGCTTCTGTTCACATCCTTTGCCCACTTTTTGATGGGATTGTTTATTTTTTCTCGTAAATATGTTTAACTTCCTTGTAAATTCTGGACATTAGACCTTTGTCAAATGGGTAGATTGCAAAAATTTTCTCCCATTCTGTAAGTTGCCTGTTCACTCTGATGGCAGCTTCTTTTGCTGTGCAGAAGCTCTTCAGTTTAATTAGACCCCATTTGTCAAATTTGGCTTTTGTTGCAATTGCTTTTGGCATTTTTGTCATGAAGTCTTTGCCCATGCCTATGTCCTGAATGGTATTGCCTAGGTTTTCTTCTGGGGTTTTTATAGTTTTGGGGAATTACATTTAAGTCTTTAATCCATCTTGAATTAATTTTTGTATAAGGTATAAGGAAGAGACCCAGTTTCAGTTTTCTGCATGTGGCTAGCCAGTTTTCCTAGCACCATTTACCGACTAGGAGATCTTTTCCCCATTGCTTGTTTTTGTCAGGTTTGTCAAAGATCAGATGGTTGTAGATGTGTGGTGTTATTTTGAGGTCTCTTTTCTGCTCCATTGGTGTAAATGTCTGTTTTGGTACCAGCATCATACTGTTTTAGTTACTGTGGCCTTGTAGTATAGTCTGAAGTCAGGTAGTGTGATGCCTCCAGCTTTATTCTTTTTGCTTAGGATTGTCTTGGCTGTACAGGGTTTTCTTTGATTCCATATGAAATTTAAAATAGTTTTTTCTAATTCTGTGAAGAATGTCAACGGTAGTTTGATGGGAATAGCATTGAATCTATAAATTACTTTGGGTAGTATGGCCATTTTTGTGGTATTGATTCTTCCTATCCACGAGAATAGAATGTTTTTCCATTTGTTTGTGTCTTCTCTTATTTCCATGAGCAGTGATTTGTAGTTCTCCTTGAAGAGGTCCTTCACATCCCTGGTTAGCTGTATCCCTAGGTATTTTGTTCTCTTAGTAGCAATTGTAAATGGGAGTTCTTAATTTGGCTCTCTGCGTGCCTATTGTAGGCGTAAAGGAATGCTAGTGACTTTTGCATATTGATTTTGTATCCCGAGACTTTGCTGAAGTTGTTAAACAGTTCAAGAAGCTTTTGGCCTGAGATGATAGGGTTTTCTAAATATAAAATCATGTCATCTTCAAAAAGAGACAACTTGACTTTCTCTCTTCCTATTTGAATACCCTTTATTTCTTTCTCTTACCTAATTGCCCTGGCCAGAACTTCCAATACTATGTTGAATAGGAGTGGTGAGACAGGGCATCCTTGTCTTGGACTGGTTTTCAAAGGGAATGATTTCAGCTTTTGCCCATTCAAAATGATACTAGCTATGGGTTTGTCATAAATAGCTCTTATTATTTTGAGGTGTGTTCCATCAATACCCAGTTTATTGAGAATTTTTAGCATGAAGGGATGTTGAATTTTATCAAAGGCCTTTTCTGCATCTATTGAGATAATTATGTGGTTTTTGTCTTTGGTTCTGTTTATGTGATGGATTATGTTTATTGATTTGCATATGTTGAACCAGCCTTGCATGCCAGGGATGAAGCTGACTTGATCGTGGTGGATAAGTTTTTTGATGTGCTGCTGGATTCAATTTGCCAGTATTTTATTGAGGATTTTTGCATCGATTTTCATCAGAGATATTGGCCTGAAGTTTTATTTTTTTGTTGTGTCTTCTCGGTTTTGGTATCAGGATGATGCTGGCTTCATAAAATGAATTAGAGAGGAGTCCCTCCTTTTCAATTGTTTGGAATAGTTCCTGAATGAATAGTACTACCTCTTCTTTGTATTTCTGGTAGAATTTGGCTGTGAATCCATCTGGTCCTGGGATTTTTTTGGCTGGTAGGCTATTAATTACTGCCTCAATTTCAGAGCTTGTTATTGGTCTATTCAGGGATTCAATATCTTCCTGGTTATTCTTGGTAGGGGTTATGCATCCAGAAAATCATCCATTTCTTCTAGATTTTCTAGTTTATTTGCATAGAGGTGTTTGTAGTGATCCCTGATGGTAGTTCGTATTTCTGTGGGGTCAGTGGTGATATCACCTTAGTCATTTTTTATTGTGTCCACTTGATTCTTCTCTCTTTTCTTATTAGTCTAGCTAGTGGTCTATTTATTTTTTTAATTTTTTCAAAAAGCCATCTCTTGGATTCATGGATTTTTTTGAGGGTTTTTCACATCTGTATCTCCTTCAATTCTTCTCTGATCTTAGTTACATCTTGTCTTCTACTAGCTTTTGGATTAGTTTGCTCTTGCCTCTCTAGCTCTTTTAATTGTGATATTAGGGTGTCTTTCTAGCTTTCTGATGTGGGCATTTGGTGCGATAAATTTCCCTCTTAACACTGTTTTAGCTGTGTGCCAGATATTCTGGTACGTTGTCTCTTTGTTCTCATTTGTTTCAAAGAACTTCTTGATTTCTATCTTAATTTCCTTATTTACCCAGGAGTCGTTCAGAAGCAGGTTGTTCTATTTCCATGAAATTGTGTAGTTTTGAGTGAGTTTCTTCATCCTGAGTTCTAATTTAATTGCACTATGGTCTGAGAGACTGTTATGATTACAGCTCTTTTGCATTTATTTGCTGAGGAGTGTTTTACTTCCAATTATGTGGTCGATTTTAGAAAAGGTGCCACGTGGCTCTGAGAAAAATGTATATTCTGTTGATTTGGGGTAGAGAGTTCTGTAGACATCTACTAGGTCCACTTGACCCAGAGCTGAGTTCAAGTCCTGAATATCCTTGTTAATTTTCTGTCTTGTTGATCTAATACTGACACTGGGGTGTTAAAGTCTCCCACTGTTATTGTGTGGGAGTCTAAGTCTCTTTGTAGGTCTCTAAGAACTTGTTTTATGAAGCTGGGTGCTCCTGTATTGGGCTCATATATATATTCAGAATAGTTAGCTCTGCTGGTTGAATTGTTCCCTTTACCATTGTGTAATGCTCTTTGTCTTTTTTTTATCTTTGTTGGTTTAAAGTCTGTCTTGTCAAAGAATAGGATTGCAACCCCTGCTTTTTTTTTGTTTTCCATTTGCTTGGTTAATTTCCTCCATCCCTTTATTTTAAGCCTGTGTGTGTCTTTGTATGTAAGATAGGTCTCCTGAATACAGCACATCTATGGGTTTTGATTCTTTATCCAATTGGCATTTAATTGTGTGTCTTTTAATTGGGGCATTTAGCCCATTATATTTAAGGTTAGTATTGTTATGTATGAATTTGATCCTGTCATCATGATGCTATTTGGTTATTTTGCACACGAGTTGATGCAGTTTCTTTATTGTGTCATTGGTCTTTATATTTTGGTGTGTTTTTGCAGTGGCTGGTGCAAGTTTTTCCTTTCCATATTTAGTGCTTCTTCAATGAGCTCTTGCAGGGCAGGCCTGGTGGTAACAATATCCCTCACCATTTGCTTGTCCGGAAAGGATTTTATTTCTCCTTCACTTGTGAAGCTTAGTTTGCCTGGATATGAAATTTTGGGTTGAAAATTCTTTTCTTTGAGAATGTTAAATATTGGACCCCAGTCTTTTCTGGCTTGTAGAGTTTCTGCTGAGTGGCCCGCTGTTAGTCTGATGGGCTTACCTTTGTAGGTGACCTGGCCTTTCTCTCTGGCTGCCCTTAATAGTTTTTCCTTCATTTCGATCTTGAAGAATCTGATGATTATGTGTCTTGTGGTTGATCTTCTCATGGAGTATCTTAATGGTGTTCTCCGTATTTTCTCAATTTGCATGTTAGCCTGTCTTGCTAGACTGGGGAAGTTCTCCTGGGTAATATCCTGAAGTGTGTTTTCCAGCTTGTTTCCATTCTCCCCCTCTCCTTATGGTACTCCAATCAATCATAGGTTTGGTCTTTTTATGAAGTCTGATATTTCTTGGAGGCTTTGTTCATTCCTTTTCATTCTTTTTTCTGTATTCTTGTCTGCATGTCTTATTTCAGTAAGGTGGTCTTCAAACTCTGATATTCTTTCTTCCACTTGGTCGATTTGGCTGTTGATACTTGCATATGCTTCATGACGTTCTCGTGCTGTGTTTTTCAGCTCTATCAGGTCATTTATGTTTCTTTCTAACCTGGTTATTCTAGTTAGCAATTCCTCTAACCTTTTATCAAGGTTCTTAGCTTCTTTGCATTGAGTCAAAACATGCTCCTTTAGCTCAGCGTAGTTTTTTATTATCCGTCTTCTGAAGCCTACTTCTGTCAATTCGTCCATCTGATCCTCTGCCCAGTTCTGAGCCCTTGATGGAGAGACATTGCAATCATTTGGAGGAAAACAGGCACTCTGACCTTTTGGGTTTTCAGCATTTTTTTCATCGATTCTTTCTCATCTTCATGAGTTTGTCTAGTTTTGGTCTTTGAGGCTGCTGATCCTTGGATGGGGTTTTTGTGGGGGTCTTTTGTTGTTGTTGTTGTTGTTGATGGTATTGTGGTCACTTCGTGCTTGTTTATTTTTCTTTCAATAGTCAGGTCCCTCTTCTGTAGGGCTGCTGCAGTTTGCTGGTGGTTCATTTCAGGCCCTATTCATCTGATTTGCTCCTGTGCTTGGAAATGTCAATCAAGGAGGCTGGAGAAAAGCAAAGCTGGGTGCCTACTCCTTCTTCTGGGACCTCTGACCTTGAGGGTCACCAACCTGATGCCAGTAGGATCGTTCCTGTATAGGGTGTCTGACAACCCCTGTTGGATGGTCTCACCTAGTTGGGTGGCATGGGGAGCAGGACCCATTTAACAAAGCACTTTGTCCCTTGGTGGAGAGGGTGTGCTTTGCTGCGGGGAAACCCACTCACCTGGGCTCCCCAGATTCTTCAGAACAACCAGGAGGAAAGGCTAAGTCTGCTGGTCTGCAGAGACTGAGGCTACTCCTCCCCTAGAGGCTCAAGCCCAGGGAGATTCAAATTCTTTCCCTGAGCCTCTGGTGGGAGTTATTGGAGATCCTGCAAAGAAGCCCCATCCAATGAGGAAGGATGGGTCAGGGTTAGGCCTGAAGGGGCACTCTGGCCACAGATTGCCACAGCTGGTGTGTTGGGCTGTGGGGACAAGTCTTGGGACCAAGCCGTCCAGCCTCCCTGGCTCCAGCAGGGGAAAAGGCCAGCCTGGAGCTATAGAAATGGGTGCCGCCCTTCCCCAGCACAGGGAGCTTAGCTTGTTAGGCAGTTGCAAGTCCCGGTGCTGGATGCTGCTTCCCCAAGGAGCTCAAATGGTTTAGATAGCAGGCAGACATGCCTGGTGCTGGTCACCTCTCCCCAAGGAGTTCCATAGGCTTAAGCAGATTCCAGCTGAAAGGCTGTAAGAATCTGCATGTTCTGGGGTTGGGACCCTGGTTCCCAGTGGTATGAGTTCGCTAGTGGGATCTTCTGATTCATGGGTTGCACAGTTCTGTGGAAAGAGCACAGCTCCCCAGCTGAGTAGCATGCTCTCTCACCACCTCCCTTGGCTGGGAGGAGGGAGTTCCTCTTCCCCAAGTGGTTCTCAAGTGGGCCATCACACCACGCTGCTCTTCCTTCTCTCCGTGGGTCACACCAGCCTTCTAGTCGGTTTTGATGAGAAAACTTGGATGCTTTGGTTGCCTGTGAAGGATTCACATGCTTATTATGTTTTTTTCCGATGGAAGCCTCTGAATGCCACTGTTTCTAGTTGGCCATCTTGGTCCTGTCCCCGTATAGGTTTTTACGTATAATCGTCTGTGTCTTTTTAATTTAATATACTACTATAATTTTTAATGTTGTTTATAAAATTTCTCAATTACCACTTTTAATAGTTAGATAGTATTCCTTTACTGATGTATCATTATTTACATAACTCTTCTTCTATAGTTCAATATTTGGGTGGTTTCTAATTTGGGACTGCTATTTAAAGTGCTGCAATAAATATGTTATTTTATACATTTTTATTTCTTTTAGAGTATTTCCACAGGACAAATTCCCTTAATTAAAAGGTTTGTCTACATTATACATATTGCCTTATACAGTTTAGATATTTGTCCCTGCCCAAATCTCATGCTGAATCATAATTCTCAGTGCTGGAGGTAGGGCCTGGAGAAGTGTTTGGATCATGGAGACAGATCCCTCACATCCTGCTGCTGTCTTCCTGATAGTGGGTTCTTTCCAGAGAGCAGGTCATTTAAAAGGGTGTGGCACCTCCCTGCCTACTCTCTTTCTCCAGCTCTGCACTGGGAGATACGTGCTCCCCCTTCACCTTCTGCCATGACTGTAAGCTTCCTGAGGCCTCCCCAGAAGCAGATGTCAGCACAACATTTTCTCTAGAGCTTGCGGAAGTGTGAGCCAATTAAACCTTTTTTCTTATAAATTACCCAGTCCCAAGTATTTCTTTATAACAATGCAAGAGCACCCTAATTTCCAAATTGCCTTCCAAAATGATCATACCAATTACATTATAATACAAAATATTAGAGTTGTTCCTGCTTTTAATTTAGATTTGTTGACTTTAAAGGGAAATAAATAAGACTTGTTCTTTTTTTTTTTTTTTTTTTTTTGGAGATGGGTCTACTCTGTCACCCAGGCTGGAGTGCAGTGGCATGATCTGGGCTCAAGCAATCCTCCCACCTCAGCTTCTGAGTAGCTGAGACTACAGGTGTCCACCACCAAGCCCGGCTATTTTTTTTTTTTTTAAATTCTTTGTAGAGATGGGGTTTTTCCATGTTGCCCAGGCTGGTCTCGATCTCCTGGGCTCCAGCAATCATCCACCTCAGCCTCCCAAAGTGCTGGCATTATACAAATGAGGCACCACACCCGGCCAGTTTGCTTTTATTTGATTACTAAATATATTGAGTTAAAATCAAAAGTCACTGTTAATTTGGATTTTCTGACACTTGTAGTTAAACCTAATCCTAACTAATACAGAGACTGACTTATAATTTACAATGAATACAAAGAAGAGTAATTTTTTACTTAACTTCTTGGGTCATTTACGCTTACAAAAGATATATTGCCATTTTATTCTTTCAAATATAGTAACAATAAACCTTGTACAATTCAAAATATTCTCTAAAGATAATTTAGAAATGCAAATACAGTTTAAAAACTAATTAATTGTGACAATTATGACTACGTTTCTGTTTACAGACACTAGTAAGCATGGAATTACCTAATTAGTAGATTGAACCATTGAAATTGCCTATATTTGGCCATGTTTTCTACAAAAAAAAAAAGTAATTTAGTGTATCAACCCAAAACACACATAATGTGAAAAAATGTTTCTCTACACTGTAGCCCTCAAGTTAGCACTCGTGAGCATCTTTTCTTGCATGAGGGCCGATTTTCAGTAAAGAAAATGAAAACATTCACAGTTCATGATTTTAAAATTAGTTTTATGTGTGTGTGCTTTAGTAAAAGAAATGCAATCTTTGCAACTGCACTTATTTCAGTTAAGAGTTTTATAACTTTGTGCTAAAATTTCAGAAACTGCATAATCAACTTACACCACAATATTTGATGTTAAATCTGTAATTTTTAATACACGTTGTGTGAGATATGGTAGTACAGGATACTAAGGAGTAGCATTTTTAGGTTGGAGAGAAAAACTGACCTGAGTCTCAGCATAGACCAGTAACAAAAGAGATAGCATGGGAGGAAGTCATTTTTAAGTTCTAGGGAAGCAACCGTAGAGACTCTGCCATTTGAAGGCAAAATCAACACTGCATCTGTAAATTTAATATACTTCTTTTCTTTTCTTTCTTTCTTTTTTTTTTTTGAGTAGTTCATTTGACTGACTAAGGAACCTTCTCAGGTACTCAAGTAGTTTTATGCATCTAATGAAAAAAATTAAAAATACGGTGTATTATATATATGTGTGTATATTCTTAAAATATTTCAATATATATATTCTAGGAACATATATATATATAAATACATACATATGTTCTTAAACTATTTTAATATTGTATATACATTTTAGTAAAACTTTCGAATGAGAACTCCAAGACTGATCTATTCAAAGTCCAAATTGTCTTAAATATCTGTAAATATGAATAGGTTCCTTAACACAAACATAATGATATAAAGGTTTAATTCTCTTTTTTTTTTTTTTTTTTTTTGAGACGGAGTCTCGCTCTTTGGGCCAGGCTGGAGTGCGGTGGCGTGATCTCGGCTCACTGCAAGCTCCGCCTCCCGGGTTCACACCATTCTCCTGCCTCAGCCTCCCGAGTAGCTGGGAATACAGACGCCCGCCACTACGCCCGACTAATTTTTTGTATTTTTAGTAGAGATGGGGTTTCACCGTGTTAGCCAGGATGGTCTCAATCTCCTGACCTCGTGATCCAACCGCCTTGGCCTCCCAAAGTACTGGAATTACAGGCGTGAGCCACCGTGCCTGGCCAATTCTCTTAAATATTTCTAAACTTAAGTCTAGATTTTCTTAGGGTTGATAGATACTTGTGCACTAAAGAAAGTGTTTTGTCATCCCAAACAATTTGGAGTATATTTGTAGGAGGTAGGGGTGATCCTTTCATTAGTCACATGAAATTGCAGAATAGCCGTAGATTTTGGCCAGTATGGTGACCAAGAGTCTCCTTGGAACAAACTGAGCCTAATGACAATCTATAACAAGGATTTCAGAGGTTAACTCTCAGCCTTCCCCCAATATCCAGTTGATCTATTGTGCAGGTTTACTATGAGAATTAAATGAGTTAATATACGTAAAGACTTTATGTCGGTGCCTGGTAGAGAGGAAGCTCTATGTTATCTCATAAGCTTCATCTGACTAATCAGTCACAATTTCCAGGGTCATTCTCCTGCCAACATTTTTGTCTCACAGTGGTCATATGCGTGGTTCCTATAGTGCTTCCAAATGCTAAATCCCTGGCAGCAGCCTCAGAATGTCAGCCCTAGATACGCACATAAGATTTCACAGTCCTGGCAAGATGAAACTACTCAAGAGTGGGGGCGGTTTTCCGTGAATAGCTGAAGGAGATGGATTTTAGTCATCCACTTTAATATTGTAAAGGGGTTTCTTTTCAGAGTGATGAAAATGTTCTGGAATTAGAGAATGGTGATAGTTGCACAACCTTGTGAATATACTCAAAACCACTGAAATGTCCACTTTAAAATGGTGAGTTTTTATGATATG
The DNA here is from genome assembly GCF_000001405.40 of Homo sapiens. Lineage (NCBI taxonomy): Eukaryota > Metazoa > Chordata > Mammalia > Primates > Hominidae > Homo > Homo sapiens. The sequence continues at coordinate 20,063,054 of NC_000012.12, read as the reverse complement.
TGAAGTATAGCTTAATAAAAATAATTTCAACAAGTAATACAAAAACAAAAGCTAGATCTTTAGTCACCAAGGCTGCATTAAAAAATTACCCCCAAAACATGGTGGCGGAAAACAACCATTTACTTTGGTCATGTATTATGCGGTTCAGGAATTCAAATAAGACAGAGTAAGATGGCTTTGGTCTGTGATGTCTGGTACCTCAGCTGGAAGGCTTCAAGGGGGTAAAATAATCTGCAGGCTCACTCATTCACATGTCTGGCAGTGGACGCTTGGTTGACATGTTAAGGCTGAGACCTTAGCTGGGGATGTTGTCTGTAGCACTTTCCTATGGCCTGGGCTTTCTCACAGCATGGTGGCCAGGTTCCAAGGACAAATGTCTCAATAGAGAGAGAAGAGACAGCCAGGTGGAAGCTGCTTCACCTTTTGTGACCTAGCCTGTCAGAAGTCACCTCCTGTCTCCAGTGCATGCCATCCCTTAGAAGCAAGTCACTAAGGCTAGTGCATATTCAGTACTGGGAATATAAAAATATCTTCTTTCTTTGGAGAAATGTCAATATCACACTGCAAGAAAAGCACAGGAATAGGCTATATTTGAAAACAAAATCTGCCACGGTGTTTAATAATCATATCTTCCTGAAAAACAGGTATAATCTACTCAATGTAAATTTTGCAAAATGGAAGCCCTGAGATTCTGCATATAAGCCATTAGACTTAAAGCAAAAACAACATGAAAAAATTTCTTCAACAGTATGACAATGACATTTAAAAGCTGTATTTATCCTGAGCACACTTTTCTGTGTGTATTCAAGCAAACTCATTTATTCATTTATTGAACAGAAATGTATTATGCCAAATATTCTTTTATGCTCTGGGATGTACGAGTGAGCAAGAAAAGATAAATGGCACCTAGCCTTCACAAGAAAAAAATAACTACAATGGAATTACATAAATGTGGTAAAAAGGAAAAGACGGCATTGTAGGAGCACAGTTTAGTGATTCACTCAGATAACCCAGATCTGTGAATAGCTATAGTATGATATGTGGATTAGGTATTAATAATAAACAAGATTCAGAGAAGACATATTAGTTGCTGGAAAGGAAATCCCTCCCAAAAGTCAGGCCCACATGAAAGAAGGTAGAAATCAGAAAAAGACTTAGGCAATTTAAATAATTAGAGTAAAATAGGATAATTCAGTGGCAGAACTTATCTTCGTTTATCCTCTCCAACTCCTTTCCAGCCTCCATTTTCCCAAACAACCACCCTAGAATAACTTGGTGAGGTAGTCAAGAATTTAGATCCAGGAGCTGGTTTTTTGAAAAGATTAACAAAATAGATAGACCACTAGCCAGACTAATAAAGAGAAAAGAGAGAAGAATCAAATAGACGCAATAAAAAGTGATAAAGGGGATATCACCACTGATCCCGCAGAAATACAAACTACCATCAGAGAATACTATAAACACCTCTACGCAAATAAACTAGAAAATCTAGAAGAAATGGATAAATTCCTCGACACATACACCATCTCAAGACTAAACCAGGAAGAAGTCAAATCCCTGAATAGACCAATAACAAGTTCTGAAATTGAGGCAGTAATGAATAGCCTACCAACCAAAAAAAGCCCATGATCAGATGGATTCACAGCTGAATTCTACCAGAGGTACAAAGAGGAGCTGGTACCACTGCTTCTGAAACTTTCCAAACAATAGAAAAAGAGGGAATACTCCCTAACCCATTTTATGAGGCCAGCATCATCCTGATACCAAAACCTGGCAGAGACACAACAAAAAAAGAAAATTTCAGGCCAATATCCCTGATGAACATCCATGCAAAAATCCTCAATAAAATACTGGCAAACCGAATCCAGCGGCACATCAAAAAGCTTATCCACCACGATCATGTCAGCTTCATCCCTAGGATGCAAGGGTGGTTGAACATATGCAAATCAATAAATGTAATCCATCACATAAACAGAACCAATGACAAAAACCACATGATTATCTCAATAGATGCAGAAAAGGCCTTCAATAAAATTCAACATCCCTTCATGCTAAAAACTCTCAATAAGCTAGGTATTGATGGAACGTATCTCAAAATAATAAGAGCTATTTATGACAAACCAACAGCCAATATCATACTGAATGGGCAAAAGCTGGACGCATTCTTTGAAAACCGGCACTAGACAAGGATGCCCTCTCTCACCACTCCTATTCAACATAGTTTTGGAAGTTCTGGCCAGGGCAATCAGGCAAGAGAAAGAAACAAAGTGTATTCAAATAGGAGGAGAAGAAGTCAAATTGTCTCTGTTTGCAGATGACATGATTGTATATTTAGAAAACCCCATGGTCTCAGCCCCAAATCTCCTTAAGCTGATAAGCAACTTCAGCAAAGTCTCAGGATACAAAATCAATGTGCAAAAATCACAAGCATTCCTATACACCAATAACAGACAAACAGAGGGCCAAATCATGAGTGAACTCCCATTCACAATTTCTCTAAAGAGAATAAAATACCTAGGAATCCAACTTACAAGGGATGTGAATAACCTTTTCAAGAAGAACTACAAACCACTGCTCAATGAAATAAGAGAGGACACAAATGCAAAAACATTCCATCCTCATGGATACGAAGAATCAATGTCGTGAAAATGGCCATATTACCCAAAATAATTTATAGATTCAATGCTACCCCATCAAGCTACCATTGACTGTCTTTACAGAATTAGAAAAAACTACCTTACATTTCATATGGAACCAAAAAAGAGCCCATATAGCCAATAAAATCCTAAGCAAAAAGAACAAAGCTGGAGGCATCATGCTACCTGACTTCAAACTATACTACAAGTCTACAGTAACCAAAACAGCATGGTACTGGTATCAAAACAGATATATAGACCAATGGAATGGAACAGAGGCCTCAGAAATAACACCACACATCTACAACCATCTGATCTTTGACAAACCTGACAAAAACAAGCAATGGGGAAAGTATTCCCTATTTAATAAATGGTGTCGGGAAAACTGGCTAGCCATACACAGAAAACTGAAACTGGGCTCCTTCCTTACACCTTATACAAAAATTAACTCAAGATAGATTAAAGACTTCAAGGTATAAAACCTAAAACCATAAAAACCCCAGAAGAAAACCTAGGCAATACCATTCAGGACATAGGCATGGGCAAAGACTTCATGACACATCAAAAGCAATGGCAACAAAAGCCAAAATTGACAAATGGGATCTAACTAAACTAAAGAGCTTCTGCACAGCAAAAGAAACTGCCATCAGAGTCAACAAGCAACCTGCAGAATGGGAGAAAACTTTTGCAACCTATCCATCTGACAAAGGGCTAATATCCAGAATCTACAAAGAACTTTAAAAAATTTACAAGAAAAAAACAAACAACCCCATCAAAATGTGGGCAAAGGATATGAACAGACAGTTCTCAAAAGAAGATATTTATGCAGCCAACAAACATATGAAAAAAAGCTCATCATCACTGATCCTTAGAGAAATGCAAATCAAAACCACCATGAGATAACATCTCATTCCAGTTAGAATGGTGATCATTAAAAAGTCAGGAAACAACAGATGCTGCAGAGGATGTGGAGAAACAGGAATGCTTTTACACTGTTGGTGGGAGTGTAAATTAGTTCAACAATTGTGGAAGACAGTGTGGTGATTCCTCAAGGATCTAGAACCGGAAATACCATTTGACCCAGCAATCCCATTACTGGATATATACCCAAAAGAGTATAAATCATTCTACTATAAAGACACATGCACACGTATGTTTATTGCAGCACTGTTCACAATAGCAAAGACTTGGAACTAACCCAAATGCCCATCAATGATAGGATTGGATAAAGAAGAATATAAAGAAAAAGAACATAAAGAAAATATGGCACATATACTCCATGGAATATTAGGCAGCCATAAAAAAGGGATGAGTTCATTTCCTTTGCAGGGACATGGATGAAGCTGGAAACCATCATTCTCAGCAAACTAACACAGCAACAGAAAACCCAACACTGCATGTTCTCACTCATAAGTGGGAGCTGAACAATGAGAACACATGGACACTGGGAGGGAACCATCACAAACTGGGACCTGTTGTGGGGGTGGGGGCCTCGGGGAGGGATAGCATTAGGATAAATACCTAATGTAGATGACGGGTTGATGGGTGCTGGAAACCACCATGGCATGTGTATTCCTAGGTAACAAATCTGCACATTCTGCACACAAATCCCAGAACTTAAAGCATAAAAAAAAAAAAGATTTTAGGTAATTGCACAATTACCTAAATTCTGGAACTCCACAATTCTGGAACTTCAAAAGTTCCAGAAACGTGTGAAGTCCTAAAAAATGTAAATACTGTTTTTATAAACAAAAATTTAACTGACCCACATAATAACTTTTATGTGACATTACTATGCCCATGTCCCTAGAGTTAATATGTTTATTAAATGTATCACTCCTCACTGTGTTTAATCATTAAAGTACAGCTTAGCCCTAACCAATCATTTCCAGAAATTTTCATATTCTGTAGTCACACTGATGTTAAGCAGCATTTTCCTTAAAACGCTTTGAATGGAACTGGGTTTCCCTCCCCCCAGCCTTAATTATTTTAGATAAAAGAACATGAAAGTAGTGACAACATAATTATAGCTTTATGCAGCTGAAATTCAATCTCTTTATCAAGTTACATAAAAGAAACAGAGGACACTAATTCACCCAGAGGACAGAACCAACAGCTGTAAGTTTTCCTGTCCAAGGTGGTTTGTCTCTGAAAAAGGAGCTTGCAGTCTTGTGAAATGCCATCTGGGATGAAGTGACTCCTGCCATTTTGAACACAAAAATACAAAACAACTGCAACCAAGGAGATACTTTAGTCTGATTTTGAAACCACAGGATAAAAAGTTATTTTTAGTGCAGCTAAAATCCCTATAGGTGAAACTAGCTTATCTTTCTTTTCAAAAGTGAGAAAAGTAGTTTAGGAAAGGCCTTTTGGAAAACTCACCTTCTTAATTTTTTTTTTCTTATTGTCTAGAATACAGTCCTACTCCTTTCTGCTTTATCCTCCTTCCCCATCTCCCAACCTCACCTGAACTCTTGTCATTGCATATTGTGGTCTCTTCTATTTCCAACATTAGACTGCAAGCTCTTTGAGGGCAGGAACTGGTTTCACTGTATGTATATACTAACAGCTGGCATTTGTGGACACACAAAGAATGTTTCATGAAAGAAAGAATAGGAAGGAAGGGAGGAAAATAGGAAAGAAGAAGAAGGAAGGAAGGGAGGAAGGGGGAAGAAAAGAAGGAGAGAGGGAAGAAAACAAGAGAGGAAGGAAGGAAAGAAGGAAGGAAGAAAGGAAGGAAGGAAGGGGGAAGGGGGGGGGGGGAAGGGGGGAGGGAGGGAAGTAAGGGCAGATAGAGGGAAGCTAGCGAAGCGAGGAGTGAGCGAAAAATTGATTTTGAAGATTGAAGCAAATTTGACAATGACAGAACGTAGGTTCTGAGCAGTATTTTAGATTTTTTATTTTTATTTGTTTAGGTTTAATATTTTGACTTCAATAGGAACTAGGATGAGGGTTTCATTTTCTCTCACACTGTTTTTTACTGATCTACATGAAAGTAACGTCTGACTTACAATGAATAGGTTACACATTTAAGCACTGTTGCCATTGATGTTGCTAGGAAGTGAGGGCAGGGTTATATTCTGAGATTTTTCTCACAGACTCCTTTTTTCCCTGCATTTCCTCCAGATTTGTAATATGAGGGAGTTAAAGGTAATCACGAAGACTGAAACACAAAACCACCTTGCATTTTACTACAATCTTTCTCACAACTCCAGTTAACATGTTCAATTGTACCAACTTTATTACTCATCAAAAAAAGAGGTATCTCGAAATACAAATTACTTTTTGATGGGCTTACATCACTATCACTTCATCACAGAGAGCTCAACAGTGTTACTGTGAAAGCAAAGGGGCATTACCATCTAGGGGCCATCTTTGCGAGTTAAATTCATAGTAGTTTAAAAAAAAGGTGCTCATGATACTTCGCAGACTCAGACTTTATTGCTAGAAACTGCATTATTTCTTTGTTGATCTCTAGTTGTTAAAAATAATATTCTCAATATAAATATTGTGGAATGAATTCTGAATAGAAGTTATAGATACCGAAAGAAAAGCCTGTATAATGATATGCATTCATATGATGTCAACCTACGATGATAAACCTTGACACAGAAATCTGGAAACAAAGAAATGTTGGTTTGCTTTTTCAAAATCGGAAACATGGATAAGTTGCCTAAACTTATATTTGAGAACTAAACCAAGCTGGAACTCCTTCCATATTTTGGAGAGGTCAAATATCCTTAAATAAATACATAAGGATGAGTGAAACTTTTAAAGACTTAGAGTCATTTGGGCTGTAGCCCTTATACCTGGAACAACAAACCATTCCTGGTCATGAGCTTACTGGTGTCAAAAGACACTTGCAGAACAAATCTGGCCGCCATGTTTGTGCCTCACATGGAAGAACCAGTCTGTTATCAAGGGATACCACTGGTGATTTCATGGTGTTGCATGTATTTCATGTCACTGGTGAAAATAATTTTCATTGTCCTTATTCCCTGAGGGAATCATACAAAGGGCACAATTTAAAAAGCCATGTAACTATGATCAAAGTTCTATATAATATCTATAAAATCCTTAGATTTTAGAAAGATCTAGCTTGGTTAATGAATAGAAGATTAATGAGGTTTTAAATGTTTTCATCACAATTGGTTAATAAATTAACTAAGAAAACTCAGCATATTAAGTGTCTCAAGAATCGTGTCATAATGTACAGCTTTTAGAAATAATATGCTATTGTTCATCAAAATGTTATTTGGTCTATTACACCGGTTCTTGTGAATTTAACTTCAGATCTTTTTAGAGGGATCTGACACATAATGACACATAAATCTTGTTGGGATCCAAAATAGAATTGAGCTCAAATATTTGACATGACTTTTATGGAGACAGAGTTTCTATTCCAAAAAAGGCAAAGCAGTATCTAATTACCATAAGACATAGCAACTATCGAGAATCATATACTAAAAATATGCCCAGGAAGCCCTATTTTATTCTCAGGGATGAGGATTTAAGATTAAAGAACATTTTAATAAATAAGAGAAGACATAGGCAGAAGAAACCCAGTAAACAAAATTTGTTTTGTGATGTTATTTAATTTTTTGTCTTTCCAAAAGTGGAATCATGATACGTGCCCAATAAAAGTAAGTAATTTATTACTAGAACATTAAACAGGTTGTAGGCATAGGATTCAAGTTATTTTGGTATCCCATCTGGCAGGATCTTGTGACTAAAACCGATGAATACTAATCTAATCTATATGCCTTGGAGATAATTCTTCATAAAATTTCCTAGGGAAATATGATGGTCCAAATCACAGTGGATATGTGGTCGGGGGCAAATCATGAGGTCAGGAGTTCAAGACCAGCCTGGCCAACATGGTGAAACCCAGTCTCTACTAAAAGTACAAAAAATTAGCTGGGCGTGGTGGCATGCGCCTATAATTCCAGCTACTCGGGAGGCTGAGGCAGGGGAATTGCTTGAACCCAGGATGCGGAGGTTGCAGTGAGCCAAGATCATGCCACTGCACTCAAGCCCGGGCGACAGTGCGAGACTCCATCTCAAAACAAAAACAAAAACAAAATATTTCTTATTTTGATTGTCACAGAATTGTAAAATTTTGCTTATTTTTATGTATCAAAATAAAGGAAGAACTGATTTCCAAAGCCAACATGAAAGAGAAAATTGCATATTATCTTACAAATTATGCCGTTTTGATGGCTAATTCCTGTGTTTCCAGAAAGCTGATTCTTAATGATCCAAACTCTCTACATTGTACAGTTACGGTCATGATTGCTATAAAAGCAACTATGGCTAATTATAACCAAGTAAATGTAAACACCATATTTATTTGAATAATGAATTCATGGTAAGAAATGCTCTAGATGAATGTCAAGAACATCTTTCAAAGTATGAAAATATAAAGAGGTCATGATGACTCTTAAAAGTTCTAGTTCCCTATATGGCCAAATATCATGTGTGAACTGATTGTAATGTTTCCCAGCCAAGTGAGTAAGTAAGATAAATAGAATCAACTGGTCTCCATTAATAAGTGTAGCTAATTGATCAGTTCTGAGAAGGGCACTGGACTCTAATGGCCTCAGAGTAATTGAAGTAGTCTATGCTATTAACAATTTGTAGTCGAGGAAACTAAAGCACGGAAATAATCAGAGAAAAGCAGTCGTCATTCCAGCGCTGGGACCTACAAGTCCTAAATCACATCTTGACTTACTACTAAATTATGTTCCAGGGAGTTTCCTGTTTTCTTATTACCAGTCTTTATTTTAGATTGGGTTTGAAAAACTTCTCACGTTGCTTTCAGTGATTTATTTTCTAGTACAATTAGATATAATGATTAAAACATTTAACTTTTTTTTTTTCCGTGAACTTGGATAACATCTAAACAGACTCCCCCTTCCCATACTCTATAAGCAAATAGGACAGAGTGGTCACAAAGAAGTGCATGCTTTCTCTGTCAAGGTTAAACTAAAACTGACAATAATATACTAGAACAGAAAACAAAAACACTAGAGGATTAGTTTTTTGGTTGTTGTTCTCCCCTTTCTTTAAAAGCAAATAGTCATTTAGCAACATATCAAAGAGTCTTATTGGGAAAATATATCTTCGTGTTATCAGTGTTACTGCACATATTCCATGACCGAGAACAGAACAATAATTATCCTGCCAAGCAAATCATAAATTATAAATATATTTTCAATTCTTCCCTATTTTGAAAGCTCTGTAAATTTTATGCATTGAATTATCATGGAACGGAAATTCAGTAAACATGAAGGCAAGTTGATTCTTCTAGTTTAGAAAGGCTTTGTTCAACATAATCAAGAAAACTCCATCTTAAAACTTCTTAAAATCAGGCCAAGTGTCTCAGGAACCACAGGCTTCTGTATAATGTAACTGTATAGAAGAACAAATGAAGCAATTAAAGCAAATGGTGATTGCAACATCATTTTATGTGTGCATACTTCTGTAACTGAGCAAATGAATTAAATTAGATTAGCCTGTAATGGTGATCAATGGACTTAAGCTGTCTGAAAATTATACAAGGTATTAATTGTATATAAGAAAAACTTATATACAATTGTCTTATATAGGCTTATATTGACTTATATAGAATTGTCTCCAGGGCATATAGATTACAAGATTAGTATTCATTAGTTTTAGTCACAAGACTCTGCCAGTTTTATATATTATATATAAATGATATAATGATATAGAACTGCTTTAAGTCAATGAAATATATTCAGAATTGGATTTTTTCAAGTATAGGGAAAGAAAATTAAGACACACAATTAAACATGATTTACAGTCATTTAAAAGTGTTTCCTAACTACAGAAATACAACCTGAATCCAGGTTGTTAAATTAAAAGACTAGGAAAACTTACAATTGTCTTTCTTAATAGAAGGCTTGAATATATAAAAGAGTATAATAGATAAATAATAAAAAATGGAGGGTAATAAATGTGTGTTTGTGTTAATCTTCTTCCTGCTGACCATGTCTTTAAATGAGTGTTAATGATTCCTAAGTGGGTTTTATTTGTCCGTTTTATTCCTCCAGTTCATGCCTGATTCCCTAACTAAGCTGTGCAGTCAATGTACATAGTTATTGTTTATTGTTTATTACATGAATTAAAAACAATCAGCAGAAACAATAAAAACACAGATGCTCAATAAATATCTGTAAACAAAATGAATATATGGAACTAGAGAAATAAAAACTCTAGATACTCCACAAAATAATCTTCTCCATGACTAAACTGCAGTTTGAACATTTAACTATATGAAAAGTCACATTAAGCAACACACATACACACAAGTAGAAATTTAATAAGAATTTGTTGAAGCCTGGTGTGGTGGCTCAAGCCTGTAATCCCAGCACTTTAGGAGGTCGAGGTGGGTGGATTACTTGACGTCAGGAGTTCAAAACCAGCCCGGCCAACATGGTGAAACCCCTTCTCTACTAAAAATAAAAATAAATAAATAAATAAAAATTAGCCAGGGATGGTGGTGCACACCTGTAATCCCAGCTGCACGGCAAGCAGAGGTTGAACTCAGGAGGTGGAGGTTGCAGTGAGTGCAGATCACAGCACTGCACTCCAGCCTGGGTGACAGAGTGAGACACTGTCTCAAAAAAAAAAAGAGAAGAAGAATTTGTTGAATTTAGTATGATGGGAGTAGACCCCCCGAAATATTGACTATTTTTCCCAAATAAATAGCTTTTTGTAATTAAAGTATTATATTAACTTTGGATTTTATTTAACGTGTTATATTCACACTACACTTATTAAAAAATAATTTCACTTGATCATCTTGAATGCAAATATAAGAAGGAAACTAATTACTTATTTTCTACAATGGACTTTACTAGACGATGAAGGTGCTAAAAATTATGTTTAAACAAACAATGGGAAAGGCCGTTTCATAGTCCTTTATTACTATTGGAATTTGGAGCTATAGCAGGCCATTAAATACATAAAAGTGACTTACATTCAGCCCTGAAATATCCTGGCATTACTCTACTGCTATCACTCAGACTGTACCCCTTAGACTCACATCACAATGAAGTGCTTTTGGGTACTAAGGCAAAATCTCTCCATGTCTCACATCTCAATGAATCTCTGTTTATAGTGTAATAGCAATAATGTAATACTGTATAATGTAATTTCAATTCCTTTTACACTTTATAGTATAATAGGAATTGTGAATTTGAGAATTCGCAATTGTCTTTGGTTCAAGTACAAGCACCATCTCTAAAGGTCACCAACCACCTTCCCAAAGTCACTAAAATCTGCCCCCTACTTAACTATCCAGCTGAATTTCAAGGCTCTCTGACTCTTATGCCACCTCAGTCTTCCTTCCAGCCGTAGGAAACTACTTGCAATTCCACCAACATCCCCCACTCTCTTTCACACCTCCAAGCATGTGCACTTCTTATTTCTTCTGTTTCAAACTCCTTCTTCCCTCCTGCACTGACTCCTTCATCTTGTTAAAACCACTTACCTCTCAAATCTCACACTTGATTCATCCTTCTCCTTTATCAAATCTTTCATGATCAACAAGACTGGATGAAACACCTATCAAGTGTTTATTAGTTATACAGCAATTGCCATTTTACCTGTCTCTCCCCACTACAGTGGGAATACAGAATGTTTTCATTGTTCTCAGGAATCCCCAAAGCCTGGAATTTTACCTTGTATATATGGCAGATACTCAACAAATACATGCTAATGAATGGAGAATAAGTAGAAGTAGAAAGACAATGAATACATTAAAAGTTCTTTTTTTTTCAAAAAAAAATTTTTTTTTGAGACAGTCTCACTCTGTCGCCCAGGCTGGAGTGCAGTGGCGCCATGTCGGCTCACTGCAACCTCCGCTTCCTGGTTCAAGTGGTCTCGCACCTCAGTCTCCCCAGTAGCTAGGATTATAGGTACGTGCCACCACAGCAGGCTAAGTTTTGTATTTTTGGTAGAGACAGGGTTTCACCATGTTGGCCAGGCTGGTCTCAAACTCCTGACCTCAGGTGATCCGCTCACCTCCGCTTCCCAAAGTGCTGGGATTAGAGGTGTGAGCCACCATGCCTGGGCCACATTTTTTTAAAATACATTCATGACTGTGGTAGGCCAAATAGTGACCTCCCAAAGGTCACTCCCTGTCATCATTCCTAGAACCTGTAAATAGTTTACCTGGCAAAGGGAAATTAAGGTTGCAGATGGAATTAAGGTTGCTAACCAGCTGACCTTAAAATGGAGTGATTATTCCATTCTCAGGAGAGACAGGGAATTGAAAGACATGAGTTGGGAGAAGGTCAAACAGATCGTGAAGCTCCTTCAGTTCAGCATATCAAAGCACCATATTTTGGAATATTGGTTTCTGAGCCCAAACATGCTTATCCTCGTCAGTCAAGTTACTCACAATTATAAAATCAGTTTGTACAGTGAAGCTTCCAACTCTACATAAGAAGTTAAAAGGGAAATTTGAAGTCTAAAAGTAAGAAAAATGTCCTTATTCATCAGGAACACAAAGACTTTATGTGACAATCTCAAACTCTTCCAGAAAACCATAGGAGAAAATCAGTTTCTCTCATCCTTAAAACAGGCCCGAGAATGAAAACAATCACAAACAGCCAGTGATTTGGTTGTCTCTTCCTCACTTGGTTCTTGGGTTAGCTGGATGGCTGACTACTCGTGGAAACTGATTGTTAGATGTGGTAAACCAACCAGCATAGCTCTTTGTGAAGGGAATTAATAGTATGAATACATAGTAATTAACCTTAAGCTTCTAGTAATTAACCATAAATAGACCAGACTGTTCAATTCATTCAGATTTCAGGGAAAAGAAGCCACAGACTGCAGTGTGCTTAGTACTTCAATGAGTCTATCCGCAAAATATTTTTGCTTTTAAAAAAAATTATTTGGCTAGTGCCTCGAAAAAAGTGTTTGACCGAAGTGTTTTGAATCAATGACTTCCTGTAGACAGCCTCAATATAGGGTGCTGCACAGAAGCCAAGAATGGAGCAATCTGCAAAAGATTTCAGCTGGCTGAACTCTGTTGGGGAGTTTCAGGGCAATGTTTGAAATAAGTGTTCATCCTGAAAATGTTTACCTTAAACTTGCCTTCCTGTTTTGTTTTATTTTGAAATCTGCTTTTCAGCTGTAAGAATGCCATCACAATGTTTGCTTACCTAATTGGCTTCATAAAGCAAGTATTGTCCAGATGTGGCTTTAGTGTTCTATACACTCCACAAAGTAGTGTACATAAAGAGAAGCTTCTTTGGTACTGCAATGTCACGTCTTTATTTCCATGTGTAACACTGATATGCAGTCATGTATTTTAACAATAATGTAGATTATCAAAGAGATTGTGGTTACAATACATTCTTGAGTCATCTTATGTTCTTAAAAACTTAAATACATGGGTGAATAGAACCAATTCCTTTGATTTTCTCCAAGTAGTATATAAACCTAAGTACTTCATTACAAAGGAAGAGCCTCCTGATTTTAATGGACTCTTCTTTTGCCTGAAAAAGTATTATTGGATGTCAGCCAAATGTGATCTTATATTTTTCTCAAGTTTCTGGTATTTTCACCTAAGTTATTCTTCATTTCTTCTTGTCAACTGCTGTGACTACATCCTTTTCAAAGTTAACAATGTCTGTCTCTACTTTTCCTTCCATATCTATTATCACGCTTGGTTGAAATTATCTCCTGCCTAAACATTTTCAATTTTCCTTGAAACTGTTTTTAATTTTTAATTTTTTTTCTTTTTTTGAGACATGATGTCTCTCTGTCGCCCAGGCTAGAGTGCAGTGGCACAATCTCCACTCACTGCAGCCTCCACTTCCCAGGATCAGGTGATCTTCCCACTTCAGCCTCCCGAGTAACTGAGACTACAGGTGCATGCCATCACCCCTGGCTAATTTTTTGTATTTTTAGTAGAGACAGGGTTTTGCCATGTTGCCCAGGCTGGTCTTAAACTCCTGGGCTCAAGCAATCTACCTCCTCAGCCTCTCAAAGTGCTAGGATTATAGGCGTGAGCCACCGCGCCTGGCCAAAACTGTTATCTAGCCTACAAGTCTTATATGCCCCAGTCCATCCTACAAGTCTCCCTCTTAAAAACATTCAATTCCCCTCAAACAAAACAAAACAAAACAAAACAAAACTCTTCAACTCCCCCCTTTGCCAACAAGATAGAATATCTTAATACCATAAATTATTACTCACCTATATATACATTATGCTCCAGCTAAAATGGGGAATAAACTATGGTGTCTTGAAACACATTTTATAACTTCTTTTATTCCCCCCCACACAGAAGGCTTTTATTCATTTTTGTTTATCCAGAGTAGGCTTCACAGGAAACTTCAGCTTTCTACAGTCTCTCTCTCATATCTCTGTTCTCATATACTTTGTCTATCCTAGTTATTTTAGTCAGTTGTGTTTTGCCTTGTAAAATTCTTTGTAATGTATCCTTTATTGGTAATTTTTTTTGTGCTGTGTTAATCCAAATCCTGAGGTTCTGTGAAGGACTTCAGTTTATAGTTCAACAAGAATAAGTTCAACAAGAATAGCTCTGTTTGGATGAGAATAAAGTTTGACAACGAGTGACATATACTATTACTCAGCTCTTAAACCCGTATTTAAGAGCTAGAGAAAAGAGAAACTGATTTTTTTTCACTTTAATTTGCATCTGAAGTATTTTATATATAACAGAGGCCAAAGAAACATTTAAATATCAGTTAAGGCTTTACCTCTAGTGAGTAACTTAAAACATGCAATTCCTACAATAAAACATAAATACTTAATTTTAAGAAGCAGTTTTTCATCTCACCTGAAAGTATATCCTGAAAGGGTTACATAGTAAGTTCCTGACCTGCTAAGGAAGACTAGGTAGCTATTTCAGCAGAAATGTCATGACATCCACATTTCTACCTAATGGAAGAACAATTTTTAGCTTGGAATCCAGGCAGAATTTTCTCACTAAAAGTGGGCCAATTTTCGTGACCAGCCTGGCCAACACGGTGAAACCCCATCTCTACTAAAAATATAAAAATTAGCCTGGTGTTGTGGCAGGCATCTGTAATCCCAGCCACTCAGGAGGCTAAGGCAGGAGAATCACTTGAACCCGGGAGGTGGAGGTTGCAGTGAGCCCAGATCGCACCATTGCACTCCAGCCTGGGGACAAGAGTGAGACTTTGTCTCAAAAAAAAAAAAAAAAAGTGTACCAATTTAACCTCTCCTAACCATGTCACACACAAAGTTCAGAAATTAGAAGAATGTGTTTGTGGTATAATACAAAAAATATACATATCTGGTTGTTGTTGCTCATTCCTGGCACAAGGCTTCAAAAACTCTTAGAATTTCCTAAGTGATAAGAAGAGTCTTTTTTATGTTAATAGGGCAACTCAGGGTGGGACCCTGAATAACTTCAGGTTGGGGTCTGGTCACCAGAAAGGCCAACTATGTGATTAGAGCATTGGAACTTCGCACCAACTAAACCTCTGGGAAGGGGAGAATGACTGGAGATTTAGTCCAATCACATGGCCAATGATTTAATCAATCATGCCTGCAAAATACAATTCCAATAAAATCTCTGGACACTAGGGCTCACTGGAGACTCCTGGTTGGTAAACGCATTGATATGGAGGACGGTGACATGCCTGGATTCCAGGAGAATAGGGCATAGAACTGTGTACTTCTCACCTTCCACCCTAACCTTGCCCTATGCCTCTCTCCATTTGTCTGTTTCTGATCTATATTCTTTACTCAAAAAACTATAATCACAAATATGGCACCTTCAGTGAGTTCTGAGTCATTGTAGCAAATTATTGAACCTGAGGTGGGTGTAAAAAGCCCTGGATTTTTGGCCAGCCAGGAAGAGGTGAGGGTAGTTTGGAGGCACTCAAATTTGTGGCTGGCATCTGAAACTGAAGAAGTCTTGTGACAAACTTTGTTCTTAACTTGTGCAATGCTATGGATTGAACACTTGATTCTCCCCAAAATGTGTATGTGGAAATCCTAAATCCAAGGTGATGATATGAGGAAGTTGAGCCTTTGGGAGGACAGAACCTTCATGATTAGGATGATAAAAAACAGACCCCAGAGAGCTAGCTCACCTAGAGCCAAGACAAAGATAGAGATACTTGAAGACACTGTTTGAGAATATATGTCTGGAGGAGTCATAACTAAAGTTATATCCACCTCCTGGGCTTTTTGATCATGTGAGCCAATAAGTTCATGTTTAGATTAAGACTGAATTGAATTTCCATCACTGACAAACCAAAATAACCCTGATTCACTTATATAACATTACCAAGAATAGGCCCCGCGCGGTGGCTCACGCCTGTAATCCCAGCACTTTGGGAGGCCGAGGTGGGTGGATCACGAGGTCCAGAGTTTGAGACCAGCCTGACCAACATGGTGAAACCCTGTCTCTACTAAAAATAGAAAAATTAGCTGGGCGTGGTGGTGCCTGCCTGTAAACCCAGATACTCAGGAGGCTGAAGCAGGAAAATCGCTTGAACCCGGGAGGCAGAGGTTGCAGTGAGCTGAAATTGCACCACTGCACTCCAGCCAGGTGACAGAGCTAGACTTTGTCTCAAAAAAAAACAACAAAAAAATTACCAAGAATAATATCTAGATTTTACCAACAAATGAAACAGAAACTATCTTTATATTAAATGTATATGAATTATTCTATAACTGTGACATATGATGCCTTAAGCCCAATGGCAAATAAATGAAAGCTTCAGTGTAATTGCTCATGAGAGTGGAAGCTGATTGCAGTAAATACTTTTCCTGGGAGCTTGGCTTCATTTTTCACCTATCCTTTATTTTCCACTAGCCCTTCTAATAATTTACTCAAGGAGGTTGGGGAACATGCTGGACACAGCAAGCAGAAGACATGGGAAAAGTGAGCTGAGACCACACCTTCTCAGCCCAAACAGGTGCCATTATTTTCACACTTGTCATTTTTGGATCATTTGTTTATTTAAGTTTAGTATCAAATTAGGAACTGTGTTTAGGTATGGAAAATTCCCTCCTCCTTTCCATATATGCATTATATCCAAATTTGTGCATCTTTTTTTCCTTTTCAGTAAATATTAATTTAAGGCTTCTAAAAGAAGAGAGTCTTGTACAAACAACCTTATCACTTCAGAGTCATCCATCTCTTTTTAATTTTTTATTTTAATATTATTATTATTTTTTGAGATGGGGTCTTGCTCTGTCGCCAGGCTGGAGTGCAGTGGCGAGATCTCAGCTCACTGCAACTTCCGCCTCCCAGGTTCAAGCGATTCTCCTGCCTCAGCCTCCCGAGTAGCTGGGACTACAGGCACGGGCCACCATGCCCAGCTAACTTTTGTATTTTTAGTAGAGATGGGGTTTCACCATGTTGGCCAGGATGGTCTCGATCTTTTGACCTTGTGATCCGCCCACCTGCACCTCCCAAAGTGCTTGGATTACAGGCATGAGCCACCGTGCCCGGCCTCATTCATCTACTTTTAGGAAAGGTATTGGAGGCATCCCTTCCCTAGGCTACAAAGCTCGTACACTGTGGGATGATGTCACATAAAGGAGCACAAACCCTAACGAAGAATTCTGTTAGTTCTAGGGAGCAAGAAAAATGCAAAGCAAAGTCTCTACTATTCTCCACTGTATATTTCATTTGTCCACACACTCATAGATATAAAAGAGCTTCGAAGGACACATAAGGAGGCCACGTTAGTGAACACTATATGTTTTTGTAAAGAGATAGTCATATTTCTTTTACCAAAAATGTGCCACCATGATGATTTAAAATGCCATGCTGAGACCCCATAGTCAGTGATAGCATTAAAGAACATAGAAGATATCCTGGCTAACACGGTGAAACCCGGTCTCTACTAAAAATACAAAAAATTAGCCGGACGTGGTGGCGGGCACCTGTAGTCCCAGCTACTTGGGAGGCTGAGGCAGGAGAATGGCGTGAACCCGGGAGGCGGAGCTTGCAGTGAGCCGAGACCTGGCCACTGCACTCCAGCCTGGGCGACAGAGCGAGACTCCATCTCTTCAGCACAAAGTAGAGTGATGTCAGCAGTAAAAATTTAGATAAAGTGGCAAAAGAAAGAACTGATAAATTACAATGTGTGGAATCTAGACACTTGAATGTGTTCGAGGAAGCTGTAAAAATTTTTTTTCTAGGATATGGTTCATAATGAAAATACTGTGTACCATATGCTTGCCTTTGGGCAGGGAAAGGACTAGATACATATTTTTAAGCCATTCCCAGCTCTTAAGTCCCAGTCATTTCTAAAATGAAGAAAAAGAGCTGCTGTTGACTGAACCAGTGTGTTTTTCTCTGACTCATGCACATTATTGGCTCAAGGAGAAGAACAGATGTGGGTCATCAGGGTGCATCACCAACTTTTTGGCTGATTTAAACAAGCTAATCTTCTACACCCTGCACTTGCAGATGCGTGGTAATAGCTAACGTTTAACACTTCAAAACAATGGGAGCATCGCTAGTGAAAAGGATACAGATAAAAGTTTTTAACCTTTGTTCTCATCACTTAGAATGTAAAGCATCTCTCGTGAAAGTCAGCCCCAGACACAACTTTATCAAGTGCCATTTTGCAGTAAGTTTAAGAAAGCAATACATTGAATATTCTTTTACTTTTCCCCAATATGGCTGATTCTCTGGTGTTTGCATTCCTTGGCCATGAATTACTAACTCCTGTTATTTTTTGTTTTCCAAGAAAGAATTAATCTGAAAGTATAATTTTTTTTTTCCTGGAGATATTCCGCTCACTTTCTGGCTGTCTACAGATAAGCTGTGTATCTGAATTGATAAAAACCAGATTGTCCAACTACTGATGAAATACTGATAGCACCATGAAAATTTTTGTATAAAACTCTATTAGGATTCCTAACAATGTGCAGGCCTTTGGCCACTTGTGTTCACTGAGGTTAGGCATGCAGCCTAACATTGCCTTGAAAAGCATGGATCTATCCCAAAGCACAGCCAATGTCATACTAAAACACTTAAAGGAGTTACAGACACACAAATTTTAATGATTTAAGGCCAGATTCAATCCTTTGAGACATTTGCATAACTCCCACTAGAAATTAATAGAGGTTGCAAAAATACAAATTTGGGTAAAAGTTTTAACCTTACCCAACTCAGGGATTCAAACATTGTTCTTTAATATCTGCTGGTGCAGAAAACTTTATCTAATGTTGCTCGATATCTAGACTATCTTCTGTTAGCAATTTGGGAAGTTGTCAAAGATACCAGATCATGTTTGTTGAGCTAATATTGTGCTCCACATTTCAGAAGAGGGTCTGGCTACTGCATTGTTCTGTTACTGTTAATGTTATCACTGCGGCTGGTGTTGTTATTAATCATAGACTCGTCATAAATTTATAAGGTGGATATTTGTATTTTAGTTTTATAAATGAAGAAAATGAGTGGTTGAGGGGTTAAGTCATTTTTCTGAAGTAATGCAGCAATGTGGTTTCAAGTCAGGATTTACACCCAAGACACTATACCCTCTACAGGTCAGGCACTTTCACCTACACCAGGATTTACAAATGGCTCAACACAAGCACCACGGGACTGAATACAGAAGAGCAGAGTAGTGAACACCTGAGGATCTGCCCAAAATGTGGGGCCTCCAACCAGCTTAGGCCCAGCCCTGCACAGCCCTGTAGATCTTATTTGTGCCCAGAGGTACAAGAAATAAAAATGTAGAGGGGTAAAAAATGACAGAGGTTGAAAATATAGGCCCTTAGATCAATCAACTCTCTTACTAACTACACTGACTGGTCCAAATAAACTTCTCCATCCTCAGTTCTGTCAGAAAGCAGCAGAAATAAGACCTATTAAGTTATTCATAATATTCAGTAACATCTAGTCAGTTTTAATCTTTTGATATATCTCCTAATTATTATGTACTCAATTTAGAATTTTAGAAAACACCCGTCTCTTACTCCCCTTGTTTTCATCCTTCCTTTTTTCTGAAAATGTAAACTATGGTGCAAGAAAACACCACATTGTTCATCATAAATGAGAAAACTGGAGGTTTATTCAAAAGTGCTAGGTTTACAAAACTGAGCCAAGAATTTATAAGGTGTAGACTTTCTCTGACACCTGACAGCTTGAATTCCTCTGACTGTTTTGACACAGAAATATCAAGACATTAGCTTTCTGGCCCTTCTATATAATACCTTGCCAAACCCACAACATGTAGAAACCTATCAATGTGATAAAGAATATGAAAAACAAATCCTGGGAAAATGATTAAATTCGGTGGAGACTTTATTCCAATAGTCAAATTCATCTTTCTCGGAAGAAGTAGAGGAACCTGCTAACATCGCCTGGGAAAATTTGAAAATGAAATATGTTTACCTCTTTTTACTTATGCAAATAACATCTCAACTTAGTTAAAACAATAGATTCAAAACATCCTGTGATTGAAAGGGCAGATTTTTTTTTCAGTTACTTACCCCAACCGATTAAAAACAGAAAAATCATAATGTATGTCATAAACAGAAGTGACATAAAACATTTTCCCCAAAAAACAATGAAAAATTAGAAACAAATGCAAAAAGAAACACTAGAGAAATAAGAAGAAAAATATAGGTCATGGAGAAAAAGTGGTTTTGACCAAAATAAAGTTTTAAGACATTAAAGAACCAATCCACAGCTTTGATTTTGCCTGTATAATGTAGTTACTAAGGGCATAGGCTCAGCCACTTGATAGCTGGGTCATCTTGGGTAAATTACTTCATCTCTCCTCGTCTTGCTTCCCTCCTTTATATTGTAGCCATACCTACCTCAAATGTTATTATAAAGACTAAGGAATCTGATACTCGTATACTCTTAGAATCTGCACTGGTATATAAAAATATCTTACCGCATAACTGCCAAATAAATGTCACAACTTTATTAAACTTTAAAATGAATTTGAAAGGAAGCCACATTTAGAAAGCTGCTTAATGTATTGAATGCCATATTTTCTACCCTTTCCATGTAATATTGGGGGAGAGAGGAGAAATGCTATAAAGTTGTGCTCATCCTCTTTCAGCATCTTATTCATTTTTTAAGTTCTTACACTTATTTTAGAAGAATGCTGACACTAAACGTGATACAGTAATGAGTAGCAAGGTTAACTGCATCCTACATCTCTTGGTGGGGAGGTTATATTATTTTCTATCACTGTAATTAATTAAATGTTCTGCCTATAGCAAATCAACCATTATGTTAGGAATGGCATTAGATTATTTGCTAAGGTATATGTGTGCAAATATTATACTAACATGGAAGAGATGGAAGATATAATTAAGTCCCCGCAGTTGGTGTCTACATATGGAAAAAGTCAGCCCTCCATATACTCAGGTTTCATATCCCATAAACACTGTATTTCCCATCCACATGTAGTTGAAAAAATATCTCTGCAGTTCAAACCCATGTTGTTTAAGCTTCAACTGTATTATCTAAATATCTATTTTTTTTGAAGTTTGAAGTTTGGTCTAGAGCAGTGGTTTTCAAACTTTAGCATGTATTAGAATCACCTGAGGTCTCTAAAGATGGGTTGCTGGTTCCAATCCCAGAATTTCTGATTCAGTAGATCTGGGATGGGTCTGAATACGTGCATTTCTAACATGTTCTCAAGTGATGGTGATCTGGGAACCACACTTTGAGAACATTTACTTGAGACTTATATATTAGAGTCACTTGGGGAGATTTTTTAAAATACCAATAGTTAGTAAATCAGAATCTTTGGGGGTGGATGGATCTGGGTATCTACATTAAAAAGCAAACAAACAAACAAAAAGCCCTCCCTAGCTGAGTCTATGGTAGAGCCAGAATTGAGGATTCCTGGTCTAGAGAAATGGTTGTCAAGGACGGGTCCAGAATCAGATTCACTTGGAAGTTTTTCCAATGTCCTCCTTTCCCCATATCCAAGGTTGCACGATGCCCTAAGAAGAGGTGGAAATACAATTTTTAAATGTTTCTCAAAATTAATCTTGAGATTATTTTAGTTAAAATTACCTTATATTTATTAAAAATGAAGATCCCTTGCCTACCTACAAAGTCTCAGATGCTTCACACTTTACACAACACACCTGTGTTTGAAAATTAGTGGTGTAGGGTTAAGAAGGAGCGGGTTCTAATTATTTCTTGCAGGTTAGGAAGAGCACTGGAACCTCACAATCAATATAATAACTGGTGAATTCAGAGCTCCATAGCACCAGCCCTAGAGAGGTGAAAGAAGGATCCCTGCAAGCAGGAAGTCAGGACGGAAAGGGGCAGGTGGGCAGGGATAGAAAAGTGAGTGCTGAGTAGACGCTTCTCTCCTTACCAGAACCAGTAACCACCCTGCTGGCTGCTCCTCTAATTTGCCCTGGCACAAGGACAGAATGTGTTCTGCTGATACACGTTTCTAAAGCACCAAGCAGCCTCTGCTGACAGCTGGCTTGGTTGCTGTGTCAATGCAGAAAAAGTGAGAGAGCAAAAGAATTTGGTAAGAAAATATTTTTCTTTACTTTCCCTTCTAAATGGAGGGAAAAATCATGGTGGGGGTGGGGACAGATGGGATGCAAATGTGATTATGTAAGGTACTGAGAACAAGAAAGACTAATGCAAAATGTTTAGGACAGTGGGTATTAAGGAGAGAATTGACTTTGTGGAGCTGTTTGTCTTACTAACAGCCATTCAAAATCCAGCACCATATTACTTGTATGTATTGTTATTCTATTAGCGATGATTTCAAAATGCCTAGAACTATTTCTGGGCATCTGCAAAAGATAAAAGTGAATTAAGAACTCTCACATCACCTTGGAAAGATAAAGACTAGTTATGTGTTGTCAGCCATAGTCTTTCTCCACACGGCTTGCCAGAGTTGTTTTTTTTTTTCTTTTTTCTTTTTTTTTTTTTTTTCAGTTTTATTTCTAGAGCTGATGGTCTTCTGATGCCTTCACACCAAAAGGGAACCCAGCTCCGTTAGCTGGCTTCTAGGTGAATCTCTTGGCTGATGTTGTTTTCCATCAGCCTACAGCTTGGTTGTGCATTGGCAGTTTTATGCAATACTGGGTTCAGCAAAAGAAACAAAGGACAATTGGCTCTACTTAGTGAAATCTGCCTAAAGAATTTTATATCCCAGCATAGGTTTCTAATGAGATTCTCAAAAAAGTAAACAAATTCTAAGATATAAATATCAGTTCACTTATTAATGTCCCATGCTTCTAAGCAGCATTTTTCCATGTGTGCTGTGGATGGTCACTCTAACTCCTTAACAGTCATTTAAAATGTTACAATGAAAAATACACAAAGTACTAAAAATGCATCAAACATATCATAAAGTTGTAAAGTCAAATAATTCCCCTGCGAACTTCACTTGAAATGAGGAAACTGAAAGAGCTTGTTTTCTTTGCACTTTATCTGAAGTAACCAGAGGGTTTTATTTTTGTTAATTTATCAGATTTACTAAGATTGTTCTCATTTAAAGTAAAACTAATTCTAGGAAGATTGCATCTCCTTTGCTGTGCTATTGCTTGGCATTGTTGAAATAATAGCTACTATACCAACATGGCACATCTTTTCAGTAGTCTCATCCATTGTTGCTATTCTGTAAAAAGTGTAGACAGTTTGGAAAGCACGAGCAGACTAGATTTATATGCGGAGGGGTGAGAATAAAGAAAGAAAAGACAGCGGGAAGGCGCACTTTCCTTTGGGAGTGCAAGATTTAAGACAGCAGCAGTTCATGTCTGTGTCAAGAAAGGAAAATTTACAAATTCAGAATAGAAGCTTAGTTTTTACTGTATTTTGCAAAGAGAATTTCTTTCTTTCTTGAGAAAGGCCATAGATCCTGACAGCACATGTCAGAATGGGAAAATATTGCTCGAGTGAGCTGCCTACTGTGAATATAATGAAGTGAAATTTGTATATTTTTGTTTAGACTCAAAAGCACCACCATTTACTGGTATAAACTCATTTTAATGAGATTAGACAATTTTAGTAATAAAAATTTACAAGTGGAGTAGCTAAATGGTAAAATGGCAAACATGATGAGAATAAACATACATAAAAATCTTTCCAATTTTCCATGCAAAGTGTCCTTACAACAGATGATATAGAAAAAGACCATTTATTTTTCTAGCACTATTCTTTCCTTATGATGAGACTAAACGTACATTTGCTACTTTCTCCTATGCTGTTTTGGTCATTTACTACCATTTGAGCCATGAGATATGGCATTAAGTAACACTCTTACTAAAAATAAAAAAATTCATATTGGTTAAACTGATTATTGAAAATAGAAAAAAAAAGCATGTGCTTTTAAAACCAACAGATATGAATTAGTATTTTACCTCTAAGAGTTTCTGAATTGTGAGTGAAATCAAAATATTGCTCTAGGGCAGCAGTCTTGAAAATGTATTCTATGGACCCATAGGGGTCCTAGAGAACTTTTCAGGAGTTAGAAAGATCAACAGTGTTTTTATTATTATACTAAAGTGTTCTTTACTTCTTTGTGTTCACATTTGCACTGTTGGTGCAAAAGCAAAGGTGAGCAAAGCTATTTGTGCCTTAGCCCTACATAAGGCCATGGCACCCAACAACTTCTCTATACACTCTCAATCTAAAAAAAAAAAAAAAAGGTTTCAATTTAGAATTTCCTTCATGAAACAGTAAAAATTATCAATTTTATTAAATCTTGGTCCATTAGTCTACATCTTTTAAACATTCTATGTGATGTAATGTGGCCCACGTAAAGCATTTCTGCTGTATAACAAAGTACGATGGTTTTCTCAAGTAATAGGATATGTGCAATATTTTGAGTTGCAAACAGAACCAGGGCTTTTTTTCAGGAACACGATTTTTACTTCAAAGAATGCAGATAAACTATCACTGTGCAGATTTGTCCATTTGGCTGATAATGCCTTCAAAATGAAAAAAGCCAGTTACTTCAAGAAAAACAATTGACAGGCTTATTGCCAATAATAAAATGCAAGTTTTCAAGCAAAAATTAGAATTTTGGAAAACTGCTATTTGCCACTGTGAGTCTGATTACTTCTCAATACTTAAAGACTTTTTAAATGAGCTCAATGGCTATTTTAATGAAAACTGTTTTTAATAACATATAATAAAATATGTCTACATTTAGGAGGACTGTATTAACTCAACAAATCAAGAGTTTCCAAGTGAATAATATATCATGTTACAAAACCAAGGATGGGTAAAAGTACAAGAGACCAGCAGATTGTAATGTACAGAGTAGATAAACTTCATTAACAAGCTTTCAGATCTCACATCGCAACTGAACTTTAAGAAACGATCACTTGAATTTTTGTATAATATCAAAAGAGACTACTCACAACTACCTGAAAATGTTACTAAAAGATTCTTCTGTTATCAAATTAGATATCAGTGTGAGGCTGGAATCTTCATTTCCTTCCACCAAAACAACATGTTACAAAAGATTGGATGCAGAGCAGCTGTAAGGGAATCAGCTGTCTTCTATTAAAGCCAGACATTAAAGAGATCTGCAAGAAGCAGAAATAACACACAGTTTTCATAAAAGGGTGTAATTTACGATATGTGTTAGTTTTAAATAAACTAAAATATTGTTTAAATTCTCAAGTTTGACTTCCAACTCAATAAATATGTATAGATATAACCCACATAGAAAAACACTTTTGGGATCCTCCGTAATTTTTAGGAGTATAAAGTGTTCCTGAAACAAAAATGTTTGGGAACTATTGCCCCAGTCTAGGGTTATTTTCACGGTCATACTGTGGACAAATATTGATTGTGGCACACATAAAGACAGTTTTGTAAGTGTGAGTGGTGAGAAAACATTTTAAAATATCAATCGTCCAGAGAAGATTAGAAAATTTGCACACTTTATGAATGGTTCCAATAACCCGCAGATTGTCTCATATTAGACTTCCTCCTGAGCTGATCTCCAGTCATATAAGAGTGCATATTGCTATCACCGCTTGACAAACTGGTGTAAAAATTAAGGAAACATAACTTTTCCTTGTAGCATCTTAAGAATAACAAGTTGTCCTTGACAGTAATAAAGAAATAACGCAGGGAATTCAGAAGAAAACTATTTCAAGGGAGTCATAGAATAAAAGCCAGAGTAATGAGTTTGGTGACAACAACACTGAGACAAGAGAAAGAATAGAAACTGCTTTAAAAAATTTGCAAAATCTACTGATCGCAGTGATCCTTCTCTTTTTTGTTGACATACTTAAGAATAAATTTTAGAATAAAAAAATTCTGGAAGATATCTCTGGTGACTTAAATGTTCTAGATACAAAGCTGGTCGCTCATGGTAGTTGGATGATGTGTTCATTTCTACTTTTCATTTGAATGTGACTTAGAGATAAAGAAAGAAGAAAGAGTGAATTCATGTTGATATCAGTAGTGCATGTACCACTCAGAAAATTGAAGTCGGCCAGTTATATTAACAGAGGGGATGTGACAGAAAGGATTGTAAGGTATTATGGAAGTAGAAACTGCAGCAGACAGATACCACTCCCTAAATCTGAGGAAACAAGAGGAGGTTAGTAAAACTCAGAAGCTTGGAAGAGGGGCCTTGCAGAACTGAGACCGAGGCCTCTGAAGAGGGGCTGTTGTCTGTCTGGTGTTGGTGCCTTAGTCACCTGAAGAAAGGGGCCACCACAGAGCTGGGACCCACACTTCCTTGCAGGAGCCACTGCCCAACTGAAGCGGATGCCTCAGGAGCAAAGAAGTCAGTTGACCTCTAAGGAGAAGAGTTATTTCTGGGGAAATTATAGAATCCTTATGTGTTAGTGCTCATATTGCCTTGGAATTGAGAATACTACCAGTGCAAGTAAAAATGGAAAAAAATAAATTAGAATATCATGCACAGGACTACATATATGCTAGACTCCAAATAAAGCTGATGAGAGAAAATAAATGATAGAAAAATAAGCAAAATTCAGTTGCCAGAAACTTAAAAATGATTGTAGTGCAATCTATCAACATAATTTCAAATAATTAAAATGAGAAAGAAAATCACCTGAAGAGATGTTTTAAAAATATGAAATATAGAGGAGGACATGTCAGCAAGGATGAATACAACGTATGTCACTGGCCTACCAAAATTGTTTCTGAAAAGTTATAAAGACCCAGATAAACAAAAATCATTTTTAAAAAAAGGATAAAAATATGGGTAATTTTAAATGTATAACAAGAAAGATAATGCTCTAAAAGAGAGATGAACTATGTAAAGAAGATGTTATATGAATAAACATCAGAAAAGTTACTACTCCTGTATTTTGTTACCACTTTCTGTTTCAAGATAGTACTCTAGGCGGGTACAGTGGCTGACACCTATAATCCCAACACTTTGGGATGCCAAGACAGGAGGATCCCTTGAGACCAGGAAGTTTGAGACCAGCCTGGACAACACAACAAGACCCCATCTCTACAAAAAAAAAAAAAAAAAAATTAGAAAAAAGTAGCTGGGTGTGATGACATGCACCTGTAGTCCCAGCTACTTGCGAGGCTAAGGTGGGAAGATCGCTTGAGTCCAGGAGTTCGAGACTGCAGTGAGCTAAGATTGCACCACTGCACTCCAGCCTGGGTGACAGAGCAAGCCCTTGTCTCTAAAAAAAAAAAATTAGAAAATAAAGATATTACTCTTTAGTTAATAAAGGGGAGAAAAAAATTGTTTTAAAAAGAACTAGAGCACAGTGAAGGTGAAACATGTGTCAGAGAATATCTAATTTAAATAAATTCCCTTCTCTTAGCTCACCTGAATTGCCTCCCAGAGAACTGAAACAAGGCACAGATGTTCACTATAGAACCAACATCTGGAATCTTTGAAAACTAAAGATGGGAGGAATGCCAAAACTCCAAACTAAGCAAACATTTTCCTGGTTATCTAAGAACAGAAAGGACAGATTCTGTGAACCAGAGTTCAGTAAGTTTGATATACATGTTTTCAGTATTGGTTCTTGAAAAAATTTGTGATGCCAGCATATATCCCAAAAGAAAAGTCATGATAAAATAACCCCATTAACTTTCTTTAACAAAGATATTAGACAGTGGATAGAAAACTGACATAGATACATCATAATTTAAATTAAAGAAGGTAATGATACAAACTCTTTTGACATGTTTGGAAAAGTGTCAATGGTGACATAAATTTTTTGCAGTAACCAAACTAATGGGTACGTATCGATAGATTAATAATCTAGAGGGAAGCCAAGACCATGTGCTGTTGACCAGTGAGTTGAAGGAAGACATGGAGACAGCCTCATCAAGTGTGTAGATGACACTTTGCTGGAGGGATATAGCAAATACATTACATCTGGATTTAAAAAGATCTCCAATTAATGGAATGAATGCTATGATGAAATCAAGAGATGCAATTTATCATACATAAATATAAAATCATGCTTTTAATTTTTTAATTGCAGGATACAATAGTCCTTTTGTGGAAATATTTGATCTGAAAAAAGACCAGACAGTTCAGTTGACCACAGTATATGATAAAGCTGTCAACAATGCTAAAATGTACTATCCGGTTACATGAGCTGATACAGTATCTGAATCCAGGTATTGGTGGAAGGGATTATCATACTAAAATTTCCAAGTCAGATAACCTGTGGAAAAGAGTATCAATATACCCACTGGAAGAGGGACATTGACAAGCTGAACTTTATTCTTAAAAGGTCAAATGAATTTTTAGACACCCAAAATGTGTTGGCTCATGAGCATTTAGCCTAAAGGAGAAAATAATAATTTCACTAATTATCTATAAATATGTGATGGCTTATTTTATGAAAAGCTCATTCTGAGTTTGCAAGACACTAACCAAAGACCACAGTGAGAAAGTACAGAAAGTACCTTAGGTGAACACACAAAGAGCCCGCCCTAGTAAAACCATCTCATCATGGGACATCAGTGTCCCAGAAACTATCCAGACAGAAGGGAGGAGGTCAAGTGGAGATCCTACAAGAGGATTCCTTCATTTAGTGAGAAGTTGCACAAGCTTTTGTTCTAAGATCTCCACCACTTTATACTTCCATAATTTTATATAATCAACAGTATCTAGAGACATCCAGCTGTGTAGTTAACAAGTACTATTTGTTAACTTGTATTACTCAGACCTCAGTTGTCTTCTTATACTGTCCAAGCAAATTAAGAAAAGCTGAGGTATAGTTGAATTATTTGGGTAATAGTAGCTATAAAAACTCAAGTAGAAAAGGGGGTAGTCACAACTTCAAATTTGCAATAAAAAAACAAGTTTATTGTGAACCCACAAATGGATCTGGCTAGTATTGTATTTTAGTAAGAATCAAGAGTGAATAATAAAACAGCTCTGAAAGTGACGAAACAACTGTACCATGTAATATAGACAGTCAGAAATAAACTTTGTTCAAACAAAATTCTATTTGAGTTCCACATACGTGGCTTTTCCTATTCTGGGTCTCAAAATCCTACCATAATAGACACATAGAAGCAGCCTAGTTCAAATATCAATTTCATTAGATTCTGTACTTCTGGGCATTATGAAGGAAGGATTAGTAGAGTGGTTGAGAGCCTGGAATTCATTAACTTCAGCATAAGTACATACTGCAATCTCCAAGGGAGTTCTAACACATTTTCCAGTCATCCTCATATAAGGGACCAGTAGAAGTCTTTAGCGAGAATAATTAAGGGAATATTTCAGAAGCATTTCTGTTGTATACAAGGCTGGTGATCCTCTTCCGTGTGTCTGTGCAATTCTTGTCCTCTGTTGGTCTCTATTGCGGTAATATTTCCTTCTTTCAAGAGCCTTATTATTATAAGAGGAACTTTTACCCTGTTACATGCATAAAGTTAAATTTACATACAAATTACTACATATCAACTAGTCACAAAGCACAAAGTGTTGAAAAAAACTTTTGTAAGCAGTCTTTGCTTACCTCTCAAATGCTTTGCAAAATGTCTATGCCTTTTTTTTTTTTTTTTTTTTTTTTTGAGATGGAGTCTCGCTCTGTCGCCCAGGCTGGAGTGCAGTGGAGCTATCTTGGCTCACTGCAAGCTCCGCCTCCCGGGTTCACGCCATTCTCCTGCCTCAGCCTCCCGAGTAGCTGGGACCACGGGCACCTGCCACCACACCCAGCTAATCTTTGTATTTTTAGTGGAGACAGGGTTTCACCATGTTAGCCAGGATGGTCTCGATCTCCTGACCTCGTCGTGATCCACCCACCTTGGCCTCCCAAAGTGCTGGGGTTACAGGTGTGAGCCACCACACCCGGCCGTCTATGCTTTCTTATATTATTAATTTTTACCTTGAAGTTGCTTTTCTATAGTTTGTTCACTGATACAGCCCTGCTGCCTAACATAGGGGCCCTTTGTTCCCCTTGATCAATATTCTGTTCTCCTTGGATTTTGCATGAATTCATCCTGCTGTTCATCCCTGTTCTAAGCATGGATATATTCTATTCCCTTCAATGTGAAGAGAAATCTCCTGATTGGGGGCTGCATTAGAGAGGAAAGGAGACCTCCAATAGACCAACTCGGAGACTACATGATACCCTATATTACCCATTACCCATCAATTGCCCTCCTGGATGGTGGTGGCTCAATGTATTGCTTGGTTTGGTTTTCCTTTATTTCATGCCCCCTGTTCTATGTACTAAGCAAGCATGAAAATAAAAGGTATAAACAGAAAAATACTTAGAGAAAAAATTTAAATTTTTTCCATACTATATCATAGGTAATATGGTCCTACACATCTAAGATATTATATCAAGTGGCTAGTTAGCATTTTCACAGGGAAACTCCATTTCACTAAGTTTGACAGTTGCTTTGACCTGAAAATCACTTCCCCTTGAAAACTACTGAACTTTTCTCCTGGCCATGATCAGAGACCTCTAGTCATGCATCTTCTGTACTTTCCCTATTATCACTGTAGCCCCAACAGGCTCAGTGTCCTTGATGAGTTGGTGAAAGGGGTACAGAAATAAGAGGTCCCATTTCTCCTGCCAGGCTACTTTATGAGCAGACATTATGCCTCAATCTTTTGTGCCTTAGGATCTGTTTTCTCATAAAGTAAGTGTAGTTTATTTACCATACTCAAGCTCTATGCAGCTACAGTTTGAGTTAAATAGGGTTTAGAAGACTGTCATGACAACGTACATAGCATTTATAATGTTATTTCTACAGGGGAATGTACCCTTCACTTCAAAGAATTGATTTACAAATAATTTTTTAATACATAATTATTTGCAAATTGATGAGTTGTACTTACAGTCTTCAAAATTATACGTACACCACAGACATGCTATGGTATGTATTTTTCCTATCAGAGAGAACTAGAAAGTATCTTTCCCATTTGAGTGTAACTAATATCTAATTTTTTTTTTTTTGACAGAGTTTCATTCTTGTTTCCCTGGCTGGAGTGCAATGGCACAATCTTGGCTCACTGCAACCTCTGCCTCCCAGGTTCAAGTGATTCTCCTGCCTCAGCCTCCCGAGTAGCTGGGATTACAGCCATGGGCCACCACGCCTGGCTAATTTTTGTATTTTTAGTAGAGACGGGGTTTCACCATGTATGTCAGGTTGGTCTCAAACTCCTATACCTCAGGTGATCTGCCCGCCTCAGCCTCTCAAAGTGCTGGGATTACAGGAGCGAGCCATCGCACCCAGCCCTAAATATTTTTAATAACACTAACTTAAGTCCACATGATCTGTAACAGTAAAGTATCAGGTATTGTATACATGTTGGTTTATTTTCTTCAACTTGTCTTGACTCACACACCATTTTCACACCTTGCTGAAAGTGTTGGGTGTCAATAAAGCAAGATACAAATAGATTTGATTCATGAATGTTTGAGCTCAAGGAACAGACACCTCCTGGCACCTGTCCATAGGTGGGACAGGTGATCTATTGCTTCTCTGCAATAGTCTGTCTGACTGCAAAAAATATATGATTGTTGAAAAGGTAGCTACTTGTCCACCTTGAATGGGAAACCTTGCTGACTTCGATTTCAGGTCACAAAAATTGTTCGGGGTTCTACTTTTTCTGAGATTTGCAGAGCGCTGCCTAAAGAGCATGACTTGGCACAAAGCTCCTTTATTTCAGATTTCATAGATTTGCTGTATTCAGTATCAAAATATGCTGTGTAGGTAGCCAGGAATATTGCACGTTATGTTTATATTCTAGTTTTGACCAATTTTTCTAAACGACATCATCTAAACTTGCCAGTTGGCCTAATGAGAGTTAAGAGAGGAGAATCTAAGGAATGTGGCTTTCCTCAAAACAAACTGAAAGGTGAAGTCACAAAGCACACAGTGTTGAAAAACCTTTTGTAAACTAATAACAACAGCTGCTTAATAAATGGCTTTTGCTGGGATGGAGGAGGGAGTGCCTGCCTGCATAGCTCTGCACACAGGCAAGTCCATCTCATGTTAAGTCAGAGGAAATTCAACAATGTTATCTAAAACATACAAAGGGCATAAACTGATATAACTTTAAATCAACTGTGTAAATATTCTTAAGTAGATATTAAAAAAATGTTTTCTTTTGTCTAAACTATGAAATATGGAATTGGGTAGCTTTCCCATTTCCTTTTAGATTGTTTAGGACTCACACTACTTCTATTTCCTGTTTTTTTTCCTTCTAATATGAACTGTAGAAATACAAGCATAAATTTAAAAAAAGAAGAAAAATAGGCTCTGGTCTAACTCAACGTGTATTATGACTTAGCCAAAATCACGTATACGTGATGAAAATTAACAAGAGGTTTCCATCTCAGGAGGAACATGGTGTTTCTTTTGACTTTGCATTATGTAACATGATAAAAGGACTCCATTTTCCTAACCTTTTCTGGCCATTTCAAACCACATTTACTAGCTAATATTAGTTACTGCTTGTTTCAGTTTTTTCTTACATGTGAAAGTATAAAAGCCTCCAGGAAGTTAATATTAAAGTTAGATGCTCAAATATACATTGATAGAACAGAATTTTGGAAACAACTTGATTAAAGTACAATCATATACATTAAAATTTAATGAGAATTCAAACAGAAAAAAATGTAAGTTGTACTGATGAAAATTATAATTGTAGTGTTAGGTAGAAATTCATTAGGGGATAAAAGGGATATATATTGCCCAGCTTGAGACCAGCCTGGGCAATATATGCGATACCCATCTTTTCCAAAAATTGAAAAAAAATAAAATAACTAAGCAAATACCTAGAGCAAAATAGCATTGTACCTGAAAAGGTGGATTGAAGCAATACTATTAGAGGTATTTAAAAGGCAATCTCAGGATGCCATGGAAGTTCTCTGAGCAGGGAAACTGCATTCATTTATTAATCCATTTAGCATATAATTTGGGAACACACACTATCTATAAGGCATTGTCTTAGGGGGTATGGGATGAAATAAAGGTGGGCAGTCTCTCTTATCTTTAGGGAGATTCACAGTAGAGAAAGCAAGATATGTATACAAATAAGCAAATAACCCATATTATAGTTGATTCACTCTACCTTTTGAGATTCCAATAACATTGAATCAAATCCCCACTCAAATTGAAGAGGAAAATTAGTGAGCCTCCTCTGATGGGGTTTTTACATTGTGCCTATTTATTTCTAATACCAGTTTTGGCCAAGTTCTCAATGTCTTGCTTCTTAATTCTTGACGCTGCTTCCTTCTGTCTACCATGTATTGACCCAAACATGGAACATGCTTTCTTTTCTCTGATCTCCCCAAATATAACTCACACAATTTGTACGTGTTGGATGTTTTCTGTGTGCATCTCCAAATCACTCTCCACTTTATCCACTTTGTCTTGTAACCTGGGAGTCTGAAAGTTATGTTCTGCTCAATGGTCTCCCGTGCCCACTGATTTCCAGTTGGGTTTGGTGAATGGAAGATGCTGGCAAGATCAGAGTAGGCGGGTAAAGAAACGTAAAGGAATTAATTTTTTCAGCTCCCTTCTTGGTGGATTGCTGCATATTGCCTGCGTTTATCTACCTACAGCTCCTATAATATCAGGTGAATGGCCTTCCCAACTAAGAGAGAGGCTCTCTCTGGGTTCCTTCTAGTTAGTGCTTCTTTTCTATACCCCTTTAGGTCTAGGCAACTGCACTATCCCTTCTTTGTTTTCCTAAATCCTGATGATATCTCTTATGTAATCACTTTTAAAACTCTCCTTGGTTACCAAATTTGAGTGACTATCCCTTGCCAGGACCTTACTTGTTAAAATGGAGAATAGAGATTTCCTAAATATTTAAGGTATAATAGTGAGGGTTACACTATAGCACACAGTGTAACTTCAATATCAGAGAGCAGTTTTTTTTAAATTTCT
This sequence comes from Homo sapiens, assembly GCF_000001405.40. Classification (NCBI taxonomy): domain Eukaryota; kingdom Metazoa; phylum Chordata; class Mammalia; order Primates; family Hominidae; genus Homo; species Homo sapiens. The sequence goes on along the minus strand of NC_000012.12, from coordinate 20,029,085 downwards.
TTAAATTTTTAAATCCACACCAACATGGCACACGTATACATACGTAACTAACCTGCACGTTGTGCACATGTACCCTAAAACTTAAAGTATAACAAAAATAAATAAATAAATAAATAAAAGATTCTGAGAAAGCCACCAACATGGTGAAACCCAGTCCCCACCACACACACACACACACACACACACACACAACACACACACACACACACACAAGTTGTATATATTTATCATGTATTGCATGTTGTTTTGAAATTGTGGAATACATTGTAGAATGGCTAAATTGAGATAATTAACATATGCAATGTGTATTACCTCACATACTTGGCATTTTTTATGGTAAGAATACTTAAAATCTACCTTTTAGCAATTCTCAAGAATACAATACATTGTTATTAGCTATAATCCATAATCCTGTTCTTAAAAGCCTTTTATTGTTTTCTCTCCTCCAATTCTATCATCATCTCTTATACAGCTTGAGACATTCATTATATTGCTTAGCCCTTTTCTTGCCTATAATTTCCCTTCCTCCCCACTTTGAGTATTTTTTCTCCAACCTTTCCCACATCTTTATATATATGTTGAACTCTACCCATCTCTCGGTCTCATCTTTGACATGCTCTTAGGTCTTTCTATAATCAAAATCATTTCTTGAAATGTTTTACTAAATAAAGGCAGTTCTCGTTCTTGCCTCTAGCTCATTTACTGCTCTTCTGACTCCTAGATATTCCATGAGTATAATACAAAAATGAGAGTTTTTCTCTACAATCACAGAGGTAGAGATTCAAAGAAATTAAAAGAAGTGGTAAAAGGAGAAGTAAGTTCATGATATGGGAAAGCATGACTCATGTGAGTAGTTCTGTTTAGCTTATTAATGATGAAAGTGGTGTTTGAAAAGACTAATTTGGCAGTAGTATACTGGATAGATTCAGGGGAAGAAAAACTCAAGGCAGGAGACCAGCCTATTTCAACAGTTTATGCAAGAGTTGATTAAAAAGTTCAACCTAGAATAGTAGTATGATAATAGAAATCAGAGCACAAATATAGAAAAAATAGGAGACTGTTAAAACAAAAGGTTAATCTTAATCTCTATCCTAAAATGAAAAAAAAAAAGTCCCAAACTGAAAAAATGGGTGTTCTACAATAAGATTAAAAATAAATTGAAGAATAACATTCTTTTTTTCAGGTTCAGAGTGGAAGTTTAACAGGTGAAAGAAAGAGAAGGGTTCTCTGCACAGAGAGGAGTCCTGGAGAAATGGGCTGCTGGCCAGGCGTGGTGGCTCACCCCTGTAATCCCAGCACTTTGGGAAGCTGAGATGGGTGGATCACCTGAGGTCAGGAGTTCAAGACCAGCTTGGTCAACATGGTGAAACCCCGTCTCCACTAAAAATACAAAAATTAGTTGGGTATAATGGTACATACCTGCAATCCCAGCTACGCAGGAGGCCGGGGCAGGAGAATCACTTGAACCTGGAAGGTGGAGGTAGCAGTGAGTTGAGATGATGCCACTGTGCTCCAGCCTGGGTGACAGTGCATGACTCATCTCAAAAAATAAATAAACAAATAAATAAAAGGAAAAGAGAAAATGGGTTGCTGCTTCCACAGTGAAGTGCACGAGGTTTTATAGATGAGCTTGAGGAGGTGGTGTTTTACATAGGGTACGAAAGATTGGTTGGATCAGGTATGCCATTGGCATAGTGCATGAAGAAGCTGGCCACCCCACCCTAATCTTTTAAGAATAATATTTTTAAAATTATATATTGTCTTAGTCCATTTGTGCCGCCATGACAAAATACCACAGACTGGGTAATTTATACATAACAGAATCTTATTTTTTACAGTTCTGGAGGCTGGGAAGTTCAAGATCAAGGCGCCAGCATTGGTGTCCGGTGGGGGCATTCTTGCTGTGTCCTCACAAGGTAGAAAAATGGAAGGACAAACACTGTGCCCTCACATAGCAGAAGAGCAGAAGAGCAAAAACGGCCTAAGCTAGTCCCCTCCAGGTTTTTTATAAGGCACTCGTCCATTAATCACTTCCCAAAAGGCCCCACCTTTCAATAAGGATTGAGTTTCAACACTTGAATTTGGGGACCATTCAAACCACAGCATCTATATACATCTGTAAAATAACTTACACTTGCAGCACTATATGCCTAGCAATATACTGACACATTAATACTTGGAGATTAAAGTGACTTTTGTGGTCACCTAGCTAATTGGTGATAGAGCTTGAAATGAAAACTCCAGCATCTAACTCCAAAATATGTGTTCTTAACTATTAACTTGTTTACTCCTTGTTCAATTATTATTCCCATTCACAGAAGTAGACATTATTAACACTCCCATTCTACTGAACAGGAAAGAGAGGAATACAAAGTTCAATAACTTGGTCACAGCCCTAAAATAGAAAAGCATGAATTTGACCCAGTAAGCCAAACTTGGAGCCTGTGCATGTTATGTTAACCATGACATTATGCTGCCTCTCTGAAGACATCTTATCAATAAGGCTTAGTAATTCACTTCTTTAGATAATGAAACAAATGAGGTGTAAAACGAACCTGAGGTTTTAAAGTTAAGACAGCTAGACTGTAGTAAAAATCTAGCTTAGCTCCCTATTACCTGCTCTAACTTGAGCTAAGCTCAAGCTCCTTATTTATGAAATGGCTCAATAATCCTTTCTTCATGATATGGTATTGAGGCTTGGAGGAGAAAACATCCATAAATGGTTTAATGTGGGCCTTGTACATACTATGTAGTTGAAGACAACAATCACACCTGTTCACCTTGTATGTCCAGCATCACACCAGACTCATAGGAGACAATGTAAATTTTGCTTAATGTATGTATTAATCAATTAAATAACTGATTGACAGACTGATTGATTAATAGAGTTCTGAATCACCCATCTGATTCCAACAACCCACCTCTCTTTTCTGGCTCATTTCTAGTCTATCATTTTAAACTTGAATCAATTTTCTGTATATCCTATATCCATTAGTAGATTTAAAAAGAGATGATAGCAATTTTAGAAAACATAAGGATAAGGCAAGTCTAATACATAAAGAATTTCATCCATTTAATCATACCATCATCCTTTTAGACTGTTCATTGCACAGAAAAATTACAGTTTCAGAAACCTCACTCTTTCTCCCTCCCAAATAAGATCTAAAATGTTTTATTGTATCTGACTCCCTTCCTTCCTCTAAAAACCATGCTTCGGTTTTTTAATGAAAAAAAAAATAGACAAAAGAAAAAGAAGAATATAATTCTGAGTTATTGAATTTCTGATTCATTTTTGTTCACTAACTTTTTTTTTTTTTTTTTTGAGACATGGCCTCACTCTGTTGCCCAGGCTGGAGTGCAATGGCGTGATCTCAACTCACTGCAGCCTCAATCTCCCAGGCTCATGGTTCTGCCCACCTCAGGATCCCCAAGTAGCTGGAGCTACAGGCATGCACCATCGCATTTGGCTAATTTTTGCTTTTTTTTTTTTTTTGCCTTTTTTTTGTAAAGACACGGTTTTGCCATGTTGCCCAGGCTGCACTAACAATTTGAACTGGGTCTTCAGTCACCAGGTAGGCCTGTAAGTAAATCTAGAGTCTTGAATATTGGTGGCATTCCAAAAAATTAGCACAAATTGAATGAAAAATTTGTAAACTTTCCTTCAGTTGGCCAAAAAACAAAACTAAATAAAATTTATATTATAAAAAATAATATTTAAATAGATTATTAAATTTTATTAAAGTAAAATTTATATTATAAAAGATAATATAATAACATTCTTTGATTTTTCAGTCTTGGGACAGTTTTCTGAAGGAGACATAAATGATGCTTTAAAAAAGAATGTACTCATGGTCATATTTTGGTAAATTTTGGTAAAATGCCTTTCCGTTTCCCACATTTTGCCCTCCTCCCCTTCACACCCCCCTCCCCATTCACACTGGCATGTCAAGTTTTCGTGGTAGTCAGCTCAGTCAGTAAAGATAGAGACTTTATGTTTTCAAGGCATAGGTATGGCAACATCATGCTTGGAAGAAAATAAAATGTGCCTGCAACTGTGATCGCACATGCCATAAAAATAATACCACCATCTGCAAATAGGAACTCACATTTGTATTAGGCTGTGGCTTATTTTCTACAGAAAGAGGACTCGTTTAATCATTTTTCATGGAAAGCAAAACACTACAAAGGAAATATAAGATTTTTTTTGACATTTTACTCTTTCAATGCAGATCTTTGTTCTTTTTCAGAGAATAATATTCTCTTAGTAAGTACCTCTTTCGCTGTCATGAAAAGTCTAACTTTTTAAGAATGAGAATCTAAAATGTCTGTCTTCTAGCACAGATTAGGAGGGACTCTTCAAAATATGCTATGCTGTAAATCGGGGAGGCTTCTGGCCCTTGTCTCAAGCTGTGTTGTACTAAACATGTTAAATAAATCAGCAAAGAAGTATTTTTAAAGATAAAAATAAAAATATTCATGCTCATAATATATCAAGTGACCTCTGAAATAAGAAATGGCATAAAAAAGAGGAAAATTAAAATGCGGGATGGGTTGCAAATTCATGAAAACATATATCTCCACTTTTCCACGTTCACTCCCTGCTGCTGCTGCTGCCACTCCTGTTCTCGGATGCTCAGAAGAAGCTTTCTCGTTTACGAACACACTGATATTTCCTCTAGGGAAGGAAAACAGTCCACTAGTGGTGCAATAACCTAAAAGGGAAACATCTGTTTGGAGCATGGAGCAATTTGTTGGCCCAGTTCACAATACAAAGATTGCAGCTGAAATCCTCTATACGATTCTGCAGGTCTCACCAGATCACAAGGAAAGGAAAATTGGTCTTTATAGGAGCATCTCCTGGGACCTAACTGGATTAAAGAATAGGCTGTGTTTTTCATTTAGATAAAGTTTTTTTAGATAAAGATTTTTTTAATAGTACAGAAAATTCGAGAAAAACAGCACTTAATAAAAGGATACGGCTAAAACAGTAAATTTTACGTTATGTGTATTTTATCACAAAAAAGAAAGATAAAAGGAAAAAAACAAGACACATCCTACTCCTCACATTTCAGATTCTAAAACAGGTGTTAAAAACCCCAAATCTGAATATTACCAAAGTAAATCTAACTTGAAGGAGACTTTTGCTGTAAATTTGCATCCTCAACTTTTACTAAGAGGCCTTTTGTTTCTGTAGAGACTAATGTCATTTTTAAGGTTTTGGTCCTTCAAAAGGGCCATCCTCTCATCCTATCAAGCCTGTGTTCACTGAGAGGGTTTAGAACATACCCAGAGGTGTGAGGATCTAACATTAGGTGTTACATGTACATGAAACTAGCATGAAAAAGAAGAGATAGGAATATGTTGAAAAGTTATTGGAATATAAACTAATCTAAAAATAAATACATAAATACTGTACCTCTTTTCAAAGCACCATACTGAATTTTACAAGTAGACAATAATGAAGTGGCTAGACAAATCTGGCAAACAAACTAGGTGCATTAATTACCATGAGGCTGCTGCTAACCGACAACTGTTTGGTGTCACCCACCATACATTTGAAAATAATTGCATTTAAAACTGGGTATCACTGGTTATATAGTTTGGGGCTAATTTATTTATTTTCAAATTGCTTCATAAAACATAACTGATAAAAGAGAAAATAGATACATTAGGCAACATACTCACATTTGAGTCATATCTAATACTTGTATGTCAATAAATTAAATAAAATCTAAACTAACCATTGTTAATAAAAATTCCATTTGAACTTCTATAAATTTGTGGTCATATGAACCACTGTAGAATGTAACTTGATTATTCCACAATGTATATGTACTTCAAAACATCATGTTGTACATGATAAATGTATACAATTTTATCCACAATTTAACAATAAAAAACTTTTTAAAAAATTAAGAGGATTAAAAAATGATATGTCAGGTTAAGTGCAGTGGCTCACAACTGTAATCCCAGCACGTGGTGGCACCAAGGTAGGAGGACTGCTTGAGTCCAGGAGTTTGAGACCAGCCTGGGCAAGACAGTTGGACTCAGTCTCTAAAAAAGAAAAAGAAAATTAGACAGGCGTGGTGGTGGTGGCGCACACCTGTGATCCCAACTACTCAGGTGGCTGAGGCGGGAGGATCTCTTGAGCCCAGGATTTCAAGGATTCAGTGACCTGTGATGATGCCACTGCGCTCCAGTCTGGGCAGAGAGCAACACCTAGTCTCTTAAAAAAAATTTTTTAAAGATATGTCATGCTGGCCAAGCACAGTGGCTCACGCCTGTAATCCCAGCACTTTGGGAGGCTGAGGCGGGCAGATCACCTGAGGTCAGGAGCTCAAGACCAGCCTGGCCAACATGGCAAAACCCCATTTCTACTAAAAGTACAAAAATTAGCCGGGTGTGGTGGCAGGCACCTGTAATCCCAGCTACTCAGGAGGCTGAGGCAGGAGAAGCTTGAACCAGGGCGGCCGAGGTTGCAGTGAGCCGAGATTGAGCCACTACACTCCAGCCTGGGTGACAAAAGCAAGACTCAAAAAAACAAAACAAAAACAAAAAGGTATGTCATGCTAACTAATCAAAAATAAATAAAACATAAGTTTAAATTAGGGGAAAAATATAATTCAAAATTATTAAAAGAGAAAAGAAAAAAATTTTATCTCTTTATTTTAAAAAAATTCCAAAGAAACTACAGACAATCCTTTCACAACATGAATTTAGAACTTTTCCTCGTCATCCTCTATTTTCAAAGAAATGACTACATACATTTGATGTATGATCCGATTCAACACAGGGCTACAGCTATCAGTGTTTTAAATAATCTATTATTAGTTAACAATAAACTGACTGGTACAACAAATCCTTACTTGTCAACAGGTATTTGTCAGGAGGCCAGACTTCTAGTTATGATGATGAGTGTTTGTGTTACACTGCTAAGTTTGCAAAGTAATTTTTCACATGCAGTATTTCATTTGAATCCCACTGCTCCCTAATAAAGTATTATCACCAGTCTCCTTTGACAGAGAAGTAAAGTGACAAAGTCAAAACGTTAGTACAGAAAAGAGTTTCAAATAGAACTCTGCTGCTATAACTCCAGTTACGCAGAATCTTTCCAAAAAAAAAAAGCTCAAAATACAACTTGAAATGCAGAAATAAAAACAACCACAAAGGCTTTGAGAGTTTTAATTATTTGTATCAAGTGAATATTCTAGTATTCAAGCACTTTTAAGTAATAGTTCATAGTTGATACTTTGAGACCTACGAAGAAGGCACAAGACAAAAAAGAAAGGAAGGAAGGAAGGAAGACATAAGAATAATAAAAGCATAAGGTTCTGTTGGCAAACTTTGTTCTCTCATAGGGCAACATAGGATTATCATTTATCAGTACTTTCTAGGGGGTTGTCATAACAAAGCGTCACAGATTGGGTGATTGATTTAAACAACAGAAATTTTGTTCTCCTGGTTCTGGAGGCTAGAAGGTTGAGATCAAAGAGCAATGACCACCTTTTCCCTGAGTCTTCAGATCATCTTCCTTCTGTATGTGTCTGTGTCCAAATTTCCTCTTTTTATGAGGGCACCAGTCATACTGGATTAGAGCCCACCTTAATGACCTCTTTTTAACTTAATTACCTCTTTAAAGACCCTATTTCCAAATACAGTCACATTTTGTGGTACTGGGGGTTAAGATTTCAACATATGAATTTCAGGAGACACAATTTAGCTCATAATATATAACTCACAAATATTTACCACCCACTTACTATGTGCAGAGCACCATGCTGAACTCAGAGTACTAATCCCTGCCCTTGATGGAATATCCACCTATGTATGTAGATATGACACAAAACTGAAAGCTAAATAAAACTCCAAAAGTCAAATGACAACAAAATAGACTATTGCAACTTCATAATCTTTTTGGCCCACATGACAAAAGTTATATTTTATCAGTATATCCTTTTCAGTAGGGAACTATGTACTAGATTTTAGGAAGAATACTCCTCAAATGGTTAAAATATTTATAACTTGCTGTTCTGTCAACTGCCTGAAAAATCAATTAGCATCATATATTCCATTAATTGATAATAAAGATATCACTATTATATTATCAGAAAAAAACTTTTTAAATGACTAAGAAAGTTAGTACATAAAATATACTAAAAAAGGGAACAATATGAATTTGTAAGTTTGCAACAAAGGGAAAAATGTAAATAATGTGATAGCCACCAGTGAAAGGAATAAATAGCTTTAAATACAGTGGCTAGCTTCAGCTTGTTTTTCTAGTTCTTTAAAAATATATGTATAGTTTCAGCCGGGCGCGGTGGCTCATGCCCGTAATCTCAGCACTTTGGGAGGCCGAGGTGGGCAGATCACGAGGTCAGGAGATCGAGACCATCCTGGCTAACACGGTGAAACCCTGTCTCTACTAAAAATACAAAAAATTGGCTGGGTGTGGTGGCGGGCACCTGTAGTCCCAGCTACTTGGGAGGCTGAGGCAGGAGAATGGCATGAACCCGGGAGATGGAGCTTGCAGTGAGCTGAGATGGCGCCACTGCACTCCAGCCTGGGTGACAGAGCAAGACTCCGACTCAAAAAATATTCTCCTTTCTATTTTTTTTTTTTTGTACTTGAGGTTTTTGTTGAACCCAAACCAAAACATTTGAAAATATTTTGAAATATGTGAAAAGTATAATATACATCTGGATTTGCCCAACCCTAGTAAGGATACAGGAAGCATTATTTTTATTTAACGTTTATATGATAGCTGCAGTGTGTCTCAATCCTAAGGTATTTTTTACAATAGCCCTATGGTGCAGGTTATAATTATTATTTTCATTTTGGGCAAGAAATTTACCAGTACTTGCACAGTGGGCTTCAAGTAGAGGTTTTTATAGGTCTGTGTTCTTTAGAGGTTTTTGTTGGTAGGAACATTGAACCAGTAGACACAAACCTAGCTCCAAGTCTTGGCTTTACTTCTTATTGACAATTACATTGTATATCTTCTTGGTAGATTTTATCATTTTGCAGTTTCTCCCTTTCCTTACTAATATATTTTGATTTAAACACAATTTTGCCAGGTATTACTATTACTATACCAGCTTTCTTTGGTAACTATTTGCCCAATGTATCTGTGGTAGGCAGAACAATGACTTCCTAAAGATGTCCACATTCTAATCCCCAGGGCTTGTGAATATGTTACAGTATATGGCAAAGGGAAATTAAGGTAGCAGATGGAATCAAGATTTCTCCTTAAAATAGGGAGATTATTCTGGGTATGTATTCACAAGGACGCTCAAAAGTAGAAGAGAGAGGCAGAAGAACAGAGTCAGAGAAATAGATGTAATGACAGAAGTAAGTTCAGGGTTATGTGATATGGTAAGGACTTAACTCACGTTGCTGTCTTTGATGATGGGGAAGGGACATCACAAGCCAAGGAATGTGCGAGGCCCTTTAGAAGCTGGAAAAAGTGAGGATGAAGAATGTTATGAGATATATATTAGTTATCTTTGCTGCTGTAACAAATTACCACCAATTTAGTGGTTTAAACAAAACAAATTTAATATTCTCCTTTCCTACAGCAACTTGATTTGCCTATTAACCTTAGAGTCACTGTCTTACATGCCATAAACATTTATACTTATCTTCTTTCCTTAACAAGTTTCTGGAAATGTTATGTTTAATGACATATATTCAAATTAAAAATATTATTATCTTGCCAATTATCTAGCAAGATTAACAGTAAAAAATAAGTAAACATATTCTTTAAAATTTTAGCAATGTCATACAATACTCAAGTTAGAAGTGACTATATGAATTTTCTATATAATTCCCTCGTTACGAGTGTGTGTGTGTACATGTTTTTAGTTTTATTCTAAATCCTGGTTATACCTGGCATCATGCTGGCATTTTTGGCTGTAGTCAAACACAGATCAGTGTCTTTGGAAACAAGTTAACAATTTTTTTTAATTTGAAATGGTAGCTCAGAATGCATTATCCTCTAAGACCCATTGTGGACTATGGACTATCTGTTTTTGTTTGTTTGTTTGTTTTTGAGATGGAGTCTCGCTCTGTTGTCCAGGCTGGAGTGCAGCGGAGCGATCTTGGCTCACTGCAACCTTTGCCTCCTGGGTTCAAGCAATTCTCCTTCCTCAGCCTCCTGAGTAGCTGGGATTACAGGCACCCACTACCACGCCTGGATAATTTTTGTATTTTTAGTAGAGATGGGGCTTCACCATGTTGGCCAAGCTGGTCTTGAACTCCTGACCTCAAGTGATCTACCTGCCTCAGCCTCCCAAAGTGCTGGGATTACAGGAGTGAGCCACCGTCCCCATCCCCAGTGTGGACTATTTCTCTCCACTTATCTAACTTTACATTGGTCATATAAGTAACTCAGGTAACGTGCAATGATGGTAATAAAACATCTTTTATTTGAGATGCATTGCATAACTCATGCCTCCTATTATAAACAGACGTCATCTAAAGAACAATTACTCCTTTTGATGTTTATTTACAATCCTCACCCTTCACATGACAAAATGGTGGTTAACATTAATTAGTTTATTTAGCCATAAATTTTTTTCAACTTTGGGTAACACCATCACAATGAAAGAATGACATTACATAAAAGGGCAAAAAAAAAAAAAAAAAAAAAAGCAGAAGCATGACCTGGTCAACTACTTTTATTGGGTTTGAGTTGATACATTATCAAAGAAGACTGTCATTGGTTTTATGATACCTGTTAATTTTTAACCAGCAAAATAAATTTATTTTCACTCTTTGTCATGACTTTGTGCTTGATTACTTGCTTGCTTTCTCTCTTTTTTCCTTTCCTTATATCTCTTTCATTTTTTCTCTTTTTAAAAATCAGAGTATATTCTCTCCCTCTTATCAATACCCCCAACTTTTAACATCTAAATCTTTAATTATTGTAATTTGATATATTCTCTACCCCTAGTGATTATCAGGAGGAATATACATCTGTAGTATTCAAATATACTTGTGGAGCTAGAAAAACTGAAATAAAATTGATCTCTTAATATATCTAGTAGGAAATTACAATCAGCATTCTATATTTATGGAGAGCAAAAGGATTGCTCAACTGTAGGGTGAGGTCAACTACAGGGTGGCTTTATGGTGATGATGGGTCAGAACAGTACTCTTGGAGAACCAGAAGCAGAGATCAAGAATAACCTTAATTACCAACCTACTCAATGACCTTGAACAAATCAACAAGTTATCTTTTTTCTTTCTCCTTGACAATTATTTCTTCTGCCTGTTGGCTTGGACTGACCTAATACAATGCCCCAATAATTTAACTCCACTAATTGAAACTTTATATGGTATGAATTTATGCTTAACTTTATACTCTATACAATGTTTGATTATGCAAATCACAGTTTTGAACAAGACTGCATAAATATAGGGTTTTGATTAAACTACTTAAATAGACAAATTGTGATCAAGTACTTTAAGAAGCATTGTTTGCCTATAAATATGATTCTTACTATGGTTGATCATTTCTTGGTCTTTACTGAAGGTCTGTCAGGACTTCTAATTATTAGGGGCCCTGTTATAGGAATGTGAATTATTCTGTATTTGGAAGATATAATATTGCCTTTTGCTAAAATTCCTCTATAATTTCAATATTTTACCCCAACATAGTTAAGTTAGTAATAGTTTGCAATGTGAATTAACAAGATAGGGATACTGAAATATTTTTAGGGAACCAAATGATGTTATGTGGTCATGGCTATAAAGCATTAATTTTTGTTTATAAAACTGAGTTACATTCTCGTTGTTTTCATGAAGTACACAGAATCCCTCTCCACTTAATTGTTCCATGCTTGTTTCTGTCTTCAACATTTTCTTGTGTTATAACGTGGTTAAATCAGTTATTTTTTTACCTCCTCAAACCATTTTATAAATTTATTCATCTTTCAATAGCCTTTGTAATGGAAAAATTTCACTTTTTCCCCAAATTTCCTTAGGTTCTCTCTCTTTTCATGAAGGCAAAGAAACCCAAAGTATTAAAATATAATTTATAAAATTTGATTGGTGTCCTGAAAGTCCCATTAAAAATAATATGCCATTACCATGAGGCTTACTAGAAAGGAATTGGCAAACAATCTCAACACTATGAGGCTGTTTTGTGGAAATAAAGGCACAGCATATTATAACCCAAACCACAAGAAAATACTAGTTCACTATTTCAGTTGGATAACCCAAGTCCTTCTTCCTGCCTCAGTAAGTCTGGGGGCATTTGTCAAACAGCTGCTCTCTTTTATTCAGAATTAGCTGCATTTAGTGGTAGGTTAAATGACCGCCACATGCACAATTCGTATTTCGTTTTACAGGGGACAAATGAGTATCCTCAGACACAGGAAAATCAAATGATCACCCAGTATATGGCCTTTATAGTGTATGGTTTTGATCAGAGATCATACACAATGACATCACCATCTTACACTATTTATCATGGCAGCCAGTGTTTTTCTCTATGAATTCCAAGAAGTGCCAAGATCTATTTTATTTGTAGGATTCAGCCTTCTAGAACCATTGTCTACAATTTTGTTATTAAAAGTTTTCCTAATTTTATTATTCCCATAATCAAATTTTTAACCTTAAGAAATTTCCCACAAGGATAGCAAGGTAGGTTCCATAGGGTGCTGGAATGTTTAGCGTTATACTACTAGATTTGACCATTTGCCTCATCAATTAATAAAGGAAAAAACATAATGAATCCCACAAAATATAATATAATCCAGAAGAGAATTATCAGTTCTAAATTTTCAATTGTTATGGATGTAAAAGACATTCTTCATACTAATTTTTCTACCCAGCAAAATTATGAAGCTTTATCATGTGCCTTATAAAGACTGCCACACAAGACCTATTCTTGGTACCTCTGGGAAAATGGCACCATCTTCCTATTTTCTAGTTCCTTATCCAGCGGAAATCACATGCATCTAAAATGGCTAGAAATTATTCCTAACGGTCTTCCAAACTGCATGTTGGGAAGAACTAGAAGCCACTAGAAAGATATTCACTGAGCGTTCATTTCCTAAATGATGCAATCAGTTTCATTCATATTCGCATGCAAGAAAGAGGAAAGAAAGTGGTACCTGCCAGGGCCGGGAGCGGTGGCTCAGGCCTCTAAATCCCAGCACTTTGGGAGGTCGAGGCGGGCGGATCACGAGGTCAGGAAATCGAGACCATCCTGAATAACACACCCCGTCTCTACTAAAAATACAAAAAATTAGCCAGGCATGGTGGCGGGCGCCTGTAGTCCCCGCTACTCAGGAGGCTGAGGCAGAGAGAATGGTGTGAAGATGGGAGATGGAGCTTGCAGTGAGCCGAGATTGTGCCACTGCACTCCAGCCTGGGCGAGAAAGCGAGACTCCGTCTCAAAAAATAAAAAAATAAAAAAAAAAAATAAAGGAAAAGAAAGCGGTACCTGCCTCCATGATCCTCTTCAACAGATCTGTAAAGACTGTGTGTGTGTGTGTGTGTGTGTGTGTGTGTGTGTGTGTGTGTGTGTGTGTGTGTGTCTCACTGGAAGGACAGTGGCTCAACAAAAGGCTTTTGTTGTTGTTGTTCGGGAAATAACTGTATTAAATCTTCCTTGAAACAAGACAAATATCTTAAGTATTTTTCATTTGAAAGTAATAGAAATCCACCATTCAAGTTCAAGTGGAAGGGGGAATTGAGAAGAGAATACAAGGTTATCTTAGAGTTATCAAATACAGAAAGTATATTTAGGCCCTAACAAAAAAAATGAAACACTTTTAAAGCTGATTTGTCCCTCTCTCAGACAACTTCTCTACTTTTCCAGGCTATCTTCTACAAAGCAGTTTTTTTCGTTTCTCCATAATAGCAGCTTTCAAGTGAGTTGAGTTTCCTGTCTCCAACTCTCTCTAACTTATAGGTAGAATATCCATTATTGTCTAATTCAGTCACTGGGGCTCTGAATTTAAATTATCAAGAGACTGAGTCTGATTGTCTCAGCCTGGGTCACATTCCATCTTGGACCAATCAAATGTGGCCAGGGATTGGGGGTTTACCTGATATGCAATGTCACCAGGGCTGACTGTGGCTGGAAGGTCTGAAGAAACTGTTTCCTCTTCTGCCAAGCAAGTCATCTTTTATAGACAGTGAGTGCTGGTCATAAAGCTTGTTGCATTTAGAGAAAATTAATTTCTACAGATTTTATAAATGCCCTGCATACTGAAGATGTTAAATAAATGGTAATCATGATAATACTGATTTGAAGGCATTCTTTCTAATAAGGCGAACATGACATTTAACTACTACTACGTTATAAATATTTTTAATTAGCTGGATATAGAAAAACATTTGAAAGTCAGGCATACATTTAATAATTACATTTTGAAATTTAATTTCTCACAATGGAAACAAAAAGTTCATATTGAAAAAAATCTTTTATAAACTACTATTAGTGTTTTTCATCAGATTTCTATCAGTAGTTATATACAAATGATAAACTCAAGTGTATGTTTAAAACTCACTGTAAAGTCAGCATAAAGAAAAACTATCAGCTTAAAATAAAACATCAGAAGGTTTTAACAATATTTATAATATCTTCCACTTACAGCTGCTGTGACGGCCACATTCATGTACTCACATATATATGCTACAACAATTCTTACATTTAGATATATTTTAAACATTTTACAAACAAGGAATCTAAGATTCAGGAATATTATATTTTGCCCAAATTATACAAGACAAGTATGTATTGGTAGCAGGATTCTCTAATAGTAATCAGGTAATCTTTCAACTTCCCAAAGCCATCTTTGCAAAAATTAGAGGAATCTAACAGTTTCTCAAGGCAATAAACCAACATCTGCTAGAAAATTGGCATTATAAATAGAGGAACCCATAATGACTACAAATGTGAATGCCGCCCCCCCCAAGAATTGGGCAATGCAAAACCTGCACAACAATATATGCCAGCCTGTTAATTTAAATAGTACAGATGTTACTAGTCAATTCTTCTTTTTACATGGAGTACTATTCATTAATGCCCCGGCCCTCCCCTTCTCTCCCGCCATTTACCCCCAACCCTGTTACCTAGATAAATGATTAAATTCTGAAAATGTTTTAACCCATTTGTTCCATTGATATCCCAGTGATCAAAGACTTTAAAAGCATTTTTCAACCACGGTTCCATTAAATCTCTCTATATAATTCAATCAATAAAACATTTTGGGATCCTAGAAAGGCACATCATTTATGGCCCACTATGATCTTCTTTATTTAAAAATATCTTAGTTCTATGGCTAAGAAGGGAAATTTCTTAACAAACCTCAAATGTTCCTCCATTTTGTTGATTCCTAGTTTGAAAAAGCAAAATGTGACATCATTCAAGTGACATGTTTAGAAGACTTAACTACATGCATTAACTATGTTTACCATTGTTGGCTTATTTCTTCTATGCTTACATGGCTAAACTTCTTCCAGAATGAGAGCTTTGCCACCGAATATTCCACTAGATGAAAAATGCTCAAGGAAAATGGAGGAGAGAAAGAATTACAGTTCAAAATCTCCAGGGAGGTATGTATAGTTAGGGAAAGTGCAATTAATATTATTAGAAAAGGTTATATTTGGGAGAGGAGGAAGGGAACTCCTGGTTTTACAGTATAAGCTACAGAAAGTAAAACCTTATGAAACACTGGGTGATGGGGACTGAGGTTGAGGAGGGAAAAGGAGGAAGATAAATATAGTATATATGTGACAACTTGAAAAACACTTGCCCAGACATTTCATGCTGAATTCACGGCACCATTTTACTAAACAGCACCTTATATGACTACATCCTTTCATTTAAGAAATGGGAGGAGAGGTAGAACCAGCAGGATTACTTGACCTTGCCTTTAATCAAAGGAGTCCAAACTTTTGGCTTTTGTGCAATATCAAATGTGTACAAGAGAACATCAAGAGACGTAGAGTAGTGGCCTCAAAATATATCTTTGACTTTTTTCCAGTAGCCATATTCATACTATATTTTAATAACCCTATAAGTACCCATTTTAGATATTGTTTCTATGTTAGTGAGCAACGTAGTAACCTAAATGATGGTACAATAAATTTGTTTACATTTACAAACTTCAGGAAGCAAAGTCTTTTGGAATGGCTTTATGTATACATGTATGTGTACCTATATGTATCTATTAGTCCATTTTCACACTCCTATGAAGAGATATCCAAGACTGGGTAATTTATAAAGAAAAAGAGATTTAATGGACTTACAGTTCCACATGGCTGGAGAGGCCTCACAATCATGGCAGAAGGCAAAGGAGGAGCAAAGGCCCATCTTACATGGTGGCAGGCAAGAGAGCATGTGCAGGGGAACTGCCCTTTATATTATGAAACCATCAGATTTCATGAGACTTATTTACTATCATGAGAGCAGCATGGGAAAAACCCACCCCGATTATTTAATTACCTTCCATTGGGTCCCTCCCATGACACGTGTGGATTATGGGAGCTACGATTCAAGATGAGATTTGGGTGGGAAAACAGCCAACCCATATCAATGCATATCTTCCTTTAACATTTTTAAATGGCTTGCTTATGTACTATAGTTGCATATAGTAATAGATTTGAGATGAGACCTGTAGAGTAAGTGTTTACTAGATGAAGAAGGTGTAGAAGATTTGTAGAGGTACAAATCGCATTCTTGGACAGAAAGCTGTGAGTCACAGTACCAGCTCCATTTGAACATGCAGGTAATGAACTAAAGAAGACTTGAAATAAGCCTCCGTGAGTCTTCAGCAGGAGAGTCTGTACAGAGGAGGACAGTAGCAGTTGTCGGCTTAGCCAAAGCATTTTATTTTCCTGCTGGCGATTTCCACCTACCAGCCTCCATCTTACTTATTAATCATCAAATAAAAATACTTGGGGTTTTAAAAAATAAAATTTGATGTGAATCCACCAGGAGAAAACCTCATGAATATTTCTAAGTAGATCAGAAGTATTTTTTTCTATAGCCTACTAATGTCTCATTAATACTTTTTAGTGGAAAGGGTAATTCAGGGAGTAAATACAAGAGTCATCATACAGCAAAATAACCACTCTATGGATTAAGGAGTTCTGCTACTCTTTGCTACTTCAAAGATCCAAAAATAAATCCCAGCACATATTCTTCTGTCTTAATCACTTTTTAAAATGTTGAATCATGTAATTGAAGATATTTTATGTTAAAGAATTAGCAGGACAATTCACTTCAAACAAATATAAAAATAAAAATAGCAGCTCCTCAGAGAACACACTTCATGATCAAAGTCTCCTTCAACATCTAATAGGCACTAGAAATATTTTAGAAAACAACTAAATCAATCATTATTTCATGACAAATCTTTTAGCTAATGAGTTCATTGTTTGTTAAAATCTTCTATGGTGTCTTCTTCAGTTCTTTTTACCAAACGTTGTATTAAGGCATGAATGTTTCTATTTGACTACAAAAACAAAGATTATATCTTACAATAAAATTATATTTCCTTGAATGATAAAATCCACATTTCTTCCCAATGTTTTGGTAGTCCTCACTGAATCTTATATAACTAGTTCACTTATATTACTTTCTGGGTAGTCTTAAAAGGATTATTTTGCACTTACGGAATCTCATTCACTCTACCTCCATAAAAGCATCTTGGCAAGCCTTCAAAATTCTGTTGGCAGCCTGTCTTGGTAGGTCAATGGGTTCTTTCCCTGTTGTTCACATTTGTGTGTTTGCTTAGATCTTGACCTAGTAGAGAAAGTTTGCTTACTAGAAATGATTAGATAAAGATGTCCTCCTCGAAAATTTCTCCACCACACATTTTCTTTAAAAAGATTCTCTTAATGTAAGAAACTCCACCTTGAAACTTTTTTTTAATGCACAGAAAAAGCTGTTTCACAGTTTTTTATGAAGCGAAAGGGTTTGGATCATAATATCAAAGGACGCAATACTGAGTGCCATAATCCTGAATGTTGAAATCCTAAAAGATCAAAATCTCTAAAATCTAAATCCCTATCATCTAAAATTCTAAACATTTAAAATTTGGAAAATCACCATCGCAGGAAAGTCACATCATGTTAGGCAGAACTATTACCTTGTTATTGTCTTTATAAAGAAGAAAATGGATTTCAGTTGAATCCCCAACTATAGTGACAGATTTGGAATTAGGTGCAATCAAGATTTCCAAGAGTGGATTTCAGGGTGTTACCAATAAAGTTTGTTTTTTTCCATTCAGCTCAATGCATTTGGAGAAAAATTCAAATGAGTAGATTGCCTGCACAACACGGCAAGAATGAAAACGTCAGTTTAAAAATGCCTCATTTACCTGTGTTGGCATTCCTTCCAGCTGATGATATTCCAGGGCTTTTAATAAATTAAAGCTGCATTTGCCTGAGGAAGCCAGCTAAGTTACTGACTAGTTTGAAAATAATTATGTGCATAGTAGGATAAGAAGACACTTATGCAACAGTGCTGCTTTTTGATCACCAGTACTGTTTTTGCCAAATTTGTGTTCTGTATTGCATGCAGAATGGATTTCCACAAAGCCAAAACACAGAAGCATCGCAAGAAAATGGGAAAATTAAATAGGGAATGCGTATATTGAGAAGTGAAGCCAGCTGGACTTCCTGGGTAGAGTGGGGACTTAGAGAACTTTTCTGTCTGGCTAAAGGACTGTAAACGCACCAATCAGTGCTCTGTGTCTAGCTAAAGGATTGTAAACGCACCAATCAGCACTCTGCATCTAACTAAAGGATTGTAAACGCACCAATCAGCACTCTGTAAAAACGCACCAATCAGCACTCTGAGTCTAGCTAAAGGATTGTAAATGCACCAATCAGCACTCTGTAAAAACACACCAATCAGCACTCTGTGTCTAGCCAAAGGACTGTAAACACACCAATCAGCACTCTGTAAAAATGCACCAATCAGCACTCTGTAAAATGGACCAATCAGCACTGTGTAAAATGGACCAGTCAGCGGAATGTGGGCGGGGCCAAATAAGGGAATAAAACCTGGCCACCCGAGCCAGCAGAGGCAACCAGCTTGGGTCCCTTTCCGTGTTGTGGAAGCTTTGTTCTTTTGCTCTTAATAAATCTTGCTGCCGCTCACTCTTTGGGTCCACACTAACCTGAGGAGGTCTAATACTCACTGTGAACGTCCACGGCTTCATTCTTGGAAGTTAGCGAGAGGACAAACCCACCAGAAGGAAGAAACTCCGGACACATCTGAACATCTGAAGGAACAAACTCTGGACACACCATCTTTAAGAGCTGTAACACTCATCGCACAGGTCTGTGGCTTCATTCTTGAAGTCAGCGAGACCAAGAACTCACTGGAAGGAACCAATTCTGTACAAAATATCAATGTATATCAAATCAGAAGAGTTGCAAAAAGAGCAGCACCACACAGAAAATGAATGTAAACATATTATACAAGGAGAACCATGTCCTAAGAGAAAAAAGCAGATATTCATTGTGATGTAAGACTTCAAAATACAGTTAACTGCTAGCTAGGTGAAAGTTGGCCAGCTCCTATGGACTATCTCTATGCAATCTGTCCCTGTAATATACTTTTCATATGTCAAAATTTCTTTTTAGTTTTTTTCTTCTTTTAGTTTTTCCCCACTATTTCAAATTGTCAGCATTTTTTTTTATAATTTACTATGCTATGTATTTCATCTTTGCATCATTTCCAATACTGGAGGTATAAATTGTGTAGACTTTTATAGAGTTCTGATTTATGTACTTTTTTTAGAAATTTGCCTCCATAAAAATGCATTATCACAATCTTGACTGTGTGTAAGCATTGTGCATGTACATAAAAAGATTAAAATTTCCATAATAAATGAAGAGATGTCCTTTTTGTACATCTGCATTTGTAAAAGGTAAAATTTCTCAAGATCTTGGCTCTTTAAGCAACTGGTGTGGTGATAATGTAGTTGTAACCCATAGTGGTTTTTGATCAATCTTGTCAAAAGTCTCAGGTGTTCATCGCAGTATTTCGGATGACTTGCAGTTACAAAGCTGAGTGCACACAATTACCAACCATTGTGATATGCATTTATACATTTCAGTTTTTGACCTATGTGTTTATAAATACGGTTTGTCTGTTCATAAAAGTTATGCCTGTGTGACTGTCATTAGTATACCTGTTTATGCTTACAAAAATACACGTATTATTAGTGTCTATTTCGTTGTGTCAAGTAGACTATTTAAGTGTTCTATTGTGTTTTCATATGTTTCTTATATAAATGTCCTTTGAAAAATGTAAGTAAACAGCTAGCCAATGTAGTGGCACACACCTGTAGTCCCAACTAGTCAGGAGGCTGAGGTGGGAGGGTCGCATGAGCCCAGGAGTTTGAGGCAGCAGTGAGCGATGATCACACCAATGCGCTCCAGCTTAGGCAAAGAGGAAGACCCTGTCTCTAAGGAAAAAAAAAGTTAAGCCAGTCTCTTTTAAGGAATTTTTAAATTATTTTTTCCAGAATTATATTTTCAGCATTTTGATCTTTCAGGATTTGAAAATTTGGAATTATGGCATTCAGGATTGTGTCTTTTGGGATTGTGACCAGCTCCCAAAAATAAATATCACTGACTTAACAATTTTTCCAAGGTTTCTAAGTTTGACCAGCATCATCATTACATTTAAAATCTTCTCACAAACCGTCTTTGACACAAATAACTAAGGTTTGCATATACCTTTGATCCCAATGAAATATAGTGAAATAGAATCTTCTACTGATGAAAGTTAATGGTTTTGCATTCAATTTGTACAGAGTACCCAAAGCCAACATTTCCTTTTCTCTTGTTCCAGATTGAAGTACTTTTTCTTCTTTAGATTTCCCAAAGATTACAGATTTTATTATAATAATCTCATAGGGCATAGTTTTTTAATTTTAAAATTCCTATATAGATATTTATTCTTAAATCAATGTTTTATGGATCATTCTGTGTACAATTATTTTACTAAGAAAATTGGCTAATCTTGATGGTCCTATCAATTCTTCTCTTGCCATTTATTTTCTAATATAATAGCCCTGAAAAAGTAAATGAAATAAAGTAGTTCCACCTGATTAGTCTTGATTTCCCTGATTGCTACAAGAGACTGATTTCCTTCATCTCATTTCTGTGACTATTGTATGTGCTGTACTGTATTATATGGTACACTTGAAATATTTTTTAATTTTTTTTCCAAATTAATACTAATATTTTGGTAGCAAGTAAAAACAAACTTATTACAACAGCATGCATGGTTCTCTGTTAAGCAAATACAAATTTCAGCAAAACATGGTTTTAATCAACCACTGAACGATAAAATATAAACTAGTGATTATTTTCACTCTCCCACCTCGTATGTGATTTTTGTTGTAGTTGTTAAACAGATCTTGGAAATTTTTTCCTAGTTAAAAAAAAAATGTTTTAAATTCATTTTATAGCCTCAGCATCGCTCTCCTCACCCTAATTGCATTAATTTTGTAAAACTAAATTGGAGTTGCGTGATCTAGCCTCTTCTGAAATGCAGTCTTTACAACAGTGAGACACGATAGAAACCATGCAACATAAAACCACAGGATTTTTAAAAAGCCGGCTCTGGGATGACTTATATGTTTCATAAACCAGCTTAAGGCTGAGTTATGAAAATATCATTTTAATACATTCCTTTAAAGATTCTTATGTTTGTCATTTATTCATTCCTTTATGCACTTTTTATTTTTACTTATCCATTTTCACTTATCTAGCAAGCACTTAAAGCGAGGGTTTGGGTTTGGTTTTGGGTTTTGCACAACATTGCAAATAATGCTATTGGAGAAAAATCAAAGAAATAAAAAAATCAGTGACAAGGTTCATAGAAGATCAAGTTTCCAGGGCTGCAGGTTGAAGGAACAGATTGAGCTCAGGCATGGCAGTGGTCTCCTGACACAGTTGTCTAGCACTGGCAGGCTGACCAGACTTGAGCGGTAGGAAACAGATGATGCTCATGAGGAGAGGTTTTTTAAATGTTTTCTACAATTTGAATCAGACCCTTTGCTAGGCATGAGAACATAAAGTTGAGTAAGAGGCAGCCCTTGTGCTAAGGAACTCTCAAATTTTTACTGAAGTCCCAAAGCACGTGTTGTTTCCACACAACTGATTTCTTGTTTCCTCTGAATTATTTCACAGTGATTTGATACCAATTATCCATTTAAAAACACAGGAATAATTTTTCTTTAACAGTCAGAAGTGTTGCATTTTTCTTTTTGATCTCAAACTAGTTCTTGATACTTCTGTTCAACCTCAACAAATTTATTTAATATGTTTTAAGCTTAAAATTATTTTACTTATAACCCTATCATATGTGTATATCAAATTTAACAGTTTATATCAGTCATACATAACAATATGTAACAGCCATGAGGCTGTAAGGGTTAAAATATTTTTTCTGAATTGAGTTACTGTAGTTATTAATAGTATACAATCAAAATAACATATATTATAGACTATTTTTAAACCTAAAAATAAAATTGTATTCGTACACTTATTCAAATAGGTGATCATTTAAAAAAAAAGATTAGCTCATGTATCTGAATGAAAATTTCTTACAGCTAGAATACAACAATTTTATTCCTATTTTCTGAATCTAAGCACTGAAAAACTTATGCACATGGAAGTTGGGAACAGAAGACCTTTTGTGAGAGCAATGTCAAGTCTTTCTGAGTCAGGTGACAAAACTTATACAGATCAATCAGTTAACAGTTTGAGTAGGAGCTCCTTTTATTTATTTACTTACTTTTTGAAAGCAAAGAATTGGAAACTGCCACATCTTACAAAAGGATGTGTCTGTTACTGGGTCGACAGAGTCATCTACATTCTCAACATCAATCCCAGTAAGTGTAATGTTCCTTTGTCCCTGAGTTGGATTTTATACCTGAGGTAAGATGAGAAAGCTTGTACTCCATCACAGAAGAGTCATAAACTTTTATTTATTAATTATAGCAAAGAGTGCACTTGGAAGCTGAGAATCAACATATTGATTGTCTTAAATTCTGTATTAGTATAGTCCTTGGAAAGCCTCTTCAGCCTTTCAGGAGAACAGATATTTGGGTAGGAATTCCACTTCTACAGACATTGTGGTGCTTTGCAGAAGCTCACATAGTTAAAAGATGGGTACTTCCAAGATAATTGAAACTATAAGTTTTGTGATTTGAGGAAATTACATTTCAGAGATAACAATGCACTCTTAAAAATATATACTATATGTGATTCTGTCTCTATCACAAGAAAGTTTGGTATTGACTAGGCTTTTTTAAAGAATGTTTATACTCATATCTTTCTTAACAAGAGGTAATCATGCTGTGCAAAGATTAAATTAATTCATGTCTCCAATTTTCAGAATTTACTAGATATTTCCAAAAGTGTAAAAGTCTAATATTCCAATAATAGTGAAATGAATTCTTAACACTAATATTTTAGGAGTTGAGGAAACAAGATGAGAAGACAAAATACACTATTCAAGAACATGTATTTGGCATGTTTTTAAAAAGCCTGCTGTTCTAAAAAGCTTATTTTTCCCTGATTTAAAAAAAAAAAATCATTTGCTTTTTTGTATTTTGCTGGTTGGTTTGCTTACTTTCTTGTTTTTTCTTTTTGCATGTATATAAATGTATTTATTTGGCTGGTGTCTCATATTTTTAACAAGGACTTTCAAGTCTTTGGAAAATATTTTTCATCCTTTCAGTGAAGCTTTCCACTTTAATACTGAGTTTACAGAGTTCAGTGATATTCAGGAAATATTTATTAACACCTACTCTGTATAAAGTACTACACCCAGTGACATAGGAGATACAAGGGTGAATCATTCAAGGAGTATGGAATCTGTGTAGCAGAGAAATATATACTCAAAAAACCACCAAAAGCCACAAGAGGAACTAAGAATATGCCTAAGGGTATGCAGAGGCTTTCTAGGAATAGGATAACACTATCAGTCTTAGGAAAATCAATGTCAAGAAAATGCACAATACACTGGAACACTACGCATGTGTGGGTTATTTATATCCCACTGCTCAAGCTCATCACCAAGGTCTCATTTTTCACTCACGCAAAAATTCAAAAAATTGCAACCTCCAGAATAAATGGGTTAATAAGACCTTTAATTGCTATGTTATTATCTTTCATTTCCACTCATTTATTTAGCAGAGATTCCTTGAGAGCCTACTATGTACCTAGCATAATACTACCACTACAAAAATAATGTGTGATGTGCTTGACAGAGGACGGTGTGGCTACTGCCCTCAAACTGCTTATAGACTTGGGGAAAATACATTTATACAGTTAATTACAGTACAATATTGTAAGCATTATAAATATAATAAAAATGTATATATTTAAAGCTAAAATGATAGTATTTGTTTCTATTTTATAAAAGTTTTTATTTTTTTAAAAAAACATAACCCTTAGAACAAACCAAAGTAGCAAAAAGAATAGTCAGGTTTGGGATATATTTTGAAGGAAGAGCTGAGAGTACTTGCTAATAAGTCAGATGCCGGATATTAAAAAAGGAGAATAGGTAAGGTAACTCTAAACTTTGGGGTATGAAGAATTGGAAAAATTAAGGTACCATTTAGTGAAATCTGTATCAGTTACCATATTTGCTGAATAACAAATTACCCCAGAACTTAGTGGCTTAAAAGTGATTTATTCATTCACAATTTTGTGGTTGATAATTTCACTTAGGTTCAGCGAGACATCTCCTCTGTTGCTCTCACTTAGACTCACTTATTGGCTATAGTCAGTTGACAGCTTGGACAGGACTGGATGGTATAAGATGGCCTTATTGACATATCTGGTGGTTGGCAGAGTGTGGCTGGATCACCTTGGTCCTCCCCATGTGGTCTTTCCAGCAGGGTAGCTTAGGCTTATTCACAGGGCAGCAGCTTTCTAAGACAGCGAGAGTGGAAGCTGCAGGGCCTCCTGGGGTCTATCTTCAGAAGTTGCACAAGGCCACTTCTGCCACATTTTATTAATCAAAACAAGTCACAAGGCCAGTCTAGATTTAAGGAGTAAGAAAATGGACTCCATCTTATTGTGTTTTTTTAATTTTTTTTTTTTTTTTTTTTTGAGACGGAGTCACACACTGTCGCCTGGGCTAGAGAGAGCGCAGTGGCACGATCTTGGCTCACGGCAACCTTCCCCTCCCAAATTCAAGTGATTCTTCTGCCTCAGCCTCCCAAGTAGCTGGGATTACAGGCACCCGCCATCACGCCCAGCTAATTTTTTGTATTTTTAGCAGAGACGGGGTTTCACTATGTTGGCCAGGCTGGTCTGGAACTCCTGACCTCGTGATCCACCCGCCTCAGCCTCCCAAAGTGCTGGGATTATAGGCGTGAGCCACCACACCCAGCCAATGGACTCCAACTCTTGACGTAAGGAGCTGCAAATAACTTGTGGCCATTTTTATTCTTCCATACATGGGAATGACAGAAAGTGTAGTCTACTTGTTCCAAGAGTTTCGTTTGTAGAAAAAAAAAATGTGCTTTGCTGGAAAATGGTGCATTGGTTAGAGCACACTCTTCCAGGTTCTCTAATTCTGATTCTATGGGGGCTATTTTACAACTTCGTCTCTTATACATAAATGATGACAATGCAAAAAATTGTTCTTGTCTGTGGATATGGAAACAAATTCTGTCCCTTAGAGGATCTATTGACTTTCTTCTCTCACTGCAGAAGAAGCCATTTTTGCCTCTATTTGCACATTTATTAAATGTCTATTAAAAGAAGACCTACAAATGCCCAATAGGTATATGATAAAAAATGCTCAATATTACTAAGCATCATGGAAATGCAAACTAAAACCACAATGAGATATCACCTCACCCCAGAATGGCTATTATCAAAAAAACTAAAGATAGCAAGTGTTGGCGAGGATGTAGGTCAAAGAAAACGCTTGTACACTGTTGGTTGGAATATAAATGAGTACAGCCATTATGAAAAACAGTATGGAGATGCCTCAAAAATTAACATTTAGAACTATTATATGATACAGCAATCCCACTACTGGGTATTTATCCAAAGGAAATGATATCAGTATGTCAAAAAGATATCTGCATTCCCATGTTGATTGCCGCACTATTCACAATAGCCAAGATATGGAATCAACCTACATGTCCATCAATAAATGGAGACCTAAAGAAAATGTGGTACATATACACAATGAAGTACTATTCAGCCATAAGAATGAAATCCTGCGATTTGCAACACTATGGATATTAAGTGTCCTTAATACAGACAAATAGCTCACCATCTCACTCATGTGGAATCTGAAAAAGTTGATCTCATGGAAGTAGAGAGTAGAACAGTAGTTTACCAGAGGCTGAATGACTATGGGGAGAAAGGGGAATAAGGAGATGTTGATCAAAGGATACATAATTACAGTTAGACAGGAGAAATAAATTTAAGAGATCTATTGTTCAGCCAGGTGACTATAGTTAAGGATGATATGTTGTATTCTTGAAAAACGTAAACAGAGCAGTTGTTACATGCTCTCACCACAAAAATGGTATGCTGGATGGATGTGAGGTAATGCAATTGTTAACTATGTGAGGTAACGCAGTTGTTAGATTTAACCATTCCACAATGTATGCATGCTTCAAAACATCATGTTGTACATGTTTAAAAAATACGATGTCATCTGTCAATTTTTAAAAAAATTAGTTTTAAAAGTTAAAAAAATTCCTAATCCCTATATATGTCTCTGTTCATATTATTTTTCCCCTTAACATCTTTTTTTCCTTAACTTTTTTTGCCTTCCTCTTTCCTTTTTCTTTTATTTTTAAATTTATTTTTGATTGTGGTAAAATATACATAAAATTTACCATCTTAATCATTTTTAAGTACATATATAGCTCAGTAGTGTTAAGTACATGGCACACTGTTATGCAACCATCACTACCATCCCTTTCCAGAACTCTTTTCATCCTGCAAAATGGAAACACTGTACTCATTAAACAATAACTCCCCATTCCCCTGTAGGTTACCTATAGCTCCTGGTAACCACCATTCTACTATCTCTCTATGAAGTTCACTACCCTAAGTACCTCACAGAGATGAAATCATACAGTATTTGGCTTTTCGTGAATGGCTTACTTCACTGAGCAAAATGGCCTCAAGATTCATCCACAATGAAGCATATGTCAGAATTGCCTTCTTTTTCAAGGCTGAATAATATTCCATTGTGTGTATATACACCATATTTTGTTTATTCATTCATCAGTGGACACTTCTACGTTTTGACTATTGTGAATAATACTGCTATGAACACAGGTATACAAATATCTCTTAAAGACCCTGCTTTTAATTTTTAATTCTTTTGAGTATATGGCCTGAAGTAGAATTGCTGAATGATACAATAATTCTACTTTAATTTTTTGAGGAATCACTATACTGTTTTTCATAACAGTTGCACCATTTTACATCCCACCAACAGCACACAAGTATTCCAATTGCTCCACATCCTCACCAACACTTCTTATTTTCTGGTTTGTTTGTTTTGATAGTGACCATACTAATGAGTGTGATGTGGTTGGATTCTTCTATGACTGCTTGTAATATCTTCCTGATCCTCCCATAATAATATGTTAAATAAAATGTTTAACATTTGCTCTTTTATAGCTGTAGAAGAGCCATACCTTTGTCTTTTTTGAAAATTCTCTTTTAACAAGCTATAAAGTAGAACAAGTGGTCTGGAGTGGGTTTTCCAAACACGAAATATACTACAGCATGTTTGTTTTCTAATAGATAGGATGCAATAAAGAAGGAAAATTTATGATAGAAGGGGCAAAAGCAGGAACAAAGTTCTTGAAAAAAGAAAGAGGATTAGATCAAGATAGACAGAATTATATATAATTCATTTATTGTAACCGGAAGAAAATTAGAATATTCATGTAAAAATGCAGGTAGATCCCTTGACTTGGTTATAGAAGCATGTGGAAGGTATCTTCTGAATTTCTGTGTTCATTTTTTAATCCTTATGACTTAGCCCAAAACTAGTTCATAGTAGCTACTTAATGAATGTTTCTTGAGTGAATATAGCAGAGATAATCCTAGTCTACAAGAAAGAGCACAGTAATAAAGACCCACCATGTCTAACATATAAATACACTTACCATTCACCTAGTTCCACTGATAGCCTTTATTAACAGATTCTTAAAATGCTTTTAAACTGCCCATGTAAATAATTTTAAAAGCATACTCTGCTGAATTACCCTATTCTACCCCTCTTAGCAATCAAAGGTAAAAAGAATCTTGTAGCAATGTTGATCTGTCTGCAACATGACACCTCTTTGACTGATAGAAAACAGACAAACTAATGAGAGGAAGCTAAATACGGATATTGTTTACTGGGCTCTGATGACTTATTGTTGGCAAGCAAGTGAACTCTATCTAAGAGATAGGGAATAAAGAAAACATTGTGCTTGGTCTTAGATAAATAAAATATGGGGAAATATGATTTAAAACAAAAAAACAAATTTAACTGACTCATAATTACATCTCAGGAGTCCTTATAGAGGAGCTTAGGATATCTCTTTAGACTTTAAATACATAAAAAGCAGCCCTGGGATAAGCACTGTTTGACAGTTGAATGACAATCTCATCGTAGAGGAGAAGATAGCTGTGTGTTCATTAGCATAAACAACACATTCCAGGCTTCCAAACTACGTAACTTCCCACAAGGAGCATCTGACCCAGAAGACCCTAACACTGAGTGAGCCAGTAGGCATCTGAGAATGAAATTAAAACTTATACAGATGCCAAAGAGGTAAAACGACAAAGCTCAGAAATTTCTCCTTCAATTTAGTTCAATTCAACAAATATTATTTGAATACCTTACACTGAAAAAACACTGCAACAGAAAGTAGGTGCAGAAAACTAGAAAATGGATACACTACTGTTTCCCTATTTTTGATATATTCACTCATCCTTAGACTAAAATTTGAATAAAAGACTTTCTTATTATTACTTAAGTATACATTATAGGGAAAAAAAGCAATATGTGAATTTACTAAACATTTAATTTAAACATTACAACTACTTCCAAGTGCCTTCTAATGAATACGACCTAACCTTTGACCACTGACACATCCTTCCATAGCATGCTCAGGATCACCTTTTAATCCTAGATGGTTAAATGTGAATCTCAGTCTGTTCCTAGCCCTCTCCATTTCCAGCAATGCTGCTGCTGCACCATTATATTTTTAAGGTTATGTTGCTGATTTGTGTGTCTTGCATTATCCTGGATCCATTTTCTTCTGGACTTGTTAGTGCCTCTTCTGTGGTCTCTATTTCTGTCTCTCTCTCTATCTCTCTCTCTCTCTTTCCTCTCTCTCTTTTCTATGCAGTCTTGTTGGAGTTGCACATAGTTATGAAGCATGGTAGGCTGGCACCGTGAGTTGTGCTACGCTGTGGATTTTCTCCTGCTTTTCCCTGTCTACTCCTCCAGAGTGCTTTTACACCACCCATCTTACTCTTGTTTTGCTTGGTTCTCTGCTCCTCTACTTCAGGAAATCCCATGGTTTAGCCTGGAAAAGACTGACTTCATGGGAGGGTGCCTCTCCCTAGTAAATAGACCATCCTCTGATTTATTTCTCCTCCTATGCCAAACGAACATACACCCTGTAAAATATCTCCTTTATGGCCAGAACTAGAAGCAGAATTTGAACGAAGAGTCTGGGAGTTTTTACATTTTCCTACAAAGCCCCTGTGGTGACTCACATTGTCAGGCTGATGTATGAGACTGTCAGACTGATTTTAATTTTGATCTCTTATGTTTTTTCCCCACCCTGTCATGTCACACTAATGACTGTTAAATGCTCCAAAAGACTGGCAAATGGGAAAACAAAGACAAGAGCCAGAGGATTGAAAGTTTCCAAATGAGCAAATATTACACATATTTGAGAAAAATTACATTGGGTTAGTTTATAAATGTTTGAGTATTATGAAAATCTCCAGCGTGTCAGGGGCAAGGAGGAGGAGAGATAACCTTTGACCATAAGAATGAGATACTCTGATCATGATATCACTTGCCACTTATTTCAATTTTTAATGATTAACACCTTCCTCACTAGGTTAACTTTACTTAGGAATGACCACAGATGTAGCAATTTGTGAATAAAACTGAGGTTTTAAACATTATATAATACCAAGTTTAAAATCTAAACTGGTAAAACATTGTCAAACTCCTTTTGAAAGAAGTCAGAAAACAATTCTATTATATTCATGCTCATTTTGAAAGCTGTCTTTGCCAACAAAAGAATATTTTTGTTGATTTATATATATTTGGCATGAGAAAAATCTGTAATAACTGATAACATAGTTAACTGCCAATTACTAAGACCTTACCTGTCTCCACTGCATCCCATGAAGTGGTTCAGATGGGTTCTAATAACTGGATGGCCTGGGTCAGGTGTCAACAGTCATCTGCCTTCCTCATATTATGCATTGTCCTCCCTAGTGTCATAAAACAGCCACCTTTCACTGATGCTGTGTGCTGAGTGCTTTTGAAAATCTAGCTCGCTCAATTCTCATAACAGCTTCATCAAGTGGGTACTAGGATCACCTTTCCAAGGAAAATGGAGACTTCCAACAAGATTAAGACATTTGCTCAAAGTCTTATACCTAATGAGTGGTAGAGCCAGAATTTGAAACGAGGCGTGTCTGCTTGCAAATTTAAGAATCCTGTAGTGCTTCCAGATAGAGTATAATAGCAAAACTCCTTAAATGGCTCAAATTTTACAGCTCACAGGAAATTGTTTTAAGTATGCAGGGTGAAAAATTGTGACTTTTATCAAGAATGTAAAATTATTGTGTAAGTTTATCTTGATCATCAGTGAAGCATGAATAGTATGCTTCTCTTAATTTGAAGTTAGGATAATAAAGCATTTTAGAGTGTACAAAGAACTCTTCCATGTGAGCCTAACTTAAGACAACAGATCAAGCAATTGTTATTCACAGTTTACAGAAAAGGAAGTTGAATTTCTGATTGGCAGAGTGGTATAGCCAATGCCACACAATTAGGACCCAGTGGAATAAATAAATCCTGGGCCTGGGTCTTTTGAGTTCCAATTATATGCTCTTTCCACTACATGTTAAGCAGGCCATGTTTATGAGCAATGAGAGGAAGCTCCATGGACTTTGTTCCATGTTTGCTTAAAAAGAAAAAGCACTATAAATCAACCTGAAATATCCACTGAGAGCATTGTTCATTAAGTCTAGCACAATCAATTATACTAACAAGCATTGTAATAAAATCATTCCATTCCATGCTATGTGACACAATGTGACTGCAAAGAGTATGAAACAAGAAAGAGGACGAGAAATTCATAAGTCATTGAAAGACCAAAAACCATTTACAACCAAAGGGTTTAATCAAGGTTTGAATCTCATGCCTAAGCATTCTCAGAAGTCCCCTTTCATATGCCACGCTGTTTGTTACAAATTATCTTCCAGAATAATGTAGATATATGCCCCCAATTTTTTCTATTACATGTCATAAATCAAATGTGCTAAAACTATGTGTACTGTTAAGGTTACAAAAATTCCAATTCTTTCTTTCTTTTTTTTTTTTTTTTTTTGAGACAGAATTTCACTCTTGTCACTCAGGCTGGAGTGCAGTGGCGCAATCTTGGCTCACTGCAACCTCCGCCTCCCAGGTTCAAGCGATTCTCCTGCCTCAGCCTCCTGAGTAGCTGGGATTACAAGCGCCCGCCACCACAACCTGCTAATTTTTGTATTTTTAGTAGAGACAGGATTTTGCCATGTTGGCCAGTCTTGTCTCGAACTCCTGACCTCAGGTGTTCCACACACCTCGGCCTCCCAAAGTGCTGGGATTACAGGCGTGAGCCACCATGCCCAGCCCCAATTCATTTTTTAAATTGGTAAAGTAAGTTGTGTAATTTAGGGCATGATTTACGTAATGCAAAATTTAATAGAAAGTGGGGAAATAATCGAAATTCACACACGAAGGGAATTTAACTAGTTTTACAAAAATGATGCCCATCCAAAATTAGTGGGTTTGTTTCATTTTGCTTTGTCTGAATATTGATTTAAAACTTCCTAGTTAATTCTAGTCATTCATAGGCCAAGACAAGTTTAAGACCAAGGAGATCATGTTTATATATTCAGTCATACTTTTCATACTGGACTATTGGTTAAAACCAGGAAGTACAAGAAACACTCATACATAATAGAAAGCATAAGTTAAATAAAGGTATTAAAATAATAAAGTTCTTCAAGAAGAAAGCAATAAATTAATTTGTCCTTGATATATAGGAAGCACACTTGGGGTAGTTGGGTATGAGAGAAAATTTCTGATTGTTGAAATAAAAGAGAAAAAAGGTTTTGGAAAAAGAATATTTGATAAGCATGCTTGAATGACATCCTATCTGCTATATGATATAAACACTTTAAGTGACCCGCAAAAATTGTATTAAAACTAAAAATGTCACAACATGCTTAAGGTGATCCAATCTTTTGTGGATGCTTCTGGAAGTTAACCCAAAGCCAAAGTAAAATCAGCCTCGGAAGGCAAAGAAACAGCATCCATGTAGATCATGTTAAAAACATCTTAGTAACATGGTAAAATTCTGGGAGTCAGTGCTCTCCAATGTGAGAATCACTTCTCTGTGTAGCAGCTTCATGCAGAAACAAAAACATAAAATCAATAACAATAAAATGTTCTAGTTGTAGCCCCAGGTGAGATATGGTGAATTAGTCCAACTTTGCCTTTGAGTGAGTACTCTTCATAGGTATCACCCAGGCCCTGTAGCCTCACCAATATTTTTCTAGAATGTTCTAGAAGTTGTACAGGCAAACTATTCAGATACAATCTGCACTAAGTTCAGTTAGAGAGCAACAATGAAAGTTGCTCATTGATAGTATTTGTTTTGCCGCCTTTGGGGAGATGAAGAGGCTGGCAGAGCACTTACCAGAAAGAAGAGGGGAAGACAGAAGAAAATTTACTTCAGACTGTTAACTGAATGCTTAAATGGTTGTAATTGGGTTGATGAGGTCTAGAGTTCTTAAATGACTCATTTATATTTCTACTGCCATTTAAGAAAACATTTAAATTATTCATCTCAACTTTATATTTAAAAATCGTTCTATTAAAGAAGGAACCAAGAAAGTGATTTAAAAAAAAAAATTCTTCAACTGGTCAAAAAAAAAAATATATGAGCTACTGCATACCAGGACTCTACTTCTGGTATTTTCACTTCATTGAAAGTTTTATTTTCTTTTTTTTCCAACTCCTGCATACTGGTTTCTTTTTCTACATGTCTAAGTTCTGGCACTTTCACTTCAGTATTGATTTGTGTCAAGAACAATTATAATTTTCATAAGATATTTAAATTTTTATGAAGATAAAGAAATACTGCTATTAGCCAAAGGTCTATCATTTGATTTCATTTGATCGTTGATTTCAAGGATAAAAGAATCCTGACTGAGGGTGACTATTTTCCACATTGTAAGGAGAAATCATGCCAGTCACCAATGAGCACCACACAGCTGCCATACCTGTGATTTACACCTAAAGTAGAGCCTTCCACATTGTTTATGATAACATAAGATGGATGTGGTGAAATTGTTTAAAGTTATTAACTAGTAAAGGAAACCTTTTCTAACCTCCCTATGAAATTATTTTAGACTCTCTCCATTTATCCACAAGTAAATCTGAAGTATTGTATTATAACTTTATTACAATCAAATAAAGTCAGTTAACTTTATTTGATTTAACTCCCTATGAGAACTAAGTTCATATCACTTCCAAAGCCTTTTAAAGATCAAAATATTTGCTTATCCCAGATTTTACCTATTAGGATTCTGTAAGAAATTATTAAAAATATGGACATATAAATTGCAATGTAATAGTTAACATGCCATCTCCCTCTACTGGATAGAATTAAAAATCAAACATTACTCTAATATATTCACCTAAAGTTGTGTTTACATAGTGGTTTCATGGAGACATAAATCAATTAACCTCATACCTTATCCTAATTTCTAATTCTACCATGAAAGAAAATGTCATGAATTGTCTTCTTTCACTGATTTTGCTGTGTAAATGCTCTCTCCTTTCCCATGTTGAGCGTGGAATATAAGGTAACAATAAATATGTGTAATTTACATATCATATGACTATAATTATTCAGTCCATGATTAAGGTAAAATTTCTTTAAAAACACATAATTTGGGAGATCTACAGCTATTCTAAACAAAGAATAGGTATCATTGTTACTTCAAAGTCAGGATTTCCAAATTCTTTCTTTGGTCATATTTTTGGGTGAGGAATATTTAGGTCCAGGTGTTCAAATATAGCCCTTCATATCTTAAGACAGAGAGTTACTGTTTGGTTAATATAAGAAAGCCTTTCTCATTTGATAATTCACAAAATACACTGAAATGAAGTATATTCTTTTATATGGGGTAATGTAGAACAAAGGTCTGGATTCAAACACTACATGGAACTTAGCAAATGTGTTACATTGGCAATTTATGTAGTCTCTGTTAGGTTCAATCTCCTCCTCTCTAAAATAGAGCTAATCATCACATTTACTGCTTAGGGTTATTTTTAGTATTAAATAATATAATGTAAAAAAAGTGTTTATCAAAGAACCTTATACAAAGGAAATGCTTTATTTATTTTTTATTATACTTTAAGTTCTAGGGTACATGTGCACAACGTGCAGGTTTGTTACCTAGTATACATGTGCCATGTTGGTGTGCTGAACCCATTAACTCGTCATTGACATTAGGTATATCTTGTAATGCTATCCCTCCCCCATCCCCCCACCCCACGACAGGCCCCAGTGTGTGATGTTCCCCACCCTGTGTCCATGTGTTCTCATTGTTTAATTCCCACCTATGAGTGAGAATATGCGGTGTTTGGTTTTCTGTCCTTGCGATAGTTTGCTCAGAGTGATGGTTTCCAGCTTCATCCATGTCCCTGCAAAGGACATGAACTCATCCTTTTTTATGGCTACGTAGTATTCCATGGTGTATATGTGCCACATTTTCTTAATCCAGTCTATCATTGATGGACATTGTACAAAGGAAATGCTCAATAAATGTTAACTATTTTTAAATTATACTAAACATGAGTTTAATGAAGCTACTGACAAATTTAAAGTATGTAAATGAATCCTAGGAAACTATATTTTTAACTAAAACACAGAGATAATAATGCATTTGCTCTTTAATCTCCTCCTTGATAGCCAAAACTGACATTAAAACCTAAAAATGTAAAGCAGCAGAAAAGACTGAATAGATCTGAAGAGGACTTTTCAGATTCTATTTCATACAATCCCCCTGATTTTCACCTAGGAAAGAACCAGCACCCTGAGAGGTAAAACGATCTCTAATGGCAATAGAACTAGAGTGTAGCCATTCAGGTAACAGAGCATGGAGCAAAAGCCAAGGCCCCCAAATCCTAATCCAGTATACCTCAAAACGTCAAACTTTCTCCTGACAACAGATGCTTTTCCTGTCATGGCTACTTGTTCTATATATGCAAGAAATACAAATATACAATGCATGATGCAAATTATGATGTGACTAAAATGTGTAAATGAAATGAGTGTATGTAGTCCCTAAGAAACAGACACCATAAAGATAAATTTCAATAGTTTAAATTACATAGAGGAGGTTACATTATTTCTCTTCAAATTATATTTATGTTATCTAATTTTTTTCTTAAAGTCAACCCTATAAAGTAGGAAGGACATATTTTATTAACTGCATTTTAAAGAAGAGGAAACTGAGACCCAGAGTATTATGATTTCATAGCTAGTGACGGGAGAAACAAACATCGGGTGTTTGGACTCCTGGTCAAACTTTTTTTTTTTTCAATGTTTCTTGCATTGTTTCTTGGTGGTGTTTTAAGCTATGACATTGATATCCTCCATCATTCATAAATGTTAAATGCATAGAAATAGAATCATCCAAATGAACATATATTTTGATGTATATAAAATCAAATATGTATCCTAGAACATACGTTATCAAGAGTTTCATCTCAGAAAAATGTCATGGTCATTGTTAGTTTTAAATTAATTTAAAATATAAATTGACAGAATCTTTACTTCCTACAATAAACCCTTTGAAATAAATTTAAGATTACAATCAACTAGGAATAGAAAGATTTAAAATGTGTCATTAAAGTACCTAATATTAATCAGTTATCTTTTAAGACTCAAAAGTCGTTCACATTTGAATAAAACTTAAAGGAGATATCTTACAGGTAAATCATAGACTCTGAGTTGAATTTTTTAAAATGACCTTCATTCTAAAGTGTCCCCTTAAAGATATCCTGAAATGTTGCTAAGTAGAATAAAACAAATTCTATGGACTGTACTTTAACACTGTGATAGATTCTATTGATGTAAAAGCATTATCACTACCCACCCTGGTCAGATAATACCTTTCCCAAGGCAGTAGGGCAATAAAGATCTGCTAAGTCATGCTGTCAGGATCATAAATTTTTTTCTGGGAAAAGCAGTTTACCCCTTTGCCACATGTACTGCCAGGATTAGAAGCAAGCAAGGGAGTCGTAGGAGGAAGGGACTTTCAGGGTGTGGTGTTCCCAGACATTGCTTTGAGCCCTTGGCAGTGGCAAAGTGACTCTGTCCGCCCCTCCCAGGGAGCTGACCAGAGCTGTACCTGGAATTTGTAAAAAGGCAGATGACATGATCATGACAGGGAATGGGGAGAGTGGCTAAGGTAATGAGACCAGTTAGATTAGTGAGACTCCGGTTTAAGGTTCTAGGAGGCAACTGGCATGGTAAAAAGAGCATGGCATTTTTTAATTGGATGGATCTGAGTTTGAATTTCTATTTCTCAATTTATTCACCATCAGCATGACTATAAGTAAGTTAACGTCTCCATTTAAGCCTATGAACTTTTGTATGCCTCAGTTTCCTCATCTGCAAAATGAGACAATGCCCATTAGGGCGCTGTGGATTAAAGGAGCTAGTAAAGCCCTTAGAACAGTGCCTGGCAACATGGTAAATTCTATTTAAGTGTTAGTTATTTTTGTGTGTTATTGTCTCTCTAAGCTTCGACTTTCTCATCTGGGGAAATGAGGATAACAGAACATGGCTTGTAGAGTTCTTTGGAGGATTATGTGAAAATTGAGTACTTTATACATGGTGGATGTTGTTGCTGTTGTTGTTTTATCTATTATTTTTGTTGTTTTTCTCCATGCATGTTAGTTATTTGTGTTGGACCGTGGTACCATACACTATTTTGCTAACTAAAAAAAAAAAAAAAATGAACTAGATCTTTCACTAGTTATAGGATGACAGCCTATGAGACAAGTCTGGAATTTAACCTCAGGGTTGCCTAACTAATAGAAGATACTATACCCAGACAAAGTAAGTAAATAATTGATACTGAGTTAGGTTGAAAAGGTCCTTCCTACAGGTGATAAAATGAGAGTATAAAATTCAGTGTCAGAAATACACTTGGATGATTCAGTTTTAACATCTCCAAGCTTAAAATGTATTCCACAGAACAATTCTTCCTTATATGTTCTTTGTCACATTGCTGCTAATGTTCATTCATGATAAATAGTTTGCCAGAGTCAAAGCGAACCCTTCCTTGTAGTCTCAGTTAAGACTTGAACACATTCTTCAGGTTGAACAAGGAGCAGTGACAAGTGATCCGGTCTACAAATTTGCAGATCATGTTTCTACATGAGGCTGCACTAACATTGCCAGTGCTACCAGCAACGAAGTATCCTGGGGCAAAACTGAGCCTGCACTGCAGGACCAAACCTAGGGGGAGGCTCTCAGCTTGGCTGCAGAAAACTCAATAAGCAAGATAAATAATACTGTAGTGCAATGTTCTAAAAAAAAAAATCAAAACAAATGTAAAAAAATCCATGATAAGCACAGTATCAAAATTTTAAATAAAGTTAGTGAATTAGTTTTCTACGGCTGCCCTAACAAATTACCTTAAATTTATTTGTGTAAAACAACATACATTTATAATTGTACTGTTCTGCATACCAGACGTCTGACATGAATCTTACTAGACTAACAACAAGACGTCGGCAGAGCTGCATTTCTTCTGGAGGCTTGAGGGGAGGATCTGTCTTCCTGCTCTTTTCCAGCATCTAGAGGCTGCCTGCATTTCTTTTCTCCTGGCCCCCTTTCTCCATCTTCAAAACCAGTAATGGTAGGTTGAGTCTTTCACACATGGAATTACTCTGACTTCCTGCCTCCCTCTCCCTCTTAAGGATCCTTGTGATTACACTAGACCCACACAGATAATCCAATATAATCTTCCCATTTAAATGTCCTTTAATCCCACCTGCAGAGTTCATTTTGCCATGTACGGTAATATGCTCACAGGCTCCAGGGACGGGATCTTGGACATCCTTGGAGGACATCATTTGGCCCGCTACAGATAGGGTCTGACACTGTATGTGCATGATTCTGCCTCACTCCCTGCACCCTAATCCTGGCCCTGCTGCAATGTGATTTGACAAACTGAGGCCTATTAGTCCTGAGTTTTCCAGGTTGGAAGCACTCTATCAAGAAAATCTAGAGGTATCACCATGTAAATCTGTTCTAAAGGTGGCCCAGAAGTATACAAGTAATCAGAAAATAGCAAAACAAGCACAATAAATAATTTGTTCACATTGCAAAGGCACAAGCATTTCGGTATTTGGAAAATGTTGCAAAGCTGAAACTCATCTCTAAAGCATTAGTGACATATTCTATTATTCTAAAATGCTTGTTACTTTTATTTTACTATTGACTTATTTTAAGCACTGCTAATGTTTCACTGGAAAGTTAGAATTTTTTTGCTCTTCATATGAGAGAGACTTACCATCAATTTTCAGCTGGGTTAAAGTGCTATACCTTTCTTCAAAAAGGCCCTGGGTGGTCTAGAATTGCTTTCTGCTCATAAAAGTGAGGTTAGGTGTCACAGTTCCTGGAAACTGAACAAATAGTTGACTTCTCTAGACCTTATGTTGAATTATTCCATCTTGATCTTCCCACATGTTTGTAAGTTCCTGAGTGCAAGCGCCATCTTTTATTTTTTAAGACAAAATCTGGCTGTCTCACACAGGCTGGAGTCCACTGGCATGATCTCAGTTCACTGCAGCCTCCACCTCCCAGGTTCAAGTGATTCTCATGCCTCAGCCTCCCAAGTAGCTGGGATTACAGGCACCTACCCGCCACCACCCCCAGCTAATTTTTGTATTTTTAGTAGAGACAGGGTTTTGCCATGTTGGCCAGGCTGGTCTCAAACCCCTGACCTCAGGTAATTCACCCACCTCAGCCTCCCAAGTGCTGAAATTACAGGCGTGAGCCACCGTGCCCGGCCAGGCACCATCTTACTTATTATTTGACACAAAGTGGATATTCAGACATTTTTTGCAAATGGTATAGGACGGAATTTTCAAGATCACCCAGGGAGTCAAGTACTGTCTTCTTTCACTGTGCCACAGAAGTGGAGTGCCTTGCCCAAAGTCACCTGAGGTACGAGCCCAACTCCATCACGATCTAAGATCCCAGCCCTTTCCACCTACCCCTACCCCAATTCTTCTCTTACAAATGCACTTCCAGAACATCACTATTGAGGGCATCACTGAAGCATGTGGACATCCAAATACAAGCTTAAATCAGGAGATATCTCCACAGCTTCCAAACCAGTACTATTTAAAGAGAATGAGAAATACACTGTTCAGGGCTCAACATATTGAGAGAAACCCCTTCTTCATGGAAAAAGTCTGCTAAGAAAAAAATCATTAAAATTAAATCGGAAAATTGAGCAGCAGCCCAGTTCCTGAAGATGTGTTAACTACCCTATTTCTGATCAAAGAAAAGGAATTTTACTTGCTATAAAAGCACTCAGGGAGACTGAAAGAGAGACATCTGCTTCATTAATAGTATCCTTGCCAGCAGGGCCAATTAAATTAAGAAGCTATCCTTTCCCTGGTAGATTTCATTCCAAACACATTACACAAGTTATACTCAGAAACATTACTGCAAGGAGATCATTTATGTTCATTAATCCTAGGGCTTTCTTTTGTAATCTTTTTCTTGAAAGGAAATTCTCATTTTTGCCCTAAATTAATGAACATATTTATTTGTACATAAAAGAGCAAATTCCTCCTACTGATGCCTTTAGTTAAGGCAGGCAGGGCCAGCAACAGGATCCACAGGTGCAGCTTCCAGCATCCCCTCAGTGCTGACTGCAGCATCAAGACAAAAGCCTGTGGGCTTCATCTTGAGAACAGTACTCCGTGGGCTCTGCCTGCAGAGCACTTGCCAGCAGCCTAAAACTGCCAAGCAGAGGTCAGTGAGAGGTCTAGGGCCATGCACCTTTTCTCCCAAATCACAGTTCACTCAAGGTTGCACATTGCTCCAAAGGGCACATGTGATTCCAGAAAAACAGTCTTCAGACATTTCACCCTATAGCTGACTCTCTTTTCTCCCAAGCCCCAACATTCCTTCTCTAATTGTTGCCTTCCCAGCTCAGACTCTGAAAACACACTAGTCAAACACCATCATGGCAAAACGCCATCTCATAAATGCCAGAAAGAGCGAAATAAAACAAAACAGAGAACATTTGTTTCAGGAAACTTCTAGTGAAGATGTTAACAAACTCTAACATCCTATTTACCTGTACAGAACTTTCTAAATACGTTCTGTTCAATAAATAAACACATGAAGGATCTAGCCTCTCTCATAAATAATTCTTTTCAAACAGTAATCAGGATACATAAATAATTTGAATTCATTTAAGCCAGTGTCTTTCCAATTGTGTTAATCATCAAAATCATTTCAAACGCTTCTAAAAATATAGATTCCTGGGCCTCCACTTAAATCTAATGAGTCAGAATCACCCAGGGAATTGTGAAGAATCTCACTTTTTACCAGGATGATGATGATTGGAGAAATTTAGGCAATAGTGAATTAGGAAAATTTTTTGTATTCTATTATATTTATAACTTTGCACTGGATCCTGTACCTCATATAAAAATGAGAAGATGAGAAGATACATGGCTCATATTCTGGAAGGATTTGAAATTTAGTAGGAAATATTAGATAAGAAAATAATTGTACAGCAAGTTAGAATATAAGAAATTTTGTAAGAGTGAGTCCACCAAAGTAGAACAAAAAGTTTGAAAGAAGAAGAAATCATATCAGGTCATAGAGGGAAGTAAGGAAAAGCTTTAAAAAATATTTTTTATTTAAGATGGACTTTACAAAAGTGTCATCTTCACCTGTAATCCTAGCACTTTGGGAGGCTGAGGCAGCTGGGTCACTTGAGGTCAGGAATTCGAGACCAGCCTGGCCAACATGGTGAAACCTCGTCTCTACAAAAAATTACAAAAATTAGCCGGGGGTGGTGGCGGGCACCTATAATCCCAGCTACTTGGGAGGCTGAGACATAAGAGTCACTTGAACCCGGGAGGGGGAGGTTGCTGTGAGCTAAGATGGTGTCATTGCACTCTAGCCTGGGAGTGCAGCAAGACTCTGTCTAAAAAAAAAAAAAAAAAAAGTTATCCTGATGAGAATCAGAAAAGGCAAAGTCACAGAGAAATAAAAACCTAAAAACCTACAATGTGAATGAGGAACAGGGACAGTGTTTGGCTACAGTACAGGGAATAGCTAAACCAGAGGCTGGAAATTTAAACCAGTGCCCAATTGAGAGACCACTGAATGTTTGGCAGTGGAATGTATACTTAATTTCTTAAAAAAAAAGGGATCAGTTAACTAAGACATGGAGTTCTGGTGATTATGCTCAGAAATTTATCTTAGAAATGTTAATTATTTGGCG
Organism: Homo sapiens; assembly: GCF_000001405.40. Classification (NCBI taxonomy): domain Eukaryota; kingdom Metazoa; phylum Chordata; class Mammalia; order Primates; family Hominidae; genus Homo; species Homo sapiens. The sequence goes on along the minus strand of NC_000012.12, from coordinate 19,987,247 downwards.
GTATTGTTTACAACTGACTGTAAAAGGGAAGGCAGCCGGAGGTGTTTGCAGTGCTCCATACAAAGAGTAATGAGCTCATAGTGCTTCATGGTGGAAAGGAAAGGGATCTTACAGATGGAACAGACGTTGCGGAGGTAACCTCCAGAGAACTTGGTCCCTGATTTCATGCGACACATGTGAGACCCTCAGGTGAAGCCAAAGGCAGAAGATGGCTTCATTCATGACAGGAAGAGGGAACTTCTAGATTCATCAGGTATTGTGTTTTAAAATGGGGGAAGAGGCCAGGTGCCGTGGCTAACATCTGTAATCCCAGCATTTTCGGAGGCCAAGGAGGGCAGATCACTTGAGCCTAGGAGTTCGAGACCAGCCTGGGCAACATGGCGAAACCCCATCTCTACAAAAAATAAATAAATTAGCTGGGCATGGTATGCGCCTGTAGTCTCAGCTACTCAGGAAGCTGAGGTAGAAGAATAGCTTGAACCCAGGAAGGGGAGGCTGCAGTGAGCCAAGATCACACCATTGCACTCCAGCCTGGGCGACAGAGTGAGATCCTGTCTCCAAAAAAAAAAAAAAAAAGAGGTTGTTTTTTCAAGCCCTGCATTATTTTGTGCAGAAAATACTGGGCAACATGGAGCTTTATAGTCATGTCTTTTGATAGTAGAGCTTTTATTAACTTCTACTTGGTTCAAACTAAGGTAATATATTAATAGGTGTACACCAGGGCACACATTTTGCTTTTGCCTCTGATTCCAGTATGGCTCCACACAGCACTGTACCAAGAACCTTCTCAGAAAAACAGAAGGAGAACTTAGACAATTAGTAAATGTGGTTCTGAGGTCTAAATCCTGAAAAATATCAAATATCCTCTTAAAATCAAACCTAATCCCTTATTGTATTTGATTTATTTCCTTACTTTGGTACTGCTAACGTGTAATTTCTGCCTGGACAATAGGGATGTACGCAATTTTTGGTCATCCAGAAAGCTCAAATACCCAACTAACTATTTGGCAAATTGGTGTTATTGACAACAAACTCAGTCTAAATTAGGGCCTATAGAGGAATGTGGTATGCCCCACCAAGATGCACCTAAATCCACAGAAGTCAAATAGATTTTTGCCATCTTTCTGCAAATAGTTAGCATGCTCAAATAGAAGCAAAATGACCTTTTCCAGGCATGTCTGCAGCACAGAAAAATGACTGATCTTTTCACATGAAATATTTATGTAAATATCAATCAACAGCTTTTGATAAGGAAAAATACATCACATACTTAACAAACACACACATATGGTTTTCAAAAATATTTTAAATACAAGCAGCTTTGTGGAAACTTTCAAGAATTATTACAAATGTTAGCAATTACATTCTCAAAGGGAAAGTTGCTTTCTATAGATGAAATAAATGCAAAGGTTTTTTGTTGGTTTTTGTTTTGTTTTGTTTAGTACTTGTGATTGTGCAATATGAAGGTCAAGATATGTTTATACTAAGAGTTGGGAAAATAAGCACAATGCTGGTGATACAAGATCTACAAGAAATGAAGAAAAAGCTAAACAAGACAGGTGTGGTGGTTCATGCCTGTAATCCCAGCACTTTGGGAGGCTGAGGTGGGCAGATCACGAGGTCAGGAGTTCAAGACCAGCCTGACCAACATGGTGAAACCCTGTCTCTACTAAAAATACAAAAATTAGCCAGGCATGGTGGCACACGTCTGTAATCCCAGCTACTCAGGAGGCTGAGGCAGGAGAATTGCTTGAACCCGGGAGGCAGAGGTTGCAGTGAGCTGAGATTGTACCACTGCACTCAAGCCTGGATGACAGAGTGAGACTCTGTCTCAAAAAAAAAAAAAATAAAAAAAGCTAAACAAACAAACAAACAACAACAAAAAATGGAGAAAAAAAAACCTATGCATTATTTTTTCTCCTCTTTTCTATTCCCTTTCAATGTGAGTTTATAGAAGCACTGCTTTCATGAGTACTTAATGCTTGGACAGCTCTATACTGAAAGTTGGGAAGGAATAGAGAATAACAATAATTACCATTTGTTAAGCATCTATTTGGTGCTAGAACATCTGTTAGATTCTTCACATTTATTTTCTTGCAAAGTATGCAGCTCTTATTATCCACAGGGAGATTAAAGAAATTATTGAAGGTTATAGAACCAGTAATAATAGTACCTACTTCATTGGGCTATTGTGAAGATCAAAATAGATTAAAAATGGAAAGTACTTCAAACAGCATCTGTCACATAGTAAGTAAATATAGGTAATTGTTATGATGTCATGAGGAGACCAATAGGTACTGCATTTTCTTTAAAATATAACTTAATACAGTAAAATGTGTTCCATTTCTATATATATTTCACATCTCCAGTGTTATTAATTTATTGAAGCACCGTTTCCTTTTTCTTTTTCTTTTTCTTTTTGAGACAGGATCTCACTCTATCGCCCAGGCTGGAGTGCAGTGGCAGGATCTCAGCTCACTGCAACCTCCACCTCCTGGGTTCAAGTGATCCTCCCGCTTCAGCCTCCATAGTAGCTGGGACTGACTACAGGTGTGCACCACTAGGCCCAGATAATTTTTTTTGTAATTTTTGCAGAGACGGGGTTTTTCCCTGTTGCCCAGGCTGGTCTTGAACTCCTGAACTCAAGCAATCCACCCACTTCGGTCTCCCAAAGTGCTGGGATTACAGTCGTGAGCCACCACGCCAGGTCACTTTTTTCTTTTTTCTTTTTTTTTTTTTTGAGACGGAGTCTCACTCTGTCACCCAGGCTGGGGTGCAGTGGGGCGATCTCGGCTCACTGTAAGCTCCGCCTCCCAGGTTCAAGCCATTCTGCTGCCTCAGCCTCCTGAGAAGCTGGGACCACAGGTGCCCGCCACCTCGCTAAGCTAGTTTTTTGTATTTTTAGTAGAGATGGGGTTTCACCGTGTTAGCCAGGATGGTCTCGATCTCTTGACCTCGTGAAGAGGTCAAGGCCCGCCTCAGCCTCCCAAAGTGCTGGGATTACAGGCCTGAGCCACCACGCCTGGCCCACTTTTTCTTATATTGTCATTCCTCAGTAATTTAATCTTGATAATCACCACTATAATCTAAAATTCAGTTAAAGGTTTTAAAGGAAAGTATGTGTAAGCAAAGCTTCCTTGTGCTTTATTAATAGAGTAAATAAATCATGTAATACCATTTACAAATTCAACCTGCTTTATTTGCATAGGTGTGCGATATGTGCCAATCTATCTTTGTATGTTTCAATGTGTCACAGGCCAAGGTAAGAATTCACCGTCTCCTCGTGTATAAAGAAAGAACAGACTTCAAAAAGCTAGATTTTCTCATTAAATTTTTTTGTTTCAGAAAATACAGTCTTTAAAAAATAGTTGCCTGTGTTAACATGTAATTCATGTTATTTTTAAATAAATCTAAATACATATTCGAAAATTTTTAAAGTTTTAATTTCTAATGTTTAATATCTAATATCAGTAGCTATAACCCACAGAAGCAAGCGCTCTTTGGAGAAGCTCAATAATTTTTCAAACTGTACAGAAAAAGGCAAAAATTTTGAAAACTGCTGCTGTAGGCAATACTTTGCACTTCTTGTGAGTAAACTGAGGCTTGCCTTTACCCAGCAAGTGTGTCACCACAGCTAATTGGGCTGGGGTATGACCAAGTATTTGTGCGTACTTTGCGTGTCTTATGCATGCTTGCGTGTGCACGAGTCTGAAGCAAATGTGAGAATAAATCAAAGTATGCAGATGCACAGTGCTTCATATATTTTATTTTACAACCTCCTCTGTTAGTCTTATGAGGTAAGTGCTATTATTATCTACATTTGGCAGATGAAAAGAGTAAGATGTAAAGAGAAAAGTATGAAAAATGGAGTAGAAGTAACAGTCTATCTAGAAGAAGAATCTTTCTGTCTGGGACGGAAAATAAAGAAAAGGTGGAAAGTTGAAACAGAGTAAGTCTCAGAGTAAACAAACCATCAGACAATCACAATAACTCCCCTTGTTTGCTCCTGAGAAATCACTTATTGTCATCTGTACATAGAGATATGAGTACTTGATCTACCTCTCTCCATTTTTCTAAGATCAAAACAAATGCAACAAATATAAGCCGTAAAGACCTGAAGTAACAAAAAGGTTATGTTGTGTATATTAGAAAGCATTGTAACTGTACACTTTTCATTGTCTTTAAGATTACTCAAAGTAGAAAACCTTCTACTTAATAGTTGGATAATTTCCTAACATCAAGTGCATGATTTTTGAGCATTTTCATTTGTTTTCTCTAGCTTGAATTCTTAGTCCAGTGTCTTAGTCTGTTTCGGCTGCATAACAAAACACCTTATCCTGGGTAACTTACAAACAACAGAGATTTATTGCTCACAGTTCTGGAGACTGGGAGGTCCAATGTGCCAACATATTCAGTGCCTGTGAGAGCTTTCTATTAGGTTGGTGGAAAAGTAATTGTGGGTTTTGACATTGAAAGTAATGGCAATAATCACAATTACTTTCGCAACAACTTAATACTTTATAAATGACAACTTCTACGTGTCTGCAAGTGGTTTAAGGGGCAAACAGGCTCCCTTTCATCTTTTTTATAAGGGCACAAATCCCCTTCATAATGGAGTAGCCTACATCATCTCCTAAAGGCCCAAATTGTTCGTACTATCATATTGGGTATTAAGTGTCAACATCTGAATTTTGGGGGGACACCAACATAGCATTTAATTAGTTTTAAATTATTATGTGTGTCAAGCTAATTGTTGGCAATGCATTTGAATAACATTGCTAATTACTGGCACTTTCACGAATTGAAAAAAGGTCAAATTTGTCTCAATATCTGGGAAATAGCAAAGAAGATTTTTAGACGTATACTAAAACCATATGGTTTGTAAAAAACCTCAATCATAGAACTTTTCAGAAAGCCACTGATTAAGGTAAAACATTCTCACGGCGTATAATGGAAAGATAGCCCAAAAAAATGCTTTCCAAATTTCCCTTGTAATTTGTTGACTTGAGGATTATATTATGACACAGAATTGGCCATAGTTTACTTTTCTTCTTAAGAGAGTGTATGTGTGTATTTATCAAGCCAAACACCAGCAATCTGTTTGCAAATGGAATGTCACCAAGCTACCCCCAAGCTTTGACCAGGAGCATTCATTTTACCATGTTTGACAGCAACCACAGCAGGGGTGTCTATGTTTACTAATCTTGGCAATGAGTTGGCACCAGAGTTAGCCTGAGACCTGCTCAAGACAACTCACACAACTCTCTATGTTCATGTTAGTTTGGTTTAGCTTAGAAAGTCAAGAAAATTGACATGTCTTGCATTTCTACCACTAGCTGAATAATCAAAGGCAAATATCTCCAATCTATGTATCTCTGTAAAATATGATAAATAATAAAGCTTAATTTCAAAATCAATCTTTATTTTTTGAAAAACAGAAGCATTTTGAAATTTTGAAGGTGATCACTACAAAAATGTTATTCATTAAAACTATTATGTAACTTCTCTCTCATTCCCATGAATGGATATTTTTGAGAAAAGAGGCCCACTGTGAAACCAGCCTTGTTCTGTCTTTGACAATCGATAGCATCAAGACAAGATATGAAACAACTGGAAAACAATGTAAAGCAATTCATATAAAGGGTTAAATTTATGATATAGGCCAGGGAGTTTTGGAGAAGGAAAACCAATTCAGACTAGTGTGACGTGAATTACAGAATTAAAAACAAGAAAGATAAAGGAAGGCTCTGAAATGGGGTAAAGCCCTACTACAGTAATATAAAATATTTTACCTAGTTATGTCTTTCCAGACTTCATATGCTACTACTCAAGTATGGGAAAGGAGAGAGGCTTGTCTTTACCCCATGCTCTCTTCTGAAGTCAAGTTTATGCTCACAGACAGAAAGAGAAGTATCGTTCAACCCACGGATACTTGAACACTGAATATAACACGTCACAACAAAACTTTACTCCTAAGGACATATCTCACAGTCCCTGTGATCCATAGGCATCCAGTGTCACTAGAAACTGGAGAATCTGAATACAGGACACTTTCTTAGGTAAACAATTGTCTTCCCCTACAACAGTATTTGCTGTTTCCATCCTCTGAAGGTTTTCACAAACACAGGCTCCTTTTGTAAAACCTGGAACTTTGAAATCATTGTTTTTATTGTCTCATCTGAATTTATGCAGAATAGATACCTCCCTAAAAGAAAACACAGAAACAACTCCTTGAACTAAACTAACACAAACAATGGCATGCAGAGATAAATAGTTTAAAGGAAACTTTAAAAATGAACATTAAAACAAAAGAAAAATAAGGAAACCAAATAAGGAAAGCAAAAATATTTCAAAGTAATAACTGACTTGGAAGACTTTATTAATTCTGAATATAGCTCCTTAAAACCCGATATCAAAAAAATTACATAAAAACAAAAAAAATCTAAATACCTAAAAATGTATATAAACAACTACCTAATGAAAAATTAATAAACATTTGACTTTCTTGAAATTGGAGAAGTGAATGGTGAAATTTCTATCCAACCATTGCTACTTCACTTCAGAATGCCTGCAAGAAAATATTTATGCAGTTCTTGAGCCTAGTGATATGTGGCACCACGGATTTCTGCAGACATTAGTGACATAGGCTTTGGATGGCTTTCTCCATGTTTTGTATGACCATTGTAGGTTTTAAATATTATATCTAACATCTTTAAACATGTACTGTAGAACACATTAATGAACCGGCCTTGTATTACATGCTGTTTACACAAGATGTTTTCCCTATAGAACAACAGTTATTTATGCTAAATATATCATAACAACTACATGGAAATTAACATATTTATCAAGAGTATTCATGTCAATTTACTCTGATCTTACCAAACAGTACTGTGAGGTTTTTAATGGAAGCAGAGATCCTTAATGTAACAATGTGCAATACTAATTAGTTGATTCATTCATGCATCCAAGCAATATTTATCAAGGGCTTATCTTATGCCAGGTACTGAATTAATCATGTGAATAAGACATGGGTAAATAAAACCTGACCCCTTTTGAAACTCACAGTATCATGGGGATGACAGACAGACAACTTCAAAAGAGTGAGAGAAAGCAATGGATCCATGGCCAAAGCACTGTATGGTAGCAAGAGTAGCAATAGCCAACTGGGCCCCAATGTTGAGGGCAATGACAATGCAGAGCCATGCAAAAAAAAAAAAAAAAAAAAAAAACCCCAAAAAACATAGTATTCATTTCACAATAGACTCACAGACTCATGAGGGACAACCAATGTAAGCAAATGAAGTAGCACATGAAAATACATGGAATTATGAAAGAATATTTGGGATTTTCAGTACTACGTGTGGTTCAGAAGGCCTGGTACATACAGCATGTGCCAGGAGGAAACAAACGGCTCAAAAGGGAAGCAGAGTCAGAGCATGTGTGTTACAGGAACCCAGACTGCTTCCCGAAGAAACTGGGAGTGACTCAGATCTGTGATTTAAAAAGAGAACTTGTGGAAGCATGAAGAATGATTTGGTTGGACTAAGAGATCATTGTAATCTGGAATTATATGTGCCATTTTCCTAATGGAAAAAGAAACAAGAACATTCTGAAGCTGACTTAAGTTAACTGTGGCAGATGCTGCTAGTTGCCTATGCAATACCTACTTGCCCTTTCATCACTACCTACAGAATTACAATTTTTCTTGGGGTAGAAATATGCCAAATTAAAAATGCTCATCTCCCACAGAGATTTATTTGAAACCAAAGCCATGTGACCATAGTTCTGCCCAACACGATGTGAAGGGAAGTCTACTGGGAAGAGTCTCTATAAGATTTGTTGTTTTCTTGATGAAAAGGATAGGTACAGAGTTAACATGCTCCTTTCTAGTCAATCTTACTATCTTCTTTCTACCTGAAATACGAACATGATACCTTGAGATGAACCAACCATGCCACCAACTTCAGTACAAAGTTGATGTGTGAAAAATAAATTCCATGTAGTAAGTAACTACAGTCAGACCTCTATTATGAATGGCCAAAAGAAATACTAGCTGACTGAGCAACAAAGGAAATTTTGTAGGTAAGGATAAGGTAAAATCTAAATAAAAAACGAAACGAAACAAAACAAAAAAACCTCCAACTAAACAGTGAACAAGCAGAGAAACGAATCTGGTTTCAGACAGAGATTGAAACGGAAGAACTCCCTAAGCTTTTTATATCTTCAAAAGCCTCAACGTTTTTCCTTATTAATCTCATCACATATTGACTGTTTAAAAGTTTAAACCCATAACCTAATTATTCCATTTTCCTATTCTATTATTCTACCTCATGGCCTTTTTTTTTCATTTCCTTGGATCTATGCAGGATTAAGAGTATGTCAGGACTGGGATTTATGGATGAGCTCCATTGCAACTGGAAAACAATAGCAAGTAAATATCCAGCTGTTTAGAGGGTTCCCATGACATCCTAAACAAGTATTTTCTTCTTCACCTCCCTCCCAAATGAATACCTATCAAAGCAAGTATCACTAAAATATTTTACTATGGCAAGTTAGTTTTGATAAAAGGGTGATTTAGGTCCGTATCTGAGAGTTTGTTTTCAATGAAAGCAAGAACTGATTAAATGTCAGCATCATATTAGTTTAAAGAAAAACTTCCCATCAGTACTCAAATTTTACTTTAAAGGGTGCCAGACCTACCAAGTGAAGCTTGGGAACTCAAAGACAGTAGATAGGTCACATCTTCTCTTCCAGTCAACATGTGCAGTTCCCATTGGTATTTCTGGGATCCTTGCCATAAAGAGAGGTTAACATGTGGTTCTCAGTCATTCAGTTTCCCTGCCCATAACAGGAACAGTTCTGATTACATGTGGGCTAATGCTGACACACTGTGTTGTTCCAACTAAGTAATTCCAAACATTCACATCTGAAGCTGACCTATATTACCACTCTGGCTGCCAGATGTTCTTGTGAGGAACTGTCTCCTCTGTAGCATCATGAACCTTGATTAAAGCAGATGAAGAGCATTACATTTACTCCATCACCCTTATGCAGAACAGTGTTCTGGCTATTGATTACAACTAGTCTCCAGTTGGAAAGAATAACCATTACTATAGGAAAACTTCTAAAAGCTCAATTGAGCAAATATGTAATACAACTTAACCGATTGATTTTAACTAATGGTCAGTTAACCTGACGTAAATGGCAAATCCTTTATGACATTACCTGCTTTTATTATGGTCCAAGAGTCAGTGATATCACATCTGAGATATTGACTTTCTCTTAGATCAGGATGACAAATATGAAAGAGTCATTTCTACATAATATTGCAAAAGATGAGGCTTTATGCATAATGTATTTTACCTCTATCCAGCTGCATGCTGGTTTGATTGATCCCAGATACTAGAGAAAGAAAGGCAAAAAGCAAAACCACATAGTATGCTTAAACATGTTTTTATTTATACCTGCATAATCAACTCAATGGTCAGAGTACACACTTAAAAATAAGACTTACTATGAATACCGTTAGTCAAGACCTATCATAGCTCAACATCTGGAATGATTAAATATGAAAAGCCTTATGTTGAATCAGGATGGTAGAGTTTTCACAGATGGTATTAAGGAAAAGAATGAGAAAAGATTTTTTAAAAGAATAATAATTTTTACACCGAAAGCTGTGCAATCTAGGACTTTCTAAACCTGGAATTTTCAGACATCAGAAAGTTGACATTAATGCAGTCTTAACTATATAGGAAAAATGAGATGTTCCTGTGGTAGGAACAGGGTTTTTAGTATACTCATTCTAGATCTAGTGGGGAAGAAAGGGGAACCTTTTGGGACAGAATGAGTTCATTGCTCTAAAACCTCATGGTGGGCATGCCAAAAACTTTCAGTTCAAGAATCAACTGTGACTGATTGGTTATCTAGGACATGAATTGAGAAAACTTTGGAGGGAGAGTCCAAAATCAGAAGGAAATAATGCCCTCACTGATTAGTAATATCTTCCAGGAATAGGAGTGGGTGGAAAGTGTGTGAAATATGCCGTCTTACCTATGGTTTGAGTTTTTGCAATCTATTGTAATTTAAAGGTAAAAATCATAGGTTTTTTCCTCTTTCTTAAAGCTACACAAATAAAATTTTAAGAGATTTTAAAAGAATTCTAGATTTTATGTGTTACCATCTACTCTACCACAGGTGCTGGAGCTTCTCTCCACACTTCCACTTTCCATACCAGCAGATTTCTCCTTCTTTGACACTTATCCACAGTGTCTTTCCTCAATCCATTGCTCTACTTGAGGTAAGAAAGAGAGGTGCATTCATCAGCTAATGAGGACAAAAATGTCTAAAATTTATGAGAACAAAGTAGAGAATGGGTACTAAAGGTATAATTCAAATTGGATAATCAGTCAATTGACTTAAGTTATAGTTAACATTACCTAAGTTCTCATAGTGAGAGAGATGAACATCAGCAAATAATCTAGAACACATAATAGCAATTATTTATTTCAATAAATATGTATTGGGTATCTATTCGGTGTTAAGCACTACTCTAAATATTATGCAAAGGTAAGACAGCTATGGCTTAGTGGAAAAAGTCAATCATTCAACAAATTGATTATACAATACAGTTTAACAGGTACAAAGCAATAATGTATATAATTTGTGGCTATGGCAGAAATTGCTAAATTTCAGAAAACTATTGCTTTTTAAGTTAAGAACTTAGCAGAAACACCCCAAATCCTTCACTGAAATAAACAAAGTCAGTGAATCAAAAATGGGATTACCCTAAACTTGGTATCTACTAAACAGTCATTTATTCTTTATCAGAGGAGACTCAAAAGGACTCTGATCTGAACATACTTCTCATCAAAGAAACTAAATGGAACTTGCATTTCAAATGATGCATTCATCCTTCCATTCCACCATGATGATCTCCTCAGCAGCTCCAGGCAGCTGAACAGCAAGTTGCGCTCATCAACTCAGCATTAAAAAGCAAACGGAGTCATTGGCAAGATCTTGCAAATGAATATCACTTTTAATGCAAATGTCCAAAGTGAACCAAGAGTATAAATCCAGAGGAAAGACCAATTCATTAATTCATTAACAATTTACAGAGGCCTACTCCATACAAGTCAGTTTATAAAGGACAGTGAATATAAAATTGATATAATACCAGTTCCTGTCCTCAATATCAAGAACGTCAAGCTTGGAAAGGGAAAAAAAACAACTGGAGGGAAATAATTAAAATGAATTTGAGCCTTTTTCTTACCACTTTTCCTTCTTTTCTCTTTCCTTCCTTTCCCCACCACAGGGGAGGGTATTGCATGGTAGTATTGAGGGTAGAAGGAGCACAGAAAGATTTGTGGCAGGGTGTCCACAGGCTCCTGAGGAGGTGAGAAATGGGAGAAGAGAGAGACCCAAGCAGATGATGGATCCATTTGCCTCAATCAGAGGCAGTGTGCCTGCTGATATCTCAGAAGGTACGGCACATGGAGTGGACTCATGGAGGTGGAGAGGGAAGGAGTGGTTAGGAAATCAATTATACCTCAACAAGGTGAATTACTGAGCATAACAAGAGCCAGGTTTCTGGAAGTTGGATCTATCTATTTATTCAAACAAACATACAAATTATGTTTTTATACACACACACACACACACACACACACACACACACACACATAATTTTTTTTCCTAGCTTTATATGCTGAGAGGACTCAGAAGCAATCGTGTCCCACTAACAATGAATACATCGAGAGCTCAGAGCTTCGAACCAGGAGTTCATCCTGATTCCAGGATCAGGGCAGGGAAAGTACACGTTAAGGTAGAAATATCTTTGGAGAATAGAAAGTAAGAAAGTGCTCAAAGAATAATGAGGAGATATCAAAAAGACACAAGAGTCACTTGAATGGATCTCCTGTTGGTCATATCTGGACATATTCAAATATCAAAATTGATCATGATAGCAACAGATTAAAAACCAAGAATCAAATAGAAATCCATGAGGCCATGTTGATTAATTTAAAAGAAACAATGGGAAGAGAAAGTTCTTCGTATGCTAGAATTCCAACAAGTAAATGTAGCAGGTAAGAGAAAAAAATGTATATTTATTAACCATGATAATGATAGTTAATGCAGGTGGGAGTTGTCAATAGAGGCTTAAAGGTAGTCGATGAATGTTTGATAACAACAGGATATGGGCATAATCTTGGGACATCTTCCACATACAATATTATGATTAGTATTCATATACAAGAAGAAACAGTGACTTTACAGTGAAGGAAATGGCACCAACATGACAAGGTGAAAGGTTAACATCACCCAGGTGTACCCAGAATGGGACACACTGAGAGAAACACAGCATCGTTTCTATGGTATTCCTACCAAGACGGCCTACCCTGGGACTAGTCATCAGGAAACACTGGACAGGCCCAGCCCAAGTGTCATCCTATATACAGAACATAGATCCTCGGTTATTTAAAACTATAAACGGCATGAAAGACAGGGGAAGGGGAAATACCTGTATTCCAAATTGGAGGCAACTGGAGAGACGCAACTTGATGCAACACGCATTCCCAGATGATATTCTGGGGCCAGAAGGCAAAGACACATTGTTGGAACTGCTGGAGAGATGTAAATGGGGTCTGTAGGTTAGACAATAGTATTGTACCAATAATTTCCTGATTTTGAAGGTTTCCTAGGGGTCAGATAAAAGAGTGTCCTCTTTTAGGGAAATCACATACCATAGCATTTAGGAGTAGTGAGGCATCATGACTGCAACTTGTTTTCAAATAGTTCTGAAAAAGACTAACAGTCGTGGAGAAAAATTTAGAAAAGGGGATGACAGAGCAAATACATGAAAATGGTAACAGGAATCTCAGCAAGGGAGTACATAGCAGGCCTCTATAATGTGCTTTTAACTTTTCTATGTTTGAAACTATTTCAAAATAAATCCTTGAACTTTTTAAAAAAGTGAATGTGTAGAAGATATACCTAATGTAAATGATGAGTTAATGGGTACAGCACACCAACATGGCACATGTATACATATGTAACAAACCTGCTCATTGTGCGTGTGTGCCCTAGAACTTAAAGTGTAATAAAATAAAGAAAGAAAGAAAGAAAAAAGTGAATGTGGTAAAGACTATTAAAGAGGGGTACAGCAGGAGCAACCTCAGGCCATATTCCCAGGTAACGTAACTTTCTTCACTTTTTTCTTACTTAACTAAATTTCTCATTCAAGCTTGAGAGTATGCCAAGAGTCACAGAAACTTAATGTATATCAACTAAGTGACTCCTCACACACCTATTTTCGGAGGGTTGCATCTAAGTTCTGGACTCTAATAACTTCCAAGATACCGGGGAGAAGAGTGAAAAAATACAGCACTCAATTTCACCGGCCTTGTAGAGATTCACTGATGCACTCATGTTCCAACCTGCTACACGTCAGCGTTCGTGCAGCTCCCTGAGGAATCACTGCTCATTCTCCTCCCAGGCAGCTCCTTCAGGTTTGCCATCCTCTCCACCCATGAGATGCCCTGGTGTTACTTAGCTCTCTCTGACCCCACCAGAAAAAACACCCATATACAACTCAGCATAAAGTATGAGGGGATTCCTGAATTGACCACCTGAGATGAACTTTCTCCCACTTTAGGAGAATGGGGGCACACATTAAAAATTTAACTGAAATATAGGTTTTTTTAAAAAAATAACTAATTTTCCTGCACATTTGAGTTTTTGATGCGACAACAGGAAGTAAAGAGAGTGGAGGGGCAGGGTTCCTGCCTGGCTTTTGGATTTCAAAATCCTAGGTCCTTGGGAGAACAGAGAGGAAGCTCTTAAAGTTTACAGTAAAACATTTTGGAGAAAAACATCATGAACTAGAGTGATTCTCTCCTCATCCACACTCCCCACAGGAGTGTGAAGAAAAGGATTCTGCAAGCAGAGGAGAGGGAAAAGAGTCAGAAGAAAAATGGTGGGACGTGGCTAGGACATACAGACAGGGATTCTGTGCCCTGCTTGCAGAGCTAATCCAGAGAGGTAAGAAGCCCCAGATACATGATACACGTGTGGGTTCTAAATCAGTTAGAATTGACATCTCACTTCCCCCAGCCGAGTCTTGGGGAGGTGACAAAACCCCCCAAAATAGTGGTTTCCTGATATGTCTAAGCCAGCGGTTCTCATTTCCGGTCAAACACTGAAACTCCATGGGAACTACACTAATACTCAGGCCCTTTCCCAGGGCAGGGTCTCAAACTTTAGTGGATATCAGAATCACCAGGAGGACTTCTTTTAAAAAATGCAGATTTCTGGACACCACCCACACAGTTTCTGATTCAGTAGGTCTAGCGTGTGCCAAGAATTTGAGTTTCTCAGTGGTCTTCAGGTGAGGCTGAATAATGCTGTTCTTGGACCACACTTTGAGAAGTCCTGCCCCAGGTATTGGTAGCTGTAAAGCTTGTCAGGTGATTCTTCCATCCAGCCATTGTGGAGAACCACAGGCCTAAGCAGATGGAGCCTCCGGCAATCTCCTAGACATCCCTGCTTTTTGTCTGGGAGAAGCAAAAAACACTCCCAAAGTGGGCCCAAGAGTTTCATATCAGTAGGGGAGGGGTCCCCGACTCAAAAGCCATGCACACAGAAACAAACATGTCTAAGAAAGCCACGTCAATGACTCATCAAGAACCAGATAGGGGAGAGAGGGCTCAGAAGATGCCTCTGCGGCCAGATGACATCAAGAGCAGAAAGCCCTTTATGCCTTTTTAGGCACCTCCCTCCCCCAACGTAGTCACAACCCAGGGAGAAAGTAAAGGGCCAGTGGGAATCACTGTTTGATTGAGAGAATTAAGTTTCTGCCACCTTAGTAGAACAGGAATTCAAAACAGAAATTGTACTGAAGTACAGAAAAATTTGAGTGCTAGAAGTTCCTGGGCTGATTTTTTTTTCTTTTACTTTTATTTTAAAGGTAGGAGGCAAGATCATTTCTCATTTTTCATGGCTGCAGGTTGAGGGGTGGTCAGAAAGGGCATGAGAAGAGTGGTTAAAATTTGGCATGCTAGCTGAAGTAATGGGCATGGGAACTGACCAGAGATTGCTAAAAGGATTATCGACCTGAGTTGCAGGGCCAGCTGAGATGGGAAAGCATAAATTTGCAATGGCATCAATCCACACAGTTGTGTGACTTTTCTCCCATGGTGCTGGCAGCCACAGCATAGAAGCAGAAGGGATTGCTTATATTGATTTAAAGTTGGAGGTTTGTGGATAGGTATAGCTAAAGGGCAAATCAATAAAATAAACAAAAGATCTTAAATGTTAGTTGGGAAGTTTAACATAACTCTCTCATTGGAAAGACTAGCAGCCAAATAGGTTTGAAGAATGTGGAAAACCAGCAGCACAAGGATGTAACACAATATGTTACAAAAATGAGACATATATTCAAACTCAGTATTGCTGAGACAGAACAGGGCTTGGCTTCAGCTCGCCCCCACTAGGGCATTCTGTCCTGCATTCCCACTGATCACAAAACCCACACAACTACCTCGCTGATGCCATAATGTTTAACCATGCCTTTTACTCAAAGAGTTCCAGGAACTGGCCTTAGGAAATAACCAAGCTTACAGTGTCCCGCCTCTGGAAGGAATGCTGAGCAATTGATTTACATCGTTGTTGCCAATGGCCAGACCACCAGGTGGCCCATTACTCAAGATAACCATGGCAACCAGATATGCTGACCTGCACACCCTATCCGTCATGTGCTTTGCCCTGCCCAGCCTGCATACCCTACCCTTAATGTCAATTCCTGTGCTTTGTTTGTCCAGTAAAAAAGCCCTACCAGCTCTTTTTGTGGTGTCAGGCAGGGAATCCTCTCTCTCTCTCTTTCGCGCTGCCTCCCTTATGCCTGGGCATAAGCTCCAAGGAAGCCTCCTCTGGGAAAACATTTTTGGCCACATGTGAATTTCTATTGCACTGAGACCCCAGGAACTGAGGTCAGTAACATTGTAGCACCAAGTGCAGAAATCCGCAATGGATACAGAAAGGGAGAGTTGGATAAGCACAGCTTGAGAACCTAATTAATTAGATAGGCAAGTTACTTAACATAATAAACTCAAAAATAATAATTTGAGGGCAAATAAGGAACTAAGGTTCTATGCAAAAGACATTCCTTTCTGAGAGAAACAAATAGCAATTCTTTCATGCATTCCCACTGATCATGAAAACCACACCACCACTTCACTGATGCCATGTTTGGCAATGACACACAGCAATATACACAATCGGCACTGTGCATGGCAATGACACATAATAAATAGCAATACCATATCTAAAAATTATTGTTGCCAAACTTTTTTCTAAATAGACTAAAAGACTAATGATTCTTGTATTATCAAAAATAAAAATGTTTAAACTAAAAGATTTTTAAAAATCATAACTTGCAAATTCAAATATTATCCAAATTATTTAACATCTTATACTTAGCATCAAATAAGACAGTCCAAGGGTTATTATCTGCTGTACGTTTTAGATGCTTTGCAATGATAAATAATTTCAGTATGCAAAACTAAAGGAGCAATTGCTTGCATGTTCATCAGCAGGCTCTATTTTAATAGTCCTTTTTTTTTTTTTGCCATGAAACATCCACTAAACTGGCATTAAACCAAGAGTTATTTGTGGTGAATCTGAGAACACAACATACATGATTGCCCAAAAAAAAGTTACATGATAATGCTAAATTAAATGAGGCATTTATCACATGAGTTTTAAAAGAAGAGAAGAAGTGGCATGATACTTTCTCCTAGCCTTCCCTGAGAAAATTCCTTTAAAATGATTTGCTGTTCAGATTCTGCAATTTCTTTGAAATTGGAATTGCAGAAATGAGTATCTGACCAAAATGCCTGGAAGCACTAAATGAAATTCCAGGGAGTGATTGAAAATGTTGAACCAGATGGTGGTCAGACAATGTTTGGGAACTCCACTGTCAGCGTAATTGTGAGTAATGACAGAACTCTGAGAAGTCTGCACATTTAAATCAGATAAGCATCCAGAACATTGGATTCTTTCAGACTTTGTTTGAATGTGCCTTAGGTCATTATTTATCTTTTTTTTTCACTCGTTTTAATTTTGAATATTTCTATTTAAAAGATCTATTTCTATTTAATGGCTCTTTAAGCTACCTTTAAGTCTATAATTGATTCCATGAGTAAACTTTTTAAGCTGAGAGTTTTGGGCATATCACACCAAAAAAGTAGCCAATTATTTATTCACCAAATATTTTGTATGAGCTCCTCCTCTCTGCCTTATTTCTGCCACTACTTTCTTCTTCCTTTCCTTTTCCTTCTCTTTTTTCGGAGTGCCTACTCTCAAGGCTGCATGAGGCTCTCAAAGATCTTAGTTTAGTGAAAAGGAAAAAACAAACACGTATAAATAGAATTGTTACAAAATTGTAATAACAGCTATAAAAGCATACTGGGTGTACCATGAACAGCAGATGGACAATGGAGATGAGGAGGCAGGAATTTGCGTCAGGAATTATGGTCATGGAAGACTTATTGGAGAAGGAGACTTCAAAGAGAGCTGACTTCAGGATTGATAGTCCAGGCAAAGGAACTGATGTATAATATGTGCATGCAGCCCTAAGTAGGAGAGACCATGGGGTGTAAAAAATCACTAGCTTTTACAGAGAATGGATGGGAGAAAGACAGAAGTGAAAACACGGAGAACAGTTAGGAATCAAGTATCACAGTCTAAACAACAGAGAGGGTGGTCTGAACTAGGGCAGTGGCAATGGAGACATCCTTCTCACTTTCAACCCTTGGTACATATATCAAATTCTATTTTTATATTAGCAAAATGGCCTATATTTTCTTGCTTTTTTTGCTCATGGTTCTTTATCAGTATATAAAGGCAAAAGCATCTAATATAATTGAACATTGTTTTCATTTGTTTCCAAATGAATTTGTTTAATCTTTCCTAAATTGTCATTTTTATAAGGGATGTCTATGAGAAATTTAAAAGAATGATAAAGAGATAGCCAAAGTCTATCTTCCCAGAATTGATAATAGGCAAATTGTTTTTTAGAGTGAGAGAATAATTTCCATTTTAGCTCATAAGAAAACATCTATATTATATTTATACACTCTCTTGTCTTGGTACCTAGATAGTTTATACAAGTATGCAAAATGGCTCCAAGTCAACAGTGTAAATCTAATCCAAAAATTAAAAGCTAAATTGAGACCTAAAGGTGTTTCCCAAACAAATTTACTAAGCTCTATTCCTTCTCTCTATTAACAAAAATATCAGTGTTTATATACCCAAGTGGTTTTAGCAGTGTGATAATATTCACCTATATTTCTCAACCAATTAAAGAAGGAAACTTAGCACACTTAGGCATTTATAATTTTTCATAAATTAATCATTCATTGGTGACACTAATTATAAGATAAATTAATACACAGTGTGACACAGACTGAAACTTTCCATTTCAGAGTAAAGTCCCTTGTTAATTAATTAATTTATTTGTTGGTTTATGAAGGGCTTAGTCTCATGGTTAGAATACTTTCCTTACTAGAAAATGAGCAAACTAAATTCTTAAATCATCTCTGCAGTCAGGCCCAAATCATTCAATATTTTTTCAGTACTCACAGTTGGGCATATGCTGCTGTCTGCTGATTCTAATCTCCGGGAAATCCTTTCTGGATAGATAACAATTTACAATATGAATGAGTGGATATGTTGATAAGAAAGAAAAATATAGGCTGGGCATGGTGGCTCACGCCTGTAATCCCAGCACTTTGGGAGGCCGAAGCGGGCAGATCACGAGGTCAGGAGATCGAGACCATCCTGGCCAACATGGTGAAACCCCGTCTCTGTTAAAAATACAAAAATTAGCTGGGCATGATGGTGCACACCTGTAATCCCAGGTACTCAGGAGGCTGAGGCAGGAGAATCGCTTGAACCCCAGAGGTGGAAGTTGCGGTGAGCCAAGATTGTACCACTGCCCTCCAGTCTAGCGACAGAGAGAGACTCTGCCTAAAAAAAAAAAACAAAAAAAAAAAAACAAAGAAAGAAAGAAAGAAAAAGAAAAGAAAAATATAAGCCATAACAATAATTAGCTAACTTTTTATAAATGGAAGAAACTATTATCTTCCCATGATGAAATAAAATAATTTTCTTTGGCTTTATTGAGTAGCATGGGAAAGGGATTGAAATCAGCTTGGACTAAAGGTCAGTCAATAATATTTTAGCCCTCTAAACCTGGCTCAAATCTATTTTATTTATCACCTCAGGGAATAATTCCTTAATTCTAAATTAGGTATCCAAATCCCTTTCTGTTCTTCAGTTTATCCTTGCTGATTTAAACAGCTATTTACCTCAGACTCCTCCTTCTATTTTTGTTTTTTCTTCTCTTTCATGTAGCCATACTTGTGATGAATATTTGAACATTTCTGCACTGCTTACATAACCTTAAGTGCCAAGCTTCTCAGAGGGAGTTGAGTCAGCCAAGCAGAACATATCACGGAGAGGGAGGAGGAAGTGCTACCATGGTGATTTACCCAGAGGACTCACCCTACGTGAATGTTGCATAAATTAAATTCCATTCATCATCCTGGTTGTCTTTGTCAAAGCTATCTCTCTCTTTTGTAAACAGCAGGGTTGCATAGGACTAAAATACTAAAGAGAGAAGAAGAGAAAGGGCAATCTGTGTGCTTCTACAGGGCATTCAGAAAATCTGTGGCACTAATGAAGAAAACTTAATTGCATCAGATGGACCTGCTCCATAGTATGAGAAAACATTTTGCAGGAGAGTGGATGAAAGATGTGATGAATGAAGATGGCATTGTTCAACGGTGGCTCCTGCAATAAATACCCTCATTGTATAGAGTATTTTTCCAGATTTAATCATGTGACAGTTTTACACTTGTCGCTGTTTTCTTACCCAGCACTTCATCCATCTTGGTTATTTCTTACAATCTGTTCTGTATAGTGTCTGTGTCCCGTGGCTCCTTAACACATGGTCAATAAGAACAATACACGCTTGCCATTACATCAGTCACCAGATAGCCACCCATAAAAGGAGTCAGGTGACTAATTGTTGGCAACAAACATTAGAATGTCCATGCTGTTTGCCAACCAGGAGATACCTCTGTGCAATTTATTTTCTGGGGTTAGCATGGCTTTATTTGAGTATCTTCAAACTGCGTCACTAGAAGCTGTGGGCTCTAGATCCATAAAAGATCAACATTCCTGACAGAGAGGCAATCAATAACAGTGAGAAACTTCTACTGCCTTACTTTAGAGGAACAATATTTTGTTGTTTCATTCACACTTTTTATGCTTCCCATTTATCAAATTTATTCTATAAAGAGATTCAAACCAGTTAAAAAAAAAAAAAGCTCTAGATTACATACCTAATTAGTGTCCCCAACTTTTAGAGGTTCTCTTCTCTTCACTAATTAAACTTTATTAATCATAATTTTGGATTAATCTTAATTATAAAAGTATACCAACCCAAATGTCCAACAATGATAGACTGGATTAAGAAAATGTGGCACATGTACACCATGGAATACTATGCAGCCATAAAAAATGATGAGTTCATGTCCTTTGTAGGCACATGGACGAAGCTGGAAACCATCATTCTCAGCAAGCTATTGCAAGGACAGAAAACCAAACACTGCATGTTCTCACTCATAGGTGGGAATTGAACAATGAGAACACATGGACATAGGAAGGGGAACATCACACAACTGGGCCTGTTGTGGGGTGGGGGCAGCGGGGAGGGATAGCATTAGGAGATATATCTAATGTAAATGACGAGTTAATGGGTGCAGCACACCAACACGGCACATGTATACATATGTAACAAACTTGCATGTTGTGCACATGTACCCTAAAACTTAAAGTATAATACAAAAAATTATAGAAGTTTTTGTAATTAATTTTCTTATTTTTACCACTTGAAACAAGTGGAAAACAAGAAATACATTAAAGGGATAATTCCTTTCATGTACCAATATTTTATAATGAAACTAAAATATTTTACATAATTTAAGAAATGTTTAAATTTCAAGGTAGAATAACCATAATTCAGCACTAGAGCTATGTGTTTTTGCAAAAAGAAAAAATATATTTATATATATATTTACTTATATATATAGCATATAAATATATATATGACCATATATGTAAATTAATATATACATATATGACATTGACAGGGAAACTCTTGTATTATAAGCACCTACTATAAGCTCATCTCTGAGCATAAAATGGTGACAATTCATAAGCCTTGTCCTCAAGAAGTTTGCTACCTAGTAAAAAAAATACAGAAAAACCCTCAAACACAGTATGTCCAACATAGAACTTATCTCCTCATACGAATTCCTTCCCCTATATGCTTTATCTCAGTGATGGTACCACCATCTATCTGGGCCCACAAGCCATAACACTAAGAGACATCCTTGTCATCTGTTTTGCTATCAGCTCCCACTTCCCACCAACACCAACCCTGTTCACTGGCTGATTTTATCTCCTAAATGCATTTGCAATGGTTTCACTCTAGGCTAGGCTACCTACATCTTTCACATAAGTAGTGAAAAATAGTCTCTTGTTTCCCTCTATCTTCCCTTTCCAGACTCCAATTAGTCTCCGCAATGCAGTCAAGCAGATCTCATGAAGATATAAATCTCACAGCCTTCTCTAAAACTTCTCCCACTGATATCTGGGATCCTGAGGCAAGAGTGACAGAGGCAACTACTCAGAAATCAGGATCCATGATCAAAGGAGCAACAGCAGTGTCAACCAAGAATGTGTTTTTAGCAAATCTTCCTACACACTCCCCCTATTCTCCAGCCATGGCAGTTATTAACCTTTCCAGAATACAATAAAGCCTCTGTGATTCTTGGCTTCTAAATGAACTTGTTACACTTTGTCTGATAAACTCGTACTTTTTCTTTAGGACTCTGTTCAATCCCTCTTGCCTCTTTTAGCCATCTTTGGCTGCTACAATGGTGGGTTAGCTGATCCTCAGACCTTCCATATTTTGTGTTTATACTCACACAAAATATAATTGTTTAAATACATGACTGCAGTTATGATGGCAATGACAGCCACTATGGGTAAAGAGTATTCATTCATTTGTTCTCAATTTTCAACAAATATTTTGGAGTGCCTACTATGTGCTAACACATGTAACTCTAGCATATGAAAGGAATACGGCAGAGACTCCGAAAGCATGTCCAGACTGAATTTTAGAAAAACTTTCTTTTGTCAATGTTCTCTGTCTTCTTTAGGAAAGAAAGAAGGGGCCAATGGTGTTTTTATCACCATTGTTGATGTTATAACTTTTCGATTTTTAATCTTCAGTGTCTAATACAATGCCTGGCACATAATAGGTGTTACGTGAATGTTTTCTGAATAGATGGACAAAGCCCTAGAAAACCCTTCCCATATTTTTTGCTAGGTGAACTCCAATTCATGCTTCACATTCAGGAAGCATTACTCAGCTCCCTCACACAATTTTGGCAGCCCCTCCATTAGCCTCCCAGAGCAAATGTGCATACCATTACAATACTACTTAATAGCATTTTAAAATCTTTTCAAGTACGTTTCTTCACTAGAGTGTGAGCTCTTGATATTATGTGTCTGGTTGACCCAGCATAATGAATTAATGAATGTAAGAACTACAATGAAATACAATATCTGAAAGTACACAAGAAACACCCATTAATTCTGAATTGAAGGATAGAAGGTTAGGTTTTTGAAGAAAATGGCATTTAGGTGAAAGATGAATAAAATGAATAAAACAAATGTTCAGGAGTTACATAAGGGACAAGGACAGGAACAGGCAGTCCAAATAGAGAATAGTAGAACAGCAGGGTCTGACAGTGCCAGTACAGGGGGTGACAGCAGAGTCTGGACCGCCAGGAGAGTGGAGGATTTGGAGATGCTGCAGGGAAGGTGCAAGAAAGGAGCTGGGAGCCAGGTTTTGAAAGGCTAATGCATGCTAAGAAACTTTGGTCACAGGGAGAATTTAAATGTGGTTTCAGAACGCAGCAGGCTGCTGAACATTAAAATCTACTAAGGTCAAGAAAGTGGTCGCTGTATTTGGTGAACAGAAAGTGAGAGCTTTCAGGAGACTGTTTTTGTTGGATATGAGAGTCAAAGATCAAAAATGCAAAGATTTCACAATAAGTGGAAATAAAACAGGTGCAAAAAGAGTAGCTCATTCTGAGAATTTTAGTAATGAAAGAAAATGTTTCAAAACAAGGACAAGAAATCAAAGCTGGTGAAAGGACATTAGACTTACGAGCAAGTCTAAGAAAAAGAAGCTAATTAATGGAGGCAATATCAAGAAATGGACAAAAATGAACAGTACAGCTGCTAAGATGATCCTTTGAAAGAAAGATGGCTATTTCTCCTTTAGAGATGGATTTCCAACCTTAAAAGATTCAGCATGCTATGCTTCTTTAGGAACTTTTTAATACAGTGCATGTGCTAAGGGTAAATATTAGCATCAAAGTATTTAATAACATTTTATTTATCACTTAAAGGGATAAAGACTGCGTTATTTTAGAAACGCAAAAATCTAGGCAGTATTGGCTGAGAGATGATCTCTAAATTTTTTTTGTGACTCTGAATTTCCTTGTCTATAAGCCTCTTCTAAATCAACAATCCTGACAGTTTTCAGTGTCAGAGATGTGGGAAGGTTAGTCGTTTACTATAAGCTTTAATGAACAGTGCTGGTAGATGTATTCAGTTTTATGTCTCTAAAAATGTCTTCCAAAGAGAGAAAGTTATCACAGTTAAAAGTTGTGAATTAATCTATATTCCTGTTACTGAGGATTATTTATTTTCCAAAGTCCAATGGCTGGCATACTGTGTTAGGAAACTAGTATAGAAATGTGCCATACAATTAAAACTTGATTTCAAGTCAATATACATTTCTTATTCCTGTAAGAAATTAGCAGAATGATGGCTCCCATGCACAGATCATTCAGTATTCTTAAGGTTCTGTCACAAAAACAAAAAATAAAATTTGCTGCTAAATATAAAGCTAGGTGAATCTTATAGTGGCAAAATTAAAAATTAAAGAAATAAATTCTTAGAAAATGAAATCAGTTACTTTACATAATCTGCTAAATGTTACTGTGTATAGTAATATCTTAAACTAGAAGAAAATTTCATTAAGTTCTTACAATTGCACCTTGATGATCAGGGTAATTTTTCTTTCCTTTTACCTTCCAAAAGAAATTTAACACTGTTATTGTCTATTATAAAAGTTATCTAAAATGATAGCTAGTGAGTTTTAACAACATACTAAGCTTAATATGAATTATCTGTAGTTTTGCCTTTTCCTCATCTTAAATTATCCAGCTTCTTCACTTTCAACCACTAATTCATTTTTTGTTTATCAATGTAGATATAGACACATCCTATACACCTCCAGATCCATCCCATATATTCTGTAAGGTAAGTTCAGTCGTTCTTTAGTAGGAATCTTTTCTTAACCTACATCATGCAAAAAAAAAAAAAAAAGAAGAAGAAATATGTTGACCTAATTGTCTTTTGGAGCATGTGATCTTCACAGCCATATTTACAATGTCTCTTTTTAAACGCTGATGTTCTTTTTAAATGCTGACGTTCTCCCTACTCTAGATTTAAAAGTTTTAGGGAAAACATACTAAAAAAAAAGGATGAGGGGGGCAGGTGGAAACCATCTAATGCTGTGTAGGATGATGACCTTGCTAGTTTTTTAATTCCATCGTGCTGGGCCTATCTTCCCATCTTGATTGATTAGCGCTTGATGGCATGGTAAAAGCCTGCAGCAATGTTAAAGGATTGCTGCTGCATCGCTTTGACATAATTCCAAAAAGTTGCCAATGACAGTCTGCTTACCCTGCCGCTCCAACCAGCTTCTGTTGTTTGTTATTTGCAGAAGTCGTTGCCAGGGTTTGGCTCTCAAGAAACCCTGAAGGTCAGATAAGTCTCTTAATGAGCAATGGGATGAGAGGGGAAAGGGCTGATGGCCCAATAAAAGTATCACCTACATCATTCTCATAGGTAGTTACCTAATCCACTTTCCAACAAGAATTTAAATAAATGGTTTTAAGTAAAATAAAATAGAATGGCTATATTCTTCTTTTTGTAAAACTGTGAAAGGACGTCCAACTGCAAGCATAAAAGTATTTTTAATTTAAACGGATTTATAGCACATTTGAAGGATAATATATACTAAGCCTCCAATAAAGTGGAAAAATATTTGAAGTAGCTCAAGAATTGCCTTGCTCCAAGATACAGCAAGTAATCCATTGTAGAGGATCCATTTTATAAAAATAAAATTAATCTTGTGAGTCACCAAGTATCGTCTCTAGTGACTGTATCAGTATACACATGAACAATAAATATGGAATTAATCTTTTTTGCCACCTAATATCCTAAGAAGGTAACATTTTTATTTATTTCTATAAAGATTATATGAATACTTACCCATGTGAGATTCAGCATACAAATGCAACAGGGATACAAAATATCTAAGCTAAGAAAGAGGTAGGAGTAAGAGTGTATTCTATTGTGTGTTAGAACCCTTGCATGTCTATACTCAGCATATGTATCACTCATTCAAGCACTTGTCAGAAACAAATAGTCCTATTTATACTCGCCTTCATTTTCAGGTTAGATTTTTTTCTTCAAGTAAGGTTTGATGCAAGTATCGTAGTAGTTTTGCTACTAAGAGAAAGAAATAGACATGTTTTTCTTCTTTTATAGTTATATTAGTCTAAAGGAGTTTCTTTTTTTTAAGTCAATTAGATGAGTGATTTCAAGATAAATAGTTAAAAGATTTTCACTTTTTTCTCCTCTCAAAGAATCACCCCAAAATAATTAGAACAAGAAAGAGAAAACTCAATTTTATCTTTGATGCAAGGAAACATGTATAATGCAAACTATTTCTATAAATATGAAAACAGATGAAAGAATGGTCAGTGGCTTAGCAAAATGGAAAAGAGTCAAACCTAAGCGCCTACAATGGTGTAAACCAATGAAAACCAGTTGATTTTCCCTGTGGAGCCTCAGAATAACAATACAAAGGACAATGCAAAATGACTCAAAAATCAGATACTATAGAAAGCAAGAATAAGCAAATGGTATAAAGTGATTTTTGAAAAATTATTATTAAAAGACGCTGACATGGTTAGACTTTGTGTCCCCACCCAAATCTCATCTTGAATTGTAATCTCTATAATCCCCTGTGTCAAGGGAGAGACCAGGTGGAGGTTATTGAATGATGGGGTTGGTTTCCCCCAGGCTGTTCTCATGAGAGCGAGTGAGTTCTCATGAGATCTGATGATTTTACGAGGCACTCTTCCCACTTTGCTTGGCATTCTCCTTCCTGCGGCCTTGTGAAGAAGGTGCCTTGCTTCCCCTTTGCCTTCCACCATGATTGCAAGTTTTCTGAGGCCTCCCCAGCCATGCTAAACTGTGAGTCATTTAAACCTCTTTCCTTTATAAGTGACCCAGTCTTGGGTATTTCCTTATAGCAATGTGAGAACAGACTCACACAGAAGCAGTTAGATCTGTTCCAAAAATGGAGAATTTCTAGGAGGAAAGCAAGAGACCAAAGATTTATTCTGTGGGCAACCTTCCAAGAGTAAACCCAAGTTCCAGGTACGAAGACGGGCCAGTGTGCAGCCATACCAAAAACAGAGGATTAATATACTGAACCACAGAGCCACTCTCCCAAACCCCTGCCCACCTGGCTCCAGAATGGCAGCAGCTAAGCTGATGTCTCCAGACAGAATATTACAGAACCTTTTATCTAGAGAAAATAGAGAAAGACTCACATCTACTAACATGTAGGTCCCCTAATGACAAAGCTAACTAGCTTGTCATATGACTTTCCTAGAGTAAAGGCTATCAGTGTATAAGCCTACCCCTATCCAATGATCTTCCAACCACGTCTTTATCTCCTCACTCAAATGAATGGGCAGCCAATGATTATTTGGCATTTAAGGAAAGAATCCAGCATAAAATGTAGTTAGGAAAATGAACAAATGGGAAAAAGTAGCTAGGAAGAAACAGAGAATGTGCAGACAACAGACAAGGCAGGTAAGAATAATCATAACATTGTCATAGAATTAAAAGATGTTAACAGATCAATTAAATAAGGAAAAAGTATAATAAAGAAAAAAATCCAAAAAAAAGAGCTCTTGGAATTTTAAAGTATAATTTCTGCAGTACAAAATTCAAAAGAAGTCTTAGAAAACAATATCCTGGAAATAGCCCATATTCCATAATAATAATGTCCCAGAAAGTAAGACAAAAAGCCAATGAGATGGGTAAGAGAAAAAAATATGAATAATGGGGATTCACCTAGGAGATATTTCATGCAACTAATAGGAACTCCAGAAAGAGAACAGATCAGATGCTGGTGGGGAGATAATCATAAAAAAGACTAATACAATAAAATGTTTTATAACTAAAGAACATGAATCTCCAGAATGAAAATGTTTACTGAGTGCTGAGTATAATGAATGAAAAAAGATTCACAACAAGGCAACCCATTTTAACTAACTCAGTTACTAGAAAAATTCCTTAGATTTTGGTATTTTACTTTTGCTTTTTACTTTTGTTGCTATTTTATGATGATTCATGATGTTTCCTGAATATTTTAATGAGAAATAAGGGAAGTATGACAGGATGCTTGTCTTCTGCTATGTTAACAAAAACACTTTCGTTGGTAAGCATATATAGCACATAATTCATCATGCAATTGCACATTCTTCTATTATTTCATGGTTATTAAATTTGTTTCTCAAAATAGAAGGGATGGATCACACATATACTATCAGATGACTTTTAGCCAGAACACCAAAGTACATTCAATGGGAAAAGAAAAGTTGCCATCTGCAAAAATTATTTCGAGATGATTTTCAGACCCAAATATAAAAGTTAAAATTATAAAACTTGTAGAGGAAAACATAGAGGTATATTTTTCAACCATGAGATAGGCAAATATTTCTCAGATAAGACAGAGAAAGCACTATCTATAAGAGAAAAAAAGTGATAAATCTTATTTATCAAAATTAAAAACTTATTTTTACCAAAACTTCTATTAAGAAGATGGACTGGGAAAAAATATTCGCAACACATAAATGACAGAAGATTGGAATTCAAAACAAATAATCCCTGCAACTCAAAAACAAAATGGTAAACAACCCAATTAAAAATAGGTAATAGATATTTCATAAAGGATGATATAAAAAAATATTGAATAAGCATATAAAATGTGTTCAACATAGTCATCAGTGAAATGAAAATTAAAAATGCAATGACAAACAATAAAACACTACACACCATTAGAATGATCAAAATGAAAAAGATGGAATACAAATATTGATTAGGATGTGGAGCAACTAGGACTCTGATACATTGGTTGTGGACATATAAAATGGCAATCACACATCTACCCATGACAACAATTCCACTCCTAGATATTTATTGAAGGGAAAGGAAAACATGTCCCTTGTATAAAATGTTTATAGCAGTTTTAGTCATAATAGCTAAAAACTGGATATAGCTCATTGACCATCAGCAGGAGAATGGATAAACAAACTGTGGCATTTATTCTATGGTGTACTTCTCAGCAATAAGAAAGCACAGGCTACTCAAACAGGCAACACATAAATCTCAAAAGCATTATGCTGAGGAAAAGCAATCAGACACAAGAGTGCGTGCTATATGATTCCATTTAAATAAAATAATGGATTAAGTAAAACTAATCAATTAGCAATGCTTGGTGTGTGTGTGGGAGGGTGTTATTAAATAAGAAGGGGCACAAGTACACTTTCTGGGCTGATGATAATGTTCTGTATCTTGATTAGAGTTACACAGATGTATTCAATTGTTCAATGCCGGCTGATCTGTACATTTAATATCTGTGCATTTCTCTGTATATAAGTGATATCCCAATAAACTTATCATGGGGACAAAATAGAAGGGCAAGGATTCTGTCAGACTCAGAAGATTTTTTTCACAGCCATTATCAGAGTATTGGGTAACATAACTATACAGCCCAAATGACAGATTATAAAAACTCAACCGAAGCAGATTTTAATATTGTTACATGAGCAGTTCCAGTTTCATAGTGTCCCCACCATTGCTTCTGAAGAATTCTATTGTAGTTGGAAGTTCACCTGGAAACCTCTCCCTACAAAAGACTATACATATTGCAAAAGGCCCTAAGGTAGTTATCATTAACTTCCAATGGTTAAAGGTAAGGGAGGGCAGGGGGTGTCGTTCCACTATAATCTCATCTCTGGGAGATATGCCATTATAAAAGGAGGCCTTACACTGAATTTGGTAACACATACCAACATTTATTAGCAAGCAACCATGAAAACAATCGTATGAAATGTTCTGTATATGCGAAGTCCCAGCCTTACAAGTTTAATTAGAAACAGATGCCCTAGTGGAAGGAGTCAGCTAATATTCCATTGGGACATGAGGTGGATGACACTCTTAAATCAGGGCAGAGGTGGCTCAGACCACTCGATTCTTAGGTCCTGTGTGAGCAAGGCTGAGGCAGCTGCATCGTATTTCTAGTGAATCAGTATATCTTAAACACCACACATTTCATCAATAACAAATCCTTTATACCTTCATTCATGATAATGTATAAATGCTCTAGAGCTGACCTCTGGTAAGAACAGTTGTAGCTTAGCAACTTTGTGAGTATGTGTCCGATTAGAGCAGTAGTCTTCAATCCTGGCTGCATGTTAGAATCATTGGGAGAGAGGTTTTAAGTTTCCACACCCAGGACCAATAAAAATCAGAATTTCTGGGGGTGGGGTCAGTCATTATTATGTTTCAAACTTCCTAGGTAATTCCAATTTATAGACAAAGTTGAGAACTACTAGATTAGAACCTTTCAATGTAGCCTAATTGTATGTATATTCCCAAGTGTTTTCAATGATATTTAATCACCTTTAAGAAATAGATAATATACATTCTACATCATACTGCTGGTGTTTAAATGTTTTAAGTAAATAATACAACAGTGTACAATTCAACTCATTTCCTCAATGATAGGACAGAGACAAGAGAAGTAGAGATATCAACCAGAGCTACAATAATAACTAAAATATCTCTCAGGAAGTGAATTTGGTTATTCATGAGTAATAGATATATTTCAATAGGGAGGATAAAGACTCTGCATTAAAAATTTGATCTTTAAGCAACTCCGTACTGAGAAGTCTCTGTGAATAATAATATGTTCCCTGAGTCAGGAAACTGACTATTCTCAGTCAGTCAAAGCAGCAAGGTACAAATAGAACAGAAGCAGTCTGATAAGAATGACACAATGGACTTTGGGATTCAGGGGGAAAGGATGGGAAGGGTGTGATGAATCAAAGACTACAAATTGGGTTCCGTGTATACTGCTCAGGGGACAGGTTCACCAAAACCTCACAAATCCCCACTAAAGAACTTCCTCATGCAACCAAATACCACCTATTCACCAATAACCTATGCAAAAATATATATATATACATATATAGAACAGAAGCAGCCTCGGTGACAAAAGAATAAAACCTAAAATACACCAGAGCATTGGTAATTCCCTGGCCAAAGATTTTACTCGCTCCTAATAATGAGCACTTGGAAAATATTTTCAGAACACTATTGCTAGTTATTTTACTTATGGTATATAAATATGTTCACATAAATTGCTGAATAAACTATTTTCTTCTTATTTGGTGAGAATTTAAACATTGTCTTTTAATATTTTTGTATATAAAGCCTGTTCTATCACAAACTTTGCCCAATCCCAATCAGTTCCCTACCTTAATAGACTCTCCCTTAAAGAACTTGAGCCCAGACAGCAAAGCCCTATAAATATTCCTCTTCTTACTCCCTCTTCAGAGACTCTGCAGGAGGTGTTCACTCTTATTGCAGTCATTTTTTCATAAATTTACTTTTTCTTAATTAACAGGTTGTCTGGAGATACTTTGATGTTTTCCAACAGCAACATCATGAAGAATGCCTCATCAAGACTAATTCCTGTTCTGGAATGCTATATAATACATGAACTAAATTAATGTATATTGATCATGTTTAAGTAGAAAGAAATTTAACAAGATAGCATGCCAATCAAATATTACAAAATATTTTGTACCAACCCATTTCTTAATTCAAAATAATCTGAGGTGCCTTGAGGACAAACAAAAATTCAAACTACCCAAACAGAGCTTCTTCACAAGAGTCAGGTAACCTAAAAGTTATTCAAGAATTATTTCTTTAGGTTTTACATCCAAATGTTATATTCAATCTCAGGGCGTTTGTCCATGATTTCCCTTCATCTGGAATTCTCTTCTTGCAATCTCTTTCAAAACATAGTTTAGATGATATTTCTGTGAACTCTTTGGTGAACTTACTCAACCTTCCCTTTATAAATAATTACTCCCTCCGCTCAGCAACCCCCTTTCTGTTTAGCATGTAGCATTTGTTTTCAGTATATTTCTCCATCTACAATGCTTTGATCTACTTGAGGGCAGGATTCATGGTGTATATGTACCCTTGTTTTTTAGGGGCTGATAATATCAGAGTCTAAATCTTGAAAATGTCAATATTAATTGAATTATTTAACCAGTTTTGATTTTCTAATTATTTTATTTAATTGCCAACACTGTTTCTAAACCCTAACTAACTAAAGGCACCTGAATAGTCCATTACTTTCCCAGGAGAAAAAGATCTGATAAGGGAGATACATGACTGTCAGTTGGTTAGGACGGACATTCTAGCTTCTAGAACAAGAGCAATAAAAGAGAAGCTAGGAAGATGCAAAAAAAAATTTTTTTTAAAGTCCACTATTTGAGGGCCATTTTTTGTAGTTTTTGCATGCTTTCTAGGGAAATAGGATGTACTTAGTATACTATTTTAGAAAAATAATTTATTTTTGTAACATTTCCATTTTCGAGAAAAGAGTAATTGCTATACGAGATCCTATCAGGTTCAAAAGAGCAGGGTGTGTGCGTGTGTGTGTGTGTGACTGCAGAAAAGGAAATATGTATTACTTTGTCATATTTCAAATTGTTATTGTTTCTGCATTTTTTTCAGGAATATAGCCTCGCCATTATATTCCCTATTTTAAAAATAGGAAATATATTGTTTCATTCTCCACTGAAAGAAGCAACTGGTTTTCTCTGTTTAAGGGGTCTGAGAAGTTAAATGGCATATTCAGGTCACTAAAAAAGAAAAAAAGAAAGAAAAAGAACGTCAGAGTTGACAGGAGTTGAGATTTACCTAGCGAGCCCTCCCTCACTGCTATCAATGAGTAGTTGCATGGCATAGAAAGAAAGGCATTCGTTTCAGTGTCTACAATCCTAAGATCGAATTAGAAACACAGAACTTATCTGGGCAACAATGGACCATTATTTCATGTCTCTGAGCCTCAGTTTCTTCTTCTGTTAAGTGGGGATAATGGTACCTCTTTTACAGACTTTTCTTGAGCTATATGAAAAAGTATACCACTAGGCAATAAAAATGTTTTTGTTGAATTGGAAATTTTTATAGCAACTCTATGGATCAATTAAATCAATAAGATAATTTCACTCATCCTATCCTTATTATCTTCTGGATTCTCACTACTATATATAGGATCTGTTGACCCACTCAGCTCTATGAATTCAAAGAATAACTCCTTATGAGCACAGTTCAGGCAATGTAAGCTTTGCCAGGACACTGCAGCCAATCAACCACCCTAGCATGAGACCACAGAGGTGCTTCGATATCCACAAGTGGACCAGATCTCTGTTTTATGTCTCTCCTGAAAGAAGGCAAAGTGTTTTTCTCTATCGAGTTCTCACAGATGAAGTGGGCAAAAATGTTAGCCCTGTGACCTTTATAAGCATCACATGAACAACTTTCCTACACACTACTTTGGAAATGTCACCAAATGAAATGTTGCATTTAGAATGGGCACAAAACTGAATGAGATAATGGTACAGCCACTGCCTGGCACACAGTTGAGGACATCACCTTTGCTGCTAGAAAATATAACGGGGATGTAAAAAGTTTGGTTACCGCATTGCACAGTAATGACCCAAACATGTTGATACACCTGCTTCACTTGAAAGCTGGTTTCTCTCCCAAACACAACCAAATAAACCTAAATAAGGCCTGGAGAGAGAATGCCTGGA
This sequence comes from Homo sapiens, assembly GCF_000001405.40. Taxonomy (NCBI): domain Eukaryota; kingdom Metazoa; phylum Chordata; class Mammalia; order Primates; family Hominidae; genus Homo; species Homo sapiens. Next base: position 19,954,056 of record NC_000012.12, on the reverse strand, counting down.
ATAGCCTACAGGTGCTTGTTTTTCTGTTGTTAGGCAGTTGGAAATCTGGCCAGTGCTTAAAATGCACACTCAGTCACTTACACTTAACACATTTTCTGTTACCATAAGTACGGTATCAAGTTAGTTAAAAACTCTCTCAGATAATACTTCCAGAACTCCCTTCTGTTTCAAGCCTGTTACCTATGGAACTATTCCAAGGAAAACAAGCAGTAAGAATTTCAGGACAACCTCTGTGGAGCCCTTACCCCCATTCACATGATTAAACTCTCATCTAATTGCCATTTGGCTGCCCAAGGTCTTCTAAAACTTAGCTTGTTTACTCCTTTGTACTGTACACATGGCATTTCAGCAAATACTGTTTACTCTGACTGGCTGTCTCACTGGATCATTGTTAATTGTATGTATTTCTACTCTCATCCTAGGCCAGGAGCTCATGGAGTGTTGGTAAAATGTGACACATGAATCAATTTCATATCACTGATGCTTAAAACAGAATTTGGCATCTAATATGTCTTCAATAAATATTTGTTGACTATCTTCGGGATGCCTTAGTTATCATACCTTATTTTCTATCAATCCCACAGCATTTGTTTGTAAAGTTCCTGCCTCTGCATCTCCATTATATCTAATGATACCTAGATTCTTAAATATCTGGCAGCAAATTTTAGCCCTCTGAACTAACCAAGCTCTTCCAGCTACTTAACACTTACTCACTCATTTACTTTCACCAAGCTCCTAATCTACTTTCTCAGTTTCAACAAATATTTAGCACCAACTGCATGAACACACCACACAACATGCATATATGCAGGTCTGAATAATCTGCACAATCACTGACATTTATAATAACACTCTCCAATAGAAATACGGTAAGAGCCACAAACAAAAGCCATGTGTGTGCTGGCTTTCTAGTAGCTATATTTTAAAAGTAAAAAGAAAGAGTTAAAATTAATTTCTATACCTTTAAAAAGGTATAGAAATATTTATTTAAATGTTAAATAAAATATGTTTTATTTAACTACATATAGTAAAATGTTATTTTAACAAATGATCAAAATTAAAAATTATTAAGGAGATATTTAATGTCACATTTTTCCTACCTGGTCTTTGAAATATGGAATCTATTTAGGCTTAGAGTAGTTTGAACCAGCTACATTCCAAGTATAGCATGGCCACATGTGGCTAGTGGTTAGCATATTGGACAGTGCAGATGTATAAAATCATATTTTCATAAAAAGAGACATGCATAAAACTCATATAATACATAGTATAATACATGTGATATTAAGTTAAAACAATAAAACACGAGAGCCAAGGAAGAACTCAATTCTAAGAGGAAAGATAGAAGTAGGGTCCCTTGGACTTTACTTCTCTTCCCTTTACTGAGCCAAGCATCCTCTCATCCTACCAGCTACATTCTCCAATGATTGTGTTCATCTGTGTATCTGTGCAAGCAGTTATGTGTTTTACAGAAATATATATATAGGATACATTTATGTGAGGACAAGGCCACATACAAATGTGATTTTCTACAGCTTACACTAACACTGTGATTACAATATACGGCAGACGCAAAAGCAAGATAAAAAGAAAGGGCTGTGACTGGCAAATTATATGATGATGTACCCTTTTCCTAGTCAACTACAGAAATGTGAGGGGAGGCAATGAGTAGAATAAAGATGTGAACCTAGTTAAATAGGAAGCCAACTAACTCTGCTTTTTCTTTTTAGAGGAATAAGAATTAGTAGAAATTGATACTGTTTTCATAGCACCTGTTATACAAGGTTTTCTTTGTTCTTTACTATTAGGATAGGGTTTGCACTTTGAATGCATGTTGTGTGGTGTGTTCATGCAGTTGATGCTAAATATTTGTTGAAACTGAGAAAGTAGATTAGGAGCTTGGTGAAAGTAAATGAGTGAATAAGTGATAAGTAGCTGGAAGAGCTTGGTTAGTTCAGAGGGCTAAAGACATAAAAACATTCCCCATGCCTGGCAGAGGTTTCCGTAATGTTACTGTTTTCTATCTAGCACAGACTAGGGTGAAGAGATACAAAGAAAAGAAACAGAACACCTACGTAAGGATCAGATGTAAATTAAATGATAGAGATTGAAAAAGCTGCATCAAAACAACTCAAAATATATGTAAAGTTTACAAGTGTTGAGGGCTTATCTGATAGCATTAGCCTGGGAAGCATTCACCAAAAAGCAATTGAGAGGCAAGCTGTGTTTCCCGGACTAGGGATTTGATTTGATTTGATTGAGATGAGGGGAAAATGATTGAGCAGAAGAAAGACTCTGGAATGAAACACTATATACCCGAGGCTGATTTAAGAGAGTAGAATGGGAAATAAAATAGACAGCTTTATACAAAACTTATCAACACAAAGCAAACAGAGGTTAGGGAGGAAGGAAGTAGAGGTGATCAGCCTGGAAATTGACACTTGACAGACTTAGCCTAGATCCACTGGCCACTAGCTAGTCATATAGTCTCTCTCGGCTTCAATATCCTCACATCGAGGACTCAAAATGGTACCCACTCCATGAAGATTAAATGAGATTATATATATGTATATATATTATATTAAATATTAGCATATTGGACAGTGCAGATGTATAAAATCAGATTTTCATAAAAAAGAGATGTACATAAAACTCATATAATACATAGTATAATACATGTGATATAATACATATGATATAAGTTAACATATGTGATATTGTTATTTTTCTAAATATATATTAAATGAGATTATATATAGATTATATATATTATCTATGTCATGTTTAGTGTAAAGCTTGGTGTATAATAAAATGGTCAATACATTTTAGTTATACTTGTTAGAAAGTTTGTGGGCACAAGGTTTGGAGTTTGATAACAAAGGCAACTGGGTACTTTTGGGAAGTATCAAATAAGTTACCTCTGATAGAAAAAAAATCTTATTTTATTGCCATTTGTTGACAAAAGAACTTGTAAATGAAGAGTCCAACTTAGAATGTGGCGGTAGTCTAAGTGAAAGGTTGTTAGAATCTGGGCCACAGCTGTGCCTAAATCAAAAGAAATTAGTTAAGGCATGGCATATTTTTTATAAATAATGTGAGAATTTGTAATGAACAAGGTATCAGAAGAGCCAAGAGAAAATCCTAGTCCTAGTTCTTCACAAACTACTCACTACTTGTACACTTTTGCAAGAGCACTGGATCTCTCCAAGGGTCAGTCTCCTCCTTGTTAAAATGGGTATAATATTAATACCAACATCATGGGGATGTTATGAGGATTAGGGGAGTTATTCATCAAGTACTTGGAACAGTGACGGGCACATGGTAAGTTCTGTGAAAGTATGTGTTGGGTGAAACTGAAAGCACAACACAAACTCTTTAAGCATTTATTTTTACTCTCCCATGCATTGTATTTTTCAATCCATAAGAAATACTGTGACAGCCGGGCGTGGTGGCTCATGCCTGTAATCCCAGCACTTTGGGAGGCCGAGGCAGGTGGATCACCTGAGGTCAGGAGTTCGAGACCAGCTTGACCAACATGGTGAAACCCCCATCTCTACTAAAAAAAAAAAAAAAAAAAAGAAATTAACCAGGCATGGTGGCGCACACCTATAGTCCCAGCTACCCACGTGGGAGAATTGCTTGAACCCCAGGGGCCAAGGTTGCAGTGAGTGGAGATCGTGCCACTGCACTCCAGCCTGGGTGACAGAGTAAGACTCCGTCTCAAAAAAGGAACACTTTGGACCGGGTGCAGTGGCTCATGCCTGTAATCCCAGCACTTTGGGAGACTGAGGCGGGTAGATCACCTGAGATCAGGAGTTCGAGACCAGCCTGGCCAACATGGTGAAACCCCGTCTCTACTAAAAATACAAAAATTAGCCGGGCGTGGTGGCAGGCACCTGTAATCCCAGCTACTCGGGGGGCCGAGGCAGGAGAATCGCTTGAACCCGGGAGGCGGAGGTTACAGTGAGCCGAGATTGCTCCATCACACTCCAGCCTGGGGGACAAGAGTGAGACTCCGTCTCAAAAAAAGAAAAAAAAAAAAAAGAAACACAGTGAATTAGTACCACTCCCATTTGAGGGATAAGGAGAGAATCTTAAAGACACAGAGTCGCACAGGCAGGAGATGTTCCCAGCAAGGAGTGCACCTGGGCTTTTTACCCAGACGAGGCTCTCTCCCCTACCGCAGGCACCTCCAATGCTGTGAGCCTAAAAACCTGGAGGCAGTGATGTCACAATACTGAGAAGTTGGCATGGGCTAATGGGTGCACTAATTTGTCGTTAGAATTCCTGTTACTTAGATTTTTAGAATCTAAATATCAGAAGATCATTAGAATTGTGGAAACAAATGAAGACCAAGCAAATGAGAACAAGCAAAGGCTATTTCTTCAGAGATTGCTCTAGCAGGAGAGCCTCCATCACTTGCATTTTGGCAGAGACTGGCAGGCAGGGCAGTGGGAAAGCTTTAGAGCGGAAAAAGGCAAAAGTTTCAGGTCAGCCCTGTTTAGAGGCTGTTGGCATGGGGAAGCTGTCAATGGGCTAACTAGAAGCAGGGCAACCTGTGTGATTGGTTAGGAGTGCATATTTGGCTTTTTCTGGTTGGACCTAACTTGGAAAAAGGGAAAAAGAATCAAGGAAGCTGCCAGTTATTAATCAATTCCTGGTTGTTTGAGACTGATTGTTACAGGGGTTAGTGTTTGGCTCCCTGGACCAGTTGCTAGAGATAATGATCTGACTTCCTACATGTCTGATTTATAGATAGTGGGTTGGCTTCCTGGACTGGTTACTAGAGATTATGAATTGATTTCCTGGGCTGGTTGCTGCAGACTGTGGATCAGGGTTCTCTTTTTATGTATGGTCTAGCCATTGTCCATTTGTATATTCAGTCTCTCAGAAGTCACCTGGTTGAAATCTAGCCAAAGTATTTAACCCCTAATCATTGTCCAGCGTAATGGAGGACTCCATCATACAAAGTGGCCTATTCCATTCTGAGACAACTCTCACTGTTTCCATATTTTAGTGATATTGATATTTAGAAAATTGTGCCTGCTAGTAATGCCCACTGCTTAGGTCTAGATCTGTGTTCTGACAGATAATAGAACCCTCGGTGCATGGAACTCTCTGATGGCCTCCCCTTGGCAGATATTCCTGATATCTAAAGAAATGCAGGCTTTGTATGCAGCGGAATCATCTTGATGTCACAGCCTTAATCTTTCTATTCTACATCTCAGGGATAATCCTCTGCTCTGTCCACCCACGTATTTTATTGCAAATATACAACCACCGCGAGATCGGGCTAACTGTGAAAATGAATCCTAACAGTAGGCCAAGATCCTTTCACCTGTTTCTAATATGGGTAAAATATCTCCAAAAAACATTGTTTGAGTCAGCACCAGTTACTAAAATGCCACCCTAGGTAAGTACATGGGACTTGAATAAAATTTCAATTGATGAATCCATATTTCTTAATTTTCCCTCATAGCAGATACCCTGCTCTGCCTCCCCAACCTCCAACCATTAGAGTCACAGAACATTTATTTGCTTTTTTTTTTTTTTTTTTTTTTTTTGGCGGTTGCGGGGGCGGGCGGTCTTGCACTGTTGCCTAGGCTGGAGTGCAGTGGCACGATTTCAGCTCACTGCAACCTCTACCTCCCGGGTTCAAGCGATTCTCCTGCCTATGCCTCCCAAGTAGCTGAGATTACAGGCACCTACTAGCAAGCCCGGCTAATTTTTGTATTTTAGTAGAGATGGGGTTTCACTATGTTGGCAAGGCTGGTCTCGAACTCCTGACCTCAGGTAATTTGCCTGCCTTGGCCTCCCAAAGTGCTGGGATTACAGGCCTGAGCCACTGTGCCCAGTCTATTTGCTTTTCTTAAGCAAATGAATTTTTTCTCTGTCCTTCCAATATTCAAACATGAAAAACATCAGAGAAAGAAAGACATACAAATGGCTCTTGAGCTGATCCTCCTTGGCATTAGTAAAGGAAGAAAGGGTTTTCTTAAAGTTGTCATCTACCTAATTAGATGTAGTAGAGCATAAAACAACAATATCAAACGATCTGCTTCAGACTCTGCACCCAACCATAGTGTGTTAATCTCTTATATTAACATTTACTCACCTTCTCTGGCCCAGCCCTCTGCATTAACAGACAATACTAAGTATTCTTACTTAGTAGAACAGGTAATTTTCCCCCATGTACTCTTAACTTATTCTTCACCCTCAAACATTTTAGTTAATACTCTTTCTGTCCATTGTGAGTGGATTACGGAAAAAAACAACTCATTGTCTTATTTCATGTCACGAAGAAAATGTATATACTGAACAATATTACTTCTTACTATATAATATTCACACACAAAAATTCATGCTAGTAAATAATATCTGCACCAAGCCCCTCAACTATGTGTGTGATCAATATAAAATGCCGTTAAGTCATTGGACATGAGTCTAAGTGGGAGTACAAGGCAGATCTCAAACAAACAAGAATTTCGCTATCTCCCACACCCTACCACTACCACAGTGAGAGAAAGAATGCTTATTCATCCTGTAGACAAAAACTGAATGGAGCAAACTTTCTCACAACGGGAAATCCTACCAGTCTCTCTCCTCTCCTGAGAGAGTCCAACTGTTTTTAGATTCAGTCAACAAATGATAAATAATTCAACTTAGTGATTATTGCTAAGGGAAGAAAAATTAATACATAATAATGAGTAGGTTAAAAAAAAAAGAAAAAGAAAAACAAGATCATGTCCTTTGCAGGGACATGGGTGGATCTGGAGGCTATTATCCTTAGTAAACTAATGCAGGAACAGAAAACCAAATGCTGCATGTTCTCACTTATAAGTGGGAGCTAAATGATGAGAACACATGGACACACAGAGGGGGAACTACACACACTGAAGCCTGTCAGACAGCGGGAGGGTGGAAGGAGGGAGAGGATCAGAAAAAATAACTAGGCTTAATACCTGGGAGATGAAATAATATGTATAACACACCCTCATGACACAAGTTTACCTATGTAACAAACCTGCACATGGACCCCTGAACTTAAAATTAAAACAATAATAATAATAATAATAATAACAGGTAGGAATCAACAGATGAAACATGATTTTTCTCTCACTCTGTTGCAGAGATTACCAGCTATCTACCAAAAACATACTCTTCTTCCGTGGTGTTGTTCTGGAAAGCAGCTACCCAACTTTCATTTAGGATAGAGCCATATGACCGGTTCTCACCAATGGAACATGAGCCAGAGTGAGTCACTTCTAGGCTGAAGTAGATAAACAGCAGTTGTGCCTTCCTCATCATTCTTTCCCCATCTGCTCACTGAAATTACTGGACTCTAGGGTTTGCAGGAGACGGAAGACTGACAGGATGGAATAAGCTCGAGTTGCTGAATCACTGCCTGGAATGCCATCCACAAACACTCGATTTGGATTTTATGTGAGCAAGAAACATATTCTATTAAGCCACTGAACCATCAGCATTCACTTATTATAGCACCTATTAATTAATATTAATAATTAATTAATACATCAATTCACCCACCTATCCTTTGGGAGATACCCCTTAACCCCTACACTCTCTAATTTCAGTTGAATTATGCTGGTTCACTTCCAACTCTCCATAAAGAATATTGAATTGCTGGTTCTGCTATCATATACCTAAAAGCCACTGTGAGCAGGCATAGTTTCCGGAAATCTAATTTTGATGAAAATTCATAAAGGACTTTGGACTTTAGCTGTGATCAGCCCTTGACTCTGCAGACTATCATGAAGACCAGAGAGGAATGTCATGAAGCTTAGTAATAGGCAGGCTCTTGCAAAATTTTCAAGCTGTAATGGGAAATGACAGCTGGTATCCAAACCGGGCATTAACCCTGGAGGAATCCTTTGTTTCCTGGTTGCAGCTGAAATACTGGACCTTTCTCTTCTTTTAAGCCTCAGATATATTTTCTCGTGATCTCTCTTATTTCATATTTGCACACTGGCAGTAAGGCCTTTTTCCTGTTTCCAAATCTCTCCATGTCCTCTGGTGGAGTTTCATCTGTGCTGTTCCTACAGCAGTTATTCCACACATTACAGTAGGCAGAGAATAAAGAAGAGAGAGAGGTTAGTACTCATGAAACAGGAGTAGAGCCCAAATCACATCAGGGCTCATAGGCCATGGTAATGACTTTAGTCTTTACCCTCAGAGGAAAAATGAAGCCACTGAAGTACATTAAGTATGAGGATGATATAATCTGTTTAGCTTTTTAAAAAGATCGCTTTGGCTACAGGGTAGACGATAGGTAGAGAGGGTAATTAGAATGCTGTGGCTGTGATCCAGTCAAGAGATGATGCAACCTAAATCAGAGAGTGGCAGAGGGATGGATAAATAACAGGCTTGTGATAAGGCCTAGATATGGGGAATAAAAAGAAAAAGACATGCTAATGGAGGTACCCAGATGCTAATGGTGCTGGGAATGCTTTTAAACAACAGCACTTGCTCTATTGCTTTTATGTTTGCTTGTTTGTTTGTTTTCCTTACAGGTACTCTTTTTTTCTTCTTTGAGACAAATTCTCACTCTGTCACCCAGGCTGAAGCGCAGTGGAGTGAACAGGGCTCACGGCAGCCTCAACCTCCTCAGCTCAAGTGATCTTCTCACCTTGGCCTCCCAAACTGCTGAGATTACTGGCATGAGCCACCGCATGCAGTCTTCTTACAGGTACTTTTTTTTTTCTCTTTTTTGCAGTTCTCCTAGGTGGGGCTTTATTTAAAAGGTATGTTGCCTCCATAATTCGTTAAGCCAAAGCTCGGTTTGGGCCAGCTTGGAACCCTAGACGATTATTACAGAGCAACGGCAGATCAACAGCTCTCCCTTCTGCCAAGGTGGAAGGGACCATTCTGCTTTAAAAGCAACAAGAAAATGTTGAAAAGTTGCACTCTGACTCAACATGGTTCTGGATTGTGTTTCATTATTTAGCAGTAAAAGGAGAAAATATTTTAAAGACTCAGTTTCCCTCCTTACAGGTATTCCTTAAGCAATTGTCCTAAAGGGTGGAAAAGTGTCTCTGAACACAACTACACACACACACACACACATACACACTCTCTCTCTCTCTCTCTGCTACCTGCAGGCCGTTAGTGAACCATCCACTGCCAGACAACTCTGCTCCTCCCTCTCCCCTTAGAGTTCTCTGCTTCCCCACAGGTTGTGAAAAAGCTGGAGACTCACAAATGTTCTTTAATTCTGATGTCAGTGCCCAGAAACACCATTAGATAACAGCTCAGGCCTGAGGGGCTCAATCTGCTGATACTTCCCCCAGTAAATGTTCTTATGGCTAGTTCTGCAAAGCAAGCTTTACCTACTACCACTTCCTCAGCAGGTAACCCGTCCCTGACATTCTCTTGGACATAGGGTTTTTGTTGCTTTTCTCCTCTACGTGTTCTCAGACTCCAAGGGTGATCCTTCCTAGTTCCAACACCCCACTACCACCAACAATTGCAAGGACCACACGGATTCACTTTACCTCCTCTTTCTCAGAAGGACCAAAATCCCTTGGTGCCCATCATGCTGGAGTCCTTCCTCTGTCCTCTGTTCTTGGTCCTAAGAGAGCTTATTTCCTCCATGTTGAGGGTGCAGACTCAGCTTCTCTCACTTTTTCTCTGGAACCTCCACTACATGGCAGATGTTAACTGAAAGAGAGAGAGAGTATGTAGCAATTTTTCCCCTTGGAAGTTTGCCTCAGATCAATCAATTTGCCATATTTAACATTCACGCTTTGTGCATATGCTAATAAATCATTAAAATTCATGTGGATTCTAACGGTTTTGGGTTTTCTTTCTTTTTCTATATTTTGTAATTCCTACTCAATTCTGTGAATTATAATGTTGCAACTGAAAGTAATCACCAGCAGAAATATTCCTTGTACACAGGACTGAAAAAAGGAATCTCAAGTTAAAAACTCCACCATTTGTTATATACATTTTGGCCTTCAGTAGTTAGAATTCTGTTTCTCTTTTCCCAGATGGAATACTTATTAACCTCAGATGCTTTTATGTGTTGTTGAACACAATAACAAAATATGCCTCCTAAAACGTCCAGATAACCTAAAGAACCATAAAGAAGTTAGGGACATGGGAGGTCATCAGAGCAAAGCTCCTATGTCATACGACTCTCCTCCACATGTTATGCCTGAACAAGCTGGGCATTTGGCTCCCATCTGCACACTTCAGATGTCCAGGGACTCACTGTGAGATGAGCAGTTCCAGTGCTGGTTCATGCTTCTGTTAGGAAAGTTTCTTTTATTGAAATAATATAAATATTCTCATCACTTTGACTTCTAGTTGCTTCAGAACACTGAAAAATAAACTTATTTTCACTTCCGAATGATAGTGTTTAATTTTTGGCACACAGTTGAGTCTCCATGATGTCTTTTCTTCTCCAGATTGAGCACGTGCAGTGACCTCGATTCTCCCTTGGAGGTCAGGTCTTATCAATTTCTTCTGCGTCTGCCCAGGTTCACTTCAACCACCCTGGGAACGCTTCTACCTCCTCTCCCGTCATCTCACCATGATGGACTCCAGATAAGGAATGCCCCTGCAGCACCTAGGCCCTAACACAGGCCAGGAGACATGATGCAAATACCTTAGATCCAGGAATCTCATTAACCATTCTTAACCTCAGCACAGTTCTCTTAGTTTTAACTTTTTAAGCACCATTTGGCTGCTCTTAAGCCTGTGGTTCACTAAAACCCAAACGCATTTTTGACATTTTGCTGCAAAGTTAAGACTTCATCATCTGCCTGTTAATTTTGAACTAACTGATGGACTTTACACATATTCTTATTATTTACAAAGAATTGATTTCTGCCTAGTAAGATGTATGAATTCTTATTTTACCTTTTATTTTAGGTGCAGGGGCACATGTGTAGGTTTGTTAACACAGATGTCTGAATTTTTTTTTTAACAGCTTGTTGTACTTTAATGTGTAATACTCAACTCAAGGTACAAGACAATTGCATTTCACATTGTTATAAATAAAAGAGACATCAGATCAATCATTAAGGGCTCCAGAGTGAACAGCATCTTCATAACCTCCATGTTTATCATCTTTACTTTCTGGATGTAATTTAGTAAGATCATCAATTCGAAGAATGGTAATTGCAGCTTCTGTTGCAAATTTCAAACTCTTAACTTTAACTATGGTTGGTTCAAACATCCCTGCTTGTTTGTTGTCTCCACGTTCACCATTGCTCAAATCAAGACCAATCCATTTCAGATTTTTATGTTCTGGGTTAACCTGAGCCTCATTATGAAAAGCTCTGAATTTTGTGACCAGATCTGTGGAGTCCTGGGCAGCATTAACTGCCAGTGTATTAGGAATAACAAGAAGTGATCTTGCAAACTCTGCAATAGCAAGCTCTTCCTGAGACCCCATGCTGGTTGCATAGTTTTCAAGGTATATGGAAAGGGCTGCTTCTACAGCACCCCCGCCTGGAACCATGGATTTTGACTCCAAAACTCTCTTCACTACACAAAGTGCATCATGTAAAGAGCGCTCCATCTCACCACACATGATATCATTTGCCCCACGTAAGATAATCGATGCAGATGTATGAGCCTTAGTGTTTTTAAGATCAGCTCATCATCACAAATTCCCTCCCGTACCACTTCTGCCTGTCCCAACATTGCAGCTTCAAAAGTTTCTTCACCTTCCGAATTGGCCAGGGTTGACAGAATAGTTGCTCCAGAAGCTTTAGCAATGCCTTTAAAACTCTTCTAACTGCCATAGCACCTGCCTCCACAAAATACTTCAGACACATATCATCAATTCCACCAGTGGTTAGAATAACGTTGGCACCAGTTGCCAGGATCTTCTGAATTCTCTCCTTGGTGATAATCTGATTCTCTTTGTCTAATTTGGTCCAGTTTTTCATGATCTGTAATGACCACTGTACACCAAGCTTCATGTTTTTTTCAGGCTAAAGTCAAGGCAAGCAATTTTTGCATTTATGATTCTCTTGGGCATGCCGTGGGATCCCACCACACAGTTGAGTGCACAGCCACTGACGTGCATGCTCTCTGTTTGACTTCTCCCACGGGCTTTCAAAATATTAACAGAATTCACTGGATAATGTGGCTGGCCTCTTATATCTGTGTATTTAATAGCAAGTACAGCATCTACTACCATGTTAGCAAAGAAATCACCATTTATTCCAATGATTTTGGAAGACATGGATTGTCTTAGCAGCATTAATCAGGCAATCTCTTCCCAGTTCATCTTTGTTAACAATTAGGTTTTCATTGATAAAATGCACTGCTTCCTTGCAAGCAAGTCGTTAGCCACTAATAACTGATGTGGGATGAATTTTCTGTTTAACTAATTAATCTGCATTTTTTAGGAGTTCTGCTGCAATAATAACCACTGAGGTAGTTCCATCTCTAACTTCTTTGTCTTGCAGATCAGCCAGCTCACAAAGAACATTAGCTGCAGGATGTTCTACCTCCAGTAACTTCAGGATGGTTGCACCATCATTAGTAATGGTTACATCACCAGTATCATCCACCAACATTTTATCCAAGACAACGGACCAAGAGCACTTTTTACAATATTGGCAATCGAAGCTGCAGCCATAATGTTCTGGGAGCGGATCGCCTCCCCACTGCTGCGGTCTCCGAACACGGACAAAGGCCCCTCCATCTTCCTGGCGGCGGTACATACCGAATTCTGCTCCTACTGCGGGCAACCAGTTATCGTGGCCCCTCGGCCAACCGGCTACCACAGCAGTGGCGACGGTGTGGAGCGGACCCGAGTGATGCACCGCCCCATCCGCTTCCCGGCTGCCCCGGCTGGCCGCGGGGCACGGCGGGAAGCAGATCTCTGAACTTTTATTTTGCCATTTGAAATATTAGCTCTTCTTCCCAACTTTCAGGCAACTATCAAAGTACTAAACAGGATAGACAACAAAATCTTGTGACAACATTTAAATGTATGAAATGTATTTTATTACTAAAATATATAAAATTTAAAAATTACATTTGAATTATGTACTTCAAAAATAAAAATTCTAAATGTACTTTCTGATGTGACTTCTGAGGTGAGTTTGCTCCCTGCACAAAAGAGGATAAAGTAGAAATAGTCATATTCACAATTTCCAACCTGAGAACTTAATTTTGAAAGAACTTATTATAATTGACCACAGAAAATGGAAGGACAAGAGGTATGCTGACATCCTATTGAAGGCATTTATTGTGCTGTGCAAGGAAATTTTAGATGCCCTATTCTGTAATCCTTCCCAGCTAATAGGCTTTGCTTGCATAGATGCCCAGACTAATGAAAATATGTAACTGAATTTGGTAATCATTTATTACAGCAATTTCAATGAGTCTTGCACTATTGAATATATGTATAAAGACTTCTAGTCACACCTCTCAATTCAGTGATCTCAAAGAGCCTTGGAAACAATGACCTAAAAACCAGATAGCAAAAGAAAACCAATTTGTTTCAGCAATTTAATGCGTCTTTGGTTATGTTTTGCAGATAAATATGTGCGTATGCATTCAGTCCTGAGACATGTATATATAGAATTGCTTAACTGTAATGCATTTAGCAGTAAATCTATGACCTAATTATTGCTATAAATTCATTACTAAAGCCTTTCCCTTTCACATACCGAGCGAAAATATAAACCTTGCACCATTATGAATTCTAACTGCAGCCAAACACATCTAATTATAATCAGTTGCAGTAAACTCTCACTCTGCATTAGGCATAATTAACCATGTGATAAATAATCAGTATAATAACATTTAATGTGCTGTGATAGCATTTCTAAACTATGCATGTGAATTCTAGAAAATAGAATATACTTCAATTCTAACCAATGTTTTTAACCCTTTCGTGATTGAAATTTCATTCACTGCCTTGCAGGAGAAATGTTAGTACACTCACTCAAAAATGAAAAATTGGATAAGCTTAAGGGCATCCTTATGTATGCTGTAATAAAAACATTTTCTACTGTCATCAAAATATTATCTACTTTAATAAAATTTAATGGTAAATTACACCTCTACAAATGTAGCCACTTTCTAAATTTTTAAGCATTGCCAGCATGGCCAAGATTTTTCTTGGCATAGTAGAGGATATAAGTTAATTAGTAATAATTTTTAATTAAAGAATCTGCACTTCAAGAAAGGTCTCACACCTGGTTTGTTTCAATAATAATAAGTGATAACCATAATAATTAAATGTCTTCTCTGTCCTTAAAAAGAATAAAATATGTCTACTCTATGGAAGAATATCCTTTTATTCTAGTGCATAACATTGTTTATTACCAACACTAATATTTTCTTTTTTATTCCTATGATACCAATGTCAATTTGGAACAATATAAAATAATATTTCTGATTTTCATGTTCTTTGTTCAACTTTAGGCTAATTTTTCTCATGTCATTAAATGACAAAATGATAATAATACCTATCAGAACTCCGTGTTTCTATTTTATAAATATGAAAATAAGCCCTATGGAACTGCAAATGTTAGTTTGCTGTACTGTAATTTTGTTTTGCATAGTAATCATGCTTAAAAATGGATCCTTAACTAGGGTTTACAATTTTTTTCCTCTGGGCAGAAAGTGTCATAATAATATTTGCTCTAGTGAGCTTTGACCTATATTTTCATTATAAACATGGTTATATGTTACATTTAATTACTTGTATCTTTTTTTCCTCTCTGTTTGCTCCACAAGAATTTTGCCTGCTAATCTCTCTGGCTCAGTTTACTATTTCCATCTTTATAAGTTATTCTGAATTAACTCTTAATTAATCATAGTTGCCAAGTGAATGCTCTTCCATGTTATCTATGCAATCACTACTGTGTTTCCACTTCATGAACTGAGGGGTTCTTCCAGAAGAGCTGGTAGAGTTAGAGTAATTCGTTCACATTTCCGCACCATTATGTACAAACTTGGATAGATAAATATGAAAGACAACATGCTTCTCATGAAATTTAACCTGTAACCTTGTCATTATTACACATGTTCTTACTGACTCACCTACCTGTCCACAAAGAATAAAGTAGATGTCAATGAGGAGTTTCTGTCTCCTCTGTATACAGAGAGTTGCTGTGGATCTAGCTACAGGATCCTACTTTTATTTCTACTTTGTTACTGTTTATAAATGAAGCTGATATAAAAATTAGGAAATACATAAGGAAACCACATAAAAGTACTATTAAAATATATTTGCTCTCAAAAAGCATATGCCTCTTGAATATTATAATGGAGGATGTGAGAGTGGAAATAAAATATTCTGTGAGAGGAGCCTCCTCATCTGTTGTCTTTACTGCAGTTCCCCCAAAACATTCTTTCATGCCAGAAAAACATAGGAACATAGGCCATTTATTTCATGTAGACCAAGCCCTGTGCCAGGAATACAAACATGAATAATATAAGGTCTCCGCTCTTACAAGACTCACATTTTAATTAGGGAAACTGACTAAAGTACATAAAATATAACTACAGGATGCTGTGATCATTGCTAGAGGCATACCATGGAGGAAGTGACTGTTAGAGTCAAGAAAGAACAGTTTGATGAAGAAATGAAGTGTTCTAAACTAAGAGGAAAGCATATGCAAAAATGCAAGTGCATGTACCTAACAGCCTGATCTATCTGAGGGGGTGGCAGATAGTTTCCTATGGCCGGAGTGCTACAAGCCTGTGACCAAGGGATGGAGAGATTATATAAGGGAAGAAGACAGTGGAGGAAGTTGCCAGCATGCAAACCCCATGCTGACCTCCAACTGATGATCTCATTATTTATTTCCTGTCCATCACCCCATTCCTGCATTCCCTTCTTTCCTTATTTACTCAGCTTAGATGCCATGATCCATCAATATGATCACAGGTCACAGACACCTTCTGATCCTTTGTCTCTTTTTTCCTGTGGCACGTTCCCAGAGCAAAACCCAAACCCTGGTTAACTTCACCCTTCTTCTTCATCCACAGCTACAGCAGAGTAGCTGAGCTGGAGGAAAACAACACAAACACAATCTTTTTTGTTTTTTGTTTTTTGTTTTGAGACAGAGTCTTGCTGTGTCACCAGGCTGGAGTGCAGTGGCGTGATCTCGGCTCACTGCAACCTCCACCTCCCGGGTTCAAGCGATTCTCCTTCCTCAGCCTCCTGAGTAGCTGGGACTACAGGCATACGTCACCATGCCTGGCTAATATTTTGTAATTTAGTAGAGACAGGGTTTCACCATGTTGGCCAGGATCGTCTCGATCTCCTGATCTTGTGATCCCCTCACCTTGGCCTCCCAAAGTGCTGGGATAAGCTACCAAGCCCAGCTGCAAACACAATCTTATTAGCACCATCATAATCATGCAGACTCACCTGACGTTACGTTTTTTATTATAAATCTCAGCAACACAGTTATCTTTTTCTCATAGTTTGTTCTTCCCCTGAACAACCTATCTAACACCTTCCTTCTCTTAAAACATCCAACAGCTCCTCCTTACCCATCTCCCTTATTTCAATGAGAAAATAATAGGGATCAAAAGAAAAATTACACCATTTCCCGTCACTTGTTTATACCAGTCGCTTGTATCTCTGCCTATAATCTGACTTGTCTCTTGTAAACCTAGACAAACAATAAGCGCTCCTCTCTACATCCACTTGTACACAGGACGCCATCCTCTCCAGCCTACAGTAGCTGAAACAATAGCTTGTGAAACTAACCTATTTCCCTGTTCTCCTACGTCAGTCTTTCCTTTCTACTAACCTTCCCATCAATTCAAACGTGCTGTAATATGTCCCATATTTAAATTACTTTCCTTTATTTCATGTGCCATTCCAGCTGCTACACCATTTTTATAATTTTCATTATAGCAAAACTCCTTGAATATATTGCTCATATGAGCTCTCTCCACTTTCTCACCTCTTGTTCTCTTTTTAATCCACATTTATCAGATTTTATCTCCATTACTCTACTGAAATTTCTTTTATTATGGTTTCTAACGGTCTCCATTTTACCAAGTAAATAAGCAACTCTCAGTTTTCATCTTATTTAGCCTACTTTAAAACAAAAACAAAATCTTCCCTTCTAAAATCATATTCTTCATTGGACTTTGAGGACCCCCTCCTTCCCTGGTTTGTCCTGTACCTCACTGGCCACTTTTTCATAGTCCTCTCTGTTGTCCCCTCCTCCGCTTCTGACCTTGGTGCCTCAAGGCTCTATCATTGGTCTTCTCTAATGACACACTTCCTTTAGGTATCTCATCTAGCTCCAGAATTTTGAACACTATCTATACAATGAGTTTTCTCTCCACTTGTATTAGTTATTTATTCCTGCATAACAAATTACCCCCAAATCTAGAGACTTAAAACAATAGACATTTATTATCTTTGTTTCTGTGGTTTAGGAGTCTGGGAACAGCTTAACTGAGTGTCCCTGGCTCAAGGTCTCCAGGAAGTTACAGTCCTCTGAAGATTCCAGGAGCTGATGGATCTGCATCCAAGCTCACCCAGAGGGCTGCTGGCAGGACTTGCTCCCTCACACAGGGGCTGTGCCACTGGGCTGCCTCACAACATGGCAGCTGGCTATTCTCAGCTAAAAATTTTAAGAGAGAGAATGCTCAAGACCGAAGCTACAGTCTCTGTGTACCCTAATCTCAGGGGTGACGTATCATTACTTCTACCGTATTCTATTCATTAGAAGCAAGTAGTGAGTCCAGCCCACACTCAAAGAAAGGTGATTACTCAAGAACGTGAATATCAGGAGATGGGGAGCAATGAGGACCATCCTAGAGACTGCCTATCACACCACCTTTCCCACCCTTGAGCTCTGCTTATAAATCCACTGGGCTTGAGCCTCACGTAGGGCCCATGTGTACTCTTTTGCCTGTCCATCTTCTGACTATGATGCTGTCTCTGGTCTAAAGCACTGGAGCATGGCAGGGGTAGCAGTAGTGGCAAATGTTCTTAACTCATTGACCACCTCCTCCACTGCTGGCCCCCAGGGTGGTCCCCCACTCCTTCTGTAGTCTCAACATTCCTCTAGGGGTATCTACATGTATCTCCTCTGAGGGATTTCAAGACCTTTGCTCTGCAACACCTAAACAGGCCATTCTGACTGATGTTCTTGCCTCAGATCAATGTGGCAAGGCCATGTTCTCCTAGGTCAGCCTGAAGCCACAGTGAATGAGGGAGATAGGTTCCTGATGTGAAGAGAACTATTCTTACTTTGCTAATGGTCCTTTTCGCTCCTCCCCATTGGTGGTGGCATATGGAAGGCAGTGATGGGTCAACACTGAAAAAGATCACATTCGAGGAATGTATGATTACAACCTAAAAGAGCTGAAGAGAAGACATAGTTGGAAGATATGGTATTTTTACATTTACATTGTAAAATTCTAAAAAGTAAATTTAAAATGACCAGAAAATGAATTATTGTTAACATTTACCTGCATCCTCTGGGCAAGGCTTGAATTTGTGATTATCACCAACAAAGCACAGTAACTTCAATAGGGTAATTGGAAACCAGTATTCACTCAGACTACACAGGATAATGCAGGAACATGAATAATGATGCTCACATTAAATAAATGGTATGAGGAAACTTCAGACAGATGCAAGATTTATTTCATTTCAATACGAGCAGGATCCTAAGAGCCACGGCATTTTGAGTGACAGCAGCATTGCTACTTTCTTCACATAGTAGATTGCTGTGAATTGAATGTTTATGCTCCCCACCCCTAAATTTTATATCAAAGACTTACATTTGAGTTTTCTGATGGTGTATTAGTCTGTTCTCATGCTGCTAATAAAGACACACCAAGACTGGGTAATTTATAAAAGAAAGAGGTTTAATTGACTCACAGTTCCACATGGTTGGTGAGGCTTCACAATCATGGCGGAAGGCAAAGGAGGAGCAAAGTTACGTCTTATATGGTGGCAGGCAAGAGAGCTTGTGTAGGGAAACTCGCCTTTATAAAACCATCAGGTATCATGAGACTTATGCACTATCACAAGAACAGCACAGAAATACCCGCCCCTCATGATTCAATTACCTCCAACTGGATCCCTCCCATAACATGTGGGAATTATGGGAGCTATAATTCAAGATGAGATTCAGGTGGAGACACAGCCAAACCATATCAGATGGTATTAGGGGTGGTGTCTTTGGGAGATCATTACATTTATATGAGGTCATGAGAGTGAGGCTGCCATGATGGGATTAGTGTCTTAGTGCCATTATTGTAAAAGGAAGAGAGAACAGAGCTCAAATCAATCTCTCTCTCTCCCCTCTCTCACTCTCTCTCTCCATTCCCCCATCTCTCCATCATGCAAAGACACAGCAAGAAGGGGCCATCTGCAAACCATGAAGAGGGCCCACACCAAGCAACAGAAATCACTTTATATCACTACTCTGCTAAAAAAACATAAATAAATACATGAAATAAAACTTCACAATTGCTTCTTGTCACACATAGAATAAAATCTAAAGCCTGGAATACCTGACCTCCAGCTCTTCTAATATCTTCCTCCTTTCTCCTTTTTTAGGTGTACACAAAACACTGCCTCCTCAAAGAGACCTTCCCTGATTACTCCCATCTAGTCTTTTTTCAACCTGTCATTCTCTAGGTCCAAATTTTCTATACTTTCTTCATAACACATCACTATCTGAGTCAATGCTGTATCTTGTAGAGTGATTTTATTTTATTCTGGTCTGTCTCCCCTATTAAAATGTAAGTTTCATTAGGGCAGAGACTGTTTATCTATTTGCCACCGTAATAACAGTACCTAGAAGAGCTCCTGGGACATAGTAAGCACTCTAAATATTTATTGTATATAAGAAAGTAACTGTTTTATGGTGTACCACAAAAGATGTGTGTTTATAGAGCTATGGAAACACAACTGAGGAGTAATTAACACCAATGGTCACAGTCAAATGCAACCTGCACATGATTGCCAGATTAATACCCGACTTCCTGTTTTTCTTAATGCTACACAAATGACAAGCATACTCAGATCACTCCCCTGTTTAGAAAATCTTAGAATCTTCACATTTATTATAGAATACATTTCAAACTCATTCACGTAATATTCACAGTTATTCTCAGTCTTCCCAACCTTATTCCCCCCAACTCTAAGTTTTCATCTCTAATTTTTTTGAGTCATTATAAAATTTCAGACTTCTCATATTGTTTTGCCCATCTGAAAGATCTTCTTCCATCCCCATCTTCCCCCACAAACTTGTTTCTACGTATAGAATTCCAATCATCCTTTAAAGTGATGCCCAAGCTTTCTGCTGCTCTGTTGCACATTCCCACCTACTCCCAGAGCTTGCTTGTCCTTCTCCTGTGTTCTCAGCAACTGTGCTTGTTTTTTATTTGCATCACCATTTGGCACTTAGCATTTTCTTTAGTGAATTATTAGTTACTTTTTATGTTTCATGACATTTCTGCTCAACTAAGTGTAGATTAGCTGAAAAGGACAAATACTTATATCGTTTGTGACAGTCACAAAATTAGGGCTACAGTAAATGTCCAATAAATTAGCATTGGTTGACTAATAAGTGGACACAAATACTATATGTAAATGACTGATATTATACTGGGGAATAAGCTCATCTACTAAGGACTATTTTGAGTCAAGTTAACATATTTTAGGAAGAGTGAGATTAAATTGAAATTTACATTACTTGAAATAAAAAGTCTAAGACTCAAAGGATTTTTCTTCAAATAGAAAGTATAAAAACATAATATTGATAGATAGTACATTGCAGAGAAAATGAAGATCTGTTTTTCCCAAACATAGGAATGGAGCTATAAATTTTTCTAGGAAGTTGTTAATCAGACTATGAAAACTTGCTCATTAATTCTTTGTCTTCCTGTCTTTAATTTTTAGAGTAAGTCCAAAACATCAAGATGTTGATCCTCAGCCAACAGGAAAATCTTCATTCCCTGACTCTGCATGCCTTTTGAACTTTGAGGAAGGCACTGAGTACTCCTTTGCATTTGGAGGTTGTGTTTCCATACCAAGTGCCCCTGAGACGGCTCTGAAGAGAGTCCTGAGAAGAGCTTCCCCAGAATGACAGCAGATGTGACACTCATGTGTTCCTCTGATGTTCATTCTCTTGAACTTGATTTAATTTACTCTATTAACTCTTTCTAAAAGAAGAACAGTGTTCTTGGCTCAAAATGTTATTTTGTTTTATTTTGCATAAATTGGCATAATGAAGCACTAACTCAAAATATGGATAACGAAATCAAGTAAATGCATTAGTCAACCTACAGTAATTGTATTCAAGTTCATCATGGGTGGCATTATACACGTAAAATGCCTACAACTTTCAAATTAATCACAACCTCTATTGAGAAGAGGCAAGAGCGGTGCTGAAGAGCACTACTTAGCAAAGCTGTGAAGAGAGCCCCTGGAGCTATTCTGTTTTTACTAAATAACTGCACAGAAGACTGGGAGGGGCCCTGTTTTCCTACCAGTGCTATGAGAGTGAGCACAGCTCAAAATTTATTCCTCCTGTGAATGTATCTGAATAATCTCTGTATTTTTAGGACCCGGCATGGTTTCCATAACACAGTCAAATGATCTCTTCTTTCAGTTGAAATTATTCAGTTTTTCCCTCTCTAGTTCATAAACTAGTTTTTCTGAAAGTGTAGTCTACTGATCACCTCCATCAGAATTATCTGCAAATTCTACACCAGCACTCTCAGGATGAGATCTACAACTTTAATTTTAAACAAGCTTCCTGGGTATTTCTCACTGATGTGGAAATTTTTGAGACCCATTCCTATATAAGCACACACATACAGATCAAATAGCAAACACATTTCTCATTCTGAGAGAAAAATACACTAAACAGAGGTCAGAAAGTAAGATTTTTCCTTTTTTTATCTCAATTTAGGATTTTTCAGTTAGTCTTTTGTATCAGTTACTAAAAGGAATGATTATCCACCCTGGGGGAGACCTATTTCCTAGGTAAATAATGAAAAATGGTAACACCTTTTGAAAAATCTGCTTTGCATTTGCTATTCATTGGCGACTTTGTCCTATGACGAATTAGAACCCATCACATTCCATAAAATTCTTCTTCATGCCCATCTGGAAATGTAACATGTTTGAGCCACATAATTTCTCCAAGCAAGAGCCTTACCATTTGGAGATGATTGAGAGTACACAAAGACGAAAATTCTACAAAGTCAAATATTTTAAGGCTGTAGAAATTAATACTTGAGATCACAGTTTAACCAAATACTTTCATTAAATACATTAAAGGGCACAGAAATTTTCCAATACTCTTTGTCATGAATAAATTTTTCAAGTCCAGTTGTCCTTGACGTTGCTGGGGCTTTTTTTACAGCCCTTCTGTAGACACTTTCTTTCCAGTGCTGGAATGGTCTGTGAGAGCTGGTTGCAAAGGTCTGTCACAAATAAGTAATTTCCATGTGGGCAGATGTTGTGCTAGTTTTCTGCCTGCTTTGCTGTCAGTCATTAAAGTACCTAAAATCAGCAATGTTTTGACAAATATCAAGTAATTAAATGATTATAGCTGTAGCTAACTTTTCAAAAAACATTTAAAAAGGCCCTGTCAAGTGGATGAGTTCATGTAGTCTCCTTTCTTAATTGCCCAGAAGTGTTTCTAATAATGTGAGAGCTTTTGCTGAAAGAAGAGCTCTTAATGATGAAATGCGGAATGCTTTAAACAAGTATCATCTAAATTAGAAAATAAAAACATCAAGTTCATTAAAAGAAATGTACTACCCAAAGATTTGGGGCCAGGAAGAAATCAACAGGCTATTCAGTGTTTTCTGAGGACAAAAAAAAAAAGTCCTTTGTATTCAAAAACAGTACACATGACTGTTCCTTTGTGCCCTTTGAGTTTGTTTTCCTGTAATTGTGATCAGTTCATATTAATTTATCCATACTCTCTCCCTTGTTTCCCCTTACTTGTGAGGCAGGGCTTTATAGGCCATTGCCAAAATGAGAAGAGAATCGTGTTTGAGCCTTAATGATTGCATTCCATATCATCATTATCATCATTATCATCATCATCATCATCATTACCTTTATCATTATCATAGAATACTGAAAAACAAGTAACAAGAGCATTAAATATATTTTGGAAAAAATATAGTTTCTAATTATTTAATCAATGCAATAACAAGAATGGCTAACATTTATTCATTGCCAAGAAATGTTCTAAGACTTTAATCCTCCTAACAATTTAGTGAATTAAGTAATATTATTAAACCGATGTTAAAGAAGAAAACTGAGGTACAAAGAAGTTAAACATTTTGCTAAGGTCATATGGCTGGTAAATACTAGAGTCAGGACTGAAAAGTAGGCAGGCTAGCTTCAAAGTCCATACTCTTAACCACTGTGCAATGATGCTATGAAGCAAATTAAATTGGTTCAATAGTATGCTCTTGAGAGCTCATTATCTAAACTGAGCTTACCAGTCACAAGTAAGTCTTACATAACAATTTAGATGTATTCTCAAAGGTCTTCATAAAATCAAAGCAGAATCATTTTTATCTGATATAAAATATGCCCTAGAGTTGCAGATAGGTCTAATTTATAAGACTAATATAAGAGATCAACTAAACGACTGTTATATTTATTATATTGATCAAAATTAGCTGTAACACAGTGATAGGAGTCTACTGTAAGAGCCCAAGTAAAAGATAATATGGTATAACCAAGGGCAAAGATAGTAGGGATAAAGTGGAGAAGAGGCATAAGAAAGGCATTAAATAGAATGTGTAAATAAGACTTGTCAATTGATTAGATATTAGTAGTAAGAATGAGTTCTGGTAGTTATAGTCTCTGTGATGAAGAATACAAAAAGGAGGTATACATATGGGTCTAGGTCAAATGGGGAGACAGAAATCACACAGTACTTTAAATAGAGAAATGTTAACACATAGAATTATTAGCTAAAATAAGGGATAACCTACTAAGAAGCAAACTTTGAAGACAACAGAAATGGTAGATATCCACTAGCAGCCACTACCTCTGGGGCTAGGATATAACACCCAAGGAAGCAACAAATCTGAAGGAGACCTTCATCTCCCACCAAAGTTGAATTCCAGACCTTGACAGAGAAATGCAGCCATGGCCCAGTGATGATAAAGTATTTTGCTAGCATCCCACACCAGCAGAACACATTAGGATTCCAACAGCTGGGATGCTGGAGGGAATGACACATAAGAGGTGCCAGGATGCAGAAACCACTGGAAAGCTACTCTTGGGGTACTGAGGAAAGTGGCCCACAGGAAAGTGTCAATCACTGCTGGCTGCTGACCATGGTGTGCTGCTGGAGCCTATAAAGAGGAGCACATGAACCAGGAAGAGAAACCTCTCCTTCCTGTAGTGCCCTTCAAAATTCACTACTGACAAAGCTTAACATCATGCCAGCTGACAAGGGAGAAATGCTGACAGGAACTAGCTCCATTATCATAGAGAAGGCAATAAAGAGAAGAATTGGAGCTGAGAAGCAATCGATTGAAAGCTGGCACAGTATGTGCAGAAACCATGTGAATTCTATTAAGGACATTTTGAGTGTGAGATGCCTTTTCGGATACCCATATTGGATGAATGGGTCTTGAAATCTAGGGAACAGCTTGAACTGGAGGTACAGATTTTTAGACTATCAACAGATAAGTGGCAGGTAGAGCCTTCAACATGGATGAAAATGGGTTTTTGAAAAAAAAAAATGCCAAGGGCACAAGGGAAACAGCACATATCAAAAGCAGGCATAGAAAAAAGAGCCTACAAAGTAAACCAGTAAATAAATCATAAGAACAGATTTATGGTTCAAATGTGACGCAAAAGAGTTGAATGACTTAAAGTGTTATGTAAAAGAAAAACTGAAAATTTTCATTAGATTTGACAAGAGGTAAATTTAGTAAAAGAACTTTCATGTACAGGTAATAATGAAGCCAAATTGCAATAGATCATGAATAGTGAGGAAACAGAGATGGAAAACTTGTATTATTTTTTTCACTAGGGTGGTAATTCAAAGAGAACGAAGTGTGAATGGAGACGTTTTGTTTGCTTTGGTGTGCGAGAGAGAGAAAAATGAAAAAATGGTAATGTGAAAGAAGTTTGAGAATGTGAAGAATCCAATGCAAATCAGGAGATCCAGGAAAGAGAGGAGACAATTGATGAAGTGAGTACTGCAAAAGCAGCACCTACATTAAGGGAATCAGACTCAAACAGGAGTAAAAATACCTCTTCCTTAGGAAAGTTTTCAATTAGTGAACACAAATAAATGGTAGAATTTGCATCCACTCTAAAATAAACTTACTATACCACCCAACCACATACAATATATTCATTGAATTTTGGAGCTTGAAAAGAACCCAGAGCTTCTCAAATGCTGATCCACAAACCAGTAATGTCAGAATGGCATGAAGGAAGCTCTCTTTCTGAGGATGCCTTAGGAGCTAATTTAAAAGACAGGGGGTGGGGCAGGCATGGTGGCTCATGCCTGTAACCCCAACACTTTGAGAGGCTGAGGGGGCAGATCACGAGGTCAGGAAATCGAGACCATCCTGGATAACATGGTGAAACCCCGTCTCTACTAAAAATACAAAAAATTAGCCAGGCGTGGTGGCACGCACCTATAGTCCCAGCTACTCGGGAGGCTGAGGCAGGAGAATGGCGGGAACCTGGGAGGTGGAAGTTGCAGTGGACCGAGATCGCACCACTGCACTCCAGCCTGGCAACAGAGCAAGACTCCATCTCAAATGAATGAATGAATGAATGACAGGGGGATTCTAGCAACCTACTTCAACCAAAACAGACTCTTCTTTTCCTATTTGACATGTTCTGTTTCCTTTCCCTATTTCATTCAAAGAAGAATTCTGCTATAACACCACGTGAAAGCTATGTTTAGTCCAGCCTATTTATTTTACAGATGAGGAATCAGAAGACTAGAGAGGACAAGTAACTCATCCAAAATGCAAGGGCTACTCTAACACTAGAACATAGGTCTTGGTTTGTTACCAGTAATAATCTAATTAATTTATCACTTCCCTAAATTTAAACATTTATGCCACTTGCAATTTTAGTCCAAATAATTTTGACCTCAATCCTCACCCCTCTCCTGACATGGTGACATCCTACACCATAATTCAAGAATAATCAAGACATCATATGTCTGTGGCGTCTTTTGTGTTTGTTTTACAGACACGCATTCAGAAATAACTAATGACATTTCTAGACTCATAAATAAGAAGTATGCAAGGAACTCATTGTGGTCTTCTGCCATATCAATCTCCCAACTATTCAAGTCATATTATTTCTATTTCTTTTGCAAAGAATAAAAAGTCCACCACAATCTCCCTTGAAAAATAATCTTCAAAATTATTTTCTTCTCACTTTCACCACAAGCAAACAAATGAAACAATATAGAAACTTTCCAGAATGGTGCAGCTACTACAGAAAGCATTAGGAAGGTTCCTCAGATTAAAAATAGAACTACCTATTATATTATCCAGCAGTCCCACTTCTGAGTATTTACCCGAAAGAATTGAAATCAAGATCTCAAGGAGATATTTGCACTCCCATGTTCATTGCTATTTATAATAGCCAAGACATGGAAACAACCTAAACGCACATTAACAGATGAAAATAGAGAAAACGTGGCATATGCATACAATGGAATATTATTCAGCATTAAGGAAGAAGGAAATCTTGAAATATGCAACAACATAGATGTATTTTGAGGACATCATGCTACGTGAGATAAGCCAGTCATAGAAGGACAAATACTGCAGGATCCTATTTATCAGAGGTATCTAAAATAGTGAAGCTTATAGAAGCAAAGAGTAGGATGGTCGTTGCCAAGGGCTAGGGAAGGGGGAAACAGAGAGTTGTTAATCAAACATCAAAACAGACATAAAGTTTCAGTTATGCAAGATGAATAAATTCTAGAGATCTGCTATACCACATAGTGCCCATAGTTAACGATACTTTCTTCTACACTTAAAAATCTGTGAAGAGGGTAAAGCTCATGTTAAGTGTTCTTATCACAATAAAATAAAATACAGCAAAAATTTAATTAATTAAAAATAAAAATGTAAAAACTCTTATGGTCAAACTTCAGGATTTAAGGAGAGGACTATTGGAATCACCTTAGGAGAATTTAGCAAAATATACATTCCCATGCTGTAACCAATATATGCTGATGGGTTATTAGAGCCTGGTGAGGAGAGTAGGGAAAATGGATACAAGAATAGGAATTATGAAATTTAAAACTCTCTTCAGATGATGTTATGTTTCCCTAGCAATTGATTCAACTAAACATCTTATTTCACAGTCTTCTTGTTTATTCTTCCATGAAGATAAAGGGAAATTTTACATATTATTGTTAATTTTTCACTTTGTGTCACTAACTGGTAAAACAATGTGAGAAGCACATTACGATAAAATAGAAAAAAGTCAACCAAGTCCAACAGTGAACAACTGCTGTGAGATGATCTAAGGTTGTCCTGCCCAGTCTGATTCTAACAGGAAAAGGAGGTATAAATGACAGACTGGAAATCTATCATACAAAAAGGAAATGTTTGTGAACTGGAACTTGGATTGAGGGAGTTGTTTTTGACTATTTCATTTTGTTGAGATCAGTATGTTGCTCTGCTATCCAAATGACACAGAGGCTGAAAAGCAGTTGCCTAGTTAGAAGATTCCAGGGAACTGCAAGACCTTCAAAAATTTCCAGAGCCCATATCAAACCTGGACAGGTTCTATAACCACATGCTACTAATTGTAGCCACTCATGACTTAACCTGCTAATTGGCTTTCTATGCAGTTGTAAAAGGGAAAAGAAAACAGTTTTTAAATATAAACATTTGCTTCTCAGTTCATTGCCCAGGCTCATGTTCCCAGAGTACATGCTTTCTTGCTTCTTTGACATCACTCCCACCCAATCCAACAACTGTCATAATAAGCATGGCAGCTGCAGCAAAGTAGGACCACTATGAAATTAACACTGGAATGAGTCCCTAGGGGAGAACTGGAGGAGAACAGGATCTACATGTGAGATGGTACACTTGGATGGAGACAGTTCATCATGAAAATTTCATGACGGAGTCAGACCTTAAAGGGCGGGCACACATCTCAGAAAAAGCACAAGGTTATTTATGGAGTGCAGAAGAGACATTACTAGAAGCTCTATTTAAATTTTGTATTATTCCTTTATCAATTCTGTTTTCCCTGTATGTTTTACAGTGAACAATATTTATTAATGTGGTAGTGCGTATTAACACATACATATATGCTCATACACACATACTGTGGGGTGTACAACTTTTAAATTCTTACCAAGATGAATTGAAAATGAAAAATAAAAAAAAAATGGACACTATTGATCTAGAGATTATAACTCTTAAATCTTCCACAATTTAACCTTTAATTTCTTAGGCCAACATAACAAATTACTCAGTTCTAATAAATTGACATCATCTGTCACATAAAATTAGTCGTTTAAGTCCCTTGGTATTGGCTCTGTGGTTTTTTTGTATTAAATTTAAAAATACTTTTGGTTTACATTTGTATAGGAGCTATAAGCGTAAGAAATTTATACCTAATGTTATCTTTGTAAACATTTAAATCATACCATAATAAATATTTTGTTAACATTGTTGGTTCATGAAGATTTCCTTCCTGCAAAAGGAGTCTCAACTTTTAAGTTTGAAAACAATGCTCTCAATCCAGACATGAAGCTGAATTTTTCTGTATAGTTTAAGGAGAAAATCAAAATTGGAATTTTAATGTAAAATCAACAGAAAGTCAATAATTTCAAAAAAGTGACTTGGAAAATGCAAGGACATTAATTTTAAAAAATCTGAAGATCTCAAGAATAAAAAGTATTTGGAAACATAGATAACAATGGAATATGTTAGAAGTATAACATTCTGTAGTCAAAAGTGAGCAGTAACTTTCAAAAATTAATAACCTTGACTACACATAAATATCAACTATGTGTAAGGTACTATGTGGTATGTCAGAGTGAAAGAAGTAGATTGCTATTAAATAGATTATAGGAAACCAAATTTCCCATCCTGCTGATTCCTTCACTGAGTTAAATATATCTTTAATGTGCTCATTTTATATTTGCAATAATGTCGTTTTAATATTTGAAAATTATATTTTGACAGTTTTTGAAAATTCCAACAAGAAGTGCATTCCACCAAGTTTTGGAAATTCCACCAAGAAGACATATGAGCTGGACAAATTAAGTTGTGTCACCTGAGAAATATTCATCACTGGCTGTTAGAACCAGGCATGTCTTTTCTTGATTCCCTGAGTGATTCCAGTGGTTATCAAAATTTCCCTTCTTAGGCTCTATTTTTCTGTTTGCTTTGTTTTTCTGACTCTGGCTTTGTTTCCTTTCCCAGTCCTTGTGCATCTTTGGTTCTGATTCTGGTTTGCTTTCCCAGTTGGTGACAGCAGTGAAGAGGAATACAATTTTCTTGTCTGCCCATTCTGTAATCTCTGTCATGTAAAGATCAAGATTTATTCTCTGACAAGTAAGGAATGATAGATCATCTTTTTAATGGTATTTTACTTGTTTGTGATTGGGTTTGTTTTGGTCTTTTGTTTGTCTCACTTTTGCAAGATAAAACAGCCTTTTGAGACCTGGGCTGTCCTCTCATCAATGGGTAGTTTATTTTTCTTTTCTTTGTCTCTCCTAAAAGTTCTATGAATTGGATTTTCTACAAAGAAGGAAGTTCCCAGGACCTTGATGGAAAGGATTATACCAAGTGCTTCTACTCACTGATACTTCAAGTAACAGACTTATGTATATTCAAGAAGCAGCAGAAAACCAGATTTGAGCTGATGAGAGAAACTGATTGTGATTATTTGTTTGGAAAAATTTAAGTATAGTTTTAAGTTTTATGAGATAAGCACTGTCTCTTTCATCTTGATCTACTGCTATCCCTTCATTTAAAGATATTAACACATGTTTAGGTGATATGTTATTCTCACTAACCCCTCGGAACTCATAAACAAATATAGTCTCTTTTCTTTTAATGGTTAGTGTAGTTTTTGCGCAGAGCATTAGTAAGAGTCTGTCCTCCATTTTACAAGGATATAATTTGACAGAACAATTGCACAACCAAATTTGTTGAATTTTCTGGAGTTTTATATATGAAAATATATGTCATTATTCTCGTGTGATAAACCTACCATTTTTAAATAAATGCTGTGATTTGTTTGTTGTACCAGTTTCTACAAAGCCCTCCTAAGAAATTGGTCTATTCTATGACTAAGGGAATTTCTTCAGCCTAGAGAGAGAAATGATATCATATAAAGCCCTATATAAGTGTTACAGCTCTTTTAGAATTTGTCTGTCAGGTATTCCAATTGTTCTTTTTTCTTTCTTTTTTTTTTCTAACCAGAAAACCCCTCACAGAAAAAGAAAAATCCTGGATCTTCAGGAAGTAATGAAGAGCATAAGAATTAGTAAGCATTGGCAGTAAATATAAAAGACTACTTTTTCTTCTTAATTTATAAATAATGCATATGACTTTAAAGCAAAAGTTATAACATTGTCTTATGGGATTTAGATGTATGTGATGTGATACACGTGACACTTATGGCATAAAAATAGCAGCCTGGAGAGGAAGGCAAGTGAAGCTGTGTAGTTGCAGGGTTCTACATCTTACAAAAAGCAATAAAACATTTATCCTAAATAGACTGCAAAAGTTAAGGACATACAATAAAATCACTAGGAAAATCACTAAACATAAATAATACAAAGAGGTATAGCTTAAAAGCCACAAAATACCTTATATATTGTCTCAGTCCCTTTGTGTTGCTATGAAGGAATATGTGAGGCTGGGCAATCTGTAAAAAAAAAAAAAAAGGTGGTTTATATTCAGCTTACATTTCTGCAGGCTGTACAAGAAGCATGGTGCTGGCATCTGCTTAACTTCCAGGGAGGTCCCCAGCATGCATCCACTCATGGCAGAAGGCCAAGGGGAGCTAGCCTGTATAGTGATCATATGGCGAGAGAAAAGAAGCAAGAGAGAGGGGAAAGGTGCTAAGCTCACTTTTAATAACCAGCTCTAGAAGGAACTCTTATAGAAACTAATAGAGTAAGAATTTATTATCAAGAGGATGGCACCAAGCCATTAATAAGTGACCTGCCCTCATGACTCAAACACCTCCCATCAGGCCCCACCTCCAACACTGGGGATCAAATTGCAACATGAGACTTGGAGGGGCCAAACAAACCACATCCAAAATGTAGCATACAGAGCTTTAGAAATATTCGAATAATTTTTTTAAAAGGTAGGAGAAGAACAATAGTGGAATAAAAAGCACAGGAGCAAACAGAAGAAAAAAATGCTATGGTAGACATAAATCCAATCATATCAGTAATCTGATTAAATATTAACTATGCAATCCAAATAGAAGGCAGAGGTTCTCAGAATGGATTAAAAAAGCAAGAACAAATATATGCTACCCAAGAGAAACACAATTTATATATAAAGACATAAGTTGAAATAAAATCGATTAAAAATATATATACGAAGCAAAAAGTCAGAATAAGAAGGTTGAAGTGCCCGTATTAATATCAGATAAGTTAGACTTCAAGGCAAATAGTATTACCAGAGTTAATAAAAATAATAAAGGAAGACATAAAATCATAAACATGTATGAATCTACTACCAGAGATTTGAAATATATAAGATATGAGGGCAGAAATTGGCAAAATTAAAGGGAGGATTATGCAATTCTACAATCAAAGTTGGAGATGTTACCATCTCATGCACAGCGATTGAGGAAACAGCCAGATACAATCTCAGTAAAAACATAATCTGAAAAATACCATGGACCACCGTGACATAATTAACAAAATCAGCAACTGCAGAATTCACATGATTTTCAAGTGTACATGTAGATGATATATTCACTGTATTAGTTTGTTCCCACACTGCTATAAAGAACTACCTGAGACTGGGTAATTTATAAAGAGAAGAGGTTTGATTGGCTCACAGTTCCACAGGCTGTATAGGAAGCATGGCTGGGGAGGCCTCAGGAAACTTACCATCATGGCGGAAGGCAAAGGGGAAGCAGGCACATCTCACCATAACAGAACAGAAGAGAGCAAGCAAAAGGGGAAGTGCCACACACCCTTTTAAACAACCAGATCTTATGAGAACTCACTCACTATCATGAGAACAGCAAGGGGGAAATCCACCCCCATTATCCAGTCGCCTCCCACCAAGTCCCTCCACCAACTCTGGGAATTACAGTTTGAGATCTGAGTGGTGACACAGAGCCAAACCATATCATTCACCAATATAGAGCATAGAACCATAAAACAGGTTTCAATAAATTTTTAAAAATCAAAATTCTACAGAGTATGCTCTCAGATTGCAATAGAATTAAGTTGGAAATCAACAATGAAAACATACATATTATTTCAATACCTCTGAGATTTTAGAGCAAGCAAAAATTTCTCAGAACTCAAAGACCACAAATAATTTAAAATTTTATAAATTGGGCTTCATCAAAATTAAAAATTTTGCTCTTTGAAACACATCATTAAGAAAATGAAAAGGCAAACCCCTGGGCAAAATATTTTGCCACACATATGTACAGCAAAAAACTTTGATTCAGAATATCTAAAGAACTCTCACAACTCAATGAGAAGACAAAAACCCAATTTTAGAAGTGGGCAAAAGTTGTGAACACTTCACAAAAGAAGATATAAAGTATATGAAATATGAAGTATATGAAAAGATGCTCAACATCACTAATCATTACAGAGATTACATATTAAAATTACAATAAGATACAAGTACACATTCATTAGAATGACTTTGTTTTTTGTTTTTGTTTTTTGAGATGGAGTCTTGTTCTGTCACCCAGGCTGGAGTGCAGTGGCACAATCTCAGCTCACTGCAGCCTCCGCCTCCCGGGTTAAAGCGATTCTCCTACCTCAGGCTCCCGAGTAGCTGGGATTACAAGTGCCCACCACCACTCTTGGCTAATTTTTGTATTTTTAATAGAGACAGGGTTTCACCATCTTGGACAGGCTGGTCTTGAATTCCTGACCTCGTGATCCTCCCACCTCGGCCTCCCAAAGTGCTGGGATTACAGGTGTGAGCCACCATGGCCGTCCAGTATGACTAAATTTTAAAAAATAAAAATAATCTTACCAAGCCTCAGTGAGGTATGAAGCAACTGAAAATCTCACTCACTGCTTTGGATTTGTATTAGTCTGTTCTCACATTGCTATAAAGAACTACCTGAGACTGGGTAATTTATGAAGAAAAGAGGTTGACTCACAATTCCTCAGGCTGTACAGAAAGCATGACTGAGGAGGCATCAGGAAATTTACAATCATGGCAGAAGGCATAGGGGAAGCAGGCACATCTTACATGGCCGGAGAAAGAGGAAGATAAAGACGAGAGAGGTGCTGCACATTTCTAAACAAGCAGATCTCATGAGAACTCACTGTGATGAGAACAGCAAGGGGGAGATCTGCCCCCATGACCCAATCCCCTCTCACCAGACCCCTCCTCCAATCCTGTGTATAGGGGATTACAGTTCAACATGAGATTTGGGTGGGGACAGAAATTCAAACCATATCAGATTTTGTGGAACAGCATGGCCACTTTGGAAAACAATTTGACATTTCATAAAGAGTTAAACAGCTACCTGTCATACAACTTAGCTATTCTACTGCTAGGTATTTACACAAGAGAACCCAAACATAAAAATTTGTACATGAATGCTCATAACAGCTGTATTTTTAACAGTTAAAAACTGGAAACAACCCAAATGGCCATCAACAGATGAATGGATAAACAGATTGTGATACATCCGTATCATGTAATACTAAACTATCGAGACATACAACAAGGATGAACATCAAAATTATTATGCTTAGTGAGAGAAGCCAAGCAAAGAAGAAGAGTACATACTACATAATTGAATTTATATAACATTCTAGAAAATGCAATCTGCAGAGACAGGAAGTAGGTCAGTAGTTGCCTGAAGATAGATGAGAGACAGATTACAAAGAGGAAGAGAAAACTTTTGGCTGTGCTGTAAATGTTTTGTATCTGGATTTTAGAGATGATTTCATGGGTATATACACACGTCAATGAAATTGACATTGCCAATGTCACTTGATCAAATTACACATTTTAAACATATGCATTTTATGCACGCTGGACTTAATACCTGGGTGATGGGTTGATAGGTGTAGCTAACCACCGTGGCACATGTTTACCTATGTAACAAACCTGCACATTATGCACATGTATACCAAGGCTTAAAATAAACCTATGTATTTTATTATACTTCAATAAAGATATAAGAAAATTTTAAATTAATTTAGTGTTGAGAGGGCAACTATAGAAAAAATAAGATGAGCCAAGGGTTGATAATTATTGAAGCTGGGAAACAAGTACAGGGGTATTTATTACAGGATCAACTTTACTTCTGCATATGCTTAAAATTTTGTTAATACAATGTTTCTAAACTTCTGTAGAGAGCCTATTCAAAATACAATCTTGGTTTCTTAAGAAATCTGCAGAATTTTCTGGTCTTGGTAGTTGCTTAGCACTCTAATCTCTGTATTTGCTGACCATACTATAAGGTGACATAAACTAAGTATATTAGTTTATACTCTTGTTATATCTTTGTAAATGAACCGGGCCAAAGACCAGGTTTTTTTTTTTTTTTTTTTGGAGATCAAGAATTATTTTTAGAGATTATTTATGATTATAATGTGGGACTGCTAAGGAAAAAAATATCCAAAATTTGGAAAAAGGCAAAAGGATGACTACATTTTCTTTCAAGTCATGCACACACACGTGTAGCACACACATTCAAAGATTATTCAATTCTCTAAATTATTTGCCTCTGTTTGATTTACAATTTACTATTGATTAGGGTATTTTACCACTCAATGAGGGTAGATGTTGACTTGTAGAAAAACTTATAATGTTCATGTATATGAATGCTTGTGATTTTTGCACATTGATTTTGTATCCTGAGACTTTGCTGAAGTTGCTTATCAGCTGAAGAAGCTTTTGGGCTGAGACAATGGGGTTTTCTAGATATAGGATCATGTCATCTGCAAACAGAGACAGTTTTGACTTCCTCTCTTCGTATTTGAATACTCTTTATTTCTTTCTCTTGCCTGATTGCCCTGGCCAGAACTTTCAATACTATGTTGAATAGGAGTGGTGAAAGAGGGCATCCTTGTCTTGTGCCGGTTTTCAAAGGGAACGCTTCCAGCTTTTGCCCATTCATTATGATATTGACTATGGGTTTGTCATAAAAGCTCTTATTATTTTGAGGTGTGTTCCATCAAAACCCAGTTTACTGACAGTTTTTAACATGAAGGGATGTTGAATTTTATCGAAGGCCTTTTCTGTGTCTATTGAGATAATCATGTGGTTTTTGTCCTTAGTTCTGTTTATGTGATGAATTATGTTTACTGATTTGCCTGTGTTGAACCAGGCTTTCATCCCTGGAATGAAGCCAACTTGATCCTGGTGGATACGCTTTTTGATGTGCTGCTGGATTTGATTTGCCAGTATTTTATTGAGGATTTTTGCATCAGTGTTCATCAGGGATATTGATGTGAAGTTTTTTTGTTGTTTCTCTGCCAGGTTTTAGTATCAGGATGATGCTGGCCTCATAAAATGAGTTAGGGAGAAGTCCCTAGGCGATGGGTTGACAGGTACAACAAACCATCATGGCACATGTTTACCTATGTTACAAACCTGTACGTTCTGCACTTGTATCCTGGAACTTAAAATAATTTTTTTAAGAAAACTTATAATGATGCAAATGATTCTTGACAAATAACAATGAAAATAAATTTTGTCTCCTAGAGATTAGTAGAGATGTTATATAGTAAATCCAAATGACTCCTGTCAGGTAAAAAAAAAAAAAAGATAACTCCCAATATTATATTTACTTGCTCTAGAGGACATTGACTAGATTGTACCTAACTTAGCAATCTTTCATTCAATATTTATTCTTTCAGTGACTACACTTGTTCTCTAGTATACTCCTTTGAACCAGATTTATCACACTTAGGGCTAATTAAAAAGGTAAATCTTTAATGTGCTCACTTAAAAAAACTGTGTAGAAATACCCAAATCCTATATTAGTATCAGGCATACTATCTCTCCTTAAGGATCTCATGGAGACATAAAGGAGCAAAGGCAAAATCAAACAACACTTTATTGATATTGGCACAGCCTGAAACCCCAACGTGGAGCTCTATGTTAATTGGATTCAAGAATTAAAGAGTGATTTTTCCTTCTACCTAGCCCCAAATCTAAATTTTATGATCAGGCAGCTACCCCAGATTTTTTAAATGAGGAGAGTAAGGTGGGTGGCCAGACTGCCCTATGGATCAGCCTGCCTGCCAGCCACTTGGAAGAAAGAGAGAAGAAAGGGTCATATCCATAGGTAACCTTTAAACGAGTATCAACCCTTTGGCAAATGTGGCCTAATCAGCATCCTGAAATTTGATAAATCAAATTAGCCACAAAATCCTTTTTATTGTGGTGGCAAGGATTAGGAGAGGGGCTGGGCCTTGAGTTAGCTAATCCCCTAGATAGATGCCTATCTTCCACAGCAAAATGGATGTGAAAATAACCTGGGATAGGTTATCATCTAGCTGGAGAGGCCAGACTTTGAACATTAAGTAGTGTTAAACTAAATTTGGCCTGAGGATGTGAGTCCTTTCATAACAAACTGCAGCCTCACTTAGCACATAAACTAACAGAAGACCTAATTTAGGAGTACTCCTGTAACAATACCTGAGTCTCAGCCAGTGACAACAGCTGAGCTTCACTTAATTGCAGGTGGACAACTGATCAGATCTTGTTCAAATAAGGCAAACACCGAGTTGTAACCAGGAGAGCTATCTCTGCATCTTACTTCCTCCTCTGTTTATTAATGCTGCCTGACCACACTGTGGACTGGAGCTCTCCGAACCTGTTCTCGTTTTGAGGGTTGTGGGTTCAGGAATTATTCTTTGCTCAATTAAGCTCTGATAAATTTAATTTGATGAAAGTTTTTCTTTTAACAATAGTAAGACAAGAGCTATCAATACAGATGTTCTAGGGTAAAGGAAGGAAATATTACTATGGACCGGGGTGTTGTAAATGAAATTTGATGGGCAAAATGCAAGATTTTTTTTTTTTTTGGAAAGAAGCAAATACAGGAAAATCCAGGAACGCTTTGGGGTTCTAGGGAGTGGGAGAGTACAGATTCTATCCTGAGATACCAATTTTAATTCTTAAGAAAGAAGAGAGACTTTAATAGAAATTCATGCATATTTAAATAAAATATAAAAAGATGATGGGGGGAGGGGAGAGTCAGTGCAGCAGGACCAGAGGCACAATGCTAAGTTCTAACACACACTGACATCACTGCAATACCCTGGAATAAAGGAAGCCCTAGCTTCCAGCAGTCGGGACTTCTCTCTCTGCAAGCATAGCCTCAAAGCACCTCTGATGGATGGCTCCCAAGACATTTCATTGCTTGAAGTTCAGCAAGTTTGAATTACCCTCTAGACATCAACATTAACTTCACAGGTACTCATTGTTAATCTCCTACTAAAATAAATTGGATTGGATGAAAGAAAATAAAGGGATATGAGGTGGAAGAAGGATGTGTTTGGTTGGGAAAAAGAAAAGAGGGTGTTACAGAGGCTCAACTCCAGACTGATCAAACAATGAAGCTTGGTATGAGCACAGAACCTGCAGTGGAAAAGCCAGTCCTGGCTATGCCACTAGCTGTCTTGGACAAGCCATTTAACCACTCTGATCTTGTTTCCATATCTGTAAAATCAGAGAATTAAATCAAGAGAAATGATCTCCTAGCTTCCTCCGACTCTAATATTTTAAACTTTAATTGTGAGCACAAGAAATTAAATTTAACAGTAGACAAACAATAGAAAAGGAAAGGGACTCAATTTCACAGAAGTAAATCAGCAACAATCACTGGTTCTAACCCCTTTACAAAACCTTTCAGTTGTTTACTTTCTGAATAGAAATCAAGCATATTAGAGAATGAGACAATCACAGTCCTATTCACAATACTGAAACAAACATAAAAAGAACCTCAAGGACAACAACAAAAACACATGGTCATTGTTTTATTAATGAGATGCTGCCTCCTGCAGTACAAGGTCAACATAACACTTAAGCTTCAAATGTTTGCTCACAGCCAGACCATTTTATTTTAGTAGTCTTGCTTTGGGGAAGGTTTTTTTGTATGTTTTTTGTTGTCTTTTTTTAATTAGGGTGATGGGAGAAAAATGGGATAGCGCTTTTAAAAATTGCAGTCATTTGAAGGAAAATGCTTTCTGACTAATTATGCAAGTGTCTCTGAGAGTTGGTTGCCTTCACACGTTCTCTGGAGCCTGGCTTTCTTCTCTGTGCTTTGTGCCACCTGGTTTGCAGCTGAACAAAGAACAATCCTCTCCCTTTTGCATTAGTCTTGCTTGAAGAGTTCATAAGAAAACAGTGATACCAATTGTGGCAGGCTCTTGAGAAAGTGTAATTACACAGAAACAAATAGGGTATGTGTTAGCCTAAATATGTCTGGAGTGATTTATTATACTTGTTACAGTTCAATAAGTTTTTGTCTTTGATGTGGGGGTTTTCACTGAGGAAAATGTATGGCAAATTCTAACAGTAAAATCAGCATTACAAGAGCATGAACTCTGGATCCAGACTGCCTGGGTTTGAAATCCAGCTCTGGCCCTTACCAGCTATGTGACCTGGATTAAGTTACTTAAACTCTCTGTGCCTATTTCCTCAGCAATGAAATAGGAATAATAGTAAAACTTATATTCTTGTTGAATGAGTTAATATTTATAAAGCCCTTAAAACGGCATGTAGTCAGTGCTACGTAAGTATTGACTAGCACTGTATAAATATTTGTTCAAGAAACTCAGAGGGGGATGAATGAAGACCTAAATTCTTACTTTTTAAAATATTTTTCCTTTCATAACCAGCAATCATGTCTCTTTTTTGCATCTCTCTATCTTTAATAATTGTTATCTTTTTCCTATCCTTTTTTTCTCAGATTATTCTTTCTTGTTTTCCCACCATTACGGAGAAAGTAAGAATCAAAGTATCATAGAGCAGGAAAGTATTTCTAATGGGGTTTAGTCCTTTCATCCACAAGGAAAAAGAACTGAAACCTAAAGAGTTTAATTGACATGTCTAGGGTCAAATAAGCTGATAAATGGCTGCTTCCTATCAGACATTCGAAAACTCCTTCCTCTCCAAAACCCACTATTTCTGATACTGAACTTACAATTATTGCCCACCTCTCTTCTCTCTCTCTACCATACCTTACTCCAGCATAGGACTGGGGACTGAGTATCTTGCTCA
Organism: Homo sapiens; assembly: GCF_000001405.40. NCBI lineage: Eukaryota > Metazoa > Chordata > Mammalia > Primates > Hominidae > Homo > Homo sapiens. Next base: position 19,914,651 of record NC_000012.12, on the reverse strand, counting down.
ACTGCATTCTTAATTACCTTTCTAATCTGGTTACTTGAATTCCCTTTTGCTGGCATACATAACGTGCCCACAGTTCTGGAACAAAAATGAAGACACGTGATAGGAGTTTTTTTTTATTTTTTTGTGCATAATATGTAAATTAACATACATAAAATGAGTTAGGAAAGCATAAAATTTAAATCACAGATGATTTTGCATTTGGAGAATTAACTTTATTTAAAAGAATGAAGTTGCATGAAATTCATACTGTTCTAAAATTCAGATGTGTACTCTCCTGTACGGGAGGAAAAAGTGGCTTCCCTCCACACTTCTGGATTGTTTGGGCAAAAAGTTAAATTAACATAAGGCAGATTAACAAGAGAAAAACCATTTAAATTACCTACATAGCATATGGGAGTTCCACAAAATGTAAGACTTGAAGAAGGGTCAGATGATTGAAGCTTATCTAGCATACTGAGCTATAGAAAGTAATAGGAACTTGAAGCTGCTAATGGGGAGGAAGGATGAGGACCACAGAAGTTATGGAAAGATGAGAAGAGGAAATGTATAATGAATAAAGGTTGTCCTATTATGCATAATAATAAATAAAAGGTCTCTCAGAGCAGCCCTCCTTTAGATATAGATATTTTTACTAATGTAGATTTCCTTCATGGATATAAATTTATTATCACACAAATTTTCAGTGTTAACAGCTTTTCAGGGGTACTCCTCTCGTGTCTGCAGTTCTCCGCTTAAAGTATGCCAGAGTAGTATATTTTGAGGTGGCATATGTTTCTTATGGTCATATTTTGGGATGATGTGTCCTGAGCCCCAACTATCCCATATGTACAGGCGTATACTGCATACAATTTTAAAAACATGCATATTCAAGCCTCTAGAAGCTTATTGCTTCCCATGTTGTGTTCTTTCAGTCACCGGGCAATGGGACCTAGGACCACCAAGGTATATACACTGGCACAATTTAATTATCATCATCATTTATTGAGTAACTACTATCTGCAAAGATTTGGTGATACATTAAATTGAAAAAAAGAAAAAAGGCCCAGCAGTGTAGCTCACAGTTTAGTGGAGAAAACAAAACAAACAAACAAAAAAAGACAATCAAATCGGTTAACTTAAAATGAAGAAAAACACACAAAAGTATTGGGGCCTCAGATAAGAGTTAAAAGTAGAGCAAAAGGTATAATTGGGAGTTGGGAGTCTAGTTGGGAGAGATATAAATAATTAATAAATAAATACACATAATTACCAATTGAGACTACCACTGTGAAGTAAAATATCTGGGTATGAAAATGAATGAGAAAAATAAACAGGTGGAGGCTAATTGATTTGGTGTATCTAGGAAAGTTTCTCCTGGAAGTGACCTGCAGCTGAAACCTGAACAGCGAGTGGAGTGAAAAGTGCTCTAGGCAGAACAGCATGAGTGCAAAGTCCTGATTCAGTAAAGGGCTCAGTGCTCCTGAGCTTTGGAAGGAGGCCAGCTGTGTTTGCTGGTTCTGAGCAAAGAGTGATGGTACAAGATGAAACTGGAGGTCATGCAGTTTGGGGCGGGGGAGGGGAGGGCACGGCGGGAGCCAGTGCGGGGTGGAGAGATGCTGGTCAGTCAAACTGTACAAAGTTTCAGTTAGACTGGGTGAATAAGTTCTGGAGATCTACTGTAATGCATGGTAACCACAGTAAATAATAATTTATCCTATACTTTAAAATTATTAAGAGCTTAGATCATAAATGTACTCATCACACAAAAAAATGGTAAGTGTGAGGTGAGGGCCATGTTAATTAGCTTTATTTAAATATTTCATAAAGTATACCTATATCAAAACATCATGTGGTATACTGTAAATATATGCAATTTTTATTTGTAAATTATACCTTAATAAAAAAGATGAAAATAAGACAAAATGAAAAAGATGAAGCTAGAGGGAGAGGCAGGAGCTGAAGCCTGCAGAGACTCAAAGACAATGTTGAGTTTGTATTCTATCTTAAGCACAGTTGCGAACCTCTGAAACATAAGCAAGAAAATTACATGATTCCATTTACATTTTAAATAAATTACTTACTGATTACTAGTATGAAGAATGAATTGCAAGGGATAATAATAAAAGGGGGAGACCAATTAGAAAGTTCATTCAGTGGTACAGTGAAGAGATGATGATGAATTTGAGCAAAATTAGAGGGTGGTAAAAACATGGGAGAAAAATCAACTCAAGACATACTATGGAGTTGAATGCATATTTGGTTCAGTGTGATAAATTGGATGTTAGCTTAAAGCAGTGGTCCCCAACCTTTTTGGCACAACGGACAGGTTTTGTGTAAGACAGTTTTTCCACAGACAAGGTTGGGGGTGGTTTAAGGATGATTCAAGCACATTACCTTCATTGTGTACTTTATTTCTATTATTATTACATTATAATATATAATGAAATAATTATACAACTCACCATAACATAAAATTAGTGGGAGCCCTGAGCTTGTTTTCCTGCAACTAGGCAGTCCCATATGGAGGTAATGGGAGATAGTGACAGATCATCAGGCATTAGAGTCTCATAAGAAGTATGCCACCTAGATCCCTCGCATGCACAGTTCACAATAGAGTTTGTGCTCCTATGAGAATCTAACGCCACTGCTGATCAGACAGGAGGCAGAGCTCAGGCGGTAAAGTAGGCAATGCGGAGTGGCTATAAATACAGATGAAGCCTTGCTCACTAGCCCACCACTCACCTCCTGCTGTGCGACCTGGTTCCTAACAGGCCATGAACCAGTACCAGGAATTAGGGACCCCTGGTTTAAAGGATACTTCCAGATTTTTGGCCTAAGTTTTCTTTCTCAATCTCAGCTTGTATTTCTTCATGCCCTAGTCATCTTTGTTGTGCTCCTGGCATACTGTGGAAAGATACAAGATAATGAAATCCAGGCTATGCTCTTAAAGTTTGTAAGCTCTATCATGTTATTGGCATAAAACAGACACATAGATCAATGCAACAGCATAAGGAGCCCAGAAACAAATCCACATGTTTATAGCCAATTGATTTTAATAAAAGTGCCAAGAACATACAATGGGGAATAGAGTATCTTTTCAATATATGGTGCTTGGAAAACTGGATATCCGTATGCAAAAAGGAAGAAAGAAAGAAAAGAAAAGAAAGGAAGGAAGGAAGAAAGAAAGAGAGAGAGAGAAAGAAAGAAAGAAAGAAAGAAAGAAAGAAAGAAAGAAAGAAAGAAAGAAAGAGAAAGAAAGAAAGGGAGAGAAAGAGGGAGAGAGAGGGAGGAAGGAAGGAAGGGAGGGAAAGAATTTCACTGTATGCCAAAATTAACTCAAAATGGATTAAAGACTTAAACATAAGACCTAAAACTATAAAATTACTAAAAGAAAACATAGGGGAAAGTCTCCATGACATTGGTCTTGGCAATGATTTTTTGGATATGACCCCAAAACATTGGGAATAAAAGCAAAAATAGACAAATGAGTTTACCTCAAACTAAAAAGTTTTTGCACAGCAAAGGAAACAATCAGCAGAGTGAAGAGACAGCCTATAGAATGGGAAAAATATTTGCGAATGATATATCTGATAAGGATAATGCCAAAATATACAAGGAACTCAACAGCAAGAAACTAAATAACCGAATAGAAAAAAATTAAAAATTGGCAAAGGACCTGAATAGACATTTCTCAAAAAGAGACACAAAAATGGCCAACAGATGCATTAAAAAATGCTCGACTTCACTAATCATCAGGAATATGCAAATAAAAACCACGATGAGTGGTTAGAATGGCTATTATCAAAAAGATGAAAGATAACAAGTGTTGGTTGGCAAGTATGTGAGGAAAAGAGAACCCATGTACTGTTGGAAGGAATGTAAATTAGTACAGTCATTATGGAAAACAGTAAGAGGTTTCTCTAAAAATTAAAAATAGAATTATAATATGAACCAGTAATCCTACTACTGGATATTTATCCAAAGGAAATGAAATCAGCATGTCAGATATATCTCTGCACTTTTGTGTTCACTGCATCATTATTCACAGAATCAACCTAATGGATGAATGGAGAAAGAAAACATGGTATATATACGCAATGGAATATTATTTAGCCTTAAAAAGAAGGAAGTCCTGTCATTTGTTACATGGATGAACCTGGAGGACATTATGTAAATTGTGTCAAACGACAAAATTATAACAAATTTATTTTAAAGATCTTAATTGGCTTTTATTTGCAATTCTAAAAGTGGACAACACCTCATTCTACAAAATAAAAAGAGTGGCCGGGCACAGTGGCTCACGCCTATAATCCCAGCACTTTGGGAGGCCCGAGGTGGGCAGATCATGAGGTCAAGAGATGAAGACCATCCTGGCCAACATGGTGAAACTCCGTCTCTACTAAAAATACAAAAATTAGCTGGGTGTGGTGGTGCGTGCCTGTAGTCCCAGCTACTCAGGAGGCTGAGGCAGGAGAATCGCTTGAACCCAGGAGGCAGAGGTTGCAGTGAGCTTAGATCGCTGCCGCTGCACTCCAGCCTGGCAACAGAGTGAGACACCATCTCTAAATAAATAGATAGGTAGGTAGGTAGGTAGATAGATAGATATACAGATAGATAGACAGATAGAGTTTCAATTAGCTGAACAAAGGAGGTTAGCTTTATCCCCAGAAAAGGAAACAGAGACACAGAGAGCAGAAACAGAGAACAAAAAGTAGATTGGGTGTTTCAAAGTTACTTTCCTTGTAAAAGTTAAAGCAGAGGGGACTCCCTTCTGCAGGTAAAACTAGCCTGTTTGGGGATTTGACTACTATCTCTCCTGATTTCTGGGAGAATCAGCTAAACAACTTAATTTCAGCTTGGTGGTGTGGAACTTTAGCATGAATAACTCCATTTAGGTTTAGTCTGTTGGGCCTAGTGCAGGAGCTCGGTCCAAACCAATGGCTTCCTGTAAATTGTGTTTAACAAGTGAAATACAACAGGCACAGAAAGATGAATACTGCATTATCTCACATACATGTGGAATTTTAAAAAGTCACACTCACTGAAGCAGAGAGTAGAATGGTGGTTATCAAGGGCTGAGGGAAAGGGGAAGTAGGAAAGGGGAGAGATCGGTCAAAGGATTCAAAATTCAGTTGTACAGGAGGAATAAGTTCAAGAGATTGATTGTACAACATGGTGACTACAGTTAATAACTATTATTTACTTGAAAATTGCTAAAAGAGTAGATTTTAAATGTTCTCACCACAAATAAATGATAGGTATGTCACGCAATGCATAATTAGCTTGATTTAGCCATTCTACAATGTATGCATATTTCAAAATCTCATGTTGTCCACCATAAATATGTACGATAAAAATAGATAAAGTTTGCAATCTTTAGAAGGAAAATGTGGATTGGCTTTCTAAATACATTTTCACTATGCTTTGAAAGTTCCAGGAAAACCTTCATGTGCCAAGACATCTCCTGGTATCTGTGCCTTAAATTCGACTCCTAGAATATTCATTTGGCCCTGGACAGCATTTCAGCTCTCAGTAATTTCCAATTGAAATGCAAACATGTTTAGCAAGGTTAAGACCATATATCATTCATCCACGTCAGAAAAAAACATTTTAACAGATAGCTGGGAGGAAGTCTTTATCTTGGTTACATCATTAGGTTGGGAAATGGAAACGAAAAAGAGGAAGGGCACTGAAAGAGGAAGTGGAGGATGCTCTTGGCTTTTTCAGAGTTTGGCAGAAGAGCAGCCTTGGATATCACTTATTGATTAGAATGTTATTTTCCTAGGATTTGAGTTTATGCAAATTCAAGTGGATAATTAGTTGAACCAAATAAGAAAGGTACATTTAGAATAGATTAGAATATTGTAAAGACTGAGAATAAACCACACTGTGCTTGCAACCACGACAAAAGTAATATTGTGTGATGTTCTTTTTCCGTGCTTGGAAAGATCAATAATGAAAGTAATTATGCTGGGAAAGCACATCTAGCTAGATATGTAGAAAAAGAAGGTGTTTGGAGCAATTAAAGACAATGTCTTCAAAATGAGAAAATAATTGGAAGCTGAATGAGAGATCAGCAAGGACAGAGAGACCCAAGAAAAATCAGTACAAGACTCATTGTAAATCTAGATCTTGGCTTTTGACATTATATACATAAAAAATTACACAGTAAAGACAATTAAGAACATGCAAAAACAAACCTGAAAGCTTACAAGCAATTATATAGAGAATGCAAAGAGTATTCCAAATATTTTATTCATTTATTCATAATTTTAAAACTGTTCATTGAAACCTTGCTACATTGATATTGGAGACATTTTAATCCATTTATTGTTTCACTGATACTTTTGGCAACTATTAAGAACCTATCTTAAACAGTGTAGGGTCCAATTTATGATTTAGACAGTGTACTCTGAGGGGTTGTTGAAGCCAAATTTGAGACGAACAAGAATAGATACTGAAGGGAAGATTAGGAGGCTGGTGAAATACTCTAGACAGCAGTTAATCAGAACCTGAATTTAGGTATGTTGGTACCAATAGTAAGAGCAATAACAATAATAATAAAAACAACTTGGCTGGGCACGGTGGCTCGTGCCTGTAATCCCAGCACTTTGGGAGGCCGAGGCAGGCAGATCACAAGGTCAGGAGTTCAAGACCAGCCTGGCCAACATAGTGAAACCCCATCTCTACTAAAAATACAAAAAAATTAGCTGGGCATGGTGGCAGGCGCCTGTAATCCCAGCTACTTGGGAGGCTGAGGCAAGGAGAATCGCTTGAACCTAGCAGGTGGAGGCTGCAGTGAGCCAAGATCATGCCACTGCACTCCAGCCCAGGCAACAGTGCGAGACTCTGTCTCAAAAAAAAAAAAAAAAAAAAAAATTAACATATTGTGGCACCTGCTCTGTTCTAGACACCCTTTTAAGCAATTAACATGTATTAATTCATTTAACATTCACAAAAATCCTATACAGTAAGACCTATTACTATCCCCATTTTACAGATGAGAAAACTTAAGTAGAAAATGGTTAAATAACTTGCCTAAAAGTTATAGACCAAAACAGTAATAGAACAAGTAAGTGGTAAAACTGGGAATGAAGATGAAGGGAAGAAATTTAAGAGATATTTACATGAAAGTTTTTCAAGCAATAACTAAGGAAAAATTTGGTAACATTTTGTAAGTAGGAAAAGTTAAGAAAAGCCCGATTTCCAGCTTGTGCCTTGGGTAATTGGCTGTGGCAGTAATTGAGATAGGGTAATAGTGGGTAAGGAGCCAATAGGTCTATTGGGAAGTAGATGGATTCAGTTTGAGATTTTAAAAATTTGTTTATTTTTATAGATTCAGGGGGTACCTGTGCAAGTACATAAATATATTGAGGCACCTGTGGAATAACTAAATGAATAGTGAGCAGGAATTTGGAAAAGTAAGCGTAAATCTCAAAAGAGAGGTTTAAAACAGAAGTATAAAATCGCAAGGCACTGGCATATAAATGGTAATAAAAACCATGAAGAGTTTTCACAGGAAAGCTACATTTATTAATAGCCTAATTAGGAAAGGAAATTATCCAGATTTAGTAGGCATCTGTTTCTTCCCTAAGGACCCAGTAGTCCTCACAGTTCCAGATATGTTCTTAGGTCAGGTGAAAAATAAAAACTGAGGGGGTTTTATGGTCAAAGAGGAAGAATAAGTGCAGTATTTTAATTACTTATAGTTCTTAAAGAAAACTTCATCTTAATGCCGATATATAATTTAGAGTCAAACAACTAAAATATTTCAAGCAGTAGAGTTTGCTGAAATAATGAAGACTTTTTTTTTTTTTTTATATCTTAGTGACAGGGCCTTGTTCTGTTGCCCAGACTGGAGTGCAGTGGTGTGATCACAGCTCACTGCAGCTGTGAACTCTGGGCTCAAGCAATCCTCTCACCTCAGCCTCCCAAGTAGATGGGACTACAGGTATGTGCCAGCACACGTGGCTAATTAAAAAAAAAATACTTTTTTTGTAGAGACAGGGTCTTGCAATGTTGCTCAGGCTGATCTCGAATTCCTGGATTCTCCCAACTTGAGCCCCCAAAGTACTCAGATTACAGGCATGAGCCACCAAGCCTGGCCAAAGAGGAAATTCTTATTGTGGATTTATTTTAAAATAAAAAATTGGTGGGGAGAATTTTATTTTAAAGGTGTAAAATATTTAAGAATCATTATTTTTCTGAGAACTGCCAATCATCTAGTCAAAAGTGATAAAACTAAGTCACGGTAAGAAACGAAATATGTCCACATGCCACTGAAAATCCAATGTAAAATATTTTTTCTTAGGGAGTTTTTTTCTAGAGTATTTGACTTTGGATTCAGCTATAGAAATTATCTATAATATGTTGAAAACCAGAAGGTAGACATGTCCAGGTTAAGCAAGAATGGAAAACTAAATCAAAATAAAAAGAATGCCATTCCTCATTTGTCAAGGGACTGAAGTGATGTCTTAAGCATGTTCACTAATCCAAGGTCTCTGTCTCTCAGCCAGAGAAAAGATGGTACAGAAAAAGTAAAATAAAATTTTAGGGTATAATGATACATAAATCTACCAGCCTGCTTTATATTTACCAACTCATTTTGCAAAATCCTGTGGCTGCGAGATGCCTACATCTTGATGTCCCATTGCCAATCACCAAGCATAGATTAGATAGACACATGCATGCATACATACATACATATGGAGATAAACAGATAAATATCATAGATATAGATATGCTTTCTAACTACTTGTAAATGAGCTATGAATATAATACTGTCTCTGCCCTAGAGATACTCATAGCCTGGTTAAGGGAACAAGTGAGGTTCTGCTTATCTCTCTTCTTGATAACTATACATTTCCACTTTCTCTCTTTCTCCTCCTTTTTAACAAAAAAGGCAGTCATTGAACAACCAGTAATATGCCCAGCTCATACTCTTTCTTAATTTTTTTTTTGTTTTCTGTATTACTAAGAATTCAGTGACACTTCCTTGTGTTGCCTTCATAGCACTTATTGTTTAAATAATATATTTGGCCATTAATTGTTCATGATCTTGTGATTACCTGTATTACCTTCTTTTTATGTCATGTTCAGATTATATCATTTCTATATATCTGCTATCCCCAACTGGATTATAAATAGTTTGAAGTCTGTAATATTGTTTTATTCTTGCTTTTACCTCTCTATCACGCTAAAAAGAATTATTTGCACTCAGAAAACCTCTATAATTATTTCTTGATCAAACCATTTCGATGAATCAACATACTTGTTTCAAGAAAAGGTTCATTCATTCATTCACTCATTCAGCCAAAAATTACTCATCACCTACTCTATGTCAGCCATTACAGTGAAAATGTTGCAAGGAATTTTAAAAAGAACCTCGTGTCTTGGAGCTCATATATCAGAAGGGAGAGTGATGATAATTTAATACCCCAAGAGACAACATAATGTTGGATAGTTTTAAGAGCTCTGAAGAATAATAAGACAGGTTAAGGGAATAGAGAGTGGTCAGAATGATCAGGGAAGAGCTCTCTGAAGAGCTAACATGAACAGATGTCTACCTGCCCAGGAAAAGGGAGCATTAAATACAACGACCTGAGGGTGGAATGTCCTAATGAGTTTAAGACACAGCAGGCAAGCAGCATGTTTGGGTCAGGATGTGCTAAGGGAAGAGGGGTGACACAGGCTTGGAAAATGACTCCACAAATTCATATCTTGGACCTGATCCAGTCATTAAGTAGCCTGTGACTTGGGGCAATATTCTGACCTTAGAATCATCAGTATGGTTAATTTTAACCTTTCTTAATTCACAGATCTGATGATTATTAAAAAAAAGAATACATTAGTGCATTTTAAATAATTATAGAGGTTTATGACTATCATTTTAAATCCTCAATCTCTACTTTTTCCAGGGAGTTTTTCCAGGGAGTCCTCCTAGATAACCTCATTTTCTTTTCTTCTATAGTTTTCCTATAATAATACAACCTCGAATAGGCCTCAAATATTTAAAGTAAAATTAACAAAACAAAAAAATATAGATAAATCCAAAATTGTAGTGAGAAATTTTAACATGCTGTTCTCACTAACTCATAGGACAAGTGAAACAGGAAAAGTTCCCTTGTCTCCCTCACAGGGTGTGTGATGGGGGTGGGGGTCGCTTCTTCAGTGCCCCGCTGCTCAAACCTCTAGGGAAGCATACAGATGGGTAGGCTGTGGCTCCAACCCCAAGGCAGTGTCCAGGGGTGAATGTTTACAGCTGAGCGTGTTTATGAATGTTTACCCCAGTGCACGTGTGTTACACGGTGCCCTTTCAGTTTAGCTGTCAGTAGGTGGCTTGTGTTAACGAGCTCAAATAGACCCTCTACCTTGTTGCAAGGACAGAGGGCTTTCTGTATCCCAGGGTTCTTGCCTTGGTGTACCTCTTGTCTTGGGGTACCTAAAGAATTGGATGACACGTGAGCTTGGAGAATGAGTGCAAGGTTTTATTGAGTGGAAGTAGCTCTTAGCAGATGGGGGAGCCAGAAGAGAGATGGTTTTCCCCCAGAGTCAGGCTGCTTGATGGCCCGGGCTCTCCTCCAACTGCCCCAGCCATACTCCAAGTCATTCGGCCAGTCAGTGGCCTGCTTGCGTGCTGGTGCCTGTCACTGCATCCCCGTTAACGTCCAGCCACTTGTGTGTTCCTCTGCTGATTTGCCCCTCTCAACGTCCTGCTGCCTGTGTGTTCCCGCTGGGGTCTCGAGGTTTTTATAGGCACAGGATGGGGGCATGGCAGGCCAGGGTGATCTTGGGAAATGCAACACTTGGGGCAGGAATACAAAAATGTCTGTCCTCACTTAGGTCTGTGTTGGGCTGGGGGGGAGAGGCGGGCCTAGCCAGGGACCACACCCTCCTGTACCCAGCACTTCCCTTCAGCTCCCCCATCATTTAAAGGGACCACGCTCTTCCCTTCCCAGCACGTCCTTTCCGTATCATAAGGAGGCATAAAAATTAAAGAGATAGGCTGGGCGCGGTGGCGTACACCTGTAATCCCAGCACTTTGGGAAGCCGAGGCAGGCGGATCACGAGGTCAGGAAATCGAGACCATCCTGGATAACAGGGTGAAACCCCGACTCTACTAAAAATACAAAAAAATTAGCCGGGCATGGTGGCGGGCGCCTGTAGTCCCAGTTATTGGGGAGGCTGGGGCAAAAGAATGGCATGAAACTGGAAGGCGGAGCTTGCAGTGAGCTGAGATCTCGCCATTGCACCCCAGCCTGGGCGACAGAGCAAGACCCCGTATCAAAAGAAAAAAAATAATAATAATGATATAGAACAATAGAACGAAATTTACAAACTTGACTTAAGTTTGGACATATGTAACACTGTATCAATCTACTACAGAATATACATTCTTTATAAGTTCACATGGAACACTTAATTGACCATATGAGTGATAAAGTGAATATTAACAAATTTCCAAGAAAATCATACAGAGAAAGCTTTATGAACATAATATAATCTATAAATTAGTATTTTTAAAATATTAGAAAATTTCTCGAGTTAGAGCCATCTTACAAATCAGAAAAAGTTATAAATAAAAAAATTAAAATGCAAGATATCAAATTAAGAACATCTTATTTTAGAGAAACTTTAGTCTTTAAAGGCATACATTGAGAAACAATAAAAGCTAAAAAATTGAGCTAGGCAAGGCACGGTGGCTCACGCCTGTAATCCCAGCACTTTGGGAGGCTGAGGCAGGCGGATCACAAGGTCAGGAGATCGAGACCATCCTGGCTAACACGGTGAAACCCCATCTCTACTAAAAATACAAAATATTAGCCAGACATGGTGGCAGGCGCCTGTAGTCTCAGCACTGGGGAGGCTGAGGCAGGAGAATGGCGTGAACCCGGGAGGTGGAGCTTGCAGTGAGCCAAGATCAGGCCACTACACTCCAGCCTAGGCGACAGAATAAGACTCCGTCTCAAAAAAAAAAAAAAATTAGCTAAACATCCATTTCAGTAAATTAGATAAAGAACATCAAATTAAACCCCTAAAAAGTAGGGGCCGGGCATGGGGGCTCATGCCTGTAATCTCAGCACTTTGGGAGGCTGAGGCGGGTGAATCATGAGGTCAGGTGTTCGAAACCAACCTGGCCAACATGGTGAAAACCCGTCTCTACTAAAAATACAAAAAAATTAGCTGGGTGTACTGGCGGGCGCCTGTAATCCCAGCTACTTGGGAGGCTGAGGCAGGTGAATCGCTTGTACCCGGCAGACGGAGGTTGCAGTGAGCCGAGATCATGCTACTGCACTCCAGCCCAGGAGACAGAGTAAAACTCTGTCTCAAAAAAAAAAAAAAGTAGGAAAAAGACTAAGTATTAGTAGAGGAATTTATGAACTAGAAAGTATACACACAATAAAAAGAATCAATGCCAAATGTTACTTCTTTGAAAATAATAATAAAACCGATAAACTACTGGTAAACAAGTAAAAGAGAGAGAAGACACAACCATATTAAAAATGACAAAAGGAACAGCTTGTAGATATTAAAGAGGTTAAGGAATATTATGAACAGTTTATAACAATAAATATAAATTTAGGACAAATGGACAAATTCCCAGAAAAATATGACTCAAAAAGAAAGAGGAAATAGGATTTTACAACCATGAAAGAGACTGATTCAATAAAGAAGTCTTCCCACAACTAAACACCAGGCACAAATGGCTCCATTGGCTAGCTATCCAAATATAATTTATGCTCATTCTAAGAGGATGGCATAACTTTGATACCAAAACCCAAAGAAACAGTAAGAGAAAATTCAGATCAATCTAACTATAAACAAAGATGCAAAAACTCTTAACAAAATAGTAACAAAGTAAATCCAATAATATGTTTTTAAAATAGTACATTTTAACAAAGGAGAGTTTCTTCCAGGAATATAAGTTTAGTTTAACACGAGAATGACAATTTAATTCACTATACCATCATCTTATCTCAATGCACAAAATGTATGAATCTCGTTTGACAATATTCAATATTTATTAATGATAAAAGATATTTAGTAAAAATAGAAAACAATATTTTAATCTGGTAAAACAGGAATTGGCAAACTTTTTCTTGTTAAAGAGCCAAATAATAAATAACTTCAGCTTTGCAGGTCATATGATCTCTGTCACACTAAACAACTGTGCCATCATGGTGTGAAAACAGCCATAGACAATGTATACATGAAAGAGTGTGGCTGGGTTCTGTAAAACTTCTTTTACAAAAATAGGTGGCAGGCTGCATTTGGCCCATGAACCATACATAGATTGCCAACTCCTGGATTAGAGGGTATCTAAAAAACATGGTTTTTGGTACTTACAACAATTAATGATGAAATAATTTCCTTTGAGATAGGAACGAGACAAAATATCTACTGTTACAATGGTGATTCACATTGTTTTTGGGGTTCTAGTTAGTACAATAAGACAAGAAAAACAAATAAAAGGTATAAGGATTAAAAAAAGGGAATAAAGCTGTCATTATTTACAGAGGAAATAACTGCATTTATATAAAATCCAAAAAAACCTACAAATAGTTTTTTAATGAGGAAAACTTAGCATTGTTCCTGGATACAAAAATCAATATAAAAACTTATTTCTACAAACAATTATAAAATAAAATTAAAAGTGGTACTATTTACAATAGTATCAAAAATAAAAAGTACCTAAAAATAAATCAATGAGCATATATATAAGACTTCTATAGAGAAATTTATGCAACTAATTGAGAAACAGTAAAAAGGACCTAATAAATGGAAATTAAAAACATGTTCAGGGGTTGATAGCTCCCTATTATAGCGATGTCAATTCTTCCCAGCTGAATGGATTCAATTCAATTGCAAACAAAATTTCAATAGTCATTTTATAGAGTTTGACAAGCTGATTCTAAAATATACACAAAAGTTCTAAAGTCAAGAATAGCCAAAATACTTTTGAAGAAGTACAAGGTAAGGGAACTTGCTATAACAGATGTCAAGACTTATTTTAAAACTGAAGTAAATAAAACAGTGTGGTACTAGCCCAGTGACAGAGAGCTCAGAGTCAGGCCACATTGGTATGGGCATCTGTATATGACAGAAATACCAGAATCTATTAGTAAAGTCATGGCAGCTTTTGAAGTAAATGGTGCCAGGAAAATTGAATATCCATGTAGGGTAAAATAAAATCAGACCCTTAGTCACAAAATGTACTAAAGCCAATCAGATAAAGACCAATATTAAAACGGTAAAATTATAAGTATTTATAAAATAATAGAGAAACATATCTATATGACTTTAAGGTAGGGAAAGATTTCTTTCTTTCTTTCTTTCTTTCTTTCTTTCTTTCTTTCTTTTTTTTGAGACAGAGTTTCACTCTTGTTGCCCAAGCTGGAGTGCAATGGCACGATCTTGGTTCAGTGAAACCTCCGCCTCCTGGGTTCAAGCAATTCTCCTGCCTCAGCCTCCCAAGAAGCTGGGATTACAGGTGCGTGCCACCACACTTAGCTAATTTTTTGTATTTTTAGTAGAAATGGGGTTTCACTATGTTAGCCAGGCTGGTCTTGAACTCCTGACCTCAGGTGATCTGCCTGCCTCGGCCTCCCAAAGTGCTGGGATTACAGGCATGAGCCACCACGCTCAGCCAAGATTTCTTAAATAAGGTGCAAACAAAATTATTCATGAAGGAGTGATTGATACATTTTTTATGTAACGTTAAGGACATCTTCTTATCTAAAGAACTATAAAGAAAAAAATTACAAAAAAGAGAGAAAGATATTTGCAATGGACAAACAAAAAACTGGTAACTGGAATATTAAAATCATTTCTATAAATAAATTTTTAAAAGATAATACAGAAGAAAAATGGGCAAAATTGTAACTAGGCAAAATAACAAAAAAAACTAAATGACAAATAAATGTACAAAATGTTGCTCAATTTCATTAGTAATAAGGGACATGCAAATTTCCACAATCATTATATATTCATCAGGCTAACAGAAATTTTAAAAATTTAACTATACTAAGTGCTGGTAAGAATGTGGCAATGGGAAATCCCATATATTGCTGGAAAACCATTTGACATTTTTTGGTAAAATTGAAGATTTGCATTCCTTCCACTTAACAATTTCATGTCTAGAGAAATTAGTATAAATGCACACTCGAATACAAGTACAAGGACAGTCACAGCTGGAAACAAGCCAAATGTCTTCCAATGGTAGGACAGATATAAATGTGGTGTAGTCATACAATGAAATACTATACAGCAATGAAAATAAACTTTATGCTATAGCATATATGACTGTGAATATGTCTCATAAATGTAATACTGAGATACAGTTGGTAGGCAAAAAGAAATATATGAGGCCATTCAAGCAGAGTTTCTTTTTTAAAGAAACAACTAAACTAAAATGCAGTTTTTAGAGATGGATATGAGGGATTAGTGCTCCCTACTTTTCTTTACAGTTTTATGAGAAAAGACCACAGAATGGATATCTCTAGGTCAAAGAGATGAGGTTGTGATGAGAGAGGGACAAACATGGTTGAGGACTTCCTGGGAGCTGGCTACATTGTATTTCTTGACCTCAATGGTGATTGTACAGTGTTTACCACATAATTATTTGTCCACATGACAAGTATTTGTTTTATACATTTTTCTACATACATATTATATTTCATAATAAAGAAAAAACAATAGAAAACAAAGTAATATATTTTCTAGGTTCTTCTTCACTGAAATCTTGAGTTTTCATTCTGTTCTACCAAATAGCTATCGTGCAATTTCTTATATTTTATAGGTTATATTTTCCCATTTAAATGCATTCCCTGTATTATTGAACTTTGTTCCCTGAAGAATATAAGACCTCTCATCATGTTTAGCTGTATTGTAACAATCTGAATTTATATTTAAAAATGCGTAATATGTGGAATGGCAGTCTTCTCCAATGCCCACCTCCAAAGCTAGTTAATATGAAAATCTGACCTGACATAGAAAACACAACAATAACATGAATATGCAAAGGATATATCGGGTTTTTTTCTATCTACCAACAGATGAATCTATGTAAGTGGCAAGGCCACTTTTGTACATATATGACGTAGATTCCAAATATACGTAAAGGCTTAGAGCAATCTAACAAAATTGAATACCCAAAAGATGTTATCCTTGCACATAGTTTTCCAAACTTTCACCAAAAATATTATTCTACAGAAGATATAAGAAACCTTAGGGTTTCAAATTAATGGCTTTAAGTGCTGGATTTTTGTCCATTTTTAGAAAATATCAGTCCCACGCATTCTATAAAAGGCAATTATACTCAATCCCATAGTATCATCTCAACCCCATACATTAAAAAATGAAAATGAAAAATGACATTAATGGACACACTAAAAAACGTTGCAGTAGTAACACTTTTAAAATACAGTTATCATGTAGCTATATTAGTCTGACATTACCCTGTGCCTAGAATCTGTCTTCTCAATTCTATTTTGAGACTTTTGGTCATTTCTCTGATAGCAATGCCAATAAAGCTGCCAGTTACCATTAATCTCAGTTCTATGAAAGAATAAATCATTCTCACAAGCAATTAAACAATAAACACATTAAAATAAGACCAATTAGAGCTAAGACTAGACATTTACCACATAGTTATAACACAGGCTTGTCATAATCATTTCAGCTTTAACTGGACACTTCTTCAATAATTCTTTCTAACAGAAGCAAGATAAGATTTTGCTGTGGGAGTACCCAAATTCAGTAGAGTTTAAATTGAAATACTTAATCAGGAATTTCAATCATATGTCTGCAAGACTTTCCTTTGTACATTAATTTGTATGCCCACGATTTGTCCTATGCTTTGTTTGCCAATAGTTTACCATGTGCAGCATGCTCTGAAGTTTGTAACTGTGCCAGCTCTCTTTCACATTTCCAATCTTTTAATAAATTGCTTTGCAAAGACAATGAAAGCTCACAGTCAGTGGCCACATGTAATTTTTTTCCTTTAGGTAGTCTTCATTATATAGACAACTGGTTTCAAGTTGTTTTAATAACTTGGCCCTTTGTGGGTATCAAAATGTCTAAGTTCTTCTTCTTGAATTCCTTAGGCAGTCTTTACAAATGTATCAGTAAGTTATTGCTTCATATGTAACTTTGTAATACTATAAATATATGAATAAACGTAGGCAATTTTCAGAGGAACTATAAATAAATCCTTAATTTCTCAAGATTTTATTGTTGCCCAGTTATATATGCCATATTTTATCACCAAAAAAATACTCATTGATCCTCCTAAGGAAATAGGGAAATAGTGTAGCTCTTTATTGAATGGCTTGTGGGCAACAGCAAATTCCAATTTTTTCCACTCACTAATAGAGAAACTGCTTCTCATTAATCTAGCAAAAGGAGAGAGAAGCTGTAAATACAGACAGAGAACTCCAGTTTTGTTAAGAGATTAGGGTTTGGGAGAGGAAATTTGATGAGGCAAAGGGAGCTCTCACTGAAAATTCAAACAAAAACAAAAATGCTTAGGTGTAGCAAGTGCATCTGGGAATTATGAAATGCCAGGGCCAGGAATGGTGGCTCACACCTATAATCTCAACACTTTGGGAGGCAAATGCAAGAAGATTGCTTAAAGCCAGGAGTTCAAGACCAGCCTTGGCAACATCTCTACAAAAATAAAGAGCCAGATGTCATGGCATGCACGTCACAGCTACTGGAGGCTGAGGTAAGAGGCGTGCTTGAACCCAGGAGCCAAGTCTGCAGTGAGTTATGATCGCACCACTGCACTCAAGCCTGAATGACAGAGTGAGGCCCTGTCTCTGGGGAGGACGAGGAGGAGGAGGAGAAGAAGAAGAAGGAAGAAGAAGGAAGAAGGAGAAGGAAGGAGGAGGAAGGAGGAGGAAGAAGGAGGAAGAAGGAGGAAGGAGGAGAAAGGAAGAAGGAAGAAGGAAAGAAGAAGGAAGAAGGAGGAAGAAGGAAGAAGAAGAGGAGGAGGAGGAGGAACAGGAAGAAGAAAAAAGAGGAGGAGGAAGAGGAGGAGGGAAGAAGAAGGAAGAAGAAGAAAGAAGAGGAGGAAGGAGGAAATAAATGCCACGTTTTGATGTACTGCCATTAATAAGATATTTTTCAATAAAAGTGATTACAATGAAGAAAAGTTTTGAGAATTTGCCCTGTGTATAGTGCCAGTGAAGCAGCTTGAGAGAGCAGAGGGGTCTTATACAGGTACAGAGAGAGACCAAGGAGAGACCCCACTCCAATCAGGGTTGAGCCAAAACACCAAACAGGTGCCTTATACAAGTCAGCCTTAGTAACTTAAAAGTACACTACCCAACATTTCCATAGCAACCACACAAGTTGCTAATGGATCAGTGGTGCCTAATTTGGATCCCTGAATGTGCATCAGAAGGTTCACAAACAACTTAAATTGTAAGCAAAATACCATATGTGTGACACATATATATAACAATTTTCTAGGGAGATAATCTATAGCATATGTAAACGCATTTTTAAAATATATACTACCTAGCATAATGTTAAACATATTTGAGGTTTATGCCTCATTTAGTTCTGGATCCCATCAGAATAACCTGTACCTATGCAGACAGAAGAAAATATTTCATTAGGGTTATGTAACTAAACATTTCAAGGCTTTTCCTTTTATCTTTAAAAAAAAGTTTGAGTAGATTTTTTTTCATCTAACCATATCAAGTACTATAAACAATATACTGTAAAAATAACTAAGGAAACTATGTCTTCTTGAATTGTGATTTTGCCAACACAAAGAAATAGCTCATATTTTCATCTGTCATTGCTGGCTGGTTATGAGAATTAAAAGCAAGAATGTAATGAGAGGAACATGAACTTTTAACAATGATTGAATCACACTCTAGCCTTGCTCCAAGTCTGCTGTCACCAGCAAGATCTTGTTATGACAGTTTAAAATGTCTTTTCTGATAGCAGCGTTTGAGGGATTAATTTAAGATGAAATCTATACTTGCATGTACATGTAATGGGGGGGTAGTATGGGAGGTTAATAAATGTATATTTCTCATGGACTTTAAAAGAGAAGGACAAATTGTTTCTACTAAGCGAAAAAAACCAGATAAGAGAAAATATATGTGACATGAGTATTCAAAAATAACTCAATCCACTCTTGAAAATTAGTCTAGGTCTGCTAAAGCAATTCCTAAAAGAAATGAAGTCTGACTAAAATATCTTAGCCTACAGTCAAAGGAAAAATTCACTAGAAATAAAAAATATAACTTGGCACCATAATACTTCATATGTCTATGCCCCTAGGAATAAAAGAAGCTGGGAAAATGTGTGTAAAAATATTCTAAGCTCTGCTATTTTTCAGTAATACAGTATTACAAATATACTAAAGTCTAATCTATATTTGTTGAAATATAGTTCACCTTTGTATATCAGTACCAGCGTTAATATTTGATTCTCTTTACATATGAAGGAAAGAAATTACATAAAATCAAAATAACTGGACGATCACACTGTTTAACCCTTCTTTAGCATATTTATTACATCAGCAAATATTCTAAATCAAGGCTTACCGCCAATCCTGTGCTACACTCATGATTACTTTCTTTTACTCATTCTACACCATTTATTCTTTCTTAAACACCAGCATGTGACAGAAATCTTTGTTCTCTGCAGTGGGAAAAACCCGAGTTCTAGTCTCAGATCCACTGTTTACTAACTGACCTGAAACAAGTAGCTTGATGACTCAACCTTTCCTTCTTTAAAATAGAAGCGACAACAGCTCCCGTGTAAAGATGCTCTATCAACAGAAACATTATTTCCTTTAACCCATATATGTGACTCTTCTTTAATCTTCTTAGTCAAATGTTGATTCCAAATTTATTGTGAAAAATACTCAGATACTGATGGTTAGTATAAAAATGGGTATAGAACTTATGCCTCTGGACGATATCTTAGTTTTATATTTCATCTTTAAAAACATAAATATCAGGCCAGAAACCGTGGCTCGTGCCTGAAATCCCAGCACTTTGGGAGACGGAAGTGGGAGGATCGCTGGAGGCTAGGAGTCCAAAACCAGCCTGGGCAACATAGCGAGCCACTGTCCTCACAAAAAATAAATTAGCTGGGTGTAGTGGGTGAACACCTGAAGCTGCAATGAGCTGTGATTGCACCACTGCACTTTAGCCTCAGGAAGCCCCCCACCACCACACACACACACACACACACACACACACACACATCCTAAAACTTATACCTGGAGTCCTAAAACTTGGAGTGATTCTATTGATATACATGAATTGACAGCAATGTAACTCAAAATTAAATCATACCGATGTAACTTCAGATTTTATTCACTGGCATGTATTACCATACCCATGGAAGATCTGACTCATCATCTCTTATTTGCAAATTACTTCAGCTATGTGGGAACAATTTACAACCAATCATGCTACATATTAAAATTTCACAATACCCTGTCATCTGTCCCTGTCATCAAGAAGACCACTTCCTTCATACTAACTTCTGTTTTGTATTTTAAAACTGAGTACACAGTCTTCCAACACATTAAGAATAGAGCCTCTTAAAACAATTTGCTTTTAGATAATAATATAGTGAAAGAGGTTCAATGTGTAGAATATTATTTCCTCTTAATTGATGTCCTCAATGTTTTAATAGGTTTGACTAAACAGTTATTATCAAAGCTTCAACCCTGTCTTTGTCAAAATTCTTTCATTATTAATGTACTCCTTACAGTAATATCCTGTAGGGCCTTACAAACAAATTGTTGGAAAACTCCTAATTAAGAGCACGCTCCTAATCATAATGAAGGCCTGTGTCTAAAAGAGGCAAAAACAGGGTCTGAGAAGGGGGTTTTATCCATTCATATCTGAAGACTGGAAGTCATAAGTGTATTAACCTGGACTCTGGGATTGCAGACAAAAATCCAAGCTGACTAGTTTAAGCACAAGAGTAAACAGTAGGTGGAGTCTCATCCCTTCTGGTGTAACCCTACCACTGTGATCAAGATCATGTGCTATGGATTCTTCTTTTGGTTCCATTATCTTCTTTTGGCTGTGAAATCTTTGGCAAGTAAATCAAGCTTTCCTTCCTTGGCATCTCTAAAATGGGGACAGTATAAAAACCATCTCATGGAACTGTGTTAGGAGGATTACATGATTTAATACATGCAAAGCACTTAAAAATCGTCTAGCACATAATAAATGTTCAATAAATTGTATTAAAAGAACAAAGGTGAACCTGATTTTAAGAGAGAACCTGAAATGAAAGGACAAATGCCATCAGGACCCTCTTACTGTGTTTTCTACCTACATCTAAATCTTTCCCAGCTTCAGACAAACAGCTTAGCAACAATCTGTAGGAGTCCTTTTTCCTCAGATCAATTTAAAATATTTAAAAAAAATAGAACTCCTATTGGCCCATTTTAGATCCTGTGCCAATTCCCAGACTAGCTATTTTGGCTGTAGGTGGGGTTCTATGATTAGCATGGCCCAACATTCCAGTTTATACCTGTAGTTTCAGCATAATGACTAATAATGCACCCTCCCAGTCTCTAAAGTTTGCCTGTTTCCATAACATTACCTATTTAGCATTCTTGCCAAAATGTTTAATCTGGAGCTAATTATAAGAAAGAAATTAGAAAAACCCAGATTGTGGGACGTTCTGGATTAATATCATCATCATGGATTCTTGAAAAATGTCAGTTGCATAAATGATATTGAAAAGGAGATTTAAAAAGAATACAAAACATAATAACTGAATGAAATACATAATCCTGGGAAGTGGAGGAACACCTACAAAGAATGTTTGGGGAATAGCTGGGTGTGATGGCAATACTGGGCTTATGAAGAAGAATATTCTTTGTGTCTGTGAGATAATACACGCTGCAGTATTTAAGGAAAAAGTGTAATAATGTCTGCACCTTGCTTTCAGATGAATTGGAAAAAAGGACATATCGATAGAGAAAGAGCTATAGAACAAATGTCACAAAACGTTAACAGTTGTAGAATCTAGGTAATTCAGCATATTGTATTTATTGTATTATTCTTTTGATACTTCTGGTATACTTGAAATTTTTCAAAATAAAAAGTTGAGGAAAAAATGACCCCATTTGGATAATAAATTGTAACCCTGTCTATGACTAGACTAGCTCAAGTTTGTTGTCTACCCTTGAACAATTACCAATTATTGCCTGGCAGGGAAGCAAAGTCATAGAATAATATGACTAATCCCTTTCACAACATATGTTTAAAATACAGGGAATAAAAACACATTCCCAAAGAATTTGAAACTGGGGAAAAATCACTGCACATCAGGCAGTGACCAATTTATGTACTGTAACATGCAAATTATATATAATCCAAATGCTCTTGTCCTTCTTTTCCATTTATGAGAAAGAATAAGCTGAACTATTATCCTTTTAGCAAAGGAAATACCTCCTTCTCAATTGCTTCCCTGAAACTGCCAGTTACTTCCAAGTGCCTAACAGAAAAATTTCACTAGGGGAGGCTTAGGAATTCTTTCAATTACGGTCGTAAAATCTGAGTTCCACCCAACCTGAAAACTCTGGGCAGTTATCTCTTATTGCTGCTATTTCTATAGAGCCTCCTCTTCCAACCAAAGCATATCAGGACCTGCAAACTTTCCTGTCACAAAGCTTTTTTTTTTTTCCTGCCCCTCCCCCCACCCCTCCTCGAGACAGAGTCGCTGTGTTGCCCAGGCTGGAGGCCAGGCTGGTCTTGAACTCCTGACCTCAGGTGATCCGCCAGCCTCGGCCTCCCAAAGTGCTGGGATTACAGACGTGAGCCACCATGCCCAGCCTTTTTTTTTTTTTTCTTAACATTCAATAAATATTTAAACAATGCCTACTATTCTTCATTTTATAATTTTGCAAGGTATTTCAGAAGTAAGGCCGTCAACAGAAATCCAAGCTTGAATCTCCAATCTTGCATTTCTAAAGTGTCACTTTGGAAAAGTTACTTTACATATCTGAGCCTCAGCTGCACCATCTGTAAAATGAGAATAATCACTTTAATAATTTAAAATGATTTAATAATCATTTTAATAATCGCCTGCTTTTCAGGGTTGTTTTAAGTATTGGAAAGAAATACGGTAAAATATGTAATGGTTGTTTCTGTTTCTAAAATATGTAATGGGAATAATGATAATGACAACACACCTCCTGCCCTTAAGGAGCTCACTGTCTAGTATAGCCTGTCTCTTCTCACTCATGTTTGCTACTTACCCCAACTGTTAGAATTTGTGTCCAAAGCAAGTCAGTGTTCCTCTGTGTAGGCAAGTACAACATAAATATACAGGTTTTTGATGTCTGAGGCAATCTAATTGCACAGCATCCTTTTCTTATTTGCTTTTTGCTTTGTTTTTTAAACACACCCCAATCAAAATGTATTACAGTGCATCAAGTTCTTAAACAGGCATTTCAGATCTTTCTATGTAAAATATACTTTCTCTTTGCACAAAGATAAATATTATTCTATTAAATTAATTTAGATTTTTTTTTCCAGCACTGGATATATCTACATGTTTTTGAGAATAAGTAAGACCTTGCTACACTTGCTACAGAGTAATACATCACCAGTAAAACAGAAAACACCAGCTGGTGTATTATCTGGTGAAAATCCATTTTTTCCCAGATTATAGTCTTTGTTAGCAGTAAATGTGAAATAGATAGAAAGAATGTAGTTAAGTTATCTGATAGGAGGTTTGGATTCACAAAATCTGAAGAAAATTATTTTGGTTAGGAAATTTTTAAAAACCTCAATATCAGTGCATGAAACAATATGCAGTGACTAAAAGTCTCTAATTTTTGTTCTGCATTGAATATGGGGATTTCAAATACAGATTGGGAACTAGTCAAGGTTGAAGAACACAATTTATTCATCTGTATACCACAAATATTCTAATACAGAGGTAAAGTTGGATAAACTAGATGACCACTAAATAAAAGGAAAAGTGCTGTAGGATGTCAGAGGATAGAACCAAGAATAGCTCCAGGAAAGAGAGGCTCTTCATATGTCCTTTGGAAGATGGGTAGAATTTTTAGAGTGGAAAAGGGGAAGAAAAGGGCATTCCACATGGAGATAATGGTGCAAACAATGAAAAATGCAGAACTTTTTCCAGGAACAGAAAGTAGGAGAGTCTGGCAAGTATTTATGGTAGGTGAAGAATAATAATAAAAAATTAAAAGCTGAAAACATAGATGGGACTGTCACTGCCATGCTAAAGATTTTGGATTCTATTCCAAGGCCTTCAAATATTTTGCTCAAATATACCTCAAAGAATTTTGAAAAAGCTGTATACTTCCTTGTACAATTTTGTCTTTACAATGATGTTATATTTTATATCATAAATAGTTTAAATACTTGCAAGAATATAATTTCCAGGAACATTATAAATGCTGACTTAAAAAAATGCTTGCTACAGCATTCTTTTAATGTATCCATTGGAATTCAAAATCATTTATTTGAAAAATATATGCTCATGTTCTGTTAGAAATTCTACAGTTTGTTTTTCTTTCTTGAACTCCTGTTTTCATTCCCTTTCTTCCATAGAATTTTATCCTAAAATTCCCCAGTCTTTTTTCAATCACACTTTTTTACTTCTCTGAAACAAAAATATGTTTGAGATGTAAAGGAAATTTATTTCCTGTTACCAAAAATGTTCTACAGTAAATTATCATTACAATGATTATCAGAACACAATTGGTTAAAACATAAATATTTGACAAATTTTGATAAATCATTATTAAATATAAAAGTAAAAATATTATTAGAAATGTATTCCTCAATAAGATAGATGTGCCTTTTTATTCATTTTGTTTGCACATGTCTTTATTGGCACTTGATTTA
Source organism: Homo sapiens (assembly GCF_000001405.40). NCBI lineage: Eukaryota > Metazoa > Chordata > Mammalia > Primates > Hominidae > Homo > Homo sapiens. Next base: position 19,889,791 of record NC_000012.12, on the reverse strand, counting down.
TAATCTGACTAGTTATATAGTCTCATTTAAACATCATTTTCCCTCATTATTTTAAAGGCACTGCACCATTGTCTGCCTTTTTTTTTAGATTAAGCCTTTTTAAAAAACTTATTTCACGTATAAGTGGATGAATATTATTTATCACAAAAAGTAGATTCAGCATCAATTCTATGCCTTAGTTTTTGCTTTTATAGATGTTTATAAGCATCATATAAATAAGTATATGAGAGTGAAATGAGTTCTATTATAGAAATATCATGTAATTCTCTGGACCTTTGGGTTATATGGCAGAAATCACAATGATCTATCATAAAAAATTATTTGGAACTATCATCTAACAATTCAATTAGATTCACCTTAATTTTATTCACAGCAAGGGATGAGATACTATCTTATCAACAAGAGGATGTTATTAGAGTCCAAGCTGCCACTTTTTTAACACCAGAAATTCTGCAACCTGGGCTAATGCACAGGATTCAGGATGAGTAGGCTAGGCATTTCTTTTGTCAGGTCGGAGACGGGCAATTGTATAAGAAATCACTGGAAAGGAAAACTCACAAATTGCATCCCATCTTCACAGCAGGCAGGTCAATTTGAAAAAAATTGACAATTTGGATACTAATAATCATAAAATTATCTATGCCTAAGTATCTCTTGAGAAGTCTTTGTAAGCCTCCCGCAACACGTGTACCCCAGTCAGGATACTGCTGCAATAGGGGACAGCTGACAGGTTTTGAGCAAGGAAGTAATACGATAATAACTATGCTTTGGAAATATTAAGCTAGAAGCAATATACATATTGGATTGAAAGGGGAAACTGTTCAAAGCAGGGAGATAAGTGGAGACCTTATTACAATAGATCAGGAAGTATTAATATTAAGGAGCATGTGAACTAAAATATTAACTTTGAAATAGAAAGGAGCAGAAGACATTATAGAATAAGAATCAAAATGGTTTAGTAACCATCAATTCTAGTGCTACCCTTTGGGGTCATAAATCATTGAATATGCTTGTGACCCCTCTCTGCCCTTTAAATATGTGAAAATTACTTTATATTTCTCCTAAACATTTTCTCATCTATGAGCTAAATATGCCCAGTTCCTTTCACTGTACTTCATATGACAGAGATATTAACTCATCTTCTTGGTCTCTTTCTTGCCCACGAATGGCTTACCCAAGTGTGACTCCCCCAAAAGAATACAACCTTATACATGTCATATCTGCCAGTGGAGAATACAGCGGGAAACTCACCTTCCCTCTTCTGGATGCCACAACTAAATGCAGTGGAGACAGAGGGAGCAAAAGGTCAAATAATATGAATATCCTATTAGTAAAAATAATCCAAGAAAATGGCATGACTTCACTGCACTGTTGCCTTCCATTTACATATACCTTTCATACTCTAAAGTTTCCATCTTACAAAAAAGCAGAAATGTTAAGTATCCTTAAGACATTCACCATTTGAATTGCCAGTTTCCAATTCTCAACAATCTTACCCAGAAATCAAAATCTTTTTTTTTTTTTTTTTTTTTTTTTTTTGAGACGGAGTCTCGCTCTGTCGCCCAGGCTGGAGTGCAGTGGTGCGATCTGCAAGCTCCTCCTCCCAGGTTCACACCATTCTCCTGCCTCAGCCTCCCGAGTAGCAGGGACTACAAACGCCCGCCACCACGCCCGGCTAATTTTTTGTATTTTTAGTAGAGACAGGGTTTCACCGTGTTAGCCAGGATGGTCTCTATCTCCTGACCTCGTGATCCGCCCGCCTCGGCCTCCCAAAGTGCTGGGATTACAGGTGTGAGCCACTGCGCCTGGCCCAGAAATCAAAATCTTAAATTATGACATAAGAAACACTAATGCTTTAAGAAAGTCAGCTCAATTTTGTTATCTAAATAATCTGAAGCAAAAACATTTCAATACTTGCACAATCCATTCATTTACTTAAACTCTGAAATGCTAATGAACATCATGTGAGATAAGATAGTGTTCCCCTCTCTCTGGGAAAAGTTCAAGCAAAGAAGACAAAAGGAAAGATTATCCCCAAAATAGAAAACAAAACAATGTTTTAGATCCAGACAAGTGTTTATACCTTGATATGCTATTTGCAATATTTCAAAGAAAAAATAAGTTTGACCAAAAAGAAAACAAAACTTTCATTTTTTCTGTCCTTTTTTATTATTAGCAAATCACTGAAGCGGAAGTCATATTTTCTAAATTCCTAGAAGAGAGGAATCTTTATTTAGAGCAGAAGTAGTGAAGTGTTAAAGGCTCTTGCACAAGTCTTAAATACAATGAACCCCAAACCACGGGTTTAGTTTCTCTCATGGCAAAATGAAATGCTCAAAATCTTAGGAGTCCAGGGATGACTGGCAGAAGCAGTGGAAAGTTCAAACATAAAGTCTGGAAGAATGAGATTACAGTTTCTAACATTTTAAATGTTTTCATTTCTCAAAAGAACCAAATTTTCATATGGTTTAAACTGACCTTTCTTTATGATCTTAAATAGGTCCCTTAATTGTCCACAACTAAACTTTCTCCATTCAAACCTTCTAGATACCCAAAAGACACTGAAAACAGATTTGATACACAGTTTTTTAGTTCCTTGGAGGCAGACAAAACTTGTAATCAGGATATTGCTATTGACCTTACTCCTGCTATGTATTTTAAACAATTCCTGTAAAGGAATTTGTGAAGAATAGGAGTAAAGTCCTACACAGTTTAAAAAAAAAAAGTTTTTAGAGGAATTAGGCCCAATTCTTATTGCCAGCCAAGTTTAATGGCTAATAAAATTACAGAGCTCAGCTTTCATCTGCTGATTCATCATCTTCCTCTTATCTTAATAATTGTTGATAAAGAATGTGCACTTTTAAGTTTAGAGGGTAAAGTGGAAGAGGAAAAATATGGCTACCACGACATTAACGTCTGCAGCCAAATAAACATTATAAATATTTAGTGGTGTTACAAAAGACTGTGAGAACATTTTAACAAGTATTTCCATGAGCAAGCCTACTGGGATGCTGGAAATATTCTTTATCTTGATCTGAAAGGTGGTTGCATGGACGTATACACGTATACAGATTAGCCAGTTACATTTTAGGCACTTCACTCTACGTAAGTTATATCTCAATAAGGAAGGGGAACATATCTACAAGTTGATCTTGTCTCAGTGACTCTAAAATTCACTTTTTGTTTGTTTTGCTTTGTTTGGAGTTAAGCCCTTCAGAGCACATAGGTCCTCCGTGGGTTTTATGCACCAATGACATTTATGCTAAAACTCTAAAACACTCTTGAATGTCCCTTTCAAGAGTGTTTTAGACATCCCTTCCAGTCTCAACAAAGTTCAGAAAACAGAAGCCAACGCTTGACTTACAAATGGACAGAATAGTCACCTTTGTTGTGACTTGTGTTATACCAAATGATTACTGTGCTCAAAAGTCCTTTCAACCAACCTGACAGAACCTAGAAATTTCCACCCTTAGTCAAACCTTTGGGTAAACAGCCTGAAGTATTTTGTTAAAATGCCAATTTTTTTCAGTTTTCCAAAGTCACCTAAAAGAGATTTAAAGGAAGAGAACATTGGGCAAGTGTTTATTGGTGTGTTATAAAACACACTTCATGAAGGGTATAGTCCAAAGGCCATACCAGAACGTTGTTTAAACATTCGCAGAGAAGAGTAACGTGGTAGGGTGGGAGGGAGGAGAGAGAAGCAAAATTCAATTTTTTCCTGCCAATACATGGAGAGATTATTCAAATACTAGCAATGCCACCAGCCCATCCCCTCATCACCAGGGATACCTGCTGGAATTCTGAGTGTGGAAGGCATAGAGAAGGGCAAGAGGAAGGGGGAAAAATAGTTTCTAAAAATTTTTCAGGCCTACTGAAGAAGAAACCACACTGGAATAATGAGCCAGGAAACCCAGCTTCAGTCCCAACTCTGTCACTACCTGGCTGTGCAGTTATCACTTAATTTCTCCCCTTTGCCATTTTTTCATCTATAAAAGGAAGAGGTGGAACAAAATGATATATAAGCCCAAGGATTCCAAGTGCTCCCGGTCTTGCTGAATTATAATATCTCCTACTGTGTCCTGTTGGGTTCTATAATTTTTCAGTAAGAAGAGAAATGTTTCCACTTGGAATAGGAGGTTCTCGTTGTTTATTTTCATGTCTACCGTAGCAACATTCAAACATGCTGGGATCACAGAAATGTCTGGCTCTCTCCCCAGTGTGCTCTTGCTGGCATGTTTTCCAAAGAAGCAGACTTAAAACAATGAAATACAAAATCAGGGGAACTTTCTACATCTCCCCCAAGATTTGGAATTGGCCTATGTTAGTATTTTTACCAGTGGTACCATTTTTCTTCAAGTTTTTTGTATTGGAATTCAAAGGCGAATATTTCCAGGTGATATTCATTGAATTTTACCAAAAGTGTGTGCTCTTTACACTTAAAATTATGAGCATTATACTATTTCAGAGGGTAAATCTGTGAACAGAGTTAAAACCGCACAGTTAGCAAAAACCCAAGGGTTTTCAGTACGAGTTCTTTTCTGTACATTTCAAAGCAAGTCCTCCAAAAAATGCTATTCTTAACGGGTTAGAATGCAGCTTGCAACATGAGAAAGACCTCAAGGAGTTTGACATATATTCTGTCAATGACGATAACATCCAATGACAGAGGATGCAAAGTGTTGCAGACCTGTGGATGTGAAAGTCCTGTCACGTTATCTAGGACCATACACTATCAAAATTACTCAGACACACAACAAATGCATGGAAAAATAAAAATTCGGCATTGCTCCTGTTCAGAAAACAAATTTCAGAGATAGGATCAGGACCTTAGGGACTGTGGCATCCATCAAATGATGGACAAAGCATGGTTCTATTTTATTTGCTAAGCACTGCCCAGGCGGGCTGGTGTCCATCCACTTCTGCCCTCAGAAACACCTGCCCTACCCCTGGACTGGAGTTGAAAGAGGTGGGCAAGAAGGGGCACAAGAAAGTTGGTTTAAAATAAAAATTTTGGCTAAAGATGTGGGATCCAGAGGTAACCGGAAAGAACCCTCAGTTGTCTTTATTCTGACACTGGCACCATAAATATACTCCATGAAATTCTACCAATGCTATCAGAAAAACAAAAGAGGCAATGGTATGTTTAAGTTGGTAGTAAGGTCTGTTTAATATTTTGTTTACCAATTTCATTTGTGTTTTCACAATGAAAATGCAAAACTAAATTTTACTACCCAGCATGTTTGCTAAAAATAAATGCATAGTTTAATAATAAGCTTATTTTCAACTGCATACTGTTCTCTTTTCTGTAAATCCAGTCCTAAGCAACCCTGATTTTAAATTGAAAGGGAAGTTCACTCTCCTTTTTGTGTAATTTCTAAAAATAGTTTGCTTAGCTAAATATGTAGGTCCTGCAGAATTGGCTAGATTTATGAAACATTCTTTAATAAACCAAACAATGACTATATAAAAAGCAGATGCAATACCTTTGTAATTCAATTTTATAGTTTAAAAATATTCTACATGGAAGTGCCAAATTCTGCCCTACAGAGACACAGGGCTCCCACTGACGTCAATGAGAGCCAGGCACCCACAAAGGAGGGCAAAACTATGCCCTGAGCACTTAAATTTAGTAATCCATTAGGCGCGGTGAGGAAGAAAAAGATCAGCTCAAATACCTCTCATCAGCATTTAAATTTGCCAGTGTTAAATGCTCTTGGAAGCATGTTTAAACCTACAGAGCTTATAGATGTAGGAAGAAACACAGGAGCAGAAGGATTTTTTCACATAATAATTTAATTGGAATTTTATGTACACTTCTATTCCCAAGGATAAGTATGCCTTTATTCCTTCTCAGACATTTTTTTTTAACCATTTCAGATGACTGAAGAGTCTGATTTCCTAAAATAAAAGGTAGAACTTGTGGTTGTATACACAAGGAAAAGTGTCTTTCCTTAAATGAGTAAAAAGAGGATTTATACATAACTAATGACTACTTCTGAGGTAAGCCAGCACTCCTGTATTCACTTGAATTAGAAAAGGGAAAGATAATGGGAAAAGAGAAATGTTACAAGTTGCAAAATCGAGTGATATTTCCAGGGAAGCCACTTACTTCCTGTAGAACTTTAGTGCCGCAACTTACAGTGAGCTATTATCTTAACTGTACATTGTTGAAATAAAGTGAGGATGCAGTACCACACTTTAAATGTAAAAGCACTTTAAAGAATTAAATGTATCCTAGAAAAATGAAGTAGTAGTAGCAGAAACATCATCTGGATATAGTCTTGAAATTCAAAGACTCTACTATTAATGACATTATCTTGCCAGATTCTGTCATTAATGGAATTTTCCACAAGAGAGTTAATTCCCTGACTGCTCTGTAAATTTTAAAAATCTTTGAGTCACACCAGCTGAGTTTAGTTTTAAAGCATGACAAGAGGTAGACAATCTTTTCCTCAACTATATCTTCCCTCTTTCTAGTCTCTTCCCTTTTTACTTCTTGCTGCCAGAATAATCTTACTAAAACAATGTGCTTCTCAGTGAAAATACTTTTACTGCCTCTCCAATTAACCACAGAGCAAGTCTGAATGCCGTAAGCTAAGAACCAAGGTTCTCTTTAATTTGGACCCCACTCTCCAGTAGCCAATCTGCACTATTCATAGTCCTCCTATAAAGGCCTCCATACTCACCCTTCCTGTGCCTTTGCCACTTTGCTCTGTCTGCCAACAACCACATCTCTAGAGGTCACCGTTTAGATTTATTTCAAAGTCAGATTCACAAATCACCTTCTCTACAATGTCTCCCACAATCTCTTGCTCCCAGCTAGAAGTACATTATTCCTCAACTGAACTCCGCCATAGCAGTTACCTTGTACTTCCCTTACTGCATGAATGACTTTCCTTTCAGTTTTAATTACTAATGTGTGATTTATTTTTCTTATTAGCCTATACACCCCTTATAGGCAAGTTGTATATTTAATTCATACTTTTTTAATCATAAAATACCTAGACTAATAATTTACTAGCATTACAAGAGTCAAAGATATTTGCCAGCAATGAAAAGGATTGGTATACAATGTTATAATTATTGTTGGGAAAACAATCATTATAACCCAAGTCAAAATAGAGTAAAATGCTGGCTCCATCTCAAGAGTGGTCAGAGAGCCAAGGAGGACTATAAAATGTTCTGGCGCAAGTGGCTTCTAGTCTGGCAACAGCTTGCAGTGAGAATTTCCTCCCTGGGATCATGACTTTAAATGTGAAAACATCATTTGTTATATTATTACTGGTGAAAGATAAAGAGAGAGGTAGCTGAGGAGACATCTGTGCTATCACCACCTAATCCTCACAACTCATCTGAATGCTGCTCTCACTGACTTGAGAAGCACGGTAGTTTTATAAAAGACAGACTCACAATAATGCATACGAGGAAAGTTCTTCTTCTTTTCCCTGACACAAGCAAGTCCATGACACAGTATTCTATCTCTTGTTTCTGTCCCCTAGGGGACTGAGAATCAGAGACCTTGGGCACAAAACCAGGTAAAAGACAAGAAATATGATGCCTTGGTCAGATGGCTGCTAATTAGTTTAAAGGAAACAGTTTTCAGAGGAAGTAATCAATTGAGATGCCATTGGAGATCCCTTAACCATTTCCAGCCCAGTGGAACCTGATCAGCTGATTCACCTGTCACACTTATGGAGCATGCAAATACTGAGACTACCTTTTCAGGGTTTCTGGTTTAGTGAAAGAGTCCTAGAGATTGAGCATTTGTACTTTTAAAAAGCACTCAGGACACTCTTTTGCATCAACTGGAGATAAAGATTCAAGTTGAGTTTAAAAGCTATTTTCCTTTTAAATTCCAGTACCCTCATGTAGTAAAACTAGATCATTGTGTCAACAACATAAAATGTCCAATCATGGCTACTATGTTCACCAAAGTAAGGCAATCAGAATAAACAGTGGATATATACAAGATAAAAATATTTTATTGAGTGTATTATTGATTAATCAGTTATACTCGCAGGCAGAATTTGCAAGGAGGGGGCATGTATATAAAAGCTAAGGAAAGTTTGCTAACCTAAAAACAAAACTACTTTTACTTTTTTTTTTTTTTTTTTTTTGAGACAGAGTCTCTCTCTGTCACCCAGGCTGGAGTGCAGTGGCACGATCTCAGCTCACTGCAACTTCCGGGTTCAAATGATTCTCCTGCCTCAGTCTGCCGAGTAGCTGCGACTACAGGCTCATGCCCCCATGCTCGGCTAATTTTTTGTAATTTTTAGTGGAGACAGGGGTTTCACCATATTAGCCAGGATGGTCTCGATCTCATGACCTCATGATCTGCCCGCCTTGGCCTCCCAAAGTCCTGGGATTACAGCATGAGCCACCGCACCCAGCCTCTTTTATATTTTGTAAGAGAATCACCTCTCTGGCCGTAATACAATAGAATTTCATTAATACAATCAATACTTTTGTTTTGAAACGACACTGTGTTAAGTAGGTAAAGTACGACATACATATTTATCAGATCACTTAGGATATTCCATGCAGCACACAGCTGCCTAATTCATTTCTCTCTGCTCCATTTTCCAAATTTGCATAAGTAAAAAGGCATATGTAAGGCTTATTTTTTCCCGCAAATTCTACTGTTTTCTCTCTCCTCCTCTTCTCCAATTATTTCTTTCTTTGCCTTTACTATTAGAAGCAACAACTGAGTCTCATCATTTAGATGTTGTTGCTAGAAGAAGCCACTGTGAATTATACATTTGAATCTAATCTAATCTATCTATAATGCCTGAGCCTTACAAAACTTGGCTGCAAATAGCATTCTCTCAAAAGGTATTTAGTCCTTCCTGCTGCATGTTTTCTGTCTGTTGTATTACTTAAAAATGAAGCAATGGAAGATAAGATGGTGCAAGTTATTCATAATGTAGAAACTTGCAAGAAGCTATGCTTCAGGTTTGTTCATTATCATGTTGCTATTTGGAACAATTTTCTCTTTTCTTCTTTCAATCAGATCAAAATTTTGTCACAGCTCTGGTTAGATTTTCCATATGTAAGACTTTTCCCTTTTCCCAATCATCATCAACATTGCTGTATTTCCTAACTCAACATGTCTTAAAGTTTACTTAAAAGGAAATTATTCTCCATTTAGCTATATTAGATAGGGACCAGAGTGATTCTACAGTAAAAGTAAGCAAAAAGCAATAGTTATAAAAACAGAGAGAAAAGTTAGCCTTGCTTAACAAATTTCTTCTCACTCAGTCTAAGTAAAGGTTATTGTAATATTATAGGATAGAGGGTGTATAAGCCAAAGAAAAGTAAGAACAAAAGGAAAAGCAAAGAAAGTATCACCCAGGAGACACCAAATCAAACAGGCAATTCTAAACCATTCCAATATCAAGTTGAGCCTCTCAGCAATTTCTAGCTCATGTGATAGCATTTTAAATATGCTGCCCATGGCTTAGTACAAAGTCAAACACTACTTGGAACTCATCAAGTCAACTCCAAAAGTTCTGATGCCACAAAAATCCTTCTTCAATTCTTTCTCTGATTACTATCTCTTCCTGCCTTGAGGTCAAAAATGACAAAGCAGAAAAGGGTCACATAGGTGGGGAAAATAAGGCACAGTGATCTCATATGTAGAAAATGAGGCAAGAAAGGAAAATCATCTCCTTAAATAAGCTTGTGCACCAACTAAAAATGACCAGTGTGGGAGGCCTATAGACCAGGTATATTTTACACACACACACAAATTTTATCTTCGTCTACTAGGTGAACTTGACCTATACCTGGTTTTAACTTGCTCACATAGGCTTGAACAATAAAAACACAAAAGTCAACTCCAAGAATGCTAATGATTTTGCATTTACCTTTGTCTCAATACTTCCTCCTAAAATGGTCTAGAAAACATATATGCACATACATGTAACTGTACATGCCTAAAGCAGGGTATCTTTTAGCTGGAAATATTTAACAAATATTTCGGTGAAAAAGAAAAAGAAAAAGGGAAAGTAGGAATAATGTCATCTTATCAAATGTAATGGGTTTTTTGGTGGGGAGGAGGTTGTTTTTTGTTTGTTTTCTTAGAGACAAGGTCTTGCTTTGTCACCTAGGCTGAAGTGCAGTGACACAATTATAGTTCACTGCAGCCTTCAACTCCTGGTCTCAAGTGATCCTCCCACCTCAGCCTCCCAAGTAGCTGGGACTACAGGCATGTGCCACCATGCCTTGATGATTTTTTAAAATTTTTTGTGGAGACGGGGGTCTCACTATTATTGTCCATGCTGGTCTTGAACTCCTGGGCCAAAGTGATCCTTCCACTTCAGCCTTTCAAAACAATGCAATATTAAAAATTGGTTATATTATTAATAATTATATAACACTTTTTCTATTATTAATAATCATATAATAAATATGTTTCCATTAGACATAGGCACTATGGTTACACATATGTGTTTCAGTCTATGTCTATGTGTGTCTCTGTGTACACACCGTTTGTCCCAGTATGGCTTATCAGCCCTTTTTTTATGAGTGCAATGTTGAACATTTCTGCCCAAATGGAGTCTTATTTAGTAGGCAAACGTTCTAAAATACAAATCTCCTTATGTGATTTCCCCACTCCTAATACCCAGAGGAAAGAATCCAAACATTCTTCTCTGACTATATCCCATCATTTCTTTTTCTATTTCATAGCAACCTATTAGAAATAGAGCTACAATTACTCCTACTTGAAACTTCTTATGCCAATCTCAGGCATTCAACCACTTTATCTGGCCAATTCTTGTTTATCCTTCAAGACAATGCTTTATCCTGGAAGCCCTTCCTGATTGCTTCTTCCCTCAACCCAGACTGGACTGCCCTTCTTTTGTGCATCCAGAATATAAGATGACTTGTTAACACTACCTCATTATTACCTGTTCACTCCTATATCTTTTAACTAGATTTTAATCTCTGTGATGATGTCCACTATATGGTATCATCTCTATTCTTAAGGCCTAACAATGCCTAGAATGTAGTAGATGATCAACAAACATTTGTTAAATTACTAAATGAAATCTCAGCTGATTCACTTGCAAACAATTTACATACCAAATAGATAAAACAACAAAAAATATAGAAAATCATGGAGTCCAAAAACCACTTTACAATTAGATGTATATTAAACTTCAAGTTTAATGACAATATACATATATAGCTATATATTTGTAAATATATCTGACAATAAGCCTTCCTAAACTTCAGTGTCCTTATGAATATCTCTCAAATTTGTACTATCATTTAACTTCATTACAATTATTTGAAAAAGTATCCTTTTTTTCCCCCAATATGAATGTATCTTAATGACAGGGCTATTTCTTCCTTATTTGTGTGTCTCTAAGTCCTAGGTCTGTTCCTACTATACCAGTAATCCTTAATAAGTGATGGTAAATTAATGTCGCTCACTTATTCTTCATTCTTAATCTCTTTAACATAACTTCTTATATAAATGAGCCTAAATCTCAAGTCAGTAGGAAAGCAGATTGCAGTAAAAGAATTTCTAGCCCCCTTATTTCAAAAAGTCCTCTGTGTATAAACACTCTGGTTTGAGAAAGCACCACATTTTTCTCCTGGTTTTTAATGTATATGCTGCTGTATGTGTGTTTACCACATCTCCCAAGGACTTCCAGTCCTTAGCTTACATTATCTCAATAACATCATGAAATTTTGAACGGTACAAAGCAGCTATTTCTCCGATCACTGTTTAAGACAGAGCTAGTATAACTTCTTTTCCTACAATATCTTGTATTGTGAACACAGTGCAAATGCTCAATATAGACTTCTGTGTGACAAAGAAAACAGTCGACTTTCAAACTAGTGTCTCAAGTCACATCTTTCTTTCTTCTAATTCAGGCCAATACAAGTTAAGTGCAATGTCGATTTTCTGCCTAAGTGGCGCTAACCAACTCTCTGAAAGCTTTGCTCTCATGATTCCCTTTGCCACATCAACAATGTTTTATGATGGATGACCATGTTTTAACTTAGGCATATATATCACACGCCCCCACCTTTTGTGAATGAGAGATGACGTGATGACTTCCAAGTCTTCACCCTTCTCCAACTCCAGTGGTAGCACCATGTGCACCTGCTGTCTGGGAAGAGTCAGCTGAAGGTGGCAGAGTGCTTGCATTCACTGTGTTTAAGGAAGGAGCTCAGGCAAGGGGTGCTGGAGGTGGAATCCCTTGCAAGCAATCTGCCACAATTAGAGCAACAGTATTCATATTATCCTAAGAAAAATGCTTAAATGTGGCAGTTTTCCAAGATAGATTCCTTTTCAGAAACCAGATTGATCTGAGTAGAGTCCTTTTCCAAATTTTAGACACTCCTCAAGGTTCAGGTAGCTTTTGTCAGAGTCCTTATCCAGACTAAACCAAATCTCAGTTCCTATCCTAAAGTTCCTCAAGGCTTTTTTTTCTGGATCCCACTGAGTTTTCTCTTACAAAAAATCCATCACCACACAACAGCTCTTGTTATCGACCTCATCAAATATGAAAAGGCCACTACTGAAGCTCTTATAAGGAGTTCCAATCTAAATAAAAGGCAAAAAATATATAAATAAAGGCATAAAGATCAAAAAGAAAGTAAAACTGTCTCGATAAGGAGATAACATGATTATTTACATAGAGAAAGCTAAGGAATAAACACACACACACACGAACAAAGTCAGAAATAGAGCTAGATTGCAGGGTATGAGGTCAATAAGCAAAAGTAAATTGTGCTTCTATATTATAGCAGCAAACAAATGGAAATTTTAATTTAAAAATAATTCTAGAATAAAAATGAAAATACAACTTTTCAAAATGTCTGTAATCCAGCAAAAGCAGTGCTTAGAGGGAAATTTATAGTATTCAATGCATATATTGGAAGAAAAAAAAGATCTAAAACCTTCCAAGTGTCTAGACCTTGTAAGTAGACAATTAGAAGGTTTTAGAAAACCAGAAAAAGAAGAGCAAATTAACTCCCAAGTACACAAAAGAAAAGAAAGAATAAAAATTAGCACGGAAATCAATGAAATCAAAGATAGGAAATCAATAGAGAAAATCAACAAAATCAAAAGATGACTCTTTGAAATGATCAAGAAAATTGATAAGCCTATAGTCAGGCCAAGAAAAATGAACAGAAGACACAAATTATTAACATCAGAAATTAAAGTGAAGACCTCACTACAGATCACATAAACATCAAAAGGATAGCAAAGGAATACTGTGAAGAATTCTGTGCCCACAAATTTGATAACCTAGAGGAAATGGACCAATTTCTTGAAAGACACAGTCTGCCAAAACTCACACAAGAAGAAACAGATTATCTGAATAGCCTCCTATCTATTAAGGAAATTGAATCAACAGTTAATAACCTTCCAAAACAGAAAGCACCAGGCCTAGATGAATTCCTTGGTGAGTTCTACCAAACACTTAAGAAATTCTGACAATTCTCTACAATCTTTTTCAAAGGATAGAGGCACACGGAATAGTTTCTAATGTATTCTATGAGGCCAGAATTACCCTAATACCAAAACCAGCCAAAGATACTACAAGAAAAGAAAACTATAGACCAATACATAGATGCTAAATAAACATAGAGATAGAAATCCTCAACAAAATCTTAGCAAATAGAATTTAACAATGTATGAAAAGTACTATATACCACAACCAAGTGGGAGTTATCCCAGATATGCAAGGCTGGTCCAACATCTGAAAATCAATTAATGTAATATAATACATCATATCAACAGGCTAATGAAGAAAAATCATATGATCATATCAATAGATGCAGAAAAAAATATTTGACAAAACCGAACACCCATTCAGGATAAAGACTCTGCAAACTAGGAATATACAGGAACTTTCTTAACTGGATAAAGAGTACATACAAAAAACCAACAGCTAACATCATACTTAATGATGAGAAACTAGAATCTTTCACGCTAAGATCAGAAACAAGGCAAAAAATTCCCCCTCACCATTCTCTTTTAACATTGTACTGAAAGTTCTAGTAACGAATACAATGGCAGTAAGTATAGTTTGCTGCCATTGCCTTGATTCATAGTAAGGCACCAACAATTTTACCTATTATTGCTTTTACACAATCAGTACTAATATCAATTTAGTGAAAAAAATAAATTTTATTTTAGTATTATTATGAAAATAATTTGGCCTCACAACCCTCTGGAAGAATTTCAGAAACCCCCATGGATCTGGGGACCATACTTTGAAAACCACGATGATGGGCAAATAGAGCAATAAAACAGAATAGAAATTTAAGAAATATATTCACACAAATACATTTAATTGATTTTCATGGCACCAAGGCAATCGATGGAGGAAAAAATTTTTTCAACAAATAAAACTGGAATAATCACATATACACATTGGGAAAAATGACCCTTGACCCTACCTCAAACCATACATAAATAACTAATTTGAAATAGATCATAAACCTAAATTTAAAAGCTGAAACTATAAAACTTCTAGGAGAAGCCTGTAATCCCAGCACTTTGGGGCACCGAGGCGGGTGGATTGCTTGAGGCCAGGAATTTCAGACCAGCCTGGCCAACATGGCAAAATCCCATCTCTGTTAAAATACAAAACAAATAACCAGGCATGGTGGCAGACGCCTCTAATCCCAGCTACCTGGGCAGCTGAGGCACGAGAATTGCTTGAACCCAGGAGGCGGAGGTTGCAGCGAGCGGAGAGCATGCCACTGTACTCCAGCCTGAGAGAGACTCTGTCTCAAAAAAAAAAAAAAAAAAAAATCTTCTGAGAGAAAATTTTGGGCTAAAGAATCTTCTAAAAGAATTAATCATAAAAATTATCCAACTAAAAACTTCTGCATGGCAAAGAAAACAATCAACAGAGTGAAGAGGCAACCTACAGAATGAGAGAAAATAGTTGCAAACTGTACATATGATAAGGGGTTAATATCCAAAATACATGGAACTCAAACTGATTTCAAAACGGGTAAAAGAGCTGAATAGATTTTTCTCAAAAAAAAGACACATAAATGGCCAAGATATGTATATTTAAAAATGCTCAACATCACTAATCATGCAAATTAAAACCACAATGAAATATCACTAATATTTGCTAGAATGGCTATCAACAAAAAGACAAAAGATAACAAACATTGGAGAGGATGTGGCAAATCTTCTCAATATTGCACACTATTGGCGGGAATGTAAATTAGTATATCCATTATGGAAAACAGTATGTAGTTTCCTCAAAATGTTAAAAATAGAACTATCATATGATCTAGGAATTCCATTACTGGGTACATATACAAAGGAAATGAAATCAATAGTATGTCAAAAAGATAGCTGCCCTCTCCTATGTATTGCAGTGTTATTCACAATAGCCAACATATGGAAACAACCTATGTTCATCGATGGATCAATAGATTTAAAAAACATGGTATACACACACAAAGAAATTCTATTCCGTAATTAAAAAGAAGGAAGTCCTGTCATTTGTGACAACATGGACAAACTTGGAAGACATTTTTTAAGTGAAATAAACCAGGCACAGAAAGCAAAATACCACATGATCTCAAATTTATGTGGAATCTAACAAAGCTGATCTCATAGAAGTGGAGAGGAGAATGGTTACCAAAGGCTGAGGTGGTTGAGGTCAGGGGTGGAGAGATGTTAGTGAAAACCATACAAAATTCCAACTAGATAGGATGAATAAGTTAAAGAGACCTATTGTGCAAAACACTGACTATAGTCAACAACATATTGTATTCTTTTCTTTTTTTTTTTTTTTTTTTTTTTTTTTTGAGACAAAGTCTCACTCTGTTGCCCAGGCTGGAGTGCTGGAGTGCAATGGCATGATCTTGGCTCATTGCAACCTCCACCTCCCAGGTTCAAGTGATTCTCCTTCCTAAGCCTCCCAAGTAGCTGGGATTACAGGAACCTGCCAACACACCCAGCTAATTTTTGTATTTTTAGTAGACCGGCTTTCACCAAGTTGGCCAGGCTGGTCTCCAACTCCTAACTTCAGGTGATCCACCCATCTCGGCCTCCCAAAGTGCTGGGATTACAGGCGTGAGCCACCACGCCCAGCAACGTATTGTATCCTTAAAAACTGCAGAGTGGATGTAAAGTATTCTCCTTACAAAAACAGTAACTATGTCAGGTACTGTCTATGTTAATTAGCTACATTTGGGCATTCCACAATATGTATATACTTCAAAACAATCTGTTGTACACAGTAAATACGTGCGATGTTATCCTTAAATTAAAAATAAATAAAAACAAAAAATAAAAAAGTCAATCAGTCTTTTCTATGAAAATGTATATGCCACAGCCTTCTTCCCCCTTAGACGCCACTACACAAATTGACTGATAGGACCTAATTGGATAGCCTCAGTGTGTCAGCAATTTTTACTAAATTGCCAGCAAGAGGAAGACATCACTTTTCTCCACTGTCATCACCTCCCCACATGCTTGCTTGCCTGTCATAGTTGAGTCAGATCTAAAGCATCTACCCATTACATTTAAGGAAAAGTAATTGAAATTTCATTATTAACCTTTAAAGAGGAATCTCTACTTCTAGTTTCGAGCAGATTTCTTTCAAGAATAGATGAATTGCTTAGCCTGCTGCATGGTGATAGTGACGCATTTGAATAACTAATTTGAGAGGGGAGATATGAGGTCACAAGAGAGGAAGCTGTAAATAAAATTATCACCAGAAGTATCTTACCATGCACTAACAGCTACAGATACAAAACAATCACGTTTAGTTCCATCTCTTACATTGATGCCAGTGGCACCGCCAACAAAGCACAGATGCACACCGCATGAGCAGGTGCAAGGATGATTTCATGAGCGGTGTGGCGGCTGTTTGGAAACAGTAGTGGGCGCATCCCACACTGGAATTGTACATCTGTTATATATCCAGTGTTTCATAGTGGAAAATCTGTGCATTCATTTAACCCCTTTGATAGAGCATTCATTTAGCTGGGCTACAGATTTCATGAATATTCATTAGTGTACCTTATTTACATAGTCACTAAGCTATTAAACACTGCAGCCAATTTTCCAAACCAGAACTCTCTATTAGCCATCACTCATGTGCAGCCACAGTACTATGATGATTGATGTTCATAATGACCCTAAAGTATTACATGATTTTTAAATCCTTTCTATATTAAAGGAAGTAAATTCATCTCCAAATTAAATTTCAACTAAAAATTAAAATGGTAATGAGATACTATCTCTGGTCTATTAAATTGGCAAAGATTAAGAGAAATGGTGAAAGTATGGGGACATGTGTCCCCTAAAGACTGCTTAAGAAAATGTAAACTAGTACAAACTTTTTGAAGAACAGTTTTTCAAAATATGCTGTCTTTTTTAAATTTTTTTTTTTATTTCCATAGGTTTTTGGGGAACAGGTGGTGTTTGGTTACATGAGTAAGTTCTTTAGTGGTGATTTGTGATATTTTGGTGCACCCATAACCTAAGCAGTATACACTGAACCCAATTTGTAGTCTTCTATCCCTCACCCCTTCCCACCCTTTTTCCCCACTGAGTCCCCGAAGTCCATTCTTATGCCTTTGCATCCTCATAGCTTAGCTCCCACTTATGAGCGAGAACATACGATGTTTGGTTTTCCATTCCTGAGTTACTTCATTTAGAATAATAGTCTCCAATCCCATCTAGGTTGCGATAATTGCCGTTGATTCATTCCTTTTTATGGATGAGTAGTATTCCATTGTACATATATACCACAGTTTCTTTATCCACTTGTTGATTGATGGGCATTTGGGTTGGTTCCACGGTTTTGCAATGGTGAATTGTGCTACTATAAACATGCTTGTGCATCTTTTTCATATAATGACTTATTTTCCTCTGGGTAAATCCCCAGTAGTGGGATTGCTGAATCAAATGGTAGTTCTACTTTTAGTTCTTTAAGGAATCTCCACACAGTTTTCCATAGTGGTCGTACTAGTTTACATTCCCACCAGCAGTGTAGAAGTGTTCCCATCAAAATATGTTGTCAGCCAGGCATGGTGGCTCACGCCTGTAATCCCAGCACTTTGGGAGGCCAAGGCGGGCGGGATCACCTGAGGTCAGGAGTTCAAGACCAGCCTGGCCAACATGGTGAAACCCTGTCTCTCCTAAAGATACAAAAATTAGCTGGGTATGGTGGCACCTGCCTGTAATCCCAGCTACTCAGGAGGCTGAGGCAGGAGAATCGCCTGAACCCAGGAAGTGGAGGTTGCAGTGAGCCGAGATTACGCCACTGCACTCCAGCCTGGGTGACAGTGTGAGACTCCATCTCAAAAAAGAAAAAAAAATGTTGCCTTACAAATAACAATAGTTAATATTTATATTGTAATTACAAGTCATATAGTATTACGAATGTTTTGCATTTATTAACTAGGCTTAAAAATTGCCGTATGTTATTATTAGCCCAGTTTTAAAGAGGAAGAAACTGGGTCTCAGAGAGGTTAATTAATTTTCCAAGGCCACACAGCTGGTAAATGGCAAAGCCAAGATTTGAACGTGGAAAATCTGTCCTCAAGAGTCTGTATACTTAATGGTCACATTATGTTATATTATATTTCATCTCAAAAATGCAAAGACCTTCAAACACCAATTCCTCTTCCAGGAATTTATTCAAAGGACATGATAAAAGATATGTACAAAAGTGTTTTCTACAAGGTGTTTATTATAGCATTATTATAATAAATGCTCAAATGACCTAAATATCCCATTGTAAAAGATTACGACATATTCAGGTGGCAAACTGCTATTAAGCCATTGATAAATGTTAATTTTACTGAAACAGAAAACGATTATGCATAGCAAAACCTTGTGTGGGCTTTTCATCATTTGCACTCCTCCACGATTCTTTGCCCTTCTCTGTGTTCTGAGAGGCTAACCCTGCACCTGGGCTCCCATCAAGGCTGGCTTCCAGCTAGGTTCTGCCAATAAGAAGACCAATAGGAGACTAAAATGAGAGGAGGGAAAGAGAGTTGGAGGTCAGGTTATTTCTTTCCAGTCTTGCCCTGTGGCTGTGGCAGTCGTTGCATCCCTCCTAGACTACAGTTCCCGGTGTGAAGCTCCTCCTCCAGTATTCCAGCTTTCACTGGGCTTCAGTGACATTATTTTTTGCCAGATCCTCTTAGACTAGGGAGGTAATAGGCTGCCATCTCAGTTTCCTCATGACCCCAACCCCCCTGCTGGCTCTGGCAGCCCTATCCACACTTCAGCAAATCATCCCTTCATTGAGGTCTTCTCAATTGAACCGTCTGATTGGAATTCTGTTGCTGACAGAGACCCTAACTGAGAGGCGGGGAATAGGGTGAGACATATATTTTAGCTTTTATAAAAAGTATAAGTTGTATAAGAAAATGCTGTCAGTGTTTGCCTTCAGGTGTGAGATTATGAGTTATTTATTTTCATCTTTTTCTTACGCTTTGGGGAAGAAAAGGACTTTATTCAAATCCTGATTTAAAAACTTCTTGTTGAACACACTAGACAAATGTAGTCATTTTAAAATAAAAATAATGTCTACCTCTTCAAGTTATTATGGATATTAACTTAAATAGCCCATGTAAAGTCCTCAGTGTACAGTAGGTGTTCATAAGGTGCTTTTTTCACAGCTTCCTAATACATGATTTTCTGGATGGTGAAAATGCATGACATATGATAAAAGTACATATCCCAAAATGCTGGAATTACTAAAGGCCATGTAAATATATAGTCAGAAATTCTTCAGTGAGAGGAAAAAAAACTTCTACACAATTAATGATAATTTGAAATATTGTGGGTAGTTTTTTGAAATGCTCATACACTACCCATTATCATATAGAATGCAGGTGTAAAATGAAAGGAAGGGGAAGCCATTCTTTGTTTGCACAGAGAGCTAAGAGGTAGTTCCATGGAGAAGCAAAGAGAATTTTCTTCCAAGTATTCCAAACAACATTTCCTAGAAATGAATGTGTTCTTGATGGGTATTAGTGGGTAAGATTGTCACAATGAGAGTAAAAACCACATTCTAATGTATTCAGAAGAGACATAGTCCCTCTTTTGATAATAAATGAAATTTTAATTTCTCTTTGGAGCTACTCACAGCCAGACATGCAAGCGTTCACCTTCTTGGTCCCGTAGCCTGTGTATGATTCACAGTATTCTTTCCATCGCTTTCCCCACACACCCCCACCCCGGTCAGTGCTGGGTGACATCATTTAACCCAAAAAGACCAAGAATATGAACGGTAACTTTTTCCATTGCTTTCACCAACAATGAGCAACTGGATAAAATAATTTTAAAAATTCACAATAAAAACAAATAAAATTTATGAGAAATCCTCCAAGCTGAAGGTTTGAAAAGAGCCAACACCATTGAAATGTCTGAAGCCAGGAGAGTTCACAAGTTCAATCATTATGTGAAACTGAAGGAAATGTGGCCAGACCTGCTGTCAGTTTAAAGAATATCACTGAAGCTTTGCAAAAATGATGTATGTTCCCATTCAAACATACCAGAAGCTATTGAACTTAATTTCCTTTTTAAACATGTACTTTGCTGTCCTCAATTGCTGATGGGTGGGGAAATGCTTTAACCCACAGGGCATTTTTGGTTCACTAACAAATGTGTTCGCAAGCAGTAGACTTTTCCCACAAACATGCATTTATGTGTACGATCTCAAGTAGACTGCCATTTCAAAGTTCTTACTTCTCTTTATTCATTCCCCTATTTGAGAATCCAGCCATCTTTCCATCCTATCAGTCTCCTTCTTCATCATGTGAGACGTTTGTGCTGCCCTCCTAAAATCTTCTATGATGATTTTCTTGATCATCAAAATTGAGTCCCATTATTTCTCTAGTTGAATCTTTTTTATGTGAGTGCTTTGATTTTTACAGGCATTTTTAGTCTAACATTGTGCAAATGACTTGTTATACTGGCTTCAATTTACTCTGCAATACCAACCAAACTCAGCTCAGCAGCAGGACACCGGCTTAGCACCCAAGACCTTCACACTTCACTTAATTCACTGTCATGGGAATCTCTCATCCACAAAATAAAAGTCAGAAGTTGCTTCCAGGCTGATTCTAAATAAATCTACCAGGGAAAATCAACTTCTACTCTTCTATCTGGCAATTGGTGAAGACTAAATTCTCCAAAACTCACAGGGTAAAACCGGGCGTCTATTTGCACTGCTTTCCTGCTTTTCTTTTTTCCTTGTTTAAAACTAATGGGAAAAAGGTAGGTTAATATGAAAAATTTCTAGGCATAATGAAATATATAGTATGAACTCCTATGCATGTTTAAAGATACATACACAATGTCTATGTGCATTATAACATCTTAATTATGAACTACTGTAGAAGACAACATAGTCCAGCCTCTAGCAGTTCAATGGCTTATGAGTAACTAAATGTCAGTTGGATGGAACAATTCTTCTCTAATTAGCTCTTAATGTGCATTGGAGATTATCAGAATAAAGAAGTTACAGGAGAGAATATGAATATAATTTGATGAATTCTAATTATTGCTGTCATGACTGATTGTTTTTCCTCCAGTTGTGTAAGCTGATTCACAGCTAGTTTCTGTTACTTCTAAACCGCATATTACTAACTGCACGTACTCCAAGAGGCCAGGCACATGTCAACAAACCATAAGTACAAGGAACTCTAGTCCTAGAAAAAAATAATAAAAGGCATAGTTGCTTGTGCTCAAGGAGAGTTTCCTTTCTAAAAGTTGTAAGCTATAAAATATAAATTTAGCCTTCTTTAATTCCTAATGGAAAAGCAAATACTTAAACTCCAAGACACAGTGATAAAGGGATTACTTTGTCACTGTCAGTCCTCCCTCTCTGCAGTGCTAGGTTGCATTAAGCCAAAAAGACATATTGACTATTTGGTGCCAATTCACTTCTTCTCTTCTGTAATATTTGCTTAGACCATGCTCATGTTCTGTTACCATTACCTGTTCCCCTCAGCTGTTTAATCAGATTTTAAATGACTTGGGATAGTGCAATATCACAGACAGACGGTGCTTACATATTTACTCAGTGAATGAATGCATGAACTGATTGCAAATTATTAAATGCAAGAAAATTAGGGTGGAAACTATTTAATACTTCACAGGAAAGTCCAAGGAAAATCCATAAAAACATTGCTAGTCTCTCTTTAATATTCAATATTCAATTATTAAAACACAGCTCACTCGCTGTCTCTTTTATCACTATGTTTTGTATGCTCTCTTAGATCTAATAAAGTTTAGGAATATCCAGCACACTCTAGTTATTTTGTTTTCGACTTGGTATCCCTAAATTTGTTGTGCAGCTTTATCCTAAGGGCCAAGTTGAAAATAGAAAAATAAATGACTCAAGGTTTTAGCTACCTTTAATATCCCTATTTTCACACACTCATGTATATTCATATTCCCTGGAAGCTGCCACCCACATAGGCTTCAGACTCTGACAGCACTGCTAAGTGAGTAAGTGACTACATGAGACAGAAATTCTTATTCTGAAAGCATTCATTGAGAAAGCTTTCTACTGTGCCATGTTTTATTAACATTCTGCTTCTAACTTCAGATTGCATTAAAAATCATCTAAAAAACCCTACCTTTATTTTTATCTTTTCTATCACAGCCAAATACAGAAAGAGCTAGTTGCTACATATATAAGACAACCACAAAAAAAGAGGGACAAGCTTCAAAAAGCTAGTGGTGAATCTGCGCACATAATCAAGCACTAATGGTGCTCTCCTGCCATTGTGTCTTTCCTATTAGGGTGCGCACAGACTGGGCTCTCAGACCTGAATGCATTCTGTTATACTCCCCCAACTTGGACTATGTAACCAACTCAAATTTAGATATAAATATTTCCAAATTCCAAAGAGCAGCTCAGACCTGGTTTGAGCCAAAATTGGTCTAGCCTTAGAGAGTATTTTGCCAGATCTAAAAGATGATATGGAAAGTTGCGGGGCAGGAGGTGCGTACTTGTGTGCATTTGTGCAGAAAGTGCCTCAGGAAAATCTGTGTAGACAAAATGCCACTGGATTTTGCAAAGGACTTGAAAACTATATCACAATCAACTTCCACTTGCAAATAACTTATCTAAAATGTTAGATTATTAAACTCTTTTTCTTGTTTATGCTCTGTTAGTATGTATGTTTTACCCCATTAATCAACATTCCTCATTCACTCTGAAACGACCAAGAGTCCTTAGAGTCTCAGAACTGAGAAGCACTTCTGCTCCTTAAAGGACTGATAATAAAAATCTGCTGTATTTGTTTGCATACCTACCCTACTTTATCATAATTACACAATTTAAATTTATAAATGATGCAATGTAAATATGAAAAAACATTGAAACATGAGTGTTTTAAAAAATATGATAAAGATGAGTTGATTTTAAAAATTAAGAATAACAATTTCTATTGTGTTAAACATAGGTAAAACAAAACTTAGGAGAAAAAAAAAAGTTAGAAAGATCCTGAATTCCTATTACTCTAAAAATGTATTTAAGAGCTCATTCCACTTTTTAAAAAATAAAATTAGAAACTGCAGACTATGAATAATGACATTCAAAAAAATTGAACTCCAATTAATACATGCATATTGATAGAAGCTTGACAATATAACAAAATATTGCTCAATGAACCAGTGTGCACATTTGTGAATGTGTGTGTGATAAAATAAATTGTTGGAAGCATTTACTATCAATTTCGTTTATGTAGCTTTGTTTTTCAATGAGGTAATTTGGGCTTTGATAACAGGGCTCCACTATATGTAGAAGACATTTTTAAATTATAAAACATCCATTGGCTTTAATAGCCACTCCCTTTTCACTCCTTTACAATAAAGATTCCAGACCTAAAACAAGATATCCTCTGAAATTCTAAGCTGGACCAATCAAATTCAGGACAGTGTTTTCACCATTGCTTTAGTGAGTGGAGACAACACTAAGTTAGGTTTCCAAACTTATCAGAACAACACTTTTTTTTTAGATTGTTTTCCTTCTAGAAGCCCAGGTGACTACAACAAATCCCAGGTCTCATTCACCATCAGAACAATGCCTATGTCTTTTTCTTACTCTCCCACACTTCTTGTTCTTCCACTCATGCAGCCAGAATGCCAGTAAGGCCAGTGAGAAGGCCTAAGCACCTATTTGTTTGGCTTCACTTTCCAATTCTCTTCTTTACATGGGGGTCAGAACACGTTGAGCCCAAGCTACTCCAAAGACCTGGTCATCTTGCTTTCCTTGAAATCTTTATGCGCTCTCTCTCACTGGCTCAGGCTACTCCTATCTTAGGGAAACCCCAGGCCAGCAATCTAGACCAGCCAGGCTCTAGGCATATGGTCAAATGCTTTTACTCACTCTGTCTTTGTTTTCTATGGTAGTTCCAAGTGGGTATTCTTTTCCATTAAGATGATAAGTTTCTTTTTTTGAGACAGAGTCTTACTCTGTCACCCAGGCTGAATTACAGTGGCACAATCGAGGTGTCCTGCAATCTTCATATCCCGGGCTCAAGTGATCCTCCTGCCTCAGCCTCCCGAGTAGCTGGGATTACAGGCATGCGCCACCATGGCTGGCTAATTTTTGTATTTTTAGTAGAGACGGTGTTTTGCCATGTTGGCCAGGCTGGTCTCAAACTCCTAACCTCAAGTGATCTGCCTGCCTTGGCCTCCCAAAGTGCTGGGATTACAGGCGTGAGCCACCGCACCTGGCCCAAGATGGTAAGTTTCAAAATTGGTCATCATAAGAGTAAAGGAAAATAGGCAAAGATCTATTGTCTGGCTTTGTTCTTTAGGTTCACCTGGTATACAAAACAGAAACCTCCAGTCTTGCTTAATAGAGTCCTACAATGAAGATTAGGTCCAACATTAAGCTGATAATAAAGTTATTTTACCTTGCACTTTTGAGGCACAAATTTCCCTCAGAGAATTCATACAAAAGTGTAAGCTCAGGGCCGGGTGTGGTGGCTCGTGCCTATTATCCCAGCACTTTGGGAGGCCGAGGCCAGTGGATCATCTGAGGTCAGGAGTTCAAGACCAGCCTGACCAACATGGAGAAACCCTGTCTCTACTAAAAATACAAAATTAGCAGGGTGTGGTGGCACATGCCTGTAATCCCAGCTACTTGGGAGGCTGAGGCAGGAGAATCCCTTGAACTTGGGGGGCAGAGGTTGCGGTGAGCCGAGATCACGCTATTGCACTCCAGCCTGGACAAGAGTGAAACTCCGTCTCAAAAAAAAAGAAAAAAAAAAAGTGTAAGCTCAGGCAAAGGAAGGATCTGCAGGTTACTATGGCCAATCACACACATAACATACTAATATTATTTATTAAAACAATGTCAGTGATCATAACCAATAGTAATACACAGATCATATGACTTTTAGTTAAGTTAGCATTACCCTACCGGGGGTTTCTAAACTTATCACTGATACATTTAAAAAAGCATGCTTAATCATTGATGAATAATGTGTTAGCATGCTAATATTCTAATCCTATTACTTCTTCTGAAAGTGTTACCACCAGTATAAGGAAGCTAAAATACAAGCTTTAGAAGAAATTATTTTTTGTATTTCTTAATGCAACTGTATTTTTATTCACTTTTTATAGTAACAGCTACATGACTGCAAAGCTAGCAAATTTTGAACATTACTACAGGGCCATTTCATAACTTCTGGCACTTTGAAATATTTTTACAAAATTCACCATTTCAAATATTAGACTATAACAATTTTTCAAATTGCCTATGTAATATTTTGAGGAGTTCCTATGTGCCAGATACTTTTCTCAGTGCCTTATATATATATGTATCCATTTATTTAATCTAGAGCAAACAAATGACCATTTTAAATATGAATAAAATAAGGCAAAAGAGTTTCAGCAAGTTGCCCAAGATCTCAAGCAGTAAGAGATAGAGGTGAGAATCAAACCAGGTACTCTGGGTCCCAGAGGGTCTGCTTATACCACTATAATAATCTAAAGCACAAAATTGATAATAATTGTAATAATCTAAAGCACAAAATTAATCTAGACAATGTTTTGTTCCCCAAGTATACGTGCTAGGCAAAGAAATAATTATGCCATCAATAAAATTACAATTTAGTTGTGGAAAAATATGAGTCATAAATGATTGAAAATGAGGTTCAACTTAATTAATTGAAACAGCCTTGAGAAGAAATTTGTTTTGTTTGATTGTTATTATTTACTCTTGGTCTGTTTTAAAAAGTATTTGTAAAAATGTATAGGAACCTATATAAAAACAAATACTTACATAATAAGAGTTAGAGAAAATACCAGTCAGAATAAAAGCTCAAGAATAGTTAAAAACAACACAAATAATAGGCCTAATACATTTATTATTAAACTTTACTAAAGTGAAATTCCTGGTGGCCCATAAAGAAAAATTATCATTTACATGGCTCCCATTATCCAGAAAAAGAAAACATAAGCACCTCCTACATCTCAAAGAATCTAATGGCATTTGGGATGGTTTTTGTTTAACTTCAGAGAATCACAGAATCCTTAATGAGAGAAGTAGAGTTTGGTGTGATTTCAGCAGACAAAAGAAGTATGGGCATGGTCATTCTGGGCAGTGAGGAAAGAAGTTTCAATAGCATGAAAGAAAAAATACTTTTGTGCATTTGAGAAATGGTAAATAGACTGACACAGCTGGGGTAGTGTTACCTAAATGATCTTCTGTGAAATGCTCATCCAATGACCAAAAGAAAAAAAAGTTCCCATTATAAAAATAAGTTGAAGAAATGCCAGGTTAAGAAAACTAATAACTGGAGGTTTCTTTCTTTCTTTCTTTCTTTCTTTTTTTTTTTTTTTTTTTTGTGGCTGTGATAAAACAGCTTGTACCAAACTAATCTGCTCCAAAAACAAAAGAAAAACAACACACACAAAAAGAAAAGCTCCTTGAAAGCATTGGAAAGCTGCCAAAGCAACCAAGACCTAAAGAGCCAAACTCTTTTTTTTTTTTTTTTTTTTTTGAGACTGAGTCTCGCTCAGTCGCCCAGGCTGGAGTGCAGTGGCGCGATCTCGGCTCACTGCAAGCTCCGCCTCCTGGATTCCCACCATTCTCCTGCCTCAGCCTCCCGAGTAGCTGGGACTACAGGCGCCCACCAACACGCCCAGCTAATTTTTTTGTATTTTTAGTAGAGACGGGGTTTCACCGTGTTAACCAGGATGGTAGCAATCTCCTGACCTCATGATCCGCCCTCCTCAGCCTCCCAAAGTGCTGGGATTACAGGCGTGAGCCACCGCGCCCGGCTGAGCCAAACTCTTAAAGGGAAGAGAGTAAATAGAGAGGAGCTCTACCTTAGCCTACTGCTTTGTTCCTTCGGGACATTTGACACTTCGCAGTTGAAAGGACAGAATCAAAACAGAGAGGAGTGGCTTAATACTTCTCACTGCATCTCTAAACTGAAGAAACAAAAATAGGAGTTCAGAGATACCAACACAGCCAGGACTTGAGGGGCCAATATCCTGAAGAAAAGAGAACCATGCAGTAGTGACCTCAAAATTCTACGTGCAACTTCCATTTCAAATTATTTGCTGACTCTTTTTGTTATCTGTATTTTTTTAAAGACTAGTTCTCACTATGTTTCCCAGTCTGGCCTTAAACTCCTGGGCTCAAGGGCTCCTCCTGCCTCAGCCTCCTGAGAGCTGGGACTACAGGAGTGCACCACTGCATCTGGCTATTTGCTGACTCCTTAATGGTATAGTGCAAGTTGCTGAAGAAACAATCAGAAAGAAACTGCTAAATTGTTAAAAAGTAGATATTTTGGCAGTCTGGGGAAAAATTAATTTGGGTTATAGGGTCTGTCTATAAAGAAGGGCACTGATAAAAACCTCAGGCTTTCTGCTGATACCACTGAAGGACTAAACTCTTGGATAAAGGTGAAACTGAAACTGGGACTCAATTGGATCAAGGTGATTTTCCCGTGCTTCAACTACCTTCTAGAAGAAAATTAAAATCTCTCTGAAAGAATAAAGCATAAGCCAGAGCTTCTAGAAATATTTATACAAATGTCCAGCATTCATTTAACAATTACCAAGAAGCCAGAAAACAGAATCATGAGACTAAAAATTGGGGTGAGTGGGTTGACAATATAAAGGTAACCCAGATAGTGACATTATTAAGAAAAAGCTTAAAATATCAATAATTAATATGCTCACGAAAATACGAACAAAGATAGAGAATTTGACCAAAGAACTAGAGTTTATTTTTTTAAAGATAAATTTTAATTCTAGAAAATAGCCCAAACTAAGAATGGGATAGATGAATGTAACAGCGAATTAGACAAAGCAGAGAAAAAGAATAGTGAACATAGATGGGTAGAAAATATCAAGATTAAAATATATAGAGAAAAGAGGATGAAAAATACAGAAAAAAAAACCACAAGAAACATATGAAACCAAGTGAAAAGACCTAAAATGTACGCAATTAGAATCTCAGAAAAAGAATGAGAGACTAGACCAAAAGCAATCTCTAAAGAGGTCCTAAATAACAGTTTTGGAAAGCTGATGAAAATCTTCAGAATATGAATTCAAAACATATTATGAGATTCAAGCAGTTCAAATATAAAGAAAAGCATACCTAGGCACATCCAACAAAGAAAATTCTTAAAAGTGGCCAAAGGAAAAAGACACACTCCTTTTAAAGAAATATTAATAGCACCAGGGCTGATGAATCATTTTCAGTAAAAATGATGAAGGTCAGAAGGCAACATATTAACATTTGTAAAGTGCTAAAAGAAAATCATCATCAAGCTCTTACTCTATACCCAGGAAAAAAAAAATTTCATTAAAATATATGGCCATTATAGCACAAAAGAAGAAAGGTGACGGTAAATGAAATAATATGTGCTATAATTTCAGGATTATTTTGGAAATGAAAAATATACTAATTTAAGGTCTCTAAAATATTAAGGATATATATTGTATATAGGGGTTGAAATAAACAATATACTTTTAAATAATCCATGGGTCAACAAAAAAGCAATTTATATAAATAATACTTTCAACTAAATGATAATAAGACATATCAGAATTTGTGGGATGCAGCTATTAAAAATGTATAGCTTTGTAAGATTAATTTTAAAAAAGCACAAGTTATTACTATGAGTTATGAGAAAAGGAGACATCACTACAGAATCAACATAAAACGTAAAGAAATTACATTTACATGTTCTGTGGTGTCTATTACCACTTACTTCAACTATGGTATTCTATATTAAATAAAAGATACAGAAAGTACAGCCTGAGAAGTTTTATAAAGAAGTGCTTAGAGGGGGTAAACTGTTAGAAAAGGGGCCCTTGAGGGCTTGTCTTATGATTACATTTGCATAGTAATGCTCAGTTTTTATTTATGTGAATTTTTGTTTGGTATGGCCTAAACCTACATTTGCAGACCAAGAATTGTGCTTTTACTTAGAACATGTATTTATTTGAATGATGACAATTTGGAATGTGAAAAGCTTCCCTTCTGGCCACTCCCCTTTTCTCAACGTTTAAATTAATTTGTTCATGAGAGAGTTTCAAGCAAAGGCAAAAATAAAATCAAATAAAACAATTTGTAATGTTGTAATAATAATACTTTCATGAAATCAGCAGCTTTGCATGTTTTGTTATCTGCCACTAAAGTATCAAAGATAATAGTCATATGTAAATGTTTTTATTCCAATGCCTTTTAAAAAAAATAAGCACAAAAAAGGCAGGTGAATACATCATGAATTAAGCATGACCCCCTGTTATTGAAGCTCATTTACATCTATGGTTTCTACATGAGGTGTTATCATGGGGTCTGTGGTGAACTGAATAATAATAGCTCCCCAAATATATTCACATCCTAATTCCAGGCACCTGAAAACGTCATTTCATATGGCAAAATGGACTTTGCAGATGTGATCAAGATAAGGATCTTAAAATGAGAAGATTATCCTGGAGGACCTAGGTGGGCTTAACGTGATCACAGTGGTCCTCATAAGAGGTTCACAGAAGTGAGAGTCAGAGGGTGATGTGATGACAGAACAGAAACTGGAGCGATGTGCTTTGAAGATGGCAAAAAGAGGCCACAAACCAAGGAGTATAAGCAGCCATTAGAAGCGAAAAGGGCAAGAAAACAGATCTTCCCTTCAGAACATCCAGAAGTAATCAGCCCTGCTGACACCTTGATGTTATCCCAGTGAAAGTAATTTTGAACTTCTGACCTCCAGAAATGCCTAAGAGTAAACTCGTGTTGTTTTAAGCCATTACATTTGTGGTGATTTTTTTTATAGCAGATATAGGAAACTAATAGAGCATCCTAGTGAAATGGTTATCAAACCTGGTGCACAGCAGAATCTCACCTAGGCAGTCTGTGAAAAAAATACAGATCCTTGGATCCTATTCCTAAAAATTCTGATTCTCTGTATACCTGTGATGAGCCACAGGAATTCAAAATTGTTAAGAAGTTTCTCAGATGACTGTTGTGCTGCAAACCAGGTTACAAGTCAAAAGAAGGGTGCTTGGGAAGAATTCACTGCCTGAATTAGTTGCCTTGGGCTGCTATAACAAATTAACACAAACGTGAAGTCTCAAAACAACAGATATGTATTCTCTCACAATTCAGGAGACGAGAAGTCTGAAATCAGTTTCACAGAGTGAAAATCAAGGTGACCACAGGGCCATGTTCTCTGCAAAGGCTCCAAGTAAAAATTGTTCCTTTCCCTTCCAGTTTCTAGTGGTTGCCAGCATTCCTTGACTTGTGGCCACATGACGCCAGTCTCTGCCTCTGTGGTCCCATTGCCTCCTCTTTGTGTAGCAAATCTCCCTCTGCCTCTCTCTTATAAAGACACTTGTAATTGGAATTAGGGTACATCCAGTTACCAGGACAATATCCCCATCTCAAGATCTTTAGCTGAATCACCTCTACAATAACTCCTTTACTTTATAAGGTAACATTTGCAGGTTCCAGAAGTTGGGATCTGATATCTCAGCTTGACAATTATTCTTCCTAGTGTACTGCCTTAGTGCCCTTCAAGGTTATTTAGGGATTAAGACAGTAGAGCTGAAGAAACTTTCTATAATCTTTTTATATTCATATCCCTTCTGACCCTTTACAAATTACAATTATTCTACTAAAAAACAACCAGTCTCACTGGACTATTCTGTTGATTAATGAGGGTGATGATAAACAGGGAATATGGGGATTATTGGAAGAAGTAGGTTCCTAGAATTCAGTAGCATTTTTATTACAAGTTTCTATGCCCCTTTAAAAAACTGGCTTTTCATAAGGGTGTTCCTGAACATAAAAGTATTGCAACAAAGGAATCTTTATTAAAAATTTCTATCCCAGAGGAGTTTACTGCATGTGACTACAAACAGACTACAAGAAATGTTGGTTGGAAAGTTATTTTTTATGCAAAAGTACATTTCGAATTTAAATAAATCCAAGGTTCCTTTGCCCTCTTTTTTACCTCTAGGCAATCAAGAAATTTAGACTCTATGGTTCACTGACATGAGCATTCTTGTCCTGAGTGACTTTTTAAGGCTCTTCAGGTACATAATCCAGGAGAAAGATTAAACTCGAAGTCTAAGGAGGATACAACAAAATTCAGCCAGTGGCCAAAGAAATGTATATATTGTGGTGGTGATCCACAGAAATAATAATAAATAGTATAGATTTTATTTTCAAAAAAAAGTCCTCTTTCTTTCAGAAGGGCCAGTCCCCCATTCTAATATTTTTAACATCTCTGAAGAATAGGGCTTAAGGCCTTTCCCAACTGTAAAATGGTACCCTTTTCACAAATGTACAGTTTTATATCCTATTCTTTTAAAAAACATTTATAGCTCCTTTTACTATTCTCTACTGAAAATCTAAATAATTGTCCCCCTTAAAATACTTCATGGCATGGCTCTCAACAATCTAATTTTCATTTTAGCAGGCCATTATTCCCCCCTGAATAGCTTTTAGAAAGAAAAAAAATTTCTAATCTATCCCACCTGACACTGGCCACACTTTATTCTCTCTGTCCCTTTGATATTAAGGTGCATACCTTTGATATTCAGGCATTTGATAATGCCATGCCTGCATGGCATTATTCACTTGTCTTACTTCAGTTGGTAGAACGGGCTTCAAACTGGGCTCTGAGCTGATCTGCCAGTCTGCATCCTTTAAAATCCCCAGAGCAATAGGGAACAGTGTTGGCTAAGAACCACCTCAGCAGAATGACGTAGCAAGCTTGCAAAAATGCAGATTCCAAGGCACCGCCTTTGATTTACTAAATGTAATTTCTGGAAAAATAACTTGGGCGTTTTGCTTCATGCACTCTCTTCTGCTCATAAGCACCCAGGTTTTAATGGTTTGACGGCGCTATTCTGAAGGAATAAACTTGTCTGGGTTGGTGCCATGAAGTTAAGCAACATCTACAAGCCACTCAGTAACTGTGACATATCATCATTGCATTTTATTTATTTATTTATTTATTTTTAAATTTTTTTATTTTTTTTATTATTCTTATACTTTAAGTTTTAGGGTACATGTGCACAATGTGCAGGTTAGTTACATATGTATACATGTGCCATGCTGGTGTGCTGCACCCACTAACTCGTCATTTAGCATTAGGTATATCTCCTAATGCTATCCCTCCCCGCTCCCCCCCTCATCACTGCACTTTAAATGCTAACTCTATTTTTCATTCTTGAATTCCTGTCCAGTTTTATTCCTTCTTTTCAATCACCGTAACTTCATCATTTCCCAGAGAAATCCACTTCGTCATTTCCTGGAGAAATTCATCCTTACTCTTCGTTATTTCAGTGCCCAGTTTCATTTTCTAGAAACTTCTCCCTCATGTCCTTATCCCAGTCCAGTAAACCCTTCCAGAAAAACTAGGAGAGTGATCAGGCAAAGAAAAATCAAATTTCTAGAGGATATACTATTTGAAAACTTTGTTCTGACAAATGGAACAAGCAAAAGTAGCAATTTACCTGCTGTGAGCATATTTCAGACCAGAGAACTTAGCAGCAGGACCTAATTTCTCCTTGGTTAGCATAATAGAGAAAGCTAATTACAAGGGATTATTCTTAGGAAAGAAAAATCTAGTTCTGTGTTGTGTGACACAGAGAAACTCATTCTATCTGTAGAGATTTTGGTCGCTATAGCAACATGATAACAATTTAATCTTGTTCTGCTTTACTGAGAATAAACATTTTTTTCCAAAAGCCGTTTAATTTGTCCACCACAGACACAACTCTACACAAAATGCCATTGAAAGGAATACTTACCGTCCATGCTCGTCACACAAAAAAATACTGTAACCTCTTGAGCAAGACACTGAGAAAGAAAACCCAGTCATAACTGGGATAGAGAAGACAACTTTGCCTTAACACAAAGTAAAGCTGCTGCGTTCAAATGGTCTTGGTAAAGTGCTTCATGGCAGAATGTTGCTGGCCAATTTACATGGCATTTGGATTGAAGTTATATGCCATTTGGGGAAGATTACTATAATTAGAAAAATGGCCTAATTACTTTTCTGGCAACAGTGAAGAAAGAGAACAGACTCGTCGGCTTATAGAGACAAGTCCTTGAGAAACCTCAAAAGGTTTTGGGATCCTGTTTGACAGGAAAGAACATCTCATCTGAACCCCTTGGATCTGTTCAACAACCAAGCTAGAAAGCCAAAACCACAAGAGAGGAAGAAAGAGCAAGAAAAGAAAAATACTTCTTCCTATTGGATTTTGAAACAGAGCTGACAGAAATGCTCCTTTCCATGACATTGCAAAGCTTCATCTGCTGGCCCCTGTAAGATGCACAAACGGAAAAGAATGAAGTTGGGAGGGAAGAGTGGATTTTCACTGCAATGAGACTTGGAAGAAGGTTTCATGCTAGTGTTGTTTGATGGCTATGTCTGTTCTAACTGTAAATAATATGACAACATTCGAGATTGAGAGATTGAAAGAGTACCTCCTGTTATTTGAGGTTTCAAGTTAACATTTATGATATAAAAGGCAAAATCATACAAAATTCCTCTTTTCCTGTGCTGAGGGAGAGAGACACTGCTGCACTGAATCAAATACCCATTCCCCATGCCTCAGCCTCACGGAACATCGCTTTTTACCCAGAAGGAAAGTGGGAATGGCGAGAGCTCTGTTAGAGAAAAATGACCCTGGGCTTTCACTATTTACATTCTGTTTCCTGCATTTAGCAATCGGAACACCTGCACTTGATCAAATATGTCTTCACAAAAGTACAATTTAAATTGGTCATGAATTTTTTAAGGACATAAGAGTAAAATAAGTACAATGAAGCAACTTCAAAATGTATGTGGAAGAAAAAAACAAACAACCCCATCAAAAAGTGGGCAAAGGATATGAACAGACATTTCTCAAAAGAAGACAGTTACGTGGCCAGCAAACATACGAAAAAAAGCCCAACATCACTGATCATCAGAGAAATGCAAATCAAAAGCACAATGAGATACCATCTCATGCCAGTTAGGATGGCAATTATTAAAAAGTCAGGAAACAACAGATGCTGGAGAGACTGTGGAGAAATAGGAACGCTTTTATACTGCTGGTGGGAATGTAAATTAGTTCAACCATTGTGGAAGACAATGTGGCAATTCCTCAAGGATTTAGAACCAGAAATACCATTTGACCCAGCAATCCCATTACCGGGTATATACCCAAAGGATTATAAATCATGCTGCTATAAAGACACATGCACACGTATGTTTATTGCAGCACTATTCACAATAGCAGAGACTTGGAACCAACTCAAATGCACACAAATGACAGACTGGATAAAGGAAATGTGGTACCTATACATGGTGGAATACTATGCAGCTATAAAGAGGAATGAGATTATGTCCTTTGCAGGGACATGGATGAAGCTGGAAGCCATTATCCTCAGCAAACTAACACAAGAACAGAAAACTAAACACCACATGTTCTCACTCCTAAGTGGGAGTTGAACATTAAGAACACATGGACACAGAGAGGGGAACAACACACACCAGGACCTGTTGTGGGTGGGGGATGAGGGGAGAGAGCTTAGAGGGTGGGTCAATAGGTGCAGCAAACCACCACGGCACATGTACACCTATGTAACAAACGTGCACGTTCTGCACATGTAGCCTGTTTTTGGTTTTTTTGTTTTTTTTAGAATAAAGAAAAAAAAAGAATTGTCACTAAAAAAAAAAAATGTACGTGGAAGCGGGGGCGGTGGGGCTGGTGGCTGGAGAGAAGCAGAAAGGGTTATTAAATGATTGCTGCTTTCAAGTCATGAGCTGTCTAATGAAAATGTTCCCTCAGTAAATGTGGCTCTCATTATCCTGTTTCCTATCATTACTGACTTCTGAAGTGTCCCCTTCCCTTCCTAGGCACTTTATCTAACACAGAGAGGAGAAGCTGGACTTCAAGCTGTGCTAAAAGTGAAACAGCAGCTCCATCCTTCACCACACTTAGGAGAGTCATCATATTAAGGTCCCTTTGATCTAGAATTCTCAGGGTTTGTTTTTCATTTGACAGCCTTAATGGAAAATGTAAACACATAAAAGCATTATCCCCCTCCACCAAAATAGTGATTTTTCAATCTTTTTCCAATTTCAATGTAGCCTTTAAAAATCATTTATTAAATTACTTTTTACTTTGTATCAACCAACTCATGTGACAGTTTTACAGCATGAATACTGTTCCAACCATAGTGTCATTCATTTTATTTGTTTTCCTGGAAAAAAGAATTTGGTATACAATATCGAAGCACTAACCAAGTAAATCTGGTGTTCTTCCTTTGGTGGTAATCAATTCTTCTGGAAGAAAGAGAAAATCTTCT
Source organism: Homo sapiens (assembly GCF_000001405.40). NCBI lineage: Eukaryota > Metazoa > Chordata > Mammalia > Primates > Hominidae > Homo > Homo sapiens. Next base: position 19,853,975 of record NC_000012.12, on the reverse strand, counting down.
ACAATTACACATACCAGGTTAATGTTTCATGTGTTTAGAGATGTTAATTGAAATATAATCTTTCAGTGCAATTGGAAGGTGTCTACTACAGTGAATGAACTCCTTATAAAAACACAGGTTAGGCTGGGCATGGTGGCTCACTCCTCTAATCCCAGCACTTTGGAGGCTGAGGCAGGCAGATCACAAGGTCAGGAGTTCAAGACCAGCCTGACCAATATGGTGAAACCCCGTCCCTACTAAATTAGCCAGGCGTGGTGGTGCAGACCTGTAGTCCCAGCTACTCAGGAGGCTGAGGCAGGAGAACTGCTTGAACACGGGAGGCAGAGGTTGCAGTGAGCCAAGATAGAGCCACTGCACTCCAGCCTGGGTGACAGAGCAAGACTCTGTCAAAAAAAAAAAAAAAAACAAACAAAAAAAAAAACAAAAACAAAAACAAAAAGAAACCCCACAGGTTAAGAATTAGTTTCAATGGAAAGCATATAGGCCTTTTTTATTGCATTGCTAAAAACAGGTTAATCGTTAATCAAAGATGGGTTATCATCCTGGGTCAACAACTTTGAAAGCAAACTGTTATGAGTTGAATTGAGTCCCCTCAAAATTCATATATTAAAGCCCTAACCCCCAGTACTCCAAAATGAAATTGTATCAGAGATAAGGCCTTTAAAGAAGTGATTAAGTTAAAAATGAGCGTTTGTTTTTTTTTTAGGGTAGACCCTTATCCTGTCTGACTGGCACCCTTATAACAGGATATCTGAACACACAAGAGAGACCAGGGATATTCACACACAGAGGAAAGACCGTGTGAGAACATGGTGAGAAGGCAGCCATCTGCAAGCCAAAGAGAGAGGCCTCAGGAGAAACCAATGCTGCCAACGCCTTGACCTTGGCCTTCCAGCCTCCAGAACTGTGAGAAAATAAATTTCTGTTGCGTAAGCCCCCCAGTCTGTAGTATTTTGTTACGGCAACCCACACTGACTAATACATAAACCATCAAGTAAAAGGAGTGATCTGGAAGCAAGGCCCTAATACTAGGTTGAAGTTGACAACAACAAGAGCTGGTGTAGAACAGACAGCAAGGAATGAAGTCAAGATACAGGAGAAAAGACTCTGGTTGCAGAGTCAAACCAAGAGACAAAAGAAATATACCCCTTGGCTTCCAGTCTGTGAAGGGATAGGGTGGGAGACATGGCTATCTCTTCCATTAGACAAGGATTCTGACAAATGCAATGCTAGAGAGTCTCCACTTCATTCTGTGAAATACAGTAGGAATGTGGTCCATTCTGGATTTTATGAGATGTTGGTGAGATAAGAGTATGACCTGTCGGTATGGCAAGAGATTAGGCAAAAGATTACTTAGGTTCTAATTAAGGCATATTTCCAGACATCTCAATGGTTACAACAGGGATGGAGGCTGACAGAGTCAACTCAGGGAGGAAAGAGAGAGAGAGAAAAAGAAAGTAAACTAAGCAAGTAAGTGAAATACAAACCTGGGTACACCGAGAAATCCATAAATTTGACTAGCTTACTTCAAAGTTCCTTGACTACTTCTGTGTCAGGAAGGATAGCACTCAGAAATTAAGTTGATTACAGGAATCTAACATTACATTGACTGACGCCTGAGTCTGTGACTGTGAAATTTGTTTATCTCTTTGGCTAGCCCTGGGCATTGCATGGAGTGCTCACTCCACAAACACTGGTTGAGAGGTTGAGTGGGTGCAAGAATGTAGGGAGTATAAGTAAGAAATGCAAAGCTAGCGACTTTGTCAGTCACGGTGAGTTTCAAAATAAAGAAAAATGAACTCATATGAGTTGACTCTGTTTCTAATGTTATTTCTGTATTATTTGAAAAGCATGTGAATTCAATGAAAGGCAGAAGATGAGATGTGTTTGAAAGCTGAATTGTGGCCCTAGACATATACTTGATATGGTTAACTCCCTGTGTTGACTGTGTGTGTCTTAGGGAGGTAAACCAAGGATGTCTTTATGTAGACATAAAGTTATGTGTTTGTTACTGGGAAGTGCAGGAAAATAAATAAGTGAATTAATTAATTAAAATAAAGTCATGTGGATGTCATTAGCAGAATTGAGACCTTAAAAATAATCTATAAAGAAGCTCTCCTTTTCCCATTTTCCTCCCCTTTTTTGTTTTTCCCTCCCAAAGAGTGAACCCTCATTCCTGTAATCCTAGTAGACCCTCCTCAGAGTTACCACGTTTTCTTTGTTAATCTTTGAGGCTGCCCTGTATAACACGTTGCTTAGGCAAAAAAAAAAAAAAAAAATTCCTGCAGAAAGGATTAATCCATTGATATCATTTCTCATTATTCAAATAATTAGACATTATTTCACAAAATATATCTTCTTTGTTACAAAGAAGATGAGAAACTCATTCTCACCTACAGGCAGCCTCAGATGACTAGTAACACCAACTGGATTACTTAGAACCGATGTTTCTGTGGTGGGTGAGTTATTCCCAAGCAATTCAACAGTGTACCTCCTTTGAGCAAAAAACTACACCAGGGAGAGTGGGATATAGAAAGATAAACAAGATATGGCTTTTGACCTGCAGGGGCTGACAATCAAGAGAAAAGACACATATACAAACACTGCTAAAACTAATCAGATGATGAAAAGCACCATAGTCTAATGCAGGCAAGAGCTGAAGGAGTTTAAGGAGGCAATGATTGATTCTAAATGAGGATGAAGGAGAGTCTTTCCTGAGGAAATTGTATTTAAGTTTGAGAATTCTAGGGCAAAACTCAATTCCTGATGAGAGACCTATTTTCACATTGGTAGTTTGAGATTCCTGGTCAAGACTGAAAAACCTTCAGTTGCAGAGGAAAAACATGAGTGTCATGTTAACTTATCTTGATGCCTAATTCTTCTGAAATTAAAAACCCAGAGAGGCATACTTATCCAGGTTTATTAAAAATAAAACCTCAGTGACTCATGAGTAGTTTCGTTCCACTTACTTTTTGAAAGTCAATTTTAACGGAAATATTACAAGATAAATATTAAGAGATTGCTTCAGGGCAGCCCGCCTCAGAAATCTGAAGCTGCCACTCTCAATATGTCAGACATTGCCCACTGTGATTTCGGAGCAGCCGCTGACTTTTTTTTGCAGCTGTTATGTACTGTACTGACATGGTTCATTGAGTGCCACAGAACAGCTTGTACATGTGCGTGTGTGTGTGCACGTGCATGTGCTTGTGTGAGCATACGTGTGTTCTGATACAAGATTTGAAACTGAATGGAAAACGATGAACTTCAAATAATAGCCCTAAGAAAAGATAAGCCTAACAAGGAATAGTCTGGTTCTTCTTGACTTAGAAATTTGCTATAACTGTTAAATTACACAGGGATCCAGATGAGCCAGCTCCCGAAACTAAACACACATATTTGGAATTGTTTTCCACAGTCTCCATGGCTACCCCTGGGGTTGCCTAGTCTTCTCAGAACCTTGTTTTCACACACATGAAGGAGTGCAACCACACCACCCACAGACTTCAAAATTTACACTGGCTCGTCATTCAGTTAAGGATCTTTCCTAAATTGCCTTCCTTGTTATTTTGAATTTTCTCCCTGACCTTCCTCCAGTTCCCTGAAATGGCTTCACCTCTGTCAGCTTCTCCCTCACTCTGTGGCTTCAGTATCAACCATCAAGTCCTGGAGAGGACTGGCTTCCTGTTCCACCAATAAATCCCTGTCAGCTGAGGCGGGTGCATAGCGAGAACTCTCCTTGCTGCCTTTTTTCCCAGCCCAATTCTTCCTGCTCATCCCTACCAAATTCTTTTTCTCCCAGAGAGGTTTTTATGACATCCTTGCTCCAAATCCATTTACAAGATTCAGTCCAAAATCATCAGCTGGATATAATGGACCCCCCACAATCTGGCATCTTAAACCTTATCTACTGCAATTGCTCTTGCACCTTGATTCCAGTTAGCAATGCCTGTTCTCTATTTTAAACAATGACTAATTTATCCAACTCTATTCATTTGCTCAAACTATTTTCTTGCCTACAATAGCCTCCCAACATTTTTCCACTCAATGTAAGTACAGTTAATGATTGTTATTTGTGGTAGTTATGTTCTATAAAGTCACCTTGGACACTTAATTAGTGAATACGAAAAAATTGCTCTTAGAGGAAATATAGGGTTAGGTTCCTTCCAGCCTCTGGTCACAACATTTTTGTCAGTTGATCAATACATAACCTTGTTTTATGTGTGTTTCTGTTTAACGACATCATATTTAACATATATAGTGTTATTTCATTAACGTTGGTCTTACAACCAACAGCACTGTGACCATGCCTGAATGAAGCTTATCTAACACAACATTTTCTCCACAAGACACATCATAGTCCCCTTGTGGTTAGGAACACTAGACAGCACTCCAACACTATGCTTGGGGGATGTTTAAACAGGGAAATCATCAACAAAAAGTACAAAAATGCTAAAAGTCTGGCACTAAGTAGACTGCAAGAAGGACACTTGTTTATAGCATGAGAACAGAAATAAGGCAGAGTGTCACCTTGTTTGGCCTCAGCTAGGAGTGTGCCCGTTGGGCGAGTGAACTCTTTCACCCCTCTGCATATGACCTCAAATGACTGCAAATGGATCACAAGTATTGATTTGAGGGTTGCAAATAAACATGAGCAGTTGGCAAATTTCAAGTAATGAAGATTAAGCATATTACCTATTTACTAAGGAGGCCCCAGAGCTGCAGAAATAGTCTTGGACTTTAAGTGAAAAACTTGGATGTGAGGACTCATTACTACCTGTGTGAAAGTTAGCCAGTATTTCCTCTCTCTCGAGGCCTAAGTTTCCTCAACTTTAAATGGCAGTAAAAACGTGAAACTCAAATAAGAGATGATGTATGTAAAATCCACGTTTCCATAAAGCACTATATGAATGTGAGGTGGTATGAAAGGCCCCTGTCTTCCACAAAAACTTTCATAATTACTCTAGCCTGTTTGATCTCTACCTCCCTTGAATTCAGAGCAATTATTACTTAAAATGCTAATTTGTCATTTAATTAGTCTTTTTCACATTTTGTACTTCCTCAATTTGTATGATTATTTAAATTTTTACTTCTCTAACAGATGATGAGTTTCTTGAGGACAAGGAACTGTTGTTTGCTTGTCTCTTCCACACCTGAGCAATTCTATTCATAAATGAATGCATAAATGCAAAGTCCATGTAAACCATTCCACAGACTTCTCTCGGAATCCTGATGACAGAAGAATGTGGTTTACAAATAAGCGGCATCCTTCATCATGCCAGGCTAGGGCTCTTAGCATCTAACTGGCAAGCAGTTAGACCATCAAACTTTTGAAAACTGCTTGCAAAAGAGCTTATCTTTCCCTGGAGATAATTACCTGGCACTGAACCAAAGCCACTTATATAAAAGTTAAGAAAGTTCAGTTAACTTTCTGATAGCTTGTATGCTTCAGCTTTTGATTTTTTAAGAGACAGGGGTCTATGCTATGTCATCCAGGCTGGAGTTGAACTTTTGGGCTCAAGTGATCTTCCCACCTCAGCCTCCCAAGTAGCTGGGACTACAGGCGTGCACCACCACACCTGGCTTGCTTCAGCTTTTAGACAGAGACCAACACCAATTTTGCTAACCTCAGAAGAGCAAATCTTCTCATAGTGCAGATGACCTAGAAAAACAACTGAGATTTTGCCCCTCATGAAATTGCTATGAAGTTTTTTTTTTTCAGATATTCAACATTCATTAAACTGCCTCTGATTTAAATTAATGTTTGGGTGTTAATTAGAGCCCAAACATCCTGATACTCTCCCCTTTCCTAATAATTTATGCCGTCTTCAACCCCTTCCAATTCCTATTTACAGCAGCCCACTTTCACATAATTCCATGATGGAAAAAGCTGGAGAGACAAAAGAGAGAGGTGATATTCAATGGAAAGCCATCAGTCTGGTATAATAGGGGAGGATCACATCACACGGATAGCTCGTGACATGATCTTGGCTGTTGGTCGATCCTTCTACTTTCTCAGTGATTTATTCAAGGGATCTGCTTTGTTTCACTTGCAAACTATTTTAACATTACTGTGGATAAACAGAGTGTCACCAGATTTCCCGTCTTTCCTGGGTCATTTTTCCTGGTTATATAAATGTTTGTCTTAATCCTCCTTCTTCCTCTGCACTTTTCAAAATGTTTTTTTATGCTTCTAGTCTGCACAGGGTCAGTGTGCTAATTACCAAATGAGACGAAGATGAAAGAGTCTCCACATTCACAGGCCAGATAGCTGGCTGTAGTCTTTAGGCAGCATCATATTTTTTAAATAACATTCATAGTTATCCATCCAGGCACCCTTCACCCTCACATGTTGTTTCAAATTGTTAACCGACAGCTCCAAATAGGCTCAGAGCAGAAAACTCCACGTCAAGGATCCAATAATGGCTGCTTCTGCTTTTGTGGTTTTCAGAAGTGGGGGAGGTGGCGGGCAGGTATGCTGATTTATCAGCATGTTTTCTTCATCTCTAAACTTGTACACTGGGGGAGAAGTCTAGGTTAAATGTGAACGCTTCACAGTTTTCCCACCATCTGAACTGTGTTATATTTGGCAAATAGTTTTCTGGAAGGGGAACAACGCGTTAAGCTCTGGCCATGACATAGTTTGTGATAAGCTTAACTGAATTCAAGAAGGAAAGGTCTATGCCAACTGTTCTTACACTCTTTCAATTTCTCAGGCATCCAGGGCAGAAAAATAAAACTCAAACAAAGCTTGAATATTTCAAAAGAAATTTGACATATTAACTGTATTAATTAATCCTGATACTGTTCTGAAACAACTTTAAAACTGTAAACAATCTTGATTATTTCCAGAGAGAAATATTTAGACTAAAATATTCACGATCAAAACTGGTTTAAAAATTCCACTAACTTGGGTTTTTAAAAATATTCCTTTCAACTCCAAAGTGGACAGAAAAAAAATAGGCCATTTTTTGCTGTAAATTAACATAGTGGAAATAATCACACACATTAAATTTCCTGTTTCTTTATGAGAACTGCTTATATTTTTGTGAGCTTCACTACCAGAACATTTCTATTTCAAGTGTTGAATGATAGAGACTAAAAATTCTATAACCTAAAATCTAGCAGCTTCCACGTTTTTCTCAACTAAGCACAGCATACCTTTTGCTGAGGGGAATAATTCTAGCGGTAAGGAGATGATTCATTCTTGAGCAACCAACCTCCACATTCCATTTTATCTTTAGTAAGGCTGACAGACAAATGATCTTTACTCAACCATGTTTAGTATATGGTTCAAAAAGAAAATACCTATAGAAACTTTTCAGGCCCACAGTCATGTTATCTCTAATGATTTTAGAGTATCTTAGAAGTAAGGCCAGATATCACAAAAACGACACAGGCCAGCTTACATAAATCAATTTTTTTTTTCATTTAGCATTACAGTTGCAGTGTTTGTTGCATAACAAAGAAACTCTCTTCTAGGTAGGTAAGTGGACAGATACCAACTCAGGTAGGACTTAAGAGGTGTAAGATATTGGAAGGGTGCGCATTAAAGTAAGTATGAAGGGAAAATGCCTTTGAGATTCTGATAAAAATTATGAACTTGGTTTCTTAAAAAGATGATTATATGTACAATTTGGCAAATGTGCAGAAGATTTTTTAGTTCATGAAACTCATCTATAGGATTGTAACAGTTTATAGACCTCATACTAAGAATCCCAGAATAAAGGCATTTTCCTCTAGTAAAAAGCAAATGTCTCTAATATCCAGAATCTACAAGGAACTGAAACAAATTTACAAGAAAAAAACAAACAACCCTATCAAAAAGTGGGCAAAGGATACGAACAGAAACTTCTCAAAAGAAGACATACGTGTGGCCAGCAAACATATGAAAAAAAGCTCATCATCACTGGTCATTAGAGAAACACCAATCAAAACCACAATGAGATACCATCTCATGCCAGTTAGAATGGCAATTATTAAAAAGTCAGGAAACTACAGATGCTGGAGAGACTGTGGAGAAATAGGAATGCTTTTACACTGTTGGTGGGAGGGTAAATTAGTTCAACCATTGTGGAAGACAGTGTGGTGATTCCTCAAGGAGCTAGAACCAGAAATTACCATTTGCCCCAGCAATCCCATTACTGGGTATATACCCAAAGGATTATAAATCATTCTACTACAAAGACACGTGCACAAGTATGTTTATTGCAGCACTATTTACAATAGCAAAGACTTGCAACCAACCCAAATGCCTATCAATGATAGACTGGATGAAGAAAATGTGGCACATATACACCATGGAATACTATGCAGCCATAAAAAAGAATGAGTTCATGTCCTTTGCAGGGACATGGATGAAGCTGGAAGCCATCATTTTCAGCAAACTAACACAGGAACAGAAAGCCAAACACTGTATGCTCTCACTCATAAGTGGGAGTTGAACAATGAGAACACATGGACACAGGGAGGGAAACATCACACACTGGGGCCCGTTGGTGGGTGGGGGGCAAGGGGAGGGATAGCATTAGAAGAAATACCTAATGCATGTGAGGCTTAAAACCTAGATGATACGTTGATAGGGGCACCAAACCACCATGGCACATGTATACCAATGTAGCAAACCTGCACGTTCTGCACGTGTACCCCAGAACTTAAAGTAAAATTAAAATAAAAAAGCAAATGCCACTGAATGAAACAACTTCAAATTGTTTGAATCATCTGTACATATTGATTGTCTTTCAATGAATTCTTATTAAGCACCTACCCTCACATAAAGCACTGTACAAAATGCTGTACACCCTTAGGCTGTCTCAGTGGAACCTCAACATCCAAAAGCAGGCTTGGATAAGAGGCAGTGTATTGCTTTACAGTAATGGAATTATTGTAACCAAAGGATTTTGTTGTTGTTTGTTCTTGTTGTTGTTATGCTCAAGTTTAATTTTTATACTTATTTTTTAAAGAAAGAATTCTTCAAGCCCAGAAAGCACGTTAACTTTTCATTATGAAATTACTCACTGACTCAGTCAAGAGAGCATTGTTATCAGTTATCCTTTTGTATTCATCAAGGTTCTCCACAGAAACAGAACCAATATTATATATATAGATATATCAAAAGAGAGGTATTATGAGGAGTTGGCTCATGAAATTACAGAGGCTGAGAAGTCCTACAAACTGCTATCTGCAAGCCAGAGGCCCAGGAAAGTCAATGGCGTAGTTCTGGTCCAAACTCAAAGGCCTAAGAACCAGAGGAGCCAATGTTCCATGTCCTAGCTTGAGTCCAAAGGCTCAAGAACCAGGAGTACCAATGTCCAAGGCCAGGAGAAGATGGATGTCCCAGCTCAGAGTAAATTCACTCTTCCTCTGCCTTTTTATCTAACCTGGCTCTTAGCAGATGAGATGATCACCACAAACATTGGTGAGAGGGATCCTTTTTTTTCCTTTTCTAATTTTAGGTTAAATTCACAAGGGGATGATCTTTACTCAGTCTCCTGGTTCAAATGCTGATCTCTTCCAGAAACACACTTACAGACATACCAGAAATAATGCTGTGTCAGCTCTCGGGGCATCCCTTAGCCCAGTCAAATTGTCACATAAAATTAAGCACCACAAAGTGTCTGCAAAAATCCTCACTGACTCAATGTGAGGAGCATTATTATCAGTTACCTATTCCAAAATCTGGGCTCAAACCTCATACAATATTGCCTTCAGCTATGCAATAGTACCCATAGTTCTGTTGGAAGCATAGTCAGAAAGAGGCTTTCAGAGTTTCACTTAGATCAGATGCTTGACTTCTGGTCCTGCAATACAAGCAATTTTAGAGAGCAATGCCTGTAAATGAAGGAAATGAAAAAGCTGCTGATTCCTAGCAGACTGCAAAACACAAATTTAACACTTAACATTAAAACCCTTTAGCTGAGAACTCCCAAGATTCCTTCAGCTGTTTCTACTACCTTTGGACATGGAATTTCAACATAAAAAAGCATTTTTCAGGTAGGTGGGTTTGAGCCCTGTCTCTACATACTATTTCTTGGCTCTGTAACCTCGGGCAAGACAGTCAACATTTCAAACCCCATAAGATCCCTATCATGGAGGCCCTGGTAAAGACTAACTCTTCTAAAGGGTTTAGTGCAGTACCTGACAAAGAGAAGCATTCTACAAATAGAACTCTTTTTCTTTTCTTTTTTGAGACAGAGTTTCACTCTTGTCGCCCAGGCTGGAGTGCAATGGTGCGATCTTGGCTCACTGCAACCTCCGCCTCCCAGGTTCAAGCAACTCTCCTGCCTCAGTCTCCCGAGTAGCTGGGATTACAGGTATGCACCACCACACTCGGCTAGTTTTGTATTTTTAGTAGAGACGGGGTTTCTCCATGTTGAGGCTAGTTTCAAACTCCTGACCTCAGGTGATCCGCCCACCTCGGCCTCTCAAAGTGCTATGATTACAGGTGTGAGCCACCGCACCCGGCCTAGAACTCTTTTTCTTGTCTTACATTACCCCCACCAATCTTTCCAACCTCTGAAATTTAGATAGGATCTGGCTCAGAAAAAAATAAAATTTGTTCAAAGTCACATAGCTAACATGTCTAGAAGCTCAAACTGGACACTAAGTCTCTTCATCCTTTATCAGCAAGCACGCTACTAAATACAATGTGGGTACATATAAACATGTGCACAGTCAACCCGTTCTAAACATTGCTGGCACTGTCATAAATAGAACAGGGTCTTTGTTTTCAGGATGGAAGAGGGTCCAATGAGAGAAACCTCAGACATGCACATGTTTATGTGTATAATGTAATTCTTCAGCAGTAAATACAAGCCCACGGGTCTCTAGGAGAAACAATGTGGAGGATTGGGTTGGCAACAGTTTTCCATAAACAGTGACACTTGATCTGAGCATCAAGGTACACTGAACACATCTGAAGTCAGAACACCAGGATAAAATTACTCAGTCACTTATAAGCAATGAAACTTTAAATTCCTTAATATTTTCCAAGTGATAGTTTTTCATTTGAAAAGTAGGGGTAATAACATCCACCTCACAGAATTGCTGTGAGGGTTAAATTAAGTAATTTTGGCTAAAGCCCTGATCATCATATAATTCATCGTCCAAACGAGGATCCATTTGAGAATATAAGAAGATACTATTAAAAATTACACCAGGACAAGGGGCATAAACCTAGGCACATGGTCACCCAATTTATCATGTTATCTAGTACAAAGATAATATTCAAAATATATCAGTTCTTTTCTTTGTTCCTGAGTCTTGAACAATGTAATTTCTCAGGCAGAGGAGAGGGGGAAAATACGTAACCGACAGAGGGAACTCAATGAACAAATGAGCATTCCAATATAAAATGTTATGAAAAGTTTCACCTCGTTTACACAATCACATAATTATAAAATATTACAGCGGGGAAGAATTGAGATGTTATTAATCCAAACACTTCATCTTAGAGCTTAAGGAAATGAATCTCCAAATGGTTAAATGACAGGGATATTTTGTTTCATAGCCAAGATCAGCACCTAGATTTTCTGACTGCTCACGCAGGGACCTCACCATCCCTCATGTCTAAGAAAGATTTCTCCTAAACCAGAGCTGTTATAGAAATGAAAGCAAATCCGTAACTCTCCTCAATAGCTTATCTCACAGTTCTTAAATTCTTACTGATTCAATTCAACCAACTGCAATTCCAACTAGTACTGTCTTTGGGGACGATGAGTAAAACTAGCAGCTCCCTTAGCCAAAGAAAAGGAGTGATTTTACTCTCCTATCTGTTATTTATTGTTACATTATGAATGAACAAATATGTTCTTCCTCATTTATGTAACATATTTCCTTTGAATTTGGAGATGTCATTTGTAAAATATATTTAATAGAGCAAACAGTTTAAAAACAGAAGTTCAAAAATAATGCACTTCACATTGAACTAGTTCTTCCAACTGATGAAATAACTCTCTAGGTCAGAAATTATTAATATTTTTTCTGCACAGCATGAGTGAACTAGCAGATATACATCATCATCATTAACAGTGGTTCTCAAAAGGGGATGGAGGATAGAAGAATTTTGGGGAGATGTGTATAATTTTTTCTCAAAGGTCCCCAAATTATTCTGATACTCTCCTGATATCCTCCCTACATCCCCCCAACACACACATACCCCAAGCCATTTTTCATAATTCTGGAAGTAAGTTGAACATTAAGAATGTTTCCACCTGAAAAATAAGTTGGAGAGAGAGAGATTTCCATCTGTGTTTTGTTGGATCATTGAGACCTTGCTCAATAGTTTCCTCTCTAAAAGTTTTACAGTCTCATCCTCCAAGCAGTTAATTACTCAGTCTCCTGTGATCCAAGAGCATTTGCATTCACCCCTATTACTGGCTCAGCCATCCTATCATAAAAATTGCTCAGGTCTTTCTGCCCAGTAGATTGCTACCCAGAGATATGTACTGGGCTACATATTGCTCTGTAAACTCAGTCACAGCCTGGCACATAGTAGGAGCCCAAATAATCTCCCATTGAAGGAATTATACCAGGTGCCTAGGAAACAATACACTAATACAGAATAATACTTAGGAATGTTTTTAGCACAAAAGAGATGGTTTGTGTATAAACACTGTAAGTCCTTTGGAAGATAGTGCAAAACTACAAGATACAATTCTCTATGGTATGGCAAATTGCTACACTGCTTTCTTTAAACGGTACTTAGTGGCCTAGAAGCTAATGTCTCTCCCAAAATGCCTGGCCCCTAGAGAGTCACTTAATGTAGCTAGAAGCATTTGAGTTATTTCATTACATGAAATCATTTTGGTTTTAAAAGTGCTGCACACGAGTATTTCTTATCTTACTGAGCTCATTATTTGTAACCTCGGGGAAATGATTTTAAAAAAAAACTTGTATGATAGAGAAATGAGAGAGAGAGAGACCAAGAAAGAGAGAGAGAGAGAGAGAAAGCTACGGTCTGTGAAAGAAAATGTTTAGGAGGTAGAGTGGGAATGAGGGACTACCCAAATCCAGCCTATTAAATTAACCACATGAAGATTCTAGGCTCTCAGGCCTTGAGAGAATGCCTGAGACTCAAGAAAAATTTAACTAAATATGTATATTATTGGCTTTCATAAACATGCTTTCTGGTTTACAGAAGTGACAAATAATTGCTAGATGATGTGGACAAAGAAAGGACTATGATATACACAAAGTTTAAATTTCACTTACATGATTTCTCACAGAGTATAAAAAGTTGTCAAATTCGGTAAAATAATTGCTGGATTTTAGGTCCTATAGCTGTTTTATTTTCCTTATGGTCAAACTGAGTGGACATAGTCATTCAGCTGTTGGTGTACTGATATTAATTTCTTAAAATCCTTTATAACTGTGTTGTGCAAAAATAAATAGCAAGCAAACTTCCTTGTGCTATCAGTAGAGGTTTAAATTCAAAAACTTGTTCTTCAAAGCACCAAATGTAGTCACTGATGTCACAAGTTAATAAAAGGATTTTAGTATCACGTCCAATACTACCACCACCTCCAGAAAATAAAAAATAAAAGCACATTTTCAATCTATTGGTTGATTCATACACCAACATATTCATTTTATCACTGAATGTGTTTGTTCCAAACTGTCTCTCAGAGTTTTATGAGTCTTAAATGCACATTTCAAGATGTGTAATCTGAATTATAAACATTCAGGCAGTATACTCATATATTATTAATTGCTTTTTTTTGTTGTTTTTTTTTTTTTTTGAGACACAGTCACTCTGTCATCCAGGCTGGAGTGCAGTGACATGATCTCAGCTGACTGCAGCCTCCATCTCCATCTCCCGGGTTCAAGCAATTCTCCTGCCTCAGCCTCCCAAGTAGCTGGGACTACAGGTACCCGCCACCACACCCGGCTAATTTTTGTATTTTTAGTAGAGACGGGGTTTCACCACGTTGGCCAGGCTGGTCTTGAACTCCTGACTTCAAATGATCCACCCTGGCCTCCCAAAGTGCTGGGATTTACAGGCGTGAACCACCATGCCTGGCCTTATTAATTCCTTATTAAAGAGATACCTGAAGAGTATCCCTATGTTATCAATGACTTCCACTGATATCATCAGCAAGCAATTATTGAGCTGCTATTGTATCTAATTGGGCTACTAGTTGCTATAAGTAACTGTGAAACTTGATTTTAGCCTCAAGGAGTTTCCGTCACTATCTATCTTAAAGAAAGAAATGTAGGGCAGAGGAATTAAAATACTTGAGCCTGTTTGTCCTAAGAAGAAGGAATCTTTTATCTTATGTTAACATTTTAAAATATACTCAGTCTCCCTGTTGATGACCCTATGAGTTTACGTTTTTTTCTCTTTTTTATTTTAGTGACTATTATATAAATATGAAACTAGTAATCTATTGCATACAAACTTCTATATATAATGATGGATTCTCCAGGGAGCTGAATAATGGTACAAACATTTTCAGGCTTTAGAACATAGATCATATGTTCTATTGGCTGCAGAGAGATATTTTGCCTTTCAAGCTGTGGATTTTTATTTTTAATTCAACATTGTGTCTCCCACCATCTGCCTACTATATTGTTGTAAGCACTGCAGTTTTTTTGTTTTTGTTTTTGTTTTTCTTGAGATGGAGTTTTGCTCTTGTTGTCCAGGCTGGAGTGTAATGGCACAATCTCAGCTCATCGCAACCTCCGCCTCCCGTGTTCAAGCAATGCTCCTGCCTCAGCCTCCCAAGTAGCTGAGATTACAGGCATGTGCCACCATGCCCGGCTAATTTTGTATTTTTAGTAGAGATGGGGTTTCTCCATGTTGGTCAGGCTGGTCTTAAACTCCCGACCTCAGGTCTGCCCACCTCGGCCTCCCAAAGTGCTGGGATTACAGGCACAAGTCACCATGCCCGGTCAGCACTGCAGATTTTTTAAAATACGAGTATGTTCCCTGCCCTCAAGAAATCACAGGCTTCAGAAGGCTAATAAATAATAATAGTCTAAAGAAGTTGGCAAAGACCAAACTTCATGCCTTTTTATGCTCTTCTATTTCTTTCTCAGAGAACGGCCCCATCATCTACTCAGCCATCCCAAGAATTACTGTAGACTCATTCCTCTCCTTTAATCCAAACATTTAAACAGAGTGCAAGCTCTATTAAGTCCACCTTCTTAATTCCTCTTGAAGCAATTTCTACTACAACGGCCATGTCTCAGATCTGCTTCTCTATCCACCTGGAATGGTGCAATAATCCCTGTATTTATCAGAATTGTTTTAGTAGGAAGGAACAGAAACCTAACTCAATATAGCCTAAGGAAACAATCGGGAAGGGAGAAAATTTTCTGAAAGAAGGAAAGTTGGGTAGTCCATAAAACGAAAAGAATAACTGTGGGATCCAGTGCAATTAAGCACACAGTGCCTAGTAACCAGGACTCTCTCCACCTGCCGTCTCTGTTTCAATAAGGACTACGGTGTTTTTCTGTCCTACTGCAATCAGTTTACCTGGGCATCAGGAAAGAAGGCTGTCCTAGGCTGCAGAGTCCTCTCCCACATCCTCCAAAATTAACGTCTACCCAGAACCTGTAAATGTAACCTTAATTTGAAATAGTGTCTTTGCAGAGATAATCAAGTTAAGATGAGATCATACTAACTTAGGATGGGCCCTAATTCAGTGACTGGTATTCTTCTAAGAAGAGGGAAATTTTGGACAAAGAGACATCCGGGAAGAAGATGGCCATGTGACAATGAAGGCAGATATTGGAGTGATGCATCTAGAAGTCAAGAAATGCTAAAGATCGAAGGGAACCCACCAAGCTGGAAGATACAAAGAAGAATCCTCTTCTGCAACCTTCAGAGCACCACCCTGCTGACACCTTCATTTTGAACTTCTAGCCTCCAGAACTACGAGAGAATAAATTTCTATTTTAGAAGCCACCCAGTTTGTGGTATTTATTTCCTAATGCCATAAGAAACCAATATAACAGCCAGAGGAAGACCCAGGTATTCGTCATTTCAGTTTAGAAATCCTAAAAGAAAGAGAATGCCTCTGTCTTCCATATAAGCATATTTTAAAATCCTAACCTCAGAATTTGATGGACCTAACTGCAGTCACACACTGTTGCTTGGACAGATCAGAGTGCCTAGGGATGGGACACCATCACTGCCCATGCCTAGGAAATGTATGCCTCTCTCTGACTGCAGAGTCAGGAGTAGGGAACTGTGACTGGAAGTTTTCCCAAAAAATCAACTGGAGTAGGAGAGGAGCAGTTACTAAGCCAAAAAGGGAAGGGTTCTGATACCAAAACGAGGCAGGATGCCAAGCAAACAAACTGACATCAACTATGGCCTCATAGGTTCTCTCTCCGCATCTTACCTTGTCCCCCGACTAGTCCACTGCCAAGGCTCTGCTGGACTAGTCTTCCCCAAAGGCATCTCTCACCATATGGCCTCCTCAAAATCTGTTAACAGTTCCCTTCAATTTTTAGAGCAATAGATATCATTATCTTGCTCCTGACTCCTGTGCCACCCCCAACACTCCCCACACTTCCAGCCAGAACAAACCTCTCACAGTTGCCGCCACACTCCAGGAAATTTCAAACTTCCATCTCCTTGCTCCTTCCTGGAAGTTTCTTTCTACTTTCCCCACTTTGTTCATTCCTGTTCATCCTTTTCATTATTATTATTATACTTTAAGTTCTAGGTACATGTGCACAATGTGCAGGTGTGTTACATACGTATACATGTGCCATGTTGGTTTGCTGCACCCATTAACTCCTCATTTACATTAAGTATTTCTCCTAATGCTATCCCTCCCCCTGCCCCCCCACCCCACGACAGGCCCCAGGGTGTGATGTTCCCTGAGAACTAGAAATACCATTTAATCCCGTTACTGGGTATATACCCAAAGGATTATAAATCATGCTGCTATAAAGACACATGCACACGTATGTTTATTGCGGCACTATTTACACTAGAAAAGACTTGGAACCAACCCAAATGTCCATCAATGATAGACTGGATTAAGAAAATGTGGCACATACACACCATGGAATACTATGCAGCCATAAAAAAGGTTGAGTTCATGTCCTTTGCAGGGACATGGATGCAGCTGGAAACCATCATTCTGAGCAAACTATCATAAGGACAGAAAACCAAACGTCGCATATTCTTACTCATAGGTAGGAACTGAACAATGAGAACCCCTGTTCATCCTTTTAAGATTGCACTCAACTATCAGTAGTAACTGCTTCTCTACTCATCACCTTGAAAGAGGAAAGATTCCCTTGTCCCCCTCGCGGGGCTGCAAAGGGGCTGTGGCTCACTTCTTCAGTGCCCCGCTGCTCAAACCTCTAGGGGAGTATACAGACAGGCAGGTTGTGGGGCTCCGACCGCCACAGTGTCTAGGGGTGAATGTTTACAGCTCCTGAAGCCCCAGTGCCCATGTATTACAGGGTGCTTAGTTTAGCGGTTAGTAAGCCCGATTAGACCCTCTGCCTGGTCACAAGGACAGAGGGTTTTCTGTATCCTGGGTTCTTACCTTGGTGAACCGGAAGAATCGGATCACACGTGGGCTTGGAGGATAAGTGCAAAGTTTTACTGAATGGCAGTAGTTCTCCCAGGATGGGGAAGCCAGAAGTGAGATGGTCTTCCCCTGGAGTTGGGCTGCTCGGCAGCCCCAGGTTCTCCTCTGACTGCCCCAGCCTCCGCATCTTCCGCCAGTGGATGGCCTGTTGGCCCGCCTGTGCCTGCCATGCTCTTCTGCCAGCAGGCTCTCAAGGACCGGCCGCTTGTGTCTGCTTCAGCCGATGTGCTCCCATCGACGTCTGGCTGCCTGTGTGTCTGCGCACTAGGGTCTCGGGTTTTTATAGGACCAGGATGGGGACATGGTAGGCCAGGGTGGTCTTAGGAAATGCCTGTCCTCAACTAGGTCTGTAGGGGTAGAGACCTAGCCAGGGACCACGCCCTCCTCTACCCAGCTCGTCCCTTCCCCCCTTAGGTATCATTTAAAGGCAATACGCTCTTCCTTTCCCAGCACTTCCCTATCAACCTCACCTTCTAGATTCGTATCTCTCATCTGTAATACAAGAACAGGAATTATTAATTTCCAGGAGAAACCCCTTCAAACCTCAGTGTGCTTCTCCAATAATTGAAGGGTGGATTTCTGATTTCTTTTATGAGGCCCATGGAGCTGACAAGAACCACAGAAATACATCAAATGACTTTTGGCAAAATTATCTTTCTCTGTCAATAAGATACTGTCTAATTCTGAAATCCTAGACTTGCTATAAGTCAAAAATTTGGAAGCTAGGAAAACTTGTTATGCAATAGATAAAATAAATGCTGCTATAAATCAAATAAAAGTAAATCAATTATTAATTCAAAAACTAATAGAAAGAGAAAAGGAAGATACAATCTACAGATATGATTAGAGAATTATTGTGAAAAGCCTGAGCACCTCTTGGATACCTAATCTCATTCTAGGATCTGGAAATCCCATCTAGCTCATCCCATCAGCATTATCATAAAATTCAAATCTGATAGGAAAAAAATAGCACATTAAGCTAGGATCATTGATTTATACCTCAGCACTTATTGTAATGCTCAATACAGTAATATAGTAAATAATATAAGCTCTAGACTCAAACTAGTTTGGTTCAAATCTATGTTCTGCCATGACGATATGTGGCCCGGGGGAGCTTATTCAAACTCCTAAATATTTCTCTCCTGTAAAAGTGACATGAAAATACTACCTCTTCATAGAACCCAAGCACTTACAACAGTAGTTGACATATAGTAAGGGTTCGGTAAATCTTTGGATTACATTCTCTCCAGTCTTTTAGCAGGACCATAAAGAATAAAGGAAAGCCAAGGGAGAGGATACAAAGAGCATGGGGCAGACCTCATGCAAGACAGGGGCTGGTAAAATAGTTAGTGAGAAGGAGGGCATAGATGCTGAACCTGGGCTCTGGAGGCATCCTTGTTTTAGCAGGGGCTGTTATTAATCGGAAGCAAGCAGAATGACAGAGGTCTCAGTTATTTATTCAGTGCCAGTCATTTCTCTGTGATGGCCTTTCTCAAATTAGAAGCTCCTTTGGATGAGTCTGAAAGTAGAATTCTACCTTCAGATTTTTCACTGTTTCTCCACTCTTCTGGTAGGAAGGGGAGGAAGGGGAAACTTTCAGTGATGCAATTCATAGATGCTCTAGAATCCAGGAAGAAAAAAAAAAAGTTCTTGCTGGGATGTGGCAATTCACCTCACTGCCCTGCACAGAATGGTGTGAGGGACAACTAGTTGTGGCTTTAAAGAAATCACTTTTGAGTAGAATGTATATTTTTGTTGTATTTTTTGTGGTTTTTTTTTAGAATCCTCCACAGCAACATACAAGACCATGGAGTTAAAGAAACCCAGAGAAATTCATCAATTAATCGTCCTGTTTGTGAATTTGTATAAATAATAACAAAGATCTTCTTAAAATGTTTATTTCTTACTACCATAAAAGGTTGAACTGGTATTTATATAATAAAAGAGGAAATATGAGTACATTTTTGGGGAAAAAAAAAACCAGCCTTGTATCTGCAAATTATTTTTAAGGCATTGTGTGCTTGGGTACACACCAAGGTAGGAGGTGCTGTTGTATACTCTAAAGTTAAAGAGGACACAAGGTAGGGTTTGGTGCATCCTGTCTGGTGGGTGACTCAGCTCACGGGTAAAATTTTATTCTGCATAAGATTTACTACTGACACATGTTTTGTTTCTAGAAATGTGATTAGACTGGAGATTTATAAATTTTTTGGCTTTAAACTGTCAACATGGAAATTTAGAGAAAATGAAACTTAAAAAAAGATTTGTATGTAAATCACAAAGAAAGTTTTAAATGACAGTTATGAAAACAAAACCACAAAAACTGTTAAGAGATGTCATTTTAGACATGCTTAGTATATTAGTCAAGGTTCCCTAGAAAAATGGAACCGTGTGTGTGTGGGTGTGGGTGTGTGTGTGTGTGTATGTGTGTGTGGAGAGAATGACTGATTTTTAAGGAGTTGGCTCTCACCCTTGTAGGAGCCAGTAAGTTCAAAATCTACAGGGTAAACCAGTAGACTGAAGCCCCAGGGGAGAGTTGATATTGCAACTTGAATCTCAAAGCAGTCTGTTGGCAGAATTCCTCTTCCCTGGGAGAGGTCAGTCTTTTTCTCTTGAGGCCTTCAAGTGACTGAAAGAGGCCCACCTACATTATGGAGGGCCAACTGCTTTACTCAAAGTCTGCTGATTTAAATGTTAATCTCATGTAACAGATACCTTCACAACAACCTCCAGACCAGTGTTTGACCAAATATCTGGGTACTGTGGCCTAGCCAAGCTGACATAAAATTAATCGTCATTGTTATTAGTCTTCCTTTCCCAGTTCCCAAGGAAATGTCATCACTTAAACTAACTGGATACTACAGATACTAGTTAGGTTAGAGTTTCCTCTCTTTCTCTGAAAAATATATATATATAAAATAACTTTTCAACTATAAATTTTTGGGTTTTTTGCACTCTCCTTTGTAAAAATAAGGCCCACAGCCTCAAATCCTCTGAATCCAATATCACTAGGTTTCAGACTCCGTGTGCACCTTAGGACATACTATGGAGAACCATGCCCCAGAGTCATCTCCTGAACATTGGTGTGGATTTTTATTACTCAGTTACTTAAAATAAAGTCAAAGGATGCAAATGGAATTTGACACATTATTGCCCTTAACTCATACTGAACTTAATACACTGTGATGTGAAGCACAAACGAATGCAAAACAATATGCACTAAGACCACAGAATGGATTAGGTGAATTTAAAGTCACAGTCTATATAATATTAATGCCAAGGTGAGCAATGCACTATATTTGCTTTTACATTGCCTACAGTGTCTTGCATGCCACCAATACAAATTTTTTAATCGCCTAAAAATTCGACTGGAGAATTTGTTCTAAAATCTTTCATAGTCCCACAATATTTTATGTCAGCATCACCAAGTCCTACACTACTGGGTGCCAATTACTTCTCATGTTTGTCTGCATGCTGTGTCCATGCCCTTTTCACAAAGGATTTCAATCATTTTAGAAAGACAAGAAAAAAATGTAATGCATTATTCCCTGAATTACCAGAATGTGCATACTGTGCTAGGTCCTAGAACCCACTGATGGATAATACACATTTTAAAACCTCTACCAGGATTTGGAGAAATAGGAACATTTTTACACTGTTGGTGGCAGTGTAAATTAGTTCAACCATTGTGGAAGACAGTATGGCGATTCCTCAAGGATCTAGAACCAGAAATACCACTTGACCCAGCAATCCCATTACTAGGTATATGCCCAAAGGATTATGAGTTATTCTACTATAAAGACACATGCACACGTATGTTTATTGCAGCGCTATTTACAATAGCAAAGACTTGAAGCCAATCCAAATGCCCATCAGTGACAGACTGGATAAAGAAAATGTGGCACATATACACCATGGAATATTATGCAGCCATAAAAAAGAATGAGTTCATATCCTTTGCAGGGACATGGATGAAGCTGGAAACCACCATTCTCAGCAAACTAACACAGGAGCAGAAAACCAAACACCACATGTTCTCACTCATAAGTGGGAGTTGAACAATGAGAACCCATGGGCACAGGGAGGGCAACATCACACACCAGGGCCTGTCGGGGGATGGGGGGCAAGGGGAGGGATAGCATTAGGACAAATACCTAATGCATGTGGGACTTAAAACCTAGATGACGGATTGATAGGGGCAGCAAACCACCATGGCACATGTATACCAATGCAACAATCCTGCATGTTCTGCACATGTATCCCAGAAGTTAAAGTAAAATTTAAAAAAGAAAAGAAAAGAAAAACAAACAAACAAAAACCTCTACCAGCCTATAGGATACTGGGGAGAGAAAAGCCCTCCAGAGCTTACAGACTAATATAAAAAGAAAAATAAGTATTTAATTATAGTTTGGCGTGTGCTTTTCAGAAAATAGACAAGTAAGTACTTTTCCTTAAATCTACAGGTTATCATGAGAGTGAGCCAAGGAGGAACAACTAGAGGATGGAGTGGAGGATCAGACAAAGCTTACCCAAGAAGTAAGATAAAGGCTGAGAAGCTGAGGCTTGAGAAGACTTTAGGCAGGGTAATAGTAAAAGAAGGATCATTCCTGGGACAAAGAACATAATGGTGCAAAGGTCTTTACCTAAGAAGCATCAGTACAAGTACTAGGGACAGAGGGGGTAGAAGTGAGACAGAGAGTGGCTGGACAAAACAGGGTTCCATCAAGCCAGGCCTCACTGGGCCATCTTAACCTAAAAATGCAGCTGAGGCCTGGAAGAGCCATGTAAGCTGGAACATCTAAAAAAGCTTTTTCCCTCCATTCATTTAAGAGGCTTAAGTCATTTGGAAAAAACATGTATCCTAAAATATCAATAAATTATATGCAACTTCTCTCCCTTTATACTGGAAGTCCTAGATCTACAGATATAATCTAAGTATCTGTGCTTAAATCATTGAAAGCACATTTATAGAACACTATTTTTAGAAAACTAAATATTCTCTCTTAACTATAGTATAAGTTTGTGGCTATTACCTCTAGCAAATCTTGAGAAACGTAGGAAGAAGGTCATAGAAGTTTTCAAATGCAACAAAATGCATTTCAACAAAATACTGAAGTTTGAGTAAAATACAAGACAGAAAAATTTAATCATACTAATGGAGTCGATAATGAGTTTTCTGCTGTAATATCTGAAAGCACACTTTAGTCTAAAATAAAGAACGTTACTTTTTTCCACTTATTGAAGTTTATTAGGTATAAAGAAATGAATCTGCAGATAGTCATAATTCAATAAAAAATGCAAGTGAAATACGGGAGGAATTGCAGACTATAGTGTCAGTGAGAATATGTGAGGGATGTTCGGAACACTGCAACCCAGATGCCCCTATATATGAATTCATGGGTACAGAGCTAAACCATAATGCTGTCAGAGGGAACTTAGTACACTGAATATCTGCTTGAATGGTAGCAAATTCAGTGATGTATCTTTAGAAAAGCTATGATGCCAGATTCCTAAGCCATCGCCCTAATTGTGGTTTTTGCTTTTTGCTCATTTCTTCCCTCTATCATTGAGAATCAAGGAGCCCTGTTATCTAAACGCAAGCGATTAGTGCTTATTTATTACTCTCTGTTGCCTTGGATGTGAATGTCTTCATTTTTCTAAGTTGAGACTGAGAACTGCACCATATAAATCAACATATGCATTGAAATTCTGAAACTAGAAGTGGGGAGTGAGGGTTAGTTTCTCACCAGAAAATGACCTCCAAGGTCTCTCTTTGAGTCTTAAGATGCTAGGACATGATCCATTTGTTGTACATCTATCATAAACAAGGGCTAAGGTCAAGGCTGCAATAACAAGAAGCACTGTTCTAGGTCAGACACTAAAATGGTGGGGGGGACAAATGTGTTCTCAGCATCTTAACAGCTGATAAAATTCAACATATGTCTTATGAGTGAATCATAACAATGAAAGGAAAATTAATTTTAAAACTCAAAATGGAATTGGGATGGGGGGGGAAACCCCATTTGGGAGACAAAAAATCAACCCCAACTGTCAGGAAACCATAAATTAGCAAAGGAGAGAGAGAAACAAGCTACTTTTTTACTATGAAAGGAAGTTAAATAGCTACATTTCCTTCAAACCAGGAACAGATTTGAGCAGTTATAATTTGCCAGGATGAGTGGGCCACCTAAATTACCTAGTTGGATGAGGGTCATTTGATCAGAGTAACTATGATCGCATTAACTCCATGTAATTCTCCAACCAAAACAAATCAACTCAGAATTTTTCAGTGGTCTTAGCTGATGACAGTATTGTTTGTCTTTAACATACTACTTCTTGAGCACTTGAAAATGTAACCAACAACACAAAAAGTAAAATAAAAAGCACATTTTCTGTAGCATTTTAAAACTACAGAAGATCTTTTAAAGGCCTTGGATATTCTAAAATAAGTAGCAATACATTTGGAAAGAAAAAAACCATAACAAAATTCAGACCAGCAACCCAGAAGAATACAGAAAAAAAAAACTATTAGAATTAATAAATGAATCTGGCAAAGTTGCAGCGTACAAGATTAACATGCAAAAATCAGTTGTGCTTCTCTATACACCAACAATAAACAAAAAAGGGAAATTAAAACAATTCTATTTACAAAGTACAGTGATTACAATCACAAGTTTTGAAGACAGGCTTCTTGAGTTCGAGGCCCAACTGCCACTACTAACTGGGGAATCTTCTGGAAATTACCTAATCATTCTGTAGTTTAGTTGCCTTATCTGTATACATGGAAATAAACCACAACCTATTTCACGGGTTGTTCTGAGAATAAATCAGCTAATGCATGTCAGTTGTTTAAAACTCACATGACACAGTGAGCACTCAATAAATGTTACATATATAAAAGAAATTTTAAAATACACAAGCACAGGGAACAATAATTAGAAAAGCTCCAAAGCCTCCATTATTTACCAGTGCTTTTGGAGTTGGATTTGGAGGATTTGTTTTGTTCTTGTTATTTAGCTGTGCTGCTTCAGACCCCAAGTCAGGTGAGAGGTAATGGTGTTGGGCAAATGGACCTCAATAAAGATAATTACACAAAAACCACTACATTCTCTACAGAATGCACTAGTCATTTCTGAAACCCTTTGTCTCAATCATCTGCACATCTCATCTCTCATCAAGTCCTGTGATTCTACCTTCAGTACGGTTTTCTTATCTCCCCCTTCTACTTTCTCCTTCCTTTTGACTACACTGGTTCACATTCTCGTGGTCTCTCACCTACAGTACTGCCATGGCCTCCAAACTCATCTTCCTTTCTCTAATCTCATAATTCTCAAATCCCTCATAACTCCTACCTATCCACTAGGGATGATCCATCGAACACACCATTTCCCTGCTTAAATGTGTCAAAGGCTCTTTGCCATGCCATATCATACTGCATTTCTGCCTTCCACACCATCCTCATCCATTACATCATCACAGTTTTCCTTTTGCACTAGAACTCACAAAAATGATCTAACTTGTCCTGCTCCCATTTGTAGTCTTGCTCCTTCTTCTTCTATCGTTTTGGTGAAGATGGTAAATTTTATATTGTATATTTTACCACAATTAGAAAGAAAAGCAGATACAATTTTATCTGAAGAAGTTCTGGTGCATATGTCTTTCAGTGCGTCACAGACCGCCCTTCCTCATGTGTCTAAGTTACCTTGAGGGGAAAGGCTCTACTTTGCTTTGTTTGATCTGACTCTCTGTGTTGATGCTGGGCAAATCATCTCCCTAGAGAGTCCAGTTGCCACTTGAACAGTGATCATGATGGTGGTGGTGGCCTATCTGGAGCAGCTGCTGCAGGGACGCAGGCTGTAGCAGGGGAGGCGCAGCCAGGGTTGCTTGCTCTGCAGAGCTGGCAAGCTCTGGGAACAGGTGGGAGTCATGCCCCCTACCAAGTTGGGGCTGCAGCTGCCCAGCCACAACTCCAGACCTGGGCATCTCTGCACTCTCAGAGACCCAGGAAGCCCCCTGTCTCTGCAGGCTTGAAAGTGTCTGCCCCTGCTCCGCTGGCCTCTTCCTGCTCCTGGCACCCACTCCAGGGCAGAAAAAAGTCGTGGCCCAGCTGAGCCCAGGTAGGTGTGCATGCACTCAGGGCAGCACCGACACACCAGCACCTTGCTGCCTTGGCCCCCTCTGGACTTTGGGCACCAACAAGCATGGGAGTGAGGCCAAGAGGGCTGAGGGCAGCTCTGCATGAGCCTGCAGGTGTCCCTCAACATAGACAGCCTAGACACCATGGACGGCATGCTGATGGTGTCGGGAGGCAGACAGGCTCCTAGGCAGGAAGGGGCAGGTCCCCAGTGAAACCCCACCTTCAGGCCAGGGACAACCTGAAGCCTGGGGGCCAGACTGCCAGTTCCAGGCAAAGTCCACAGCCTGGAGTGAGAACTTCATTGATGACTGGCCAATCCAATGGTGCATTTTCCAGGCCAGTCCATGGCCACCCATGGATGAAACAGCATGCACTCCTCCATCCTGAGCACATAAAAACCCCAGGCTCAGCCAAACTCACTCACTGGTAGGGACAACCTGCCTTGCCGAAAGGAGCTTCCCTCTTTGGGTCTCCTGAGAGCTGTTCTGTCATTCAGTGAAGCTCCTCTCCATCTTGCTCACCCTCTAGTTGTCCACTACCTCATTTTTCCTGGGCGTGGAACAAGAACTCAGGACTCACCAAATGGCAGGACTGAAAGAGCTGTAACACAAACAGGGATGAAACATGCCCCCCGCTTGCCACGTTGTGAGTGACAAGGAGGAGAGAAGAGCTGCAGCCCTTCTCTCCAGAACCAGGGCTGTGACACACTATAACACCCTCTATGGGGCTCTGCAGTTCCTGACATTTCTGAGCTTTCAGGTGCCATTGCATTCCCCTTGTCCAGACACTGGTGCCCACAGCAGAAGCCATTTGAAGTACGTCTGGTCTAGCTACAGCCTCACACAGAGCCAGCGCCTATGCCAGCATCTGGAGCTGCCCGCCCCACCGCAGCCGGCACGACTGGCTCTGCGCAGTGGCCCAAACTTGCGCTCACTCACTCACACACCTCTCGCCACTCTGGACCTGGCTTTGGCAGGCATGGGATCTGGGCCAGTAGTGCAAGTCGAGCACAGCCTGCCAGTCTGAGTGGGAAGAATGAGCCCAGAGAGCACAAGCAAAACTGAAGCAGAGGCACCGCCAGCCACAGAGGTTTCTGGCTGGTGAAGCAACACCCTAAGGATCCCATGACAGTCATGAAGGTGAGTCATGATTTGTAAAATTCTGGTTTATAGCAAGCATTCATGCTCACAAAGTAGCACTGCAAATGTCCAATTGTCCAATTACATAGGAGAGCCAAGTTCCTCCAAATCTGAGCCTCCGAAATGACCTCCACATCATTACTTCCACATCGTGGAAGTGTAGTCTCCTTCCACAGTCTGAGAGTCCCAGCTCCATTGTTAGACCTGTTACCCAGGCTGGAGTGCAGTGGCAAGATTATGGCTCACTGCAGCCTTGAATTTCTGGGATCCAAAGATTGTCCTGCCTCAGCCTCCCAAGTAGCTGGAACTACAGGCATGTACCACCATGCCTGGCTATTTTTCTTATTTCTTGTAGAGACGAGGACTCCCTATGTTACCACAGCTGGTCTTAAACTACTGGGCTTGATGCCTTCACCTTGTCCTCCCAAATTAGTGGCTTATAGTCATGCGTCACTGCATCTGGCCTTGGACTATTTTTGTTGCTGTTGTTGTTTTCAGGCTATTGAGATATAATTGACAAATATATAAATCCAAAGTGTACAACATAATTTTATACACATATATATTATGAAATGATTACCACAATCAAGTTAGTTGACACATCCATCAACTCACATCATTACATGTTTTTTTCACTCTTCCAGGTTTCGAAGACCCACCCCTTAGACCCTTCATCAAAAGAGAGAGAGACTGCTTCTTTTTTTTTACCTTTTATTTTCGGTTCAGGGCTACATGTGCATATATAGCTGAATTTGTATCACAGGGATTTCTTGTACAGATTATTTCATTTCATTGGCCACGTCCTAAGCCCAGTACCCAATAGTTATCTTTTCCGATTCTCTCCCTCTTCCCACCCTCCCTGCTCAAGTAGACCCCAGTGTTTGTTGTTTCCCCTCTGTGTGTCCATGTGTTTTCATCATTTACCTCCCGCTTCTAAGCGAGAACATGTGGTATCTGGTTTTCTGTTCCTCTGTTAGTTTGCTAAAGATAATGGCCTCCAGCTCCATCTACATTCCCACAAAAGACATGACCTCTCTCTCTTTTATGGCTGCATAGTATTCCATGATGTATATATACCACATTTTCTTTCTCCAGTCTATCATCTATGAGCATTTAGGTTGATTCCATGTCTTTGCTATTGTGAATAGTGATGCAATAAACATACATGTGCATGTGTCTTTATGTTAGAATGATTTATATTCCTCTGGGAATATGGCCAGTAATGGGATTGCCAGGTTGAATGGTAGTTTTGTTTTTAGCTATTTGAAGAATCACCCCCACACTGCTTTCCACAATGGCTGAACTAATTTATCCTCCCACCAATGGTATATAAGTGTTCCCTTTTCTCCACAACATTACCAGCTTCTGATATTTTTTGACTTTTTATTAATAGCCATTCTGACTGGTGTGAAACAGTATCTAATTGTGGTTTTGATTTACATTCCTCTAATAATCAGTGATACAGAGCTTCTTTCATACGCTTGTTGGCTGCATGTATGTCTTCTTTTGAAAAATGTCTGTTCATGTCCTTTGTCCACTTTTAAATGGGATTTTTTCTTGTAAATTTGTTTAAGTTCCTTATAGATGCTGTATATTAGACCTTTGTCAGATGCATAGTTTGCAAATATTTTCTTTCATTCTATAGGTTTTCTGTTTACTCTGTTGTTTCTTTTGCTGCGCAGAAGCTCTTAAGTTTAATTAGATCCCATGTGTCAATTTTTGCTTTTGTTGCAATCGCTTTGGGGTCTTCATCATGAAATCTTTGCCCATTCCTATGTTTCAAATGGTATTACCTAGGTTGTCTTCCAGAGTTTTTATAGCCTTGGGTTTCACACTTAAGTCTTTAATCCATCTATCCATCTTCAGTTGATCTTTGTACGTGGTGTAAGAAAGGAGTTCAGTTTCTATCTTCTGCATATGCTAGCCAGTTATCCCAGCACCGTTTATTGAATAGAGAGTCATATCCCCTTTGCTTTTTTTTTTTTTTGTCAGCTTTGTTGAAGACCAGATGGTTGTAGGTGTACGGCCTTATTTTTGTACTCCCTATTCTATTCCATTGGTCTGTGTATCTGTTTTTGTACCAATACCACGCTCTTTTGGTTACTGTAGCCCTATAGTTTGAAGTGGTAACGCCTCCAGCTTTGCATGAACAGAACTAAGACAAAACACATGACTATCTCAATAGATGCAGAAAAGGCTTTTGATAAAATTCAACATTCCTTCATGTTAAAAACACCCAATAAACTACATACTGAAGGAACATATTTCAAAATAATAAGAGCCACCTATGACAAATCCGCAGCCAACATCATAATAAATGGGAAAAAGCTGGAAGCATTCCTCTTTAAAACTGGCACAAAACACAGATGTCCTCTCTCACCACTCCTATTCAACATGTATTGGAAGCCCTGGCCAGAGTAACTGGGCAATAGGAAGAAAATAGGTAAAGAGGAAGGCTAACGATTCCTGTTTGCAGATGACATGATTCTGTATCTAGAAAACCCCATAGTCTCAGCTCAAAAGCTCCTTCAGCTGATTAACAAGTTCAGTAAAGTTTCAGGATACGAAATCAACATACAAAAATCACTAGCATTCCTATACATCAACAACCAAGCCAAGAACCAAATCAGGAATGCAATCCCATTCACAATTTTCACAAAAAGAATAAAATACCTAGGAATACAGCTAACTAAGGACGTGAAATATCTCTACGATGAGAATTACAAAACACTGCTCAAAGAAATCAGAGATGACACAAACGGAAAAGCATTCCATGCTCAGGGATCAGAAGAATCAATATTAAAATGGCCATACCGCCCAAAGCAACTTACAGATTCAATGCTGTTCCCATCAAACCACCAATGACATTCTTCGCAGAACCAGAAAAAAAAATTTTTAACATTCATATGGAACCCAAAAAGAGTCCGAATAGCCAAGGCAATTTTAAACAAAAAGAATAAAGCTGAAGCCATCACATTACCAGACTTCAATCTTGCTCCTTCTTATCCCTCTATGCTAAAATGTCAGGGTAATGTTTTACTAGTGTTAATCATGATATTTCCCTGTTGAAAACACATAGATGGCTTTCCATTGCATTTGAATAAAGTACTCACTCTCGTGGTCTACAAAGACCTGCCTGGTCAGGCTACAAGCCTCTCTTGCAAGAAACTGCTTGCAGTGCACTGTGCTGTTCTTGCCAGTTTTCACTTCATAACCTTTGTTCATGCTATTGTGTCCAGAATTGGTTCCTTCCGGTGGGTTCTTGGTCTCACTGACTCCAAGAATGAGCCGCGGACCTTCATGGTGAGTGTTATGGTTCTTAAAGATGGTGTGTCCAGAGTTTGTTCCTTCAGATGTTCAGATGTGTCTGGAGTTTCTTCCTTCCAATGGGTTTGCGGTCTTGCTGACTTCAGGAGTGAAGCCGTGGACCTTCACGGCAAGTGCTATAGCTCTTAAAGGTGGTGCAGACCCAAACAGTGAGCAGCAGCAAGATTTATTGTCAACAGCGAAAGAACAAAGCTTCCACATTGTGGAAAGGGACCCAAGCAGGTTGCCGCTGCTGGCTGGGGTGGCCAGCTTTTATTCCCTTGTTTGGCCCCACCCACATCCTTCTGATTGGTCCATTTTACAGAGTGCTGATTGGTGCACTTACAATCCTTTAGCTAGACACAGAGCGCTGATTGGTCCATTTACAATCCTTTAGCTAGACACAAAAGTTCTCCAAGTCCCTACCCGACCCAGAAGCCCAGCTGGCTTCACCTCTCACTATCTTCCCTTCCAAGAATTGCCCTCTATCCTACTCTCATTCTCTTTAATTGTCCAACACCTAATCATTCTTTAAGCCTCATATTAGGAGCCACCTTCTCCAGAATCATTAACTTGAACCTAGCCTTCCCAAAAAGATTATCTCAGGTTTTTGTATAATGTCCTCTGAATATCTCCAGCATTTCACTTGCTATCATGTTTTATCGTTTTCCTTTATATGTCTCCCCCACCCCACCATTTCCTTAGAAATAGGACTTGCTTATTTATAATTGTATCTTCCATGCATTGCATAGTGTCTGGTACAACGTGAAAACAAGAATCCAACTACTCTGGATCACCATATATATCCAGCACCTAGCACAGGGTCTGGCACACAATAGACACTCAATAATATTTGAAAAGAAAGACAGCAAGGAAGGGCAAAGGGTATGACAATGTTTCCCATAAGAGAAGCTGATCCAACCAAGTCATGAAGGACTCAGTCAAATGTATCCAAATGTATCAAGGTATTCCAAGAAAAATGTTGCAAATGTGTAAGCCTGGAGATAAGCAACAATAATCAATTCAGGGAACTGCAAATAGTTTGTCATAGGTGGCGATGCTAGATAGGTAGCCTAATATCTTGGCATAGTCCACATCACACTTTGCTGTAATCATCGGTTAATATCAGTCTTTTCTATTACACCATAAGCTCCATGGGATCAGGGCCAAGGTTATTTTGTTCCTTCCTTTATGTATCACTTCCTCAACAAACACAGTCTGTGCTCAAAAATTATTTTTTGATTTTTCGATGGCTTTGCTGCCACTCATGGTAACTTCATGCTATCACACAAGCCAATGGAGAGTCACCAAATTGTCATAAGAAGACCGACAGGATTATATGTAAGAAAGCCCACCCTGGCAGCAGTACCAAAAATGAAGAGGAAGAGGGCTGGACTGCAATAGGGGAGAGACAGTGAAATGTTATCCATACAAGCATTTTCATTGTAGTCAGATAATTAATTTCTTTAAGTGTCATAGGTTTGCGTGTAATGTCAAATTTTGGAATATTTTTTAAAAAGAAACCCTGTCCTCATTAATTCCTATCATTGCTAACATATAAACTATCCAAAAAATCATCCCATTCCTTCATTTAGCATGGCCAAACTACATGTAGAGATACTAAAACAATTCATTGAGTAGACACTTACTATTCCAATTAATCATATACATGAAAGAGGTCAGAGACCCTGTGCTAGGCACCTACAACTTTTAAAATTATTTAGAATTTCATGAAAAAAGTAGAATATTACAGAGATGCAGGTAGACATACAAATTAGTAGAACAGAATTGAAGTCCAAAAATAAGCCCAAATACATACAGCATCTCACATTAGTGAAGAAAAGATAAAATACATGATGTGGTGACAATGAATCATGATCTGGAAAAAGTTAAAGTTGAATCCAAAAGAATTACAAATTTAAATATAGAAAAATCAAACCACAAAATTACTAAAGCAAACATGGACAAAATGCCTCTATAACTTTGGGCAGAGGAAGGCCTTTCTAAGCAGCTATCAAAATTCAAAAGCCATAAAAGATTGATACATTTATTATATAAAAAATTTTAAAACGTCTACTAAATACTTCCAGTGAAGCCAAAAAATAAGTAACAAACTAGGGAAAGAAACTGTGACTCACATCACAGACAAAAATCTAACAGACACAACTACTGGAAATTCAGGGCAAAGAGACTCACACCCTTAAACCTGTGCAAAGATACTCAACATCACTCAAACTAAATCCAAAATTGCACGAATATACCACTTCTCATGTACAACGGGGGTCAAAAGCCTATCATTTGATAACATACTTTGTTGGCAAAGTTGAGAAAGAAGAACCTTCTTCTTTGCTAATTGGCATGTGCAGTGCCCTATGGAAAGCCATTTGGCCATCACTACCAAACTTCAAAGTACATGATCCCTCCACCTAAGCAATCTCAATTCTAGGAATTTATCCTACAGATCAACTTCCCACATTCTGGATGACATACATGTAGGTTGGCGCAAATGTAATTGCAGTTTTTGCCATTACTTTAAATAGCAAAAACTGCAATTAGTTTTGCACCAACCTAATATGATGCTATTCACTACATTTTTTGTGGCACAAAAAAATGGAAAATAACTCAAATGTGTATCTATCCAAGACTGATTATATAAACAATGATATCCACTTATCTCTTATCTCTAGATATGCATAGGGGAAGATGTCTATAATATATTGCTAACAAAAGCAAGCTGTGTAAGAAATGGAAGAAATATGGATATATATTAATCTTTGCTTTTATTTGTATATTTCTAAGATACATACCAATTTAATAAAAGAAGATGGGGCAAGTGTACAAAAATGAACTTTATCAAAAACAGGTTAAGAGTGAGACTTTTCAATGCTACCTCTTTAATATTTATTTTTAAAAGCCATATGAAAATGTCATCTGTTCAAAAAGGTTTAAATTCGAAACTGTCAATGGACAAATAATTGCCAAATTTTCTTAATCAAAATTAAAATAATTGGCATAAAAATAGAGAACTAAGAACTTAAAAATAATGCTATAGAAGTGAAAGATTCAGTGATAGATTTTGTGTTTCAAATGCATCATTTCTCCCTATGATGTGACTGTTTTTATGATAGCAGGTTTCTTACAAAATTGTCTTCCACACCGTTTTTTCTGGCTAGCAAAAGGTGGCTAATAAATTTAGTAACTGTTAATGTAGGTAGAGAAGGAGCTGAAAAGCTGATTTGAGCTTGTTTTCACATCTAACAATTCATTTAAAGACAACTGTATAGTGTTTTCCTTTTAAAAACATGTCTCATTATTATTTACATTTCATTATTCTTAGAGCAACAATATGCTTTATGCAAGTAACAAAAGAACCAAAGGAAATTGGTTTGAATTAAGAGCAGTCAGGAAAATAGAGAGTAGAACTCAACTATTTCAAGAACTGATGCATACAATCAATTTCAAAAACATTAATGTGTCAAAAAGTGGTAACTGAAGCCAGCCTGCCTTCCCCACAAAGGGGTGGAGAGATATAAATGCTTTCTCCCTTGGGGAAACCTTTCCCCGCCAAACCACCCCAAATGATGGCAACCGATACACCAAATCTGCCAGTACTAAGAAATAAAGACAAATACAGAAGACATAAGCAATCAAGCATTTGGGAAAAATAAGAAGGAATGAATAAGTTGGTTCTGACCAAATTTAAAATGCCGAAGTAAGTAGATAAACTTGGAAATAAAATCATAGAAAACATCACCTACTATGAAGGTTAGATTGAAGACATCTGAATATATAGAATATTTCCTCAAAATTCTTATCCAGATTACAAAGGGACAACATGATACTGTGAAATTTATGGAACTGTTTCAATAAGAATATAGATCCCCATTTTATAGAAAAAGAATCGTGGCTTAGAGAAGAGATGTAGATTGCCTCCCACTGGATAAATCTGTAAATAGTGAAGCCAGGATTTCTGGAACCTACATTCTTGACGAGTAAACATCAAAAAGTGACAATAGATAATCAACGAGGAAAAGACTATAGATGCATACTCAAAAAAATTAGCCATTTGAGGTCCATTTTTCAGGTGTGCAAATAGTTCTCCACATCACAGACCACTTGCAGATTCTCACTCTTTTACATAACAGGAGTAATAAAAAGCAACAACAAAAGTTAATATTTCTTGATGACGTTCTATGTGCTAAGCTCTTTGCCTACAGTATATCATTTCTTCCTTGCAACACACTGTGATGTTAGTGCCATTATCATCCTCATTTTAAGATAAGGAAATTGGAACTTAGAAAAGTTAAGCAACTTACTCTCATTCAGCTTCCAAGTAGCAAAGCCAAAATTCAGGCTTGACTCTGAACCCGTACTTATCTTAGAAGCTGTAACACATGAATGCTGAGAGGTTAGGCTCTGGGAATGAACTGCCTGAAAGTGAATCTTGGCACTACAGCCTCTTGGCTGGGCCACTTTGGTTACGGAACCTTTCTGTGCCTAGGCCTTGGTCACATCATCTGTACCATGAGAATGATACTAGTACTTACTTCACGATGTTCTTATTAGAATTAAATGAGTTAATACAAGCAAGCCGTTGGAAGCATACCTGCATACAATATCCTATATAATCACAAATATTCTGATGATTGTTATTGTTATAATATCATTCGCACTTTGGGCTATCTTCTAGCACCACAAAATAATAAATGCTCTTGAGATTTCCCTGAATCATTAGCAAAAGTTGAATTTATCTGTAATAAGCTTAACAGAAAAGAAAGTTTTCACAGTATTTTAGAAATTTTTCTATGAAAAACATTTATGTGCTCAATGGAGTCTGCCTTAATTATCCCAAAATGTCATTACAAGGAACACTGAAGTTAGATAAATAAGCTACCATTTTTTGTGAGAACATGATTTGACTCACAATAATGAGGGCCATGTACCAACATTTGATTACATTTTTCTACATACTTTTGATTACCAAAGGGTTGGCAATGAATATTAGTTCCTTTTTAAAAATTATAGCAACCTAATTGTAGAATATTCTAATTATTTTAGAGCTTATCTTTGCTATTTAAAAAAATTCATCCATGCTAATCTGAAAAGTTAAATACCATAGTAACCTAAGCTTTCATCTCTATTGAATGTAGATGCAAAAAAAATTGTTTTTGTTTCAGTCTGCAAGTATTATTTCCAAAGCACAGCGCAATGCCTTATGTAAATTCTAAACAAAATAATAAATTCTTACCTTGGGAATAATGAGAATACTTTTAGAGAAATATCCTATTCCACTTCTATGTAAACATTCAATAAAAAAAAATTTCTCTAAATTTAGAGACATGTTGGAAACAAGATTTTACTGAATTCCAAATTGTTCCACTTTCCCAGCTGGACCATTTCTTCCTGTTTGCATAGTTGGATGTCTTTTAATTAACTGTTTGCCTGACTTCAGATGGCCCTACATCTTCTGCAATAAAAAGTTTTTTTATTTCCTGTTCAATACATGTCAGACACACTTGTCTGTTTCACCACATTGGAAAATTAAGTTAGAACACACATATTTTCAAAGACATGTGGAGGCCACAAAGAAATGAGGGAGAAAGGAATCACTCCTATTGTCATTGAATGAGAAAGAAATATCAATTTGCTATTTTCCACAGAAGAAAAAACTAAAAAACCTATTCTTTGCTCATTTTTAAACTAAACTTACAGGGGGGAGAAAATGTACAGCTTGTTTAGTTATAAAGAAGGAGAAAGGCAGAGGAAACTATTTGAAGGCCATATCTTATTAATCTCTGTAACAAGGTCTTCACACTTTACAACTTAGAAAGTCAAAACATGAGCAAGGTGTGGATAAGCAACAGTCTGCTTTGCCTTTGTCTTGCTTTATATCTTAGGTTTCTCACCACTCTGTCTTCTGTATGTGTCGAGGAATTTATCCATTTCTTCTAGATTTTCTAGTTTATTTGCGTAGAGGTGTTTATAGTATTCTCTGATGGTAGTTTGTATTTCTGTGGAATTGGTAGTGATATCTCCTTTGTCATTTTTGATTGTGTCTATTTGATTCTTCTCTCTTTCCTTCTTTATTAGTCTTGCTAGCAGTCTATCAATTTTGTTGATCTTTTCAAAAAACCAGCTCCTGGATTCATTGATTTTTTGAAGGGATTTTGTGTCTCTATTTCCTTCAGTTCTGCTCTAATCTTAGTTATTTCTTGCCTTCTGCTAGCTTTTGAATGTGTTTGCTCTTGCTTCTCTAGTTCTTTTAACTGTGACATTACGGTGTCAATTTTAGATCTTTCCTGCTTTCTCTTGTGGGCATTTAGTGCTATAAATTTCCCTCTACACACTGCTTTGAATGTGTCCCAGAGATTCTGGTATGTTGTGTCTTTGTTCTCGTTGGTTTCAAAGAACATCTTTATTTCTGCCTTCATTTCGTTATGTACCCAGTAGTCATTCAGGAGCAGGTTGTTCAGTTTCCATGTAGTTGAGTGGTTTTGAGTGAGTTTCTTAATCCTGAGTTCTAGTTTGATTGCACTGTGGTCTGAGAGATAGTTTGTTATAATTTCTGTTCTTTTACATTTGCTGAGGAGTGCTTTACTTCCAACTATGTGGTCAATTTTGGAATAGGTGTGGTGTAGTGCTGAAAAGAATGTATATTCTGTTGATTTGGGGTGGAGAGTTCTGTAGATGTCTATTAGGTCCGCTTGGTGCAGAGCTGAGTTCAATTCCTGGATATCCTTGTTAACTTTCTGTCTCGTTGATATGACTAATGTTGACAGTGGGGTGTTAAAGTCTCCCATTATTATTGTGTGGGAGTCTAAGTCTCTTTGTAGGTCACTAAGGACTTGCTTTATGAATCTGGGTGCTCCTGTATTGGGTACATATATATTTAGGATAATTAGTTCTTCTTGTTGAATTGATCCCTTTACCATTATGTAATGGCCTTCTTTGTCTCTTTTGATCTTTGTTGGTTCAAAGTCTGTTTTATCAGAGACTAGGATTGCAACCCCTGCCTTTTTTTGTTTTCCATTTGCTTGGTAGATCTTCCTCCATCCCTTTATTTTGAGCCCATGTGTGTCTCTGCACATGAGATGGGTTTCCTGAATACAGCACACTGATGGGTCTTGACTCTTTATCCAATTTGCCAGTCTGTGCCTTTTAATTGCAGCATTTAGCCCATTTACATTTAAGGTTAGTATTGTTATGTGTGAATTTGATCCTGTCATTATGATGTTAGCTGGTTATTTTGCTCATTAGTTGATGCAGTTTCTTCCTAGCCTTGATGGTCTTTACAATTTGGTATGTTTTTGCAGTGGCTGGTACTGGTTGTTCCTTTCCATGTTTAGTGCTTCCTTCAGGAGCTCTTTCAGGGCTGGCCTGGTGGTGACACAATCTCTCAGCATTTGCTTGTCTGTAAAGGATTTTATTTCTCCTTCACTTATGAAGCTTAGTTTGGCTGGATATAAAATTCTGGGTTGAAAATTATTTTCTTTAAGAATGTTGAATATTGGCCCCCACTCTCTTCTGGCTTGTAGAGTTTCTGCCGAGAGATCAGCTGTTAGTCTGATGGGCTTCCCTTTGTGGGTAACCCGACCTTTCTCTCTGGCTGCCCTTAACATTTTTTCCTTCATTTCAACTTTGGTGAATCTGACAATTATGTGTCTTGGAGTTGCTCTTCTCGAGGAGTATCTTTGTGGCATTCTCTGTATTTCCTGAATGTGAATGTTGGCCTGCCTTGCTAGATTGGGGAAGTTCTCCTGGATAATATCCTGCAGAGTGTTTTCCAACTTGGTTCCCTTCTCCCCATCACTTTCAGGTACACCAATTAGACGTAGATTTGGTCTTTTCACATAGTCCCATATTTCTTGGAGGCTTTGTTCGTTTCATTTTATTCTTTTTTCTCTAAACTTCTCTTCACACTTCATTTCATTCATTTCATCTTCCATCGCTGATACCCTTTCTTCCAGTTGATTGCATCAGCTACTGAGCCTTGTGCATTCGTCACGTAGTTCTCGTGCCGTGGTTTTCAGCTCCATCAGGTCCTTTAAGGACTTCTCTGCATTGGTTATTCTAGTTATCCATTCATCTAATTTTTTTTCAAAGTTTTTAACTTCTTTGCCATTGGTTCAAACTTCCTCCTTTAGCTTGGAGTAGTTTGATCTTCTGAAGCCTTCCTCTCTCAACTTGTCAAAGTCATTCTCCATCCAGCTTTGTTCCATTGCTGGTGAGGAGCTGCATTCCTTTGGAGGAGAGGCACTCTGATTTTTAGAGTTTCCGGTTTTTCTGCTCTGTTTTTTCCCCATCTTTGTGGTTTTATCTACATTTGGTCTTTGATGATGGTGACGTACAGATGGTTTTTTGGTGTGGATGTCCTTTCTGTTTGTTAGTTTTCCTTCTAGCCATCAGGACCCTTAGCTGCAGGTCTGTTGGAGTTTACTGGAGGTCCACTCCCGACCCTGTTTGCCTGGGTATCAGCAGCGGCGGCTGCAGAACAGTGGATATTGGTGAACCGCAAATGCTGCTGCCTGATCGTTCCTCTGGAAGTTTTGTCTCAGAGGAGTACCCAGCCATGTGAGGTGTCAGTCTGCCCCTACTGGGGGGTGCCCCCCAGTTAGGCTACTTGGGAGTCAGGGACCCACTTGAGGAGGCAGTCTGCCCGTTTTCAGATCTCAAGCTGCGTGCTGGGAGAACCACTACTCTCTTCAAAGCTGTCAGACAGGGACATTTAAGTCTGCAGAGGTTATTGCTGTCTTTTTGTTTGTCTGTGCCCTGCCCCCAGAGGTGGAGCCTACAGAGGCAGGCAGGCCTCCTTGAGCTGTGGGGCCTCCAACCAGTTTGAGCTTCCCGGCCACTTTGTTTACCTACTCAAGCCTGAGCAATGGCAGGCGCCCATCCCCCAGCCTCACTGCCACCTTGCAGTTTGATCTCAGACTGCTGTGCTAGCAATGAGCGAGGCTCCATGGGCGTAGGACCCTCCGAGCCATGTGCGGGATATAATCTCCTGGTGTGCCATTTGTTAAGCCCGTTGGAAGAGCGCAGTATTAGGGTGGGAGTGACCCCATTTTCCAGGTGCCATCTGTCACCCCTTTCTTTGACTAGGAAAGGGAATTCCCTGACCCCTTGTGCTTCCCGGGTGAGGCTATGCCTCGCACCGCTTCGGCTCATGCACGGTGCGCTGCACCCACTGTCCTGCACCCACTGTCCAGCACTCCTCAGTGAGATGAACCCGGTACCTCTGTTGGAAATGCAGAAATCACCCATCTGCTGCGTTGTTCATGCTGGGAGCTGTAGACTGGAGCTCTTCCTATTCGGCCATCTTGGCTCCACCTTAAATTGCTTCTTAGCTTCAGGCCTCAGATTTCTCATGCATAAAGGTGGCAATAATATAAATTGTTATGTTACCTACAAGATTTTTGTGAGAGTTAAATTAGGTAATATATGTAAAAGATTGAGGGCTCTCCCTGGCATGCAGTAGATGCTCAATCAAATATATTATTAAACTGGAGAATAACAGCAGAAATGGGAGAAGTGTGGAAAAGTAGGATGGTATTAGATAATAACCTAATCTCTCAAGCTAGGAAGAAGAGCTAAAAAAGAAATATGCAAAGATGCTCAATATCACTAGGAATCGTGGAAATGCATATAATAACAGTGAGATCACATTTTACCTCTCAGATTAGAGAAAAATGAAAAATATGTAAGAAAACAGGCATTTTCTTGCACAATTGATAGTTGTGTAGATTGAGGATAATTTTTAGGACAAACTGACAGTATGCACATGTTGTTTGAACCAGCAATCATATCCAAATAATTTATATGTACAAAAGTGTTGCTACTACCCTAGTCCAAACCACCATTATCTAGCTTACTGCAATAGATCTCTTTATTAGTCATCTTTGCTGCAATAATAAACCCTAACATCCTAATGGCTTACAATAACAAACATTTATTTCTTATTATGTTATATATAAGCTGAAGATTTGCTACAGGCTGTGGTCTTCTTCATATGTCTTCTCATTCCAAGATGCAGCATGAAAGAGAATCTCCTATCTGTTATTCTCTTGGCAACAAACAGAACCAAGGGGTGAAGCTGAACCATGTAATCTAATGTAAGGCTTTTCATAGGTCATGTCTCCACACATTCTATTAAACAAAACATACTATAAACATTCTATTAAACAAGTATTACATGGTCTAAGCTTGACAATTTGATGGATGGGTGGGTGGGATAGTGGGGGTAATCCTCCAACAGGGTGTCTCTGCATATCACACAGCAACAAGTCAGGACACATAATCCTCTTTTAGGAAAGGAATAATTGGGAACAATCCATAGCCTCACACCCCAACTGGTTTGCCTGCTTCCACACAGCAGCCAGAGCAAGTCAATAAAAACAAGTCTGAGAACTTACTCACTATCACAAGAATAGGATGGAGGAAATCACCCCCATGGTTCAGTTACCTCCCACTGCATCCCCTCCACCACACATGGGGATTATGGGAACTACAATTCAAGATGAGATTTGGGTGAGGACACAGCCAAACTATGTCAATATTGTACTATAGTTATGTAACATGTGACCATTGGGGAAGCTGGACAAAGTGCACATGGGACCTCTTACTATTTTTGCAACTTCTAGCGAGTCTATAATTCTGAAAAAAACACATTGTTTTAAATAAGGAAAAATATTAGTGATCAATCACTTTGTTATACCATATACAATGGCACCCCCATAGCATCTATTCCTTTACTCTTCATTGCCCTATAGATTTACTTGTTTTGCTATAGATAATACAGTTACTTCATTACTACTTCTACAACTAGAAAATACATCCTATGACATTACAGGCTTTGTCTGTTTTGTTCACTGTTGATTCCTTAACACCAAGAAGAAGGCCTAGCACATTGTAGGTACTCCATAAACATCTGTTGAAAGAAATGAATGTGCCCAGTAGTCAGAATTGGAAACTACCTAAATGCTCATAAATAGGGAAATAATTAAATAACTTATGATATACAGTAGAATACAGCAACTTAAAGAATAAAGTAGATCTATACGTAGTCACATAGAAAGATCTCCATGATAGGTCACTAAGAGTGAAAATAAGTTGTAAAAAGTTGGTATAGCATTATCCGAATTAGTGAAGTAGAAAATCATCATAATGCTTAAGAGTTGGGACTCTAAGTGCACATCCTGGTTCCATTTCCCCCTTGCAAGGTAGTCTAAGACAAGTTATGAAATCTCATTTCCCTCAATTCCCTCATCTTTAAAATAAAAATAAAAATACTACAGGAATTAAATGAATTAATGCATATAAAGTCCATGACACAGATTAATATATTCTATCTACAGTACTTAGCATATTGTAAATATTTATGTTAGCTATAACAATTTATGTGTAAAATTCTACAAGTATATATTTATAAATGTTTTAAATTCATAGAAAAGGGTCAAGAATTACATACAGGAAAGTAAGTCTTAACAGCAGTGACCTCTGGGGAGAGATTAAGGGAGGGATGTGGAATAATTTTTTTTTAATTAAAAAACACACACACACACCCGAGAGCCAAATACAAATTATTTTAATTACACAAACTAATCCTTTCTTCCATGACTATGGATAATCAAAGATTAAGTACATCTGCACCACCTAAATTCGGAGTGGAGTTTACAGGGCCCAGGACCACACATACAGCTGAGGCAGTCTGCCCCAGGGCCCTGACCTCATGCTCCTAATTGCTGAGAAATCCTGATGTGGGCTCTGGTGCCGAAGGTGTGCTGATGGGCAGGAGTCTATGAGCACAGACTTCTCTTTCTCTCTCTGATCTCTACCCATTAGGGACTCTATTAAATTGACCCTCACTCTACAAAATATTGTTTCCAACCCATAGAATTTTGCTGAGGATTTCTGCCACTTGCTGGCTTCCAGCTGGTTGGTCAATTGATTCCTATTTTACTCAAGTTATACTTTGTCTTTTGAAAAATATCTCTATATCTCAGCATTATTTTAGCTTATTGCTCTACTATGCTACTCAATTTTTTCTGTGTGTTTACCTTCCATCTCAAGATTTTTGCTTTTACTTTTTTCTTTTAAATCACACAATTATGCTTAATCATTTTTGTTTCTTTATCAGTCTTTTTCTCATCTTTTTTTCTATTAGTTTTGACTGCCTTTATTTTTTAAAAAAATACATGATCTGGTCATTCTCTCTAATTTTATCTTATTTTTAAGCCTTTTTGCCCATTTATTTTTAAATTCAACAAATTCTACAAAAATTTTCATCATTATTTGAGCTTTTTCTTTGGGCCGTTAAAATACTTTATCTCATTTTTAAATATAATTCTCATGTGTTTTATATTTTGTGAAGGATTTAATTTTTTTTCTTGTCCCTCTTAAATGTTAATTAGTTGGTATATCACGATCTGTCTTGATGATGGCCAGCAGGAGGCATGGGCACAGCAGTGGTTATAGCAGACGCACATACCACACCAACAGGAAAATGTGGAGACCTTCTGTCTTTCAGTTGTCCCTGGAGTTTCCTCTAGTCCTACACTCTCTCAACTTTTACTTAGAAAAAGGCCTCCTTTTATAATGCTTGTTTGTTTTCCAAATATTTTACTCCAGAGTAGTCATGAGAGGATAAGTATTGTCCCATCTCATTGTAAGGTGATCCTTCTTCTAAAATTTAGAGCCCAAACCTAAGGAGTTCAAGTTGGGCAAGAGACTATAGGAAGAGAAGGTTGCTTCATTAACATGGCTCGCCTGACTTTGCCGAAACCACCTATAGCTTTCTATCAAAGGCAGCAAAGTGTCCATAATCAGATTTCCAATATCACTTCTACATCAGCCTGATTCTGATATACGTATTCTAGTTTAGTCTTCTCTCAACAGACCTATAGAAGGATCTTCCAATGTATCAGTCTCCTCAGCTATCTTTCCTCATTAGGGGAGAAAAGAAGAAGCTCAAGAGAATTAAGCTGATCCTCAATGCGGTAGGGGAAGCTCATTTTGTTTCATCTTGGGTCAGCTCTGCTTTAACCGAATGACATATAAATGTATAATATTATTTTTAAGTCTTTATTTAAGTCTTTAAGTAGTGTGGTTTATTTAGCCTATCAAAATCAAATGAAAAGATAATGTTCCTTAAACTGAAGAGACTTATAAGATCCACAGAAGTTCTCAAGATATAGGAAAAAAGCTGAGTTTGGGTTTCTCCTTCCTGATGTCACTTTCCCAAGAGAAACACAAAGTTATCCTGAGAAAACAACCTGGTTAGTTCTCTTGGCTTGAGCCAAAATGTTGACCATTCTAATTTCCTGCAGTTTTCTTCCATTATGCCTCCTGTTTATTCTTTATGGATTCTCTCCTCTCTGTAGACCCAGCCTGCTGTTGTGCAATCTCTACTATTTTATTCCCCCATCAGTCTTAGGAAATGACATTAGC
Organism: Homo sapiens; assembly: GCF_000001405.40. Lineage (NCBI taxonomy): Eukaryota > Metazoa > Chordata > Mammalia > Primates > Hominidae > Homo > Homo sapiens. The sequence continues at coordinate 19,810,395 of NC_000012.12, read as the reverse complement.
CAGCTATCCCAATTTAAGGTCCAAATCATCAAGCCGGTTTTTTTGTTTTTTGTTTTTTTTTAACAAAGTTTATTTGAGCAAGACAAAGGTTTTTGTACTGGGCAGCATTCCAGAACAAAGATGGTTCAGAATTCCCCAACCTCCAACTCTGGTTGAGCTATTTATTTATTTTTATTTTTAAGCACATATACATATATTTATTAAGCACTTCCAATAAATAACTTCTTGCACTTCACACATTAATTAGGAGCTAGTGAACACCACTTTATTAATCTGTTTTCATACTGCTATAAAGAACTGCCCAAGACTGGGTCATTTATAAAGGAAAGAGGTTTAATTGACTAATAGTTCAGCATGGCTGGGGAGGCCTCAGGAAACTTACAATCACAATGGAAGGTGAAAGGGAAGCAAGGCAACTTCTTTACAAGGCAGCAGGAAGGAGAAGGACCAAGCGAAAGGGGATGAGCCCCTTTTAAAACCATCAGATCTCACAAGAACTTACTCAGTATCATGAGAAAAGCATGGGAGAAACCATCCCATGATTAAATCACCTCCACCTGGTCTTTCCCTTGACACATGGAGATTATGGGGATTATAATTCAAGATGAGATTTGGGTGGGGACACAAAGCCTAACCAACCAACCAACAACAATCAACAATCAACAACAAAAGTTGAGTAGATTTCTTTTTTCATTTGTTTGCTTTTATAATACTTAGGTCATTTTCTTTAATAACTTCAACTTGAAGTTTAGATTCAGGGGGTACATGTGTAGATTTGTTACATTGGTATATTGGGTGATATGTTGAGGTTTTGGGTACAAATTATCCCGTCACCCAGGTAGTGAGCATAGCACCCAATAGTTAGTTTCTCAGCCCTTGCTCCGGTCCCCCTCTCCTCCCTCTAGTAGTCCCCAGCGTCTATTATTCCCATCTTTATATCCATATGTACCCAATGTTTTGCTCCCACTTATACATGAGAATATACAGCATTTAGTTTCCTGATCCTGTGTTAATTTGCTTAGGATGGTGGCTTCCAGCTGCATCTGTGTTGCTGCAAAGCACATGATTTTGATTTTTTATGGCTGCATAATATTCCATAGTGTATATGTATCACATTATCTGATCTACCATTGATAGGCACCTAGGTTGATCCATGTCTTTGCTATTGTGGATAGTGCTGCAATGAACACATGAAACTTTTTGGTAAAATGATTTGTTTACTTTTGAATTACACCCAGTAATGGGATTGCTGAGTCAAATGGTAATTCTGTTTTAAGTTCTTGGGAAATCTCCAAACTGCTTTCCACAGTGGCTGAACTAATTTATATTTCCACCAACAGTGTATAAGTGTTCCCTTTTCTCCACAGCCTCACCAGCATCTGTTGTTTTTTGACTTTTTAGTAATAGCCATTCTGACTAATGTGAGATGATATCTCATTGTGATTTTCATTTGCATTTCTCTGACAATTAGTGACGTGGAACATTTTTCATATGTTTGTTGGCTGTTTTTATGTCTTCCTTTGTAAAGTCTGTTCATGCCCTTTGCCTACTTTTTCAAGGGATTATTTGTTTTTTGCTTCTTGAATTGTGTAAGTTTCTTATGGATTCTGAATATTAGATCTTTATCAGATGTATAGTTTGCAACTATGTTCTTGCATTCTCTGGCTTGTCAGGCAATTCTTATTTACTTCCCACACTATTTCATGATAACCCCGTTAATTCAGCTTACTCACTAACAAAGGATCCTAAGGCCAAGTATCTTTTAAGATCTGTCCATTTGTGCTATAACCCAATCCATCTCGGCCAGTCTACTCAACCAGCAACTGCAATTCTAGTTGATGCTAAGCCACATAATGATATTGGTGTTTACATTTCATTATCATCAGGAATGCACTACCTTGTGAATGTGAATCCCCAGGAAGTGGGTACAAAGGAATTTAACAGTAAGGATCCTTGTGAGTTAATTTATATTAATAGTAGATGTGTGCTGCAAGAGGTCTCTATTTTAGAAATCCATTTGCTTATACTCAGTGCTTAGTGTCCTCCCTATTCTTCCCTCGAACTAAAAGGGAGAGAGATGGGCAGTAAAGCATCCACCTCTGGTAGCTGTCCACTTCCGAGATCAACTGTTGTGCAGTTCATGCCCTAAAAATATGTTCATTCTGCTCATTCTTTCAGTTCCCTGATAAGCTGTACACACCTGGCCCACCTGTGTGCCATCACATAAAACAAAGACCTTTGCCATTATCTTTTCCAATTTTTTGTTTCATTTCAGACTCTGACAAGAAGGCATTTATTAAATAAAAGTTCTGGCTATAACCCAAAAAAAGGATAAATGTTTAGGTTTATGCTGCTAGGTGAACTAATTAAAGAAGGAAGCCTAATCAGGGACCTCCACTATGGTTTCCACAAAAGGCATTCACGAAGCTCCCCAAAATTTACCAAGTTGTTGGAATTCAGGGAAGTGATCTTGGTCTTGGATCACAGAAAGTGTAAATTGGTTGACATAACTCTGAGATTTTCAGAAAGCTTTTGCCAAAATCCCAGCACAGAAATAAATATATCACTTGCTGCCAAACCATGAAAATAAAATATTAAATCATAAAAATATTCCACTCAAAATTAGCTTAGAGACATAGCCTAGCTAAAACCAAAAGGAAGAATTTAACATCTCTCCCAGGGTCAGAGGTGGTGCCATTTAGAAAAGATAACCAATACAAAATTACATCTGTATTTAATACAAAATGTTTTCCAAGGTTCTGAGAAACTAAGCTCAGTAACTCCAGCTGTCATTCATAAAGTAGTTATTGCTCATACAAATGGAATAATCCAAGATAGAGGGGGGAAAATGTATGTCAAATGCTATTCTTCTCAGCATTATTTACAATATTTTTTATCTGAAACCATCTAAATGATCCAAAATTATGAAATGATTAAGTAATGATTAATTGTCGAGTGAAATGATCAATGTCAAATACACAATGCAAAGTTTTCTGCACTGGACACTATTTTTATAAGTCATTCGCAATAGCATGAGGAAATGATTTTTATAACACTTCTAATCTTAAAAACCATGAGAGAAAATTGAATAAACTGTGTATGTAAAACTATAATGACTTTAAAAAGAAACTGTTTAGTTTAAAAAAAATTTTTTGCCATTCTTATATTGCTATTAAAAAAAAGAATTTTAAATGACAAAATAGCCACAGCTAGGTATGGAAGCAGGTGACATTTAATTCTTTCTCTATTTAACATGATGTTAAGTGACATTTTTGTCCATTGCCCTAGGATTAACAACCAGAACCCGAAATTGAGGACAAATGTATTAAGTAATTAAGTACAGCATCCTAAAGGAGTCAAAAAATGGAGGCAAACACCATCTCAGGGTTGATTAAACAGCAGCTAAGTTGGTTCTGCCACCAGATCCTAAACCCACCACAACTCTAATTCAAATAAGCAGACAACAAAGAGAAAGAGAAATGAATGGAAGAGATGACCCAGGTGATAAAGAATAAAGGTAAATGTCCTATGTAACATGCACTTCCTGCACATGTACCCCAGAACTTAAAAATTAAAATTACAAACAAAAAAAAGAATAAACATAAATGGGGGTTTCTGCATCCTGAAGCCAAGTGAGGCAGAACCCCCAGGGAATCGCTCACCTGTAGGAAAGGAGGTCACTCCCTCACTCCCTGGCAGGGTGCTTATGGGACTAGAGCACCCAAGCAGGTGCTCCTACCATTAGAATAAAATGATGGTCTTCGTGAGGGAGCATGATATGTGTTCGGGACATATGTGAACTTAGACACTTTGGCCTGCTTCTGGATTACATATTTCCAAAGAAAGGAGGCATGCTAGAGCAGCTGTTCCTACAAGGCAAAAAGGGACATGTCATAGTGTGTCTCAGATGACGATGGACAGCAACGCCACACACAGTCCCCTCACACTCTCTACAGGCACGAAGAACAGCAGAGAGGCTCCCAGGAGCCCATGTGAAAAAGCACAGAGGTGAAGACATGAGCTGTGGAGCTGCCAGTCCCTCCACTAGGAAAGAAGGCTGGCACCACAGCCCCCATGAAGCCCAAAGATGCCCTACTCCTTTGAAGCCAAGCACTCCCCCAGTAAAACAATATTCACTATCACCACAGAAAACATATGAATGGAAGCCACCAGCAATGGACAGACCAATCTCAGCCCATGGAAGACCAGGCAGCCTTCCCAACACCAAAGGCAGCCCGTTATATAATTCAAGGATGCAATTCTTCTGTGCTTCCTCCCAGCTCACTCAATACACCTTAGGGACCCATCAAAGACCCAAAAAAAAGAAGGGGAGGAGGTGACCCAGTGGCAAACTGTATCCCTCCCAATCCTGCCATCTCTCCTCCCAACTGAGAAAAGGATAAAAGGAGTCTTTGAGGCCTAAGCCTGGCTAGTGCTGGGGAAAGGGAAAGAGATGTCCATGGAATTGGATATGAGGTCAATGCTTCACACTGGGCCAGACATAGTGTTTAATAACTAAAAGTGCCTGGAAAAATGGGATAAATACAAGGTATTATTAAGCAATGTGAGGAAGAGACTCACTGTAACACAGCAGAAGTGACTGGAGTTCACAAGGTTCAATAAACTAGTTATATATTTTTAATGTGTTTTCTACCACAAGCACATAGGGGGTTTGTATTTGTTTCTTTTTTGTTGGGTTTCAAACTCTATGGCTAATCACTTTTAATTTGGTCATGTCAAATATTTTTGGGGATTCAGCATATAAATGATAAATTCTGAAGTCCCAGGCAAGGCCCTTTATCTGCTCCTCTGTTAGGGCCTTATGTATTTTGTGAACATGTCTAATTTTCCCCCTTAAACTCTAAGCTCTTTGAGTGCGAAGTTTGATGCATATTTTTATCCCTAAAGGACCAATGTTGTGCTTTGCACATAGACGGTTATCAGTAAGTATTAATAGAACAAATTATTTGTTCATTTATTTAACTGCTATTTCAAAGTAAATATGAGAAAAACTTGCTTACATTTTGTTAGAGAGGGATCTGAGTGATGGGTCACTTAGTCCCAGAATCATAATTTGGAGACCTATAGAAGGTTTCGCACCTGGTAGACCAGTGGTTGACTGAAATTGTTGTTAAATATTTACAATCCACTCCAACACATAAGGCTTCCAACTTACTCTAAATTTAGAAAAATGCCTCCAAATTAGTTTTGATTGGGAAAATCTTGGAGTTTAACGCAATTTGTCTCTCTTATCAACTTCTCAAAAATCTAATTCATCTAATGCCAAAACATGAAAATGTTACTCATCCTTAGTTACCCTAATGACTAATGATTAACATAAGAAAGTGCTCTTTCTTATAAATTATCATTCTTATTGCATGTATCAAAGTTAAATCTAAAACTTGAGAAAATTAAGGTCAGTGTCCTCATCTCTTAGGAGGGAGGTAAATAACATTTACTCAAGTTGAGCAAGAACAGTTGGCCAAATAAGTTGTATACACATAAACAGCCTGAAAGTCATCTGAACATCATGTTATGCCAGCTTACATTCAAATTTCTGAATGGAAATTCTACAGGACATAAGAATTAAGGCCAAATGTTATTTTAGATGCATAAAGAACTATTTCATAATTCCATATTTTAACAACGAAGGAAATTATTCAGTCTGGATTTTTAGAAAAGGCTTTCCCAAACCAAAAATCTACCAGGAAAAGTAATATATGCAGCATTAAATTTTTTCCTCATAATTATGTTTACTCCAAATTGCAATTTAAACATCAAATTTTGGGCCAAGTGTGATGGCTTATGCCTGTAATCCCAGCACTTTGAGAGGCCAAAGTAGGAGGATCACTTGAGGCCAGGATTTCAAGACCAGCCTGGGCAACACAGTGAGACCTTATGTCTACAAAAAAATTGCTGGGAGTGATGGTGCATACCTATAGTCTCAGCTACTCAGCAGGCTAAGGCAGGAGGATCACTTGAGCCCAGAGATTTGAGGCTTCAGTAAGCTATGATTGTGCCACTGCACTCCAACCTGGGTGACTGAGCAAGACTCCATCTTGAAAAACAAACAAACAAAAATCAATTTTTTAATTATGTAAATATCTTATATGGTTCCTTCCCAGAAACATGTATGTAAAATATGTTACATGGTTGCAAATGTTACTATATGTATAAAGAGACCTGACCTAAGGGAGCATAAGTGATAGTAGATATTTGTGTCATCGTATATTTAGTGAATATATCAAAAGTCTAGGATTTAAATTAGGAACTCAACACATAACTGTAATAGAATGGCACTATACAAATGGAATTAAGTATAAAATTCGATTTTTGTACCCTATTTCTTTTTAAAAATCACTAAATATTCAAAAAAATCACAAGACAGGATGAATGCAACTATTTTTAAGGATGAAAAAAGTTGAAAGGAGAAAATAGAGTGAAAAATAAGTCAGCTGATATACAACAGTAGCCTAAACTAAAATTGAGTCATTCTACTTGAGTGTTTAAGAGTTCTGATTATAAGTAAGGCAAAATACATGTCTTTTCCACTGTTGTTTGTTTGTTGTTTTGTTTACAAAAGGAGAGGTCAGTGAGTTGCTGTGATTGGGCTTAAAATTTTGCTCTAAGCTTTCTGGCACTAAGGAGTGGAAAATTTAAGGGACTGTTACTTAGCCTCACTGGTGGAATGATGACAGTACTTTCTTCAAAGAGACATTGTAAGAACACCCTGAGAAAATGTAGGTGAAGTGTTGGGCATAGTGCCTGGCACATGGGAGATGTCTAAGGATGTTATCTAGTATTATTCTATAAAAGGAAAAGACAGGTGATGCTTCTCAAAGAAGACACAGTTAATGCTAGTACCAAATCCTAACAGAAATTTCCTACATGGATCATGTAATAGGGACTTAAATAAGAGTCACTTCATTAAACTTGACTGCAGTAGAGTTTGAATTACAAAGATGGTTTCTTCTTTCAGAGAATGTTCATTGTGTTACTGCATGCAGTGCCTTGCACATAATAAACAGTCATGTTTCAGTGATCTTTTTACAAAGTAATTCTCTTCAATAAATATTCCTGGGTATCAAAGCTTTCTCTTTTTCCTCCAGCCTGTTCTCAGTCTATAAATGTCCAATGAGCTATGGCCAGTTCTCTCCTCCTCAACTCTTCCAACTAAAAGGGGGAAAAATATCCTAAATTCCCAGTCTCTGCCACCTACCATAAATTGAGCACATCAAGTGATCTAAAGCTAAGAAAGGGAACAGAGTAAATACAGATGACATCATCCCTATTGTCTTGCAAGGTGAAATCCTATCTTCTCTTTCTAATTAAAAAAAAATGAGAATTTGAGTGAATCTCAACTTTCTGATTTTCCCCTTACCTCTCATTATCTTTATAATCAGATTCAAACTTGCTACCCTGTTTCCTCATTACACGCTTGCACCCACCACAGTCAGCGTTTGTGCCCACCAACTCTCCACTGAAACTGTTCTTGCTTTGCAAGGTCTCACACAACTTCTATTTACCAAACATTATAGACACTTCAATTTCTATATTTTTGACAAACCTGAATATATATATTTTGGACTATATTCTCTTTCTTGAAATTTTCTTTTCTTGTGATTTTTAGGACATCACAAATTCATGCTTCTCCTCTTCCTGACAATTTTCTCTCTTCCTTGTCAGGTCCATATTCTCCATCTAACTCTTAAATGTTGATGTTCTCAGGCGTAGCATCATTGGCTCCTTCTCTCACTTTTACATTTTTTTTCTAGGGAAATTCACCCCTGTGCATTCTTCAACTACTCCCCTCGGCCCAAAAAGCAATCCCTGGGCCACCTAGTCTATACCAGTAGGACATGGACTATCCTCAGGGGGTATGTACTTTGATACAGCTGTGGAGGAGAGGAGAGTAAAAATGACTAAATCCCAAAGGATATAGTCAGGCATCACAGCGAACACGGGACTAGGGAATTATCAGAAAGCAAAGCCAGGAGCTACCAAATAAACTAAATCCAGGACCTTTTCTAATGCCCGAGAAGAAAGTCCATAATTTTCAGAATTCCTGTCCTGCAGATTTTGATAATTGCTATGGATAGTGACTCCTATGCATTTCTTGTTTCCCAGAAGTTATTCTACTCCTCCTGTACCATTATATTTTTAGCACTTACGGGGCCGATAGAACATCTTTTAGTTTGTAGGCCACCAAACCACAAAATGCTACATCTGGCCCCGATGGAGAGCGACCAGCATACCCAAAGGTCAAGGACTTTGAGTAGATGAGTAATTTTATGGCATTTGGCAGTTGCTTTCCTTAAGAAGGGGCTGATGTTGTTCTTGTGTGAACAGAAGTGAGTAGTGTGTTCATGGATATTTGGGAATGCACAACTTATCCTGCAATATCCATTCTCCCCTATTTCAATGGTGATCAAGCCTCCAATTTGGGGCACATGGCTTCCCAGAATGGAAACTACAGCTCCCACTTTCCCTTTGCAGCTAGGTATAGCCATATGACTAAATGCAGGTCACCTGGATGGTAAGCAGAAGTGTTTATGTAGCAGCTTCTTGAAATCTTTTTGATGAGATAGAGATATATGCTCTTTGCTCTTCTTTCTCTGTTGCTTTAAACTGCTGCCTGGAATTTGGATGCCACTATCCATAAAAGGCAATAAGATACATATATATATATATATATATATATATATATGTAAAGTCCATGTTATAGGGCACCATACAGTCCTCAAGTGCCAATCCAGATTTTTGTGCACAGCTAAAGTAAACTTTTATCTTATTTTAGTTACTATTAACTGGAACTTTCTATACAGTAAAACCTAGTCCTAATTGACACAGGTACATGAAATCAAGACAGTTTCCTGCTTGAGCAACTAACCAGAAGAATGGTGGTACCACTCACTAAGATAGGAGAGGGCAGGTTTGAGTGGAAGACTCAATTTTGTACATGTTGAGTATGGGGTGTCCATGAAAATCCAAGACACCACAAGGTCTAAAGTTGTACATATAATCTAGCACTCAGTAGAAACTTATCAGAAGAGGAGTTTAGACAAGAACAAAAAAACTGAGAATCCGTAATATGCAAATGGTATATAAAATCTCAAGAATGAATAATTTTATCCAGGGAACCTACAGAGCAGATGGGTATCCATAATATGAACTTGAAAACATTATTTCAAGCCTGCACATCTCTGTCATTTCTCATATTCTGGCTTTCATTCTCGTGTTGAGTCAGTATACGCAGTATTTGGAACTGAGCTAATCCCCTATCAGATCTGACCCTGACTCTCAGGAACAACCAGTGGAAAACAATGCTCTAATTAAGTCAGTGGAAAGTTCACAGACTTGTCCAAATCTTACTCATACTATTTATAGTCCAAGAAACAGAACTAGAATACCTAGGGTAAAACCGGCTTTTCTGAAAAACGTTCATCATTCAATCATAACTAAACAAAAAAAATCATAAAATGTCTGGATAGAGAGGGCCCTCAGATCCTTCTAAACCCACACACCACCAAAAATGTTACCACTACATAAGGACTACATATCATAAATTTAATTTATTTAATAAGAATCCTAAATGAATAAATATAAGAGCTATTCCTACAACATTGAAAGAATTTTTTTAAAAAAACTATTTCAGGAAATAATTTAGTAAATGCAAAAGTGTTATTTCAAGTACTTCTCATGTAGTCTCAAGATAAATCTTTTCCATCTCTGATATTTATAAAAACAAACTCACGGGTGATATTCTGACACCAGCAAAGAGGTTTAGTTTAAATATTAAGAACTGCCTTTGACTGCAAGGTCATTCAAACATTGCTAAAGTTTACTAAAGGAGTTTATGGAATCTCCCTCAGAGGTTTTTAAGAATCAGTTAGACATTCATTTGTAGGAATTAGTTTAAGATAACTTGAACATACGCCTTTGGCAGCAGAGAGTTGAACCACAAGATTGTTGGTCTATGGCACTATTTCCTGGCAGGAAATTGAAGGTGGGAAAAGAAAATAACAGTGAGTTTGAAGTTTAGGGTTTTATTATTTAAATCATTTCCTCATATTTAATGAGCTGCAAATTTCACCATTTATGGCATTTAAATATATTCAAGACCCTGGGATATTTTTTATGACCTTGCCAAATGGGATTTACTTAATTTCTGACTAATTTATACTTAGGATTTATCTGAAGTAAGCATAATGTCTTGGTTCTGGCTCCAACTTTATAAGTTCCAGTCAAGAAAGAGAACCACAAGACTGAGCCGCCGCAGTGAACTGACCTCTATTGTTCAAGGACATCTTGGCTGGCCCGGACACTCTTTGATACTTGAAACTAGTATTTGAAGTCATACAGAGGAGCCACCTCTGTGGTTTGGAAGCAGTTAAATTTCCAATGAAAAAATGTGTGCAGTCAACTTTTGATGAGTGGATTAATGAGGTGGAGAAAGGTAATGACTGTATCCCAAATCACGGATAAATCAAAACTGCAATTAAGCATGGTTAACCCACACCCAAGTCATCACCTTAGTATTCTAATAATGAAAGAATATATACAAAACATTAAGGGGAAACTGACTCAAAGACTCAAAATGCAACCTTGGAAGTCAAGGCTATCAAGTGCAAAGTTTACAGGAGAGTGCCAGTCTATGCTCTACATCCTTGTTTTTTTATCTGAAGAAGAAATGGAATACAGAATTCTCTACTAAGGGGTTCGGGGAAAAAGTCACTTTAAATCTCCCACAATATTGTGATTTAGAAACAAAGTATTTGTTCAGCAAATTATTAAATGACTGAAATAAACACTGCTTATGGATGACCGCCACATATGACACCATTTTAAGGTTCATAAAGTACCTGGTAAGTGAAATATTTATATAAGCTTTCCTCTTCTAAAAACAGGGGACTACTTCCACTCAGTAACTCTAGCCCGAGACCACAGGAAGTAAAATGAACAATGCTCCTTTGAGTAAGGATGACGAGGCTGCTGCCACAGGCATTTATAACCAATGATTAAAACATACGGGCATTGTGGCCAAAGTATCATGGTCCTCAAAGCTTTCCATCTAGAAAATCAGCAAACAAAATGTAACGTTCATAAGTGGAAAGAGACTAACACTAGATGGTCTTTTTTTTTTTTTTTTTTTTTTTGGTGAGACGGAGCTTCGCTCTTGTTGCCCAGGTTGGAGTGCAGTGGCGCGATCTCGGCTCACTGCAACCTCCGCCTTCTGGATTCAAGCTATTCCTCTGCCTCAGCCTCCCGAGTAGCTGAGATTACAGGCGTCAGCCACTGGCTAATTTTTGTATTTTTAGTAGAGACGGGGTTTCACCATGTTGGCCAGGCTGGTCTCGAACTCCTGACCTTGTGATCCCCCTCCTCAGCCTCCCAAAGTGCTGGTATTACAGGCGTGAGCCACCGCACCCGGCCTAGACAGTGTTTTTTTTTTTTTTTTTTATAAAGAAGGGATATGAGGAATGAGTGCATGGGGCTGGCTTATCTTAGACACAGCAAGCAGTTGATAAATTGGGGTCCACAGGGAAAAGCCTGTGATCAAGTCCCCAGATCTTCCATTTCCTGTGGGTGTACCTTTGAGCAAGTCCTTTATTCTCCCTAAGGCTCAGTCTTCTCATTAAAAAGGAGAAAGAGAACAAGGAAGAGGGAGGAGAAAGTCTGTATGATACTCACCTTAATGGACTGTTGTTTTATATGTAACCCTAAGGAGGCACTAGTGAAGCCTAATGTTTTCTGAGAAACCACCATGCTCAACTGCTATCTCATAATTAGTAGGTAGAAAGAGACTACTGTCGCCCAGGCTGGAGTCCAGTGGTGCGATCTCGGCTCACTGCAAACTCCATCTCCCGGGTTCACGCCATTCTCTTGCCTCAGCCTCCTGAGTAGCTGGGACTACAGGCACCCGCCACCACGCCCGGCTAATTTTTTTGTATTTTTAGTAGAGATGGGGTTTCACCGTGTTAGCCAGGATGGTCTCCATCTCCTGACCTCGTGATCCGCCCGCCTTGGCCTCCCAAAGTGCTGGGATTAAAGGAGTGAGCCACCGCGCCCGGCCAAGAAGGGGATTCTTAATGAATAGTTGTAAGGGTAAAAAAAAAAAAATCAATTACATGAAAGTTCTTTGCAAAGTACAGAATTATATAGAAAACAATGATCATGTTTATTATTTGATTATTGTTACTTGAGTAATTATCAATTTGACGTCCTCTTAAGTACCACCTAGCTCTCTTCCAAAATTCACATGGAAGTTGGAATAATAAAACACTTTGTAATGCAGAATGAAGACAATACTTAAAAAACAAAGGGGCCTGGCGCGGTGGCTCACGCCTGTAATCCCAGCACTTTGGGAGGCCGAGAGGGGCGGATCACGAGGTCAGGAGATCGAGACCATCCTGGCTAACACGGTGAAACCCCCGTCTCTACTAAAAATACAAAAAATTAGCCGGGCGTGGTGGCGGACGCCTGTAGTCCCAGCTACTCGGGAGGCTGAAGCAGGAGAATGGCGTAAACCCGGGAGGCGGAGCTTGCAGTGAGCCGAGATCGCGCCACTGCACTCCAGCCTGGGCGATAGAGCGAGACTCTGTCTCAAAACAAAACAAAACAAAACAAAACAAAAACAAAGGGAGCTACATACAGATGGTCCTGACTACTGATAATTGGACTGTAAGTGGGTTTATCAGGCATAATCCCATTGTAAGTCAAGGAGCATTTGTATTCACAATCCATAGCTCACATGTATACAGTGTGTGCCAAGTACCAGGCCCAGCACATAGAACACTGTTTATTATATGTACATTATCACATACTTAATCTATAATTAGCCTGACAAACTATATGAAAAGATGAAGTATTTTTATAAAAACTAGATGCGTAGTGGTTATATCAAATAATTTGTCTAACAATTGCCTAAATTTTTTTTTTTTTTTTTTGAGATGGAGTCTTGCTCTGTCACCCAGGCTGGAGTGCAGTGGCGCGATATCGGCTCACTGCAAGCTCCACCTCCCAGGTTCACGCCATTCTCCTGCCTCAGCTTCCCGAGTAGCTGGGACTACAGGCGCCCGCCAATACACCCGGCTAATTTTTTTATTTTTAGTAGAGACGGGGTTTCACCGTGTTAGCCAGGATGGTCTCGATCTCCTGACCTCGTGATCCGCCTGCCTCGGCCTCCAAAAGTGCTGGGATTACAGGCGTGAGCCATTGTGCCCAGCCGCCTAAAATATTTTAGGATGGCAGTCAATTCTTTTTCTGTCATACTCTGTAGAGTAATTATCTCCTCCGAGATTACCAAAACCAAAGCCTCATCTAATAACTGTTATTTAATAATAAAATGTATTTTAAAAGTAAGATTTATTGTGCCCCTATCATGGACAAGGCTCTTTATATATAACTCTGTGGATGTGCTGGTGAAGCCTAATGCTTTCTGAGAAACCACCATGCTCCAGGCACTGTAATAAGTAATTTACATATGCAATCTCATAATTCTGACAGCAGTGATGAAAAAATACTGATTTTTCAGATGAGAAAGGTAAGCCTCAGTAAGATTAAGGCTTACCCAAATTCATACAGCAGGTTGCGAATTTGGGATTTCAGCAAACCACCTTTCTCATTCCAAACTTGTTTAAGTATTAACCAGTTAATTTGTATGGAAGAAATAAGATTCACAAAAGCATTCCTATACCATACAACTCTTTATAGAATAACCACATCAATGGATAGCAGCCTGAAGCTTCCTCAAAACTCAAATAACAATGCATAAAATTAAAATATGGCAATAGTATTAAAAGAAAGTTATCACATTTGACTCCATCTTTTATATTTCTTTCACTTATATTTTCCTTGGGCTTTGAATTGTGGATCATTTCTTAGCTTTGTTAAAGGTAGACGCCTGGCCAGGTGCGGTGGCTCACACCTGTAATCCCAGCATTTTGTGAGGCCGAGGTGGGTGGATTGCCTGAGGTCAGGAGTTCGAGACCAGTCTGGCCAACATGGTGAAATCCCATCTCTACTAAAAATACAAAAAGATTACCTGGACGTGGTGGTGTGCGCCTGTAATCCCAGCTACTCGGGGCCTGAGGCAGGGGAATTGCTTGAATCAGAGAGGTGGAGATTGCAGTGAGCTGAGATTGTGCCACTCAGCAATACTGCAGCCTGGGTGATGGAGCAAGACTCTGTCTCAAAAAAAAAAAAAAAAATGTAGATGCCTATTCTTTCTAGGCTATTTTGAAAGCCAAGAAAAGATTGGGAATTTGACTAGTGAAAACTTTATGAATTAAAAAATTTTCAAAACATTAAATCTGTAACAATGCTATTGGCATCCAATCAATCAAAAATTATTTATTATATAACTATATTCTCAGGCTCAGCAAAATGTTACCTTTACAGGAGACTAGGTTCTCTCCTTTATCATTTTATTGCATCCTGTCCTTTTCCTTTGTGGATGTTTAATGTCTTTCTGCCTCACGGTATCACAAGGTAGTCTAAATAAGGGTAGTAACTACATATTTGTCTTACTGCCTGTTCCATTCCCAGGCTTCCGTAAGGTTTACACACAGACACACACACACATACACACACACACACAGAGCATTTGCTTAACATCTGCTGCACGAGTGAATGAACTTTTGCAGTTTCGATGATGAGGTCTTTGGAAACACTCACCAAGACTTCAATTCCTGATCCCCATGTCTCAGGCACCCTATCCTAAAGTAAGGTCAGCTAAAGTGTTTAGCCGTTGGCCATACAATCCATGGTGGAGCACTTTGATTCGTGTTTCCTAGATGGACACTAATATAATTAGGATATTTGTCACCTCCAAATCTCATGTTGAAATTTGATCCCCAATGTTGGAGGAGGGGCCTAGTGTGAGGTGTTTGAGTCATGGGGGTGGATCCCTCATGAATGGCTTGGTGCCATTCTCAGGAGACTAAGTGAGTTCTCTCTGTTAGTTCCCATGAGATCTGGTTGTTAATAAGAGTCTAGAACCTCTCTCCCCTCTCTCTCTTACCATGTAATGCATTGGCCCCACTTTGCCTTCTGCTGTGAGTGGAAGCTTCCTGAGGTCCTTACCAGAAGCAGATGCTGGAGCCATGCTTCTTGTATAGCATGCAGAGCCATGAACCAAATAAGCGTATTTTCTTTATAAATTTACCCAGTGTCAGGTATTACTTTATAGCAACTCAAAATGGACTGAAACAGATACCAACCAGTGAATTTTGAGGATAAACAAAAGACCATTTGGCTTCAATATTTTAAAAATAACATTAATGTACATTTTTTCCTTATCAGAATGTTTCCTATGGCTTTTTGGACTGTAAGATGATTAAAGCCAAACTCTCCAAACTGATCTCATCCAAAAATACAAGAATAATCTGCCATCACACCTACATCAAGCCATTTCTACTCATTTCCAGGGCCATATTCCCTTTCAAAGATAAGATCCTCCTTTGCATTCTCAGGATTTTTTCCAAATTTATTTCTCAGCAAACAATCATACCTGCCTGGCTTTATCTCCTGCTATTAATATGCCAAGTGCAAGTCACATACAAACTGGTAAAAAGTAACTGTCCTGAGGCAGAGAATGTGAAAACTATATAACATAAAAAACAAGAAAGATTATTCGTAAGAATAAACCTTTGTCAGGCTAAAATTTTCAGAGAGCTCTAGGGAAAAAATATTCCAACCCCTCCCCACTGAGTTATTAACAGTATTTGAATTTTTTTAAAAAAATTTTAACTTTGTAAAAGTGAGTTTTTTTAACTAGGTTCATATTTAAGTCTAGAATCACAGCAAATGGAGTGGTTTTGTACATACAGAAATCAACATTTCTATTTCCAAAATGCTCTTTTTCTATAATGTCACTGGTGTTGGCCTTTATATAAGACTGTCTTCTCTTAAATTACTCTCACTAGAGTTGGCAGCTTCCTTTGCAGACTAAGCCTCCTCTCCTGAAATCATCATGTCCTTTTTCCTGAATTTCCTTTCATAAATGAATCTTGATAGTAATAACTCATTCAGGAGTTTTCATGTAATGAACCTACTGCCTCTGTTTAAAATGACAACACACATTCCTTTTCTGCATGGATGGACTAACCAATGATCTCTGAAGCATATTTTTTATGAACTCCAGATATAAAAACAAACTGCCCCTTTGTGTAATCTTTGGCCCATGGCTCTGAAAAGTTTTTTCAATGTATTTTGGTAAGACACACTCAACTAGTACTATCGACTAGTATTTTCCTTTCTTGAGAATTTTCTTCTGATATTTTTGGCCTTCTTTTTCCATTGTACAATGGCATCTTTTCTTTTTAATGGATATTGGCAAATCATATTACAAAGATGAAAATGGAAACTTCAAAGATTTGTCAAGGTACCAATTTCCAAGTTTAAATTTCTTCTCTTTATTACTGAGGTTAAACAATGTTATAATTATTATACTTTCTATTTTTTAATGGAAACTACTTTTATTTAATTTTTTCTTTTACACTGTTGCTATGAAATATACCACCTATTTAAAAGGTGGTATATACATTTCAGGGAGAAATAATAAATTGATCACCCTTGTACTTACCCCCCACCTTAAAAAAAATAGAGCTTTTCTAGTAATTATAGTCTCCCTGAGGGCCCCTCTTAGTTGCAGCTCTTTCCCTACCTCCTCTCCTTGTTCACCACTCCCCAAGTAACTACTATTCTGAATTGAATGTTAATTATTCCCTTGCTTTCTTTATAGGTTTGCCACATACTTATAAGTGCATTAAGTGAGTTTTGAGTCTTTTAGAACTTCCTGTGAGAGGGATCATACTATACACCTTCTTCTGCAATTTGTTTTACTACACATGTTTTGAGATTCAAGCATACTAATATAGGTAGCTGAGTTCATTAATTTTTACTGCCATATGATATTCTAGTGTATGAATAGACTGCAATTTATCCAAATTTTTCATACTTGTCAATTTCACAAGAGTTAGCATTTTCCAATTATTAATGAGTTTGAACATCTTTTCAGATGGTTATGAGGCATTAGCATTTCCTCTTCTACAAAATTCCTAGTAATTTGTTTGCCTAGTTTTTTTTTTTATCTTTCTCATCTTTTTGTTTCTTTTTGTTGATTTCTTCCTACTATTACTACTATTATTTATTGCTATATTAATTCATTTTTTGCTTTCTTTCAATGGATAAGAATACTTGACTTTAGTGTGATTGGATTTGTAAACCTTTGTTTATGGTTTATACATTTTGTGTCTTGCTAAAGAAACCTCCTGTGTCTTGGGATCATAATGATATTCTCCTATATCTCCTAAAATTTTTATAGCTTTGCCCTTCACACTTAAGTCTTTAATCTACTAGGTATTATTTGTGTATGACATGATGTAGGGATCTAATTTTTTTACATTATTAAACATTTAGCTCCCCACAAGTTATAGAAAAGTTCATCCTTTCCCACCAATCTGCAATGGCACTACATCATATATTGAGGGTGCATATAACCACTGGTCCCTCTCCATTTCTGACTTCTCTGTTCTGTTTCTATGCCAATACCATATTGCATCAATACCATGCTGTTGTAATTCCTATAACTTCATAAATAAAAGAATGTTAATTTCTTCACATTAATAATGTCTTGAAACCTGGTAGGACAAATTCATATCTTACTAATTTTCTTTATTAGTGACCTATGATTGGCCCTTTGTTCTTACATATGAGTTTTAGAATCATTTCCAAGATGCTTTGGGACTTTTATTGAACTTGTGTTACATTTATATGTAAATACATATGAACTTGGCATCATTACAGTATTGAATTGTGTTCTTTGTACACGGTTTGTCTCTCCATGTGTTTGAGTAGTTTTAATGTCTTTAAAGAAAGTTAATGATTTTCTTTCATACAAATCTTGAACATTTTTAGTTAGACTTATTCCTAGGAATTTAGCTTTTGCTAATATTGCAAATGGCTAAAGTATACAACTGATGTCATTTAGAAATACAATTGGCTTTTTAAAATGAAATTTCCACTGAAGTATATTACACACAGAAAAATACACAAATCTTAACTGTATGGCACCATGAATTATCACAAAGTAAACTTGCCCAGGTAATCACCACCCCTATAAAAACAGGACAATAATAGTACCCAAGAAAACCCCAGTGCCAAAACCACTATCCACTTCCTCTCCAAAGATAACCACTTCCTATCACTAATTTCTGTCACTATTACTTTTGCTGGGTTCTCAAGGTTGTGTAAGTAGAATTATATATTCTGTATTATTTTGTGTATCTACTTTCTCTCAATCATGATGTTTATAAGATTCATCCATGTTACTGCATGTAGCTATAGTTCATTCTTTTTCATTTCTTATAGTATTGCTTTGTGTGAACATGTGAATGTAACACAATTGATTTATTCATTCTCCTGATAGTGGATATTTAAATCATTTCCAGTTTCTGGTTATTATAAATGAAACTGCAATGAACATTGTTTTGTGTGTGTGTATGTGTGTGTGTGTGTATATATACACACATATATACACACATATATACACACACACATATATACACATATATACACACATACATATACACATATATATACACACGTGTATATATATATACACAGACACATATATATATATACACATATATATGTCTTTAGGTGAAAATATACTTATATATTTATGTTGGCTATTATAAATAAAGCTGCTGCTATGAACATTCTTGTATGTGTCTTTCCATAAACATATGTACCCAGGAGTAGAGCTGCTAAGTCATAGAGTATCTCCCTATTCATCTTTAGTGAATAGTGCCAGTTTTCCAAAACAAGGACAAAAATTTACACTCTTATCAGTGAGAGAGTTCTGTTTCTTCCACATCCTCCTCAACACTTGGGATTATCAGTCTTTTTCCTTTTAACCATTCTGGTGGGTGCTTTATGCTATATTATTGTGATTTTAACTTCCATCTCCCTGGTTACTAATGAATTGGCACACTTTATTAACTAGTTGGATATCTATTTTTTGAAGTGCTTGTTCAAGTCAATTGTCCATTTTTATTCAATTTTCTGTCTGTGTCTTGTTGATCTATAGGAGTTCTTAATCCTCTGACTGAATGCCTTGGCAGTTGTGTGCATTGCTGATCTCTTTTCCCATGCTGTGGCATGCCTCTTTGTTTATTAGATTATATCTCTTGATGAACAGAAGCTCATCATTTTAATTTGGACAACTTATTAATATTTGCCTTTATAGCAAGCACTTTTTGTGTCTTTTTCCAAAAATCACTCCCTACCCCAAGGTCATGAAGATATTCTCCAATGTTATCTTCTAGAAAATTTAGTGTTCTACCATTCACCCCTAGCAACAGATTCTACCTCAAACTGATTTTGAGGTAGCGTGTGAAGCAGGTCTTAAATTTTACTGTTTTCCATATGGGAAACCACTTCTTTTTAAAATTGTCATATTCCCACTGCTCTTCAGTGTCACATTTGCCATGAATTAGAGGTTGAATTTATGTTTTGTTCACTGATTGATTTGCCTAGGCTTACATAAATAATACACCATAATAATTAATTCAGGATTAAAATCAATCTTGTTAACTATTAGTACAAGCCTTCCACCTTTTTTGTCCTTCTTCAAGATTGTCTTATATTTCCCCATAAATTTAATAGTCAGCTTGTCAATTTATATACATGCCTTCTTTGGATGGCTTTGCTAAATTCACTTATTAATTATAATAGCTTATCCATAGGTGATTTTGAATGTTTATGTATACAGTTAAGTCACCTGGGAAAAAATACAGTTGTATTATTTCCTTTCTAATCCTTAAACGTTTTTTGCCTTATTTGTTGTAATTTTTTTCCAGTCGTGCCTATGAAACATGTCAAAATGAAAGAAAAAAAAAACAGAAAAACTATTTTAAAAGCAGGTTTTCTGCTATCAAGTTCTTTGTTCAAAGCCTCCTTTTATCTATCCTTCTCTCCTCCTAATTAAAGGTGTCCACCCATATTCTTCTGCTAACATATTTCAACCACTTCTCTAGCTTCCTAATCTGGACCATACAATCACTCACTTCAACTACTCCTTCCCTCCAATGTAGACTTCCCTCCTTCTTTGGCTTTCTGCTATATCAGCCTGCAAGTCTAATATTACCAATAGCTAATATTTATTGCTCATTCATGAAATACACAGCATTGTGCTCAGTTCTACATATTGAATCCTCACAACAAACCAATAAAACTGATACTATTACTCAGTTTAATATATTTGTGATCTTTTTGCAATAAAATGTGTGTTTTTCTTCTATAATAAGAAAAATAAGTCTGGGTGCAGTGGCCCATGCTTGTAATTCCAATGCTTTGGGAGGCCAAGGTGAGAGGATCACTTGAGGCCAGGAGTTTGAGAACAGCCTGGGCAACATACAGAGACCCCATCTCTACAAAAAAAAAATAAATTTTTAAGTTAGCCAGGCATAGTGGTGCACACCTGTAGTCCTAGCTACTCAGGAAGTGAGGCAGGAGGATAGCTTGAGCCCAGGAGTTTGAGGTTATACTAAGCTATGATCATGTCACTGCATTCCAGCCAGGTGACAGACCAGGACCCTGTCTCTAAAAAGAAAGTAAATGAAAAATATGAAAAATTGTTTAAAATAAATATTTGTTGATTGAAGACCATATTGGAAAAATCTAAACATTCTTATAAATGTATATACATATACATGTATCCATCTAGAGTTCAAGGAAAACAATATGGAAAAAGAGCAAGACCCTGCCTCTAAATAACAATTTTTATGTCTCTCCAGGATCAAGTCCATTTAAAATATGCATAAATGTATCCAAGCAGGGAACACTGCACATGCTAATCTGTTATTTACATGAATTCTTTAGAATACCTTAAAATGAGGGAATTTCAACTTTATGCCCTTTCAGTCCTTCTCCTTTTTGCTGCAAATCTATTATAGAGGAGATGTATTTGTGGCATCTATAATTTTTCCCTTTGCCGTAAGAATAGTTTTCTGATAAAAGTTATATTAAGGTCACAAAGACACAGCAAGTAAGATTTTTTTAAGAAGTAAAAATTCCATTTAGGGCTCTGTCAAACCCTAGTTAAATGAATTTGAACAAGAGCATTAGCCCCATTTTTTTCACCTATAATAATTTTACCACCTACCTTAAAGAATTATGCAAATTAATGTGATAAAATAATTTGAATTCCTTTAAAATAGGTACTTTAAATATAAGTAGTTACTTTACACTGTTCCATTAACTTTAGGTCTTCTCATAAAAAATAAAATATAAAAATAAAAAAAGACAAATGTAGGTTATATACTAATCACTCAAAAAAACACTAATTTTTTGATGCGTGTCTCTATATTACAATCTATTTCTGCCATTTCTTGAGAAACAACATTAAAGAATTAAAAATGTTTGCCCTTTGACTCAGTAATTCTACTTTTGCGGATGTTACCTAACACAAAGCCAAAATATCAAAAACAAGTTTTATACACAAATATATTTACTGCAGTCTTTATGGCATCAAAAATAATAATCCATTAACAGGAGAATGTTTAATTGTGATTTAACCACATGATGGAACATCATATAAATGTTAAAATATATGTTTTAAGATATATTTAATAATATAGGAAACATACTTTAATAATATATTTAATAATATAGAAAACATACTTTAATAATAGATTTAATAATATAGAAAATATATTTTAATAATAGATTTAATAATATAGAAAACATACTTTAATAATAGATTTAATAATATAGAAAACATACTTTAATAATAGATTTAATATAGAAAACATACTTTAATAATAGATTTAATAATATAGAAAACATACTTTAATAATAGATTTAATAATATAGAAAACATATTTTAATAATAGATTTAATAATATAAAACATACTTTAATAATAGATTTAATAATATAGAAAACATATTTTAATAATAGATTTAATAATATAGAAAATATATTTTAATATATTTAATATAGAAAATATATTTTAATATATTTAATATAGAAAATATATTTTAATAATATATTTAATAATATAGAAAATATATTTTAATAATATATTTAAATAAATTAGTTTTATTCATAAAATTTCTTTAATTTTGCTAGAGAGGTAGACATCCAGATACAAAAATAATCCCAAGAACAACTGTGAGATACCATACAAAATGCACATCACCAAGGCATATAGTCATCAGACTGTCCAAGGTCAACACTAAAGAAAAAAATCTTAAAGGGAGCTAGAGTAAAAGGTCAGATCACATATAAAGGGAATCCCATCAGGCTAACAGCAGACATCTCAGCAGAAACTTTGCAAGCCGTGACACATTGAGGGCCTATTTTCGGCATTCTTCAAGAAAAGAAATTCCAAGCAAGAATTTCATATCCCACCAAACTAAGCCTCGTAAGTGGAGAAAACAACAACAACAAAAAAAACCTTTTTCAGATAAGCAGGTGCTAAAGGAATTTGTTACCCCTAGACCAGCCTTACACAAGATCATTAAGGCAAGTTCTAAACATAGAAATGAAAGAACAATTTCCTGCTGCCACAAAAATATACTTCAGTACATAACCTGAAGACCCCATAAAGCAACCACACAATAGAAACTACAAAGCAACATACTAACAACTTCCCAATAGAATCAAAACCTCACATTATCAATATTAGCCTTAAATGTAAATGATCTGGCCAGTCGCGGTGGCTCACACCTGTAATCCCAGCACCTTGGGAGGCCGAGGTGGGCGGATCACGAGGTCAGGAGATCAAGACCATCCTGGCTAACATGGTGAAACCTCGTCTCTACTAAAAATACAAAAAATTAGCCGGGCATGCTGGCGGGCACCTGTAGTCCCAGCTACTCAGGAGGCTGAGGCAGGAGAATGGCGTGAACCCGGGAGGCGGAGCTTGCAGTGAGCCGAGATCCCGCCACTGCACTCCAGCCTGGGCTACAGAGCGAGACTCCGTCTCAAAAAAAAAAAAAAAAAAAAAAAAAAAAAAACAATACTCAGAGACTTTATGAACACCTCTATGCACACAAACTAGAAAATCCACAGTAAATGGATAAATCCCTGGAAACACACAATCTCGCAAGGATGAATTAGGAAGAAATTGAAACCTTGACTAGACCAATATTGAGTTCCAAAATTGAATCAGTAATTTAAAAAAAACCTACCAACCAGAAAAGCCCCGGACCAGATGGATTCACAGCAAAATTCTACCAGATGTACGAAGAAGAGCTGGTACTAGTTCTACTGAATCTATTCCAAAAAATTGAGGAGGAGGTACTCCTCCCTAACTACAAAGCCAGCATCACCCTGATGCTAAGACCTGGCAAAGATAAAATAAGAAAATTAACTACAGGCCAATAACCCCAATGCAAAAATCCTCGACAAAATACCAGCAAACCAAGTACAGGAACACAATAAAAAGCTAGTCTATTGTGATTAAGTAAGAATCAATCCTGTGGTGCAAGGTTGGCTCAACATATGCAGATCAATAAAAGTAATCTACTATATAAACAGAATTAAAAACAAAAACCATAAAATCATCTCAATAGATACAGACAAAGCTTTCAATAAAATCCACCATAGCTTAGTGATTAAAAAAAAAACCCACAAGAAACCAGGCATTTAAGGAACATACCTCAAAATAATAAGTATTTCTGACAAACCCACAGTTAGCATCACACTTAGCAGGAAAAAACTGGAAGTATTCCTTTTGAGAACTAGAATAAGACAAGTAACAGGCCCGTTCTCACCATTTCTATTCAATATAGTACAGGAAGTGCTAGCCAGGGCAATAAAGCAAGAGAAAGAAACGAAAGGCATACAACAGGACAAATAATAACTTAAACTATCTCTCCTTATGGATGATATGATTCCATACCTAGAAAACCCTAAAGACTCAACCAAAAGGCTCTTAGAACTGATAAACAGCTTTAATGAAGTTTTAGGATACAAAATCAAGGTATAAAACTCAATAGCATTTATATACACCAATTACATTCAAGCTGAGAGTCAAATAAAAAATGCAGTTTTATTAACAATAGCCACAAAAACATACCTAGGAATACATCTAATCAAAGAGATGAAAGATGTCTATAAGGAGAACTACAAAACAGTACTGAAAGACATTGTACATGACAAAACAAATGGAAAAACGTTCCATGCACAGGGATTGGAAGAACCAAATTAAAACAGCCTTACTGCCCAAAGCAATCTACAGATTCGACACTATTCCTATCATCTACCAATGTCATTTTTCACAGAACTAGGAAAAACTATGCTAAAATTTATGTGCAACCAAAAAAAAGAGCCTAAATAGCCAAAGCAATTTTAAGCAAAATAAACAAAGCTGGAAGTATCACATTACTTGACTTCAAACTATACTAGAAGGCTACAGTAACCAAAACACCATAGTAGTGATACAAAAACAGACACAGACCAATGGAACAGAATAGAGAACCCAAATATAAAGCCACACACCTACAGCCATCTGATCTTCAACAAAACTAACAAAAATAAGCAATGGGGAAAGAATTCCCTAGTCAATAAATGGTACTGGGATAACTGGCTAGCCATACGCAGAAGAATAAAACTGGACCCCTTCCTCGTACCATATACAAAAATTAACTAAATGATGATGAATTAAAGATGATGATGATGAATTAAAGATTTAAGTGCAAGACATCAAACTATAAGAATACTAGGAGAAAATCTAGAAAACACCATTCTGGACATCAGTCTTAGGAAAGAGTTTATGACTAAGTCCTCAAAAACAGTTGCAACCAAAAAAAAAAAAATTGGCAATGGGACCTAATTAAACAAACGAGCTTCTGTTCAGGAAAAGAAACTATCAATAGTAAACACACAACCTACAGGGTGGGAGAAAATATTTGCAAACTATGCATCCAATAAAGGTCTAATATCTAGAAGCTATAAGGAACCTAAATAACAACAACAACAAAACTCCATTGTCCATGGGTAAAAGACACAAATAGACACTCCTCAAAAGAAGACATGAAAGCCGCCAACAAACATATGAAAAAATGCTCAAAATCACTAATCACCAAAGAAATGCAAATCAAAAGCACACTGAGATACCATCTCACACCAGTCAGGATGAATAGCCAAAGTTAAAAAAACTAAAAGTCAAAAAACAGATGTTGGCGAGGATGTGGAGAAAGGGAACACTTGTACACTGTTGGTGGGAATGCAATTTAGTTCAGCCACTGTGGAAAGCGGTTTGGAGATTTCTCAAAGAACTTAAAACAGAATGACCTATTGACCCAGCAATCCCATTACTGTGTATGTATCCAAAAGTAAATAAATGATTCTACCAGAAAGACACATGCATTCATATGTTCATTGCAGCACCATTCACAATCGCAAAGACATGGAATCAACCTAGGTGCTGATCAACAATAAACTGGCTACACCATGGAATACTATGCAGCCATAAAAAAGAATGAAATCTTGTCCTTTGCAGCAACATAGATGCAGCTGGAGGCCATTATCCTAAGCAAATTAATGCAGAAACAGAAAACCAAATACCACATGTTCTCACTTATATATGGGAGCTAAACATTGGGTACATATGGACATAAAAATGGCCACAATCAAAAGTGGAGACTACTAGAAGGGGGAAGGAGGGAGGGGGACAAGGAGTGAAAAACTATTGGGTACTATGCTCCAGTACCTGGGTGGTGTTAATTGTACCCCAAACCTCAGCATCATGCAATATACCCAGGTAACAAACCTGCACATTTACCACCTGAATCTAAAATAAAAGTTGACTAGAAATCTCTAGTGTGCACCTCTTTCATGGAGAGAAGACAGTGACAAGTAATTACTAGATCTTCAGTGGGACACATTGAAGATCTGGTTGTGGACACGTTGGGATTTATCAAGGAAACGACCCACGGAGAACGGAGAGGAGTGAGACAGGACAACTTCACACCCGAGAGTGGCATGGAGTCAGGGGGAGCTTCTTCCCTTCACGGGAGAGGCGGGGAGGATAGTGAGTGAGAGTCCGTGGGGACTCACACTTCTGCAGCCTGGGCTCAGGTGATTCCCCTGTGAGCCCACCTCACTGGGACCTCCAGTCTGACATGGAGAACTACGTGGAGCCTGGCCATAGCCCCGACTCAGGCACACGCCACACATAGAGTCCTGGAAGCCTGGAATCCCCAGGCATCCCTGCATTAGCAGCTGCAGCTGGGGCAGCAGAGAAAGTCAAGATCCCCATGCACTCCCCCAAGAACAGAGCCTAATCTAGACACTGAGAAGCAAATGCAGACCTCGCCTCCCCTGCATTTAACAGCGTAAGGCCCACTGGCCTGGGTCTCCAGCCACACCCTGTCTGGACTCTCAGGCCTGTAGCAGCTCTGCACTTCCCTGGGACAAATCTCCCAGAAGGAGACGCCAGCTGCCAGTTTTGCTGTCTGACAGGCCCCGCCGCTGATCTGCACAGCGCAGCCATTCCACGGAAAAGCGGCCAGAGTATTTTTTACATAGTTCCCCAATCCTGCTCCTCCTCACGGGGCAAGACCCCCGCGCCCCCCGCACACACGCCCTGGACTGCAAACACCCCCACACCAGGGCTCCCAGGCCGGTAGCAGCTTTGCACTTCCCTGGGTCGGAGCTCCCAGAGGAAGAGGCCAGCTGCCATTGTTGCTGTCTTGCAGCCCCCGCTGCTGTAGCATTCATGCACTGGAGAGCAAGCAGCGATTAGGAAGTGGCACAGAGCACCTGCACAGCGTAGCTCTCCCACAGAAAAGAGGCCAGACTGGTTTTGTTTCTGGCCGGGGGGTCGGGGGATCGGGCGGGGGGCGGGGGGAAGGGTTCCGTGTTTTTTTAAAAAATAACTTTTATTTTAGGCGCACGGGTACATGTGCAGGATTGTTATGTCACGGAGGTTTGTTGCACTGATTATTTCATCACCCAGGTACTAAGCCTAGTACCCAATAGTTGTTTATTCTGCTCCTCTTTCTCCTCCCACATTCCACCCTCAAGTAGGCCCCAGTGTGTTGTTCCCTTCCTTTCTTCCGTGAGTTCTCATCATTTACCTCCCACTTCTAAGTGAAAACATGTGGTATTTGGTTTTCTGTTGCTGTGTTAATTTACTAAGGATAATGGACTCCAACTCCCACAAAAGACATGATCTCATTCTTTTCTACAGCTGCATAGTATTCGCTGATGTATATGTACCACATTTTCTTTATCCAGCGTGTTATTGATGAGCTTTTAGGTTGACTCTGTGTCTTTGCTATTGTGAACAGTGCTGCAATGAACATTTACATGTGTCTTTATGGTACGATGATGTACATTCCTCTGAGTATACACCCAGTAATGGGATTGCTGGGTCAAATGGTAATTCAGTTTTTACCTCTTTGAGGAATGGCCACACTGCTTTCCACAATGGATGAACCAATTTTTACTCCCACCAACGGTGTATAAATGTTCCCTTTTCTCCACAACCTCACCAGCATGTTATTTTTGACTTTTTTTTTTTTTTTTGAGCAGAGCCTTTCTCTGTTGCCAAGGCTGGAGTGCAGTGGCGCAATCTCAGCTCACTGCGACCTCCACCCTGCAGGCTCAAGTGATTCTCATGCCTGAGCCTCCTGAGTGGCTGGGATTACAGGCATGTGCCACCATGCCAGGCTAATTTTTATATTTTTAGTAGAGACAGGGTTTCACCATGTTGACCAGGCTGGTCTCAAACTCCTGGCCTCAAGTGGTCCATCCCTCTTGCCCTCTCAAAGCACTGGGATTGCAGGTGTGAGCCACTGCACCTGGCCTTATTTTTTTGACTTTTAATAACAGGCATTCTGACTGGTGTGAGATGGTATCTCATTATGGTTTTGATTGGCATTTCTCTAATGATTAGTGATGCTGAGCTTTTTTCATATGCTTGTTGGGCACATGTGAAAAAAAAACTTGTATGTCTTCTTTTGCAAAGTGTCTGTTCATGTCCTTTGTCCACTTTTTAATAGGGTTGTTTCTGTCTTGTAAATTTGTTTAAGGTCCTCATAGATAGATGCTGGATATTAGACCTTCGTCAGATGCATAGTTTGCAAATATTTTCTCCCCATCTGTAGGTTGTCCATTTACTCTGTTGATAGTTTCTTTGGCTGTGCAGAAGTTCTTAAGTTAGTTAGATCCCATGTGTCGATTTTTGCTTTTGTTGCAATTGCTTTTGGCATCTTTGTCATGAAATGTTTGCCTGTTCAGATGTACAGAATGATATTGCCTGGGTTATCTTCCAGGGTTTTTATAATTTTAAGTTTTGTACTTAAATATTTAATCCATCTTGATTTTTGTATGTGGTTTAATTAAGATAGGAGTCCAATGTCAATCTTTTGCATATGACTACACAACTAGCTAGTAACATTTATTGAATGGGAAGCCCTTTCCTCATTGCTTGTTTTTGTTGGTTTTGTCAAATTTCAGATGGTTGTATGTGGCATTATTTTTGTGCTTTCTATTCTGTTCCATTGGTCTATGTGTCTGTTTTGTACCAGTAGCATGCTGTTTTAGTAGCTGTAGTCCTGAAATAAAGTTTTAAGTTGGGTAATGTGATGCCTCCAACTTCATTCTTTTTGCTTAGGATTGCCTTGGCTATTTAGGCCTTTTTGGATTCCGTATGAATTTTAAAATAGTTTTTCCTAGTCCTATACAATGCTATTCCTATCAAACTACCAATGTCATTGTATCTGGAAATTGTTTTGTGCAGTATGACCATTTTAACCATATTGGTTCTTCCTATCCATGAGCATGGAATGTTTTCCATTTGTTGGTGTTATCTCTGATTTCTTTGAGCAGAGTTTTATAGTTCTCATTATAGAGATCTTTCACCTCCCTGGTTAGCTGTATTCCTAGGTATTTTATTCTTTTTGTGGCAATTGTGAATGGGATTGCATTCTTGACCTGGCTCTCCACTTGGATGTTGTGTGTTTATAGAAATGCTACCCATTTTTCTACACTGATTTTGTATCCAGAAACTTAACTGAAGTTGTTTATTAGTTCTAAGATTTTTTTGATAGAAACTATGGAGTTTTCTAGGTGTAGAATCATACTGTCCGCAAAGAGAGATAATTTGATTTCCTCTCTTTATATTTGGATGCCTTTTATTTCTTTCTATTGTCTGATTGCTCTGACCAGGAGTTCCAATACCATGCTGAATAGGAGTGGTGAGACAGGACATTGTTATCTTGTGCCTGTTTTCAAGCAGAATACTTCCAGATTTTGCCTATTCAATATTATGTTGGCTGTGGTTTTCTCATAGATGGCTCTTATTTTGAAGTATGTTCCTTCATTGTCTAGTTTATTGAGGGCTTTTGACATGGAGAGATGTTCAATTTTATCAAAAGCCTTTTCTGCCTCTATTTAGATTATCATGTGGTTTTTGTCTTTTGTTCTGTTTATGTGATGAATCACATTTATTGATTTGCCTATGTTGAACCAACTTTGCTTCCCAGGGATGAAGCCTACTTTATCATGGAGAATTAGCTCCCTGTATATACACCATTGATGTGCCGCTGGATTTGTTTTGCAAGTATTTTGTTGAGGATTTTTACATCAACGTTCATCAAGGATATTCGGCCAAACTGTTTTTTATATGTGTCCTGCTTCTTCTCACTGGGTGGGACCCCACAGCCTGGGACTCCAGCCAACCCCAACCAGGGCTCTCAGGCTGGTAGCAACTCGGCACTTCCCTAGGATGCAGTGTGAAGAAGGAGAGTCCGGCCACCAGTTTTTGCTGCCTTGCAGTCTCTGCTGCTATAGCCTTCAGGCTCTGGAGAGCAAGTGGTGATTAGGGAGTGGCATGGATCCCCCACACAGCGCAACTGACCCAAGGTAAAGTGGCCAGATTGTTTTTTACATGGGTCCCTGATCCCACTTCTCCTCACTGAGTGGGACCCATCTATCTGGGACTCCAGCCACTCTGTACTCACCACAACCAGGGCTCTCAGGCTAGTACAGATCTACACTTCCCTGAGACGGAAGCTTGCAGAGGGAGAGGCTGGCCACAGTTTTTGCGTCTTCCAGATCCTGCTGCTATTGCCTTCTGGTCTGGAGAGTACACGGTGATTAGGAAGTGGCATAGTTCCCCAGAACAGTGCAGCCCTCCCACAGAAAAGTGACTGGATTGTTCTCCACGTGGGCTTCTCTCTCAGCTTCTCATCACTGGGTAGGGCCACCCAACCTGGGACTCTAGCAAAACTACCCTGCCCCTTCCTGAACCCTTTAGTCAGAGGTGGGAGGAAATCCCAGAGACAACCCACAACCCCTCTGCCTCTGCAGCTACAGTAATAACACCCTAACCTCCCACAGGTTGGGGAAGGAACAGAAGGCACAATAGCTACGCTGGCAAATGCAACATACTGCAGCCACCAGACAAAAAGGAATCCAGTCTCTCTTCCTTGTGACACCCTCCCTCCCCACTGCCCCCAAAACTCTTCACCAGGCAGGGCCCCCGGCTTGGGACTGCAGAACAGCTGACCCACCCATGGTTAGGCATACCCACTGGTAGGGGCTGTTCTTCCCGGGTGAGGGGCTCCCAGAAGCAACCAAAAGCCCCCCTGCCACTGCCACAGCAATGATTCTGCCTCTGCTGCCCTCAGTCTGGAGAAAAAACAAAGAATCTAAGGGCTTCACCCGAGCTTCCAGCACACCAAGTGGAGAGGAGCCCAGTCTCTCATCCCTGTGAGCTGTGGACAAACCTCCTGCTCTTTAACAAGCAGAGCCCGGCTCAGGCTAGCAGAGCAGCTGCCCCACCCCATGGCCGAACATTCCTGGGAGCAGCAGCTTCGAATTTCTCTGAGGTGGAGCTCCCAGAAGCAACCAAAAACCCCCTTGCCACTGCCACTGTAGTGGTGCTGCCCTTGCTACCTTCAGACCAGGAAAGAAGCAAAGACGCTGAGTGCTTTAATCACACTTGCAGCGAATGGCAGTTGCGTTAAGGAGAAGAGGCCAGTTTGTCTCCCCCAGGTCCCACCCAAGGCCCCTGCTCATCACCAGGTGGGGCCCCATTAGTGTGGACCCACCGTTCAGCTGCCCCACCCCAGGCTAATTAAACTGATTGATAGCAGCTCTGCATGTTTCTGGGCTGGAGCCCAAAGAGACAAATCAAAGACCCTCTGCCACAACCACCGCTGAAGTCCCTTCCCCTGCTGCCTCAAAGCTGGGAAAGGAACATAAAGCCAGAAATCACCCTAGAGCTGTGGTGTGCAGCCCAGGAGTGCCAAGTTGAGACATGCAGCCAGCACTCAAGTGGGAGATAAACCCACACTTTCAGAGCACTGAGAGGGAGTACAACTGCAATTGTGAAGAAATACAGGGGAGCTGTGTTAACTGAGCAAGACCCTACCTACCGGCCATTACACTTAAGTGCCACCTACTGGATCACAGCACAAAACATCAATACCAAAAAATACTTTGCTAATATACTCACCGTGTGAAATCAAAAACAAGAATTTAGCTACAAATAAACACCTGAACAAAGCTTTGGCCCTCTGAAAACATCCAGAAAGGAAGTCAACTGACTGTACTCAACACCACAGTTAAAGGAACATCAGCTTGCTCACACAGATGAGAAATAACCAGCACAAGAACTCTGGCAATTAAAAAAGCCAGAGTGCCTTCTTTCCTCCAAATGCCCACACTGTCCTAACGAGGCTGAAATGGTTGAAATGATACAAATAGAATTCAGAATACAGACAGGAACAAAGATCATCGAGATTCAGGAGGACATTGAAATGCAATCCAAGGAACCTAAGAATCACATAATACAGGAGCCGTTAGATGAAATAGCCATTATAAAAAAGAACCAAAGTAATCTGATAGAGCTGAGAAACACACTACAAGAATTGCATAATGGGGGACTGGTCTAAAAAGAAAAAAAAAAGAATTGCATAATGCAATTGTGCATATTAACAGCAGAATAGACCAAGCTGAGGAAAGAATCTCGGAGGTCAAAGACTGGCTATCTAAAATGACCCAGGCAAATAAAAATAAAGAAAGAAGAATTAAAATGAACAACAACAACAAAAAACCCTCCAAGAAATGTGTGATTCTGTAAAGAAACCAAACCTATGACTCATTGGCATCCCTGAAAGAGACAGGAAGAAAGCAAGCAACTTGGAAACATATTTCAGGATATCGTCCATGAAAACTTCCCCAACCTCACTAGAGAGAACTACATTCAAATTCAAGAAATACAGAGAACCTCTGCAAGACACTACACAAGAAGACTATCTCCCAAACACATAATCATCAGATTCTCCAAGGTTGATATGAAAGAAAAAAAATGTTAAGGGCAGCTAGAGAGAAAGGGCAGGTCACCTACAAAGGGAACCCCATCAAGCTAACAGCACACTTTTCAGCAGAAACCCTACAAGCCAGAAGAGACTGGGGGCCTATATTCAGCATTCTTAAAAAAAGAATTTCCAACAAAAATTTCACATCCAGCCAAACTAAGTGAAGGAGAAATAAGGTCCTTTTCAGACAAGCAAATGCTGAGAGTATTTATTACTACCAGACCTGTCTTAAAAGAGGTTCAGAAAGGAGCACTAAATATGCAAAGACCATTACCAGCCACTACATAGACACACTGAAGTACATAGACCAGTGACACTATAAAGCAACCACACAAACATGCCAGCATAATAACCAGCTATCAACATGATAACGGAATCAAATCCATAAATATGATACTAACCTTGAATGTAAATGGGTTAAATGCCTCCAATTAAAAGGCACAGAGTGTCAAGCTAGATCAAGAAGCAACACCCGATGGTATGCTATCTTCAAAAGACCCATCTCACATGCAATGACATGAATAGGCTCAAAGTAAAGGCATGGAGAAAAATCTACTAAGCAAATGGAAAACAGAAAAAAGCAGAGGTTGCAATCCTAATGTCAGACAAAAAGGACTGTAAGCCAACAAAGATCAAAAAAAGATAAAGAAAGGCATTATATAATGGTAAAGGGTTCAATTCAACAAGAAGACATAACTATTCTCAATATATATGCACCCAACACAGGAGCACCCAGATTAATAAAGCAAGTTCTTAGATAACTACAAAGAGACTTATATTCCCACACAATAATATTGGGAGACTTTAACCCCCGACTGACAATATCAGACAGAACACTGAGGCAGAATATTAACAAAGATAGTCAGGACCTGAATTTAACATTTGAACAAATGAGCCTAATAACATCTACAGAACTCCCCACCCAACAACGGAATATATATTCATCTCGTCTACACGTGGCACATATTCTAAAACTGACCACACAATCGAACATAAAACAATACTCAGCAAATTCAAAAAAACCAACAGTATACCAACCACAATCTCAGACCACAGGGCAATAAAAATAGAAATCAATGCTAAGGAAATCACTCAAAGCCATAAAATTACATGGACATTAAACAACCTGCTTCTGAATGACTTTTCAGTAAATAATGAAATTAAGTCAAAAATCAAGAAATTCATTGAAACTAATGGGAATAAAAATACAACATACCAGAATCTCTGGAACACACCTAAGGTAATGTTAGGAGTAAAGTTTACAGCACTGAATGCCCACATCAAAAACTTAGATCTCAAATTAACAACCGAATATCACAACTGGAAAAACTAAAGCTAGAGCAACCCAACCCTAACACTAGCAGAAGACAAGAAATAACCAAAATCAGAGCTGAACTGAAAAAAACTGAGACACACACACACACAAAATACAAAGATTAATGAATCCAGAAATCGGTTCTTTGAAAAAAATGAATATGATTAATAGAGCCAGCTAGACAACTAAAAGAAAAGGAGAAAAGATGCAATTAGGCACAATCGGAAATGACAAAGGGGACGTTACCACTGACCCAAGAGAACCATAAAAACAAACCCTCAGAGACTACTATGAACATGACTATGCAGACAAACTAGAAAATCTGAAACAAACTGATAATTCCTAGACATATAACAACCTCCCAAGACTGAACCAGGAACAAATTGAATCCCTGAACAAACCAATAACGAGTTCCAAAATTCAATCAGTAACAAAAAGCCTACCAATAAAAATAGCTCAGGACCAGATGGATTCTGAGCCAAATTTTACCAGACGTATAAAGAATAGGGAGCGGGGCCAGGCGCGGTGGCTCACGCCTGTAATCCAAGCACTTTGGGAGGCCAGGCGGGCAGATCACGAGGTCAGCAGATCGAGACCATACCGGCTAACAGCGTGAAACCCCGTCTCTACTGAAAACAAAAAAATTAGCTGGGCGTGGTGGCAGGCGCCTGTAGTCCCAGCTACTCTGGAGGCTGAGGCAGGAGAATAGCTTGAACCCGGGAAGCGGAGGTTGCAGTGAGCCGAGATCGCGCCACTGCACTCCAGCCTGGGTGACAGAGCGAGACTCCCTTGCAAAAAAAAAAAAAAAAAAAAAAAATTGGGAGAGGGATCATCATGGTGGATAGGAGGCAGGACTAGATTGCAGCTCTGACTCGTACGGGCAGAGCAGGGTGCGGAGGCTCGCATCATTAATTTTAGCTCCGTATCAATGGCAAGAACAAACCAGGAATCCGGAGAGGACCCACAGGCCCTCTAAAGGAAGCGGACTGCTCCTGTAGGACCCGGGAGACAACCCAGATACAGCGAGTCCCCCAACTGCGGAAGTAGGAAAGGGAGATCCTCCTCTCCCAAACACACACCCCCACTGGGAAAACTGAAGGTCTGTCTGCGGGAGAAGTTTCCGACCTTACCTGGAACTGAGTCCATCTCGAGAGCCTAGCGAAACACAGGGGTAGAGGAAGCAGCAGGAAAGGCTCTGGGAGCTCGTTGGGTCCCCAAGCAGCCCATTCCTGCCCGGCACCACAGGACTCCTTCGGCGGCCAGAGGAGCGGGGAAAATGCCACAGGGAGAAGGAAGTCTCCAGCGAGCTCTGTAACAACTGGAATCCAGCCAGAGCCTCCTGGCCAGAACTCCGGGGAGGGCGCGAATCCGGTGCGTTTTGCTAAGGACTTAAACTTAAGACCTGAAACTATAAACATTATAGAAGATAACATTGGAAAAACCCTTCTAGACATTGGCTTAGGCAAGGATTTCATGACCAAGTACCCAAAACCAAGGGCTAAGGACATCAATAGAAAATTCTCAAAAGAAGATACACAAATGGCCAACAAACATATGTAAAAATGCTCAACATCATGAATGATCAGGGAAATGCAAATCAAAACCACAATGCAATACCACCTTACTCCTGCAAGAATGGCCATAATCAAAAAATAAAAAAACAGTAGATGTTGGCATGGATGCGATGATCAGGGAACACTTCTACACTGCTGGTGGGAATGTAAACTAGCACAGCCACTATGGAAAACAGTGTGGAGATTCCTTTAAAAACTAAAAGTAGAACTACCATTTGATCCAGCAATCCCACTACTGGGTATCTACCCAGAGGAAAAGAAGTCATTATTCAAAAAGACACTTGCACATGTACATTTATAGCAACACAATTCACAATTGCAAAATTGTAGAACCAACCCAAATGCCCATCAATCAACAAGTAGATAAAGAAACTGTGGTATTTATAGGATGGAATACTACACAGCCATAAAAAGGAATAAATTAACAGCATTTGTAGTGACCTGGATGAGATTGGAGACTGTTATTCCAAGTGATGTAACTCAGGAATGGAAAACCAAACGTTGTATATTCTCGCTGATATGTGGGAGCTAAGCTTTGAGGATGCAAAGGCATAAGAATGATACAATGGACTTTGGGGACTTGGTGGGGAGAGTGGGAGGGGGATGAGGGATAAAAGACTACAAATATGGTAAAGTGTAAACTGCTTGGGTGATGGGTGCACCATAATCTCAAAAATCACCACTGAAGAACTTACGTAACCAATACCACCTGTACCCCAATAACTTATGGAAAAATAATATTAAAAAGAGAAAATGTGGTACATATACACTGTAGGATATTATGCAGCCATAAAAAAGAATGAGGTCACATCTGTTGCAGCAACATGGTTGGAGCTGGAGGTCATTATCCTAAACAAACTAATGCAGAACATAGAACCAAATACATGTTCTCACTTATAAGTGGGAGCTAAACAATGAGAACACTTGGACACTAAGAGAAGAACAACTGACCCTGGGGCCTACTTGAAGGTGGAGGGTGGGAGGAGGGAGAGGATCAGAAAACATACCTATCAGATATTATACTTATTACCCGAGTGACAAAATAATTTGTACTCCAAACCCCCGTGACATGTAGTTTACCTATATAACAAACCTGCTCTTATACCCCTGAACCTAAAATAAAAGTTGAAAACAAAACAAAACAAAGAAAATATGTATGATATGATTTAGAAAATCTGAACACTGATTGGCTAGTTTATAAAATTAAAGAATTATTAGTTTAAAATATAGATTTAATTTTATAACAACAAAAATGGCTTATCTTATGCAGTTAAGTGAAGAAAAAAAGAGACAATAAAATTGTTTATAAATCCTGAGTTCAACTGTAACAAAGAAAGAATTAACATTAAAAAGGTTAAATGATTATCACCTTAGAATTACCAAGTTAAAATGTTTCTTTTAATTTTTCTGGTTGCCTATAGTGAATTTTTATTATGTTTATAATGAGGAAATTTGGAAATCATATTTTAGAAAAAAAACGCTTTTGGGATAAATTTTAATTTCAATGGATTAAATTTACCAAGAAATTGAAGCAAGGTAATACATGTATCTCTGCTTACAATACATGGACACTACTATTAGATTCATCAGCAGTTTTATTTTATCAACAAGGGGTAGAATCAGTCAGTTCATGGGCCTCAGTACTGTGAGGTCCCACAGTGTTCTATCACCAAAAAAATCTCCAAAGTAATTCTTAACCTCACTTAATTGCTGTAGATATATTCATTCAATATCTGCTAAATAAACATTTTCTCTGCAGCTTGAGCTACCCAGGTAAAGACCATATATCTGGTTCATCTGGTACACAAGTTCTTTTTCCCCAAATTAGCCTAATGGGCAATTGCTTCCCAACTCCATGACAGAGAGCTAAATTATTTACTCTTCTGAAGTTTCTAAGTAAATTGTCTTAGTCCTTAGGCCACTAATAATTTGTTTTGTAGAATGAAATTATCAACCAACCTCAGTGGCTGAGTAAATTTTTAAGAACAATCCCTTCTCCTTTGTCCATCTTTTATTCTGTGTTTAGTTTAGGACAGGTATAGTTTTGCCCATCACAAGAGCCATAAGCTTACAATAGAATTCCCTTAGGCTTGAAACAGGCTTTGGTCACCAGACTTGAGATCTCCATACAAATATTTCACTTCGATTTCAGCAAATGGGAGAGACTTGGAAATCTGACATGGTCAGCAATTTCAACGTTGTTACATATTTTGTGGTGGCACCCAAGTTGCGCTCATGAGAATCCTTGTTCTGAGACTGAGAATTGTCTACATGGAAAAAGCATGGGCTATGGAGTCAAAGAATTTTGGGTCTAAATTTTGGCATAGCCATGTATTTGTCCTGCAACCTTGGGCAAATGACTCCATCCCTAGAGACTTGGTTTCCACATTTGCAAAATGGGGTTAACAATTCTTAACCTTTTTGAGTTTGTAGGAAGATTTCTTGAGATAATGTAGGTAAAAGGCTTATTATGGTACTGGATATTAGTATTCACTAGATTGTAGTTAAAATGAATGTACAAGTGATAAAACAAAAATTTCAACTGAGGCGCTCTCTGAAATGAGAAGCTAAAACAAGATACAAAATTATTCAAAAAAAAAAAGTAAGAACCAGAGAGAAGATACGTCTTAAAAAGTGTATGAAGGTTGTGAGTTGGAGATTAGGAAGGAGGCTCTTTGTTGCATTGCTTTTAGCACCAGATGATATTATTTTGACTACTTTTTTTCTGAATGAGTATTATTGGGGTCTAACACAGAGAAAAGCTATAAAATATAAATGTAAAGCATAATAAATTATCACTAAATACACACCAATATAGCTGGCACTTGAGTCAAGAAACAGAATACTGCCAGCACCACAGAAACCCAGAAAGGGATTTTTTTTTAAAGGCTTTTCAGAGAATTGCCCTACCCTTCACCTAAAGCCAGGAAAAAGTAACTGTAAAAGGAGGCAATGTCCTCTGCTGCTGGGAACATAGTGGCAAGAACCTGACTGAAGTAGCCGAGGCAGGAAAGGAGCTGTTTTCTGGGAATTATCAGTGCCAATGTATTAGTGGTGAGTATGAGTGTTTCTCTTGGACCAAATGTGGTCTCATGTGGGAGAGATAACTGTATGGGGAATTTTTAGATGCTAAAAGAGCCTGCAAGAAAAATGAGCAAGCATCAACAGAAAGAACCAAAGGGCATTCCTTACATTCTTTGGTTCCTTACATTTGGTTCCTTGGGGCTATGTAGACTAAATACAAATTGCACTTGCCCGTGTCAGAGGAATTGCAATGGAGGGCTCATCTCTGAAGAACCACATGTGCCCATGCAGGAAAGAATCAGCTTTAATGTGTGCTATGTCCAGAGTATGGCCCCATCACCTTCACAGTACCAGACAAGTAAAATTTCCTGCCTCTGTCCTCTCCTTCCTCCCTAACCACCAACATGAGAGAGTTCAGAAATAAGGTAGCAAGTGAAGAGAAAAGGAATTGAAGGCTAAGTGGG
Source organism: Homo sapiens (assembly GCF_000001405.40). Classification (NCBI taxonomy): domain Eukaryota; kingdom Metazoa; phylum Chordata; class Mammalia; order Primates; family Hominidae; genus Homo; species Homo sapiens. Next base: position 19,771,671 of record NC_000012.12, on the reverse strand, counting down.
CATGAGAGTGAAAGTCCATCCCATAGCCAGTGACTGCCTCTCATTCTGGGGACACAGGGTTCTCAGACTATAGCAGGTTTGGATTGGAGGAGGAAGAGGATCTTCCATTTTAAATCAACTTTTATCTTTTAATGAAGATTGATGGCTCTTATGCAGGATGGACTGCTTTTCTTTTTGGATATCAACTCTTTGAATTACTTAAGATTGTCTAGAAAATTCATTTGACTGCACACATTTTCAGGACAAGAGAAGAACCAGCTTCACTGAATAAATGTTAAATAACAATGAAATTTCAAAGAAGTGACTTTCTGACTACAAGGTTCAATTTATATGTGTTCAATATACTGGGAATATCACTAATCTTATTATCATAACAAGATTTAAGAGAGGTGAACAAAAGAGCTGCATCATATCCAACTCTGATAGCCTTTGGTGGGATTAGGACCTCCAGACCCACCAGCAGAATATACAATTACACAAGAATATCTGCCCTGGTGAAGTAGCTATCCATGGAATATAATTTTTAATGGTTTTTAAAAATATCATTACCTATTTCAACGTATTAAATGGGGAAAACATCCTCATGCCTCCATGTCATCTACCTGAATACTAGGACACTGTACATGTATATAGCAATGATGATGAAAAACACCTGTAGACCAGGTATCCGGGTTACTGCTCAGACCCAGAGTACATCCATCTGTTCTTTGCTTCAGTGCATTGCTACAATTTAAATATGCAACCTCAATGAAGCATAATGAAAAAGTTCATCCAAGAAAGTGTCTTTCCTGGGCTCTGATATTGCTTGCATTTGTCACAGTGATTTTTGGAGCACTGTATCATATCAAAAAAAGCAGGATCCATAAATGAAAAGTCATTTAAAAATAATCAAAAATGTAACTTTCTTCCTTTGTTTAAAGCCTACAATATAAAATTTACATCTCAGTGATTATAAGAGAAGGGAAAAATATCAAACACCAGAAATATGCTGTCAATTAACTCCCACAAGCAGATGTAGATTAAAACAGGGTTCGTAAATATAAAAACTGGTACCTGGCTTATATTTAATAGACCTTTACGGTTATAGAACTTAAAAACTGAATACAACAAAATTATCCTCCAGATTTTGTATACTGACAAATTAAAATTTAATTTTACCATAACTATAAGCCTTTGGCCAAGTTTTATTTTCAATCTAATATTCTGCGTGTCTGTCTTCATTCAGAGGCCTTAGTCCAGAATCTGAAGATATCAGAGTCAGGAATTCTCTTAAAACTCATTTGATTTCACCTCCCCATTTTCTACACACAGAAAACAAAGACCTAGAGAGATAAAATTTGTTTAAAGTTGCCTAACTAGTTGTAAAGATGAATGTATAACTTCACCTAATGCCTATGCCTATGATGGTATTGTCCCAAGGGACTTTAACTCCTGTGGAATATAAGGTGTTTAAATCAGATTCCACACCCACCCCCATGTAGATTTCATCTTCTTTCACCTGAGCTATCATTTGGATAGAAAGTAACTCCAGAGGCTAAATTAGCTGTGTTAACTGTTAAAAGGAGTCTCAATGACAGGGAGCACCTAATACTGCCCTGCCACCAAGTTAAGCCTCCCTCCAGGTGGACTGGTGTCAAATGCGGCTATGGTAGTTGTGTGAGCCTGAATGTTTAGTTGAATGTAGAGAACAAGTGGTGGATGATGCAGTTCCAGAGAAAAGAACCCAAAGAGATTATGAATGGTTCTCATGGCTGCTCACAATTCAAAGAGACGTAATCAAAACTACTACCCTAAATATGAACTTCCTCTACAGGAACACTAGCTATAATTTCCCCCTTTGTCTTCAGAGGAACAATATCAGTTAGTATAGACTGGGTGAAGCTATGAGAAGAAAACAAGCAAAAATTTAGTAGCTTACAATAACATTTAGCTCTTTTTTTTTCTTTACAACTTTTATTTTAGGTTCAAGGGGTACATGTGCTGGTTTGTTACATGGATGGGTATATTGCATGTTGCTGAGGTTTGATATACAAATGATTTCATCACCCAGATAGTAACATAATACCTGATAGGTAGTTTTTCAATCCTTACTCTCCTCTCATCCTCCACTCTCAAGTAGGCCCTGGTGTCTATTATTCCCCTCTTTGTGTCCATGTGTACTCAATGTATAGCTCCCACTTACAAGTGAAAACATACAGTATTTGGTTTGCTGTTCCCACATCAGTTTGCTTAGGATAATGGCCTCCAGCTGCATCCACGTTGCTGCAAAGGACATGATTTCATACACTTTGCGGGTGAGTGGTACTCTATGATGTATATGTATCACAGTTTCTTTATATAGTTTACCATTCATGGGCAGCTAGATTGATTCCATGTCTTTGCTACTGTAAATACTGCTGCGATGAACGTATGCATGCATGTGTCTTTTTGGCGGAATGATTTATATTCCTTTGGGTATATACCCAGTAATGGGATTGCTGGGTGAAATGGTATTTCTGTTTTTAGCTCTTTGAGAAATCTCCAAACTGCTTTCCACAGTGGCTGAACTAACTTACATTCCCACCAGCAGTGTATAAGCATCACCTTTTCTTGGTAACTTCACCAACATCTATTATTTTCTGACTTTATAATAATAGCCATTCTGACTGGTGTAAGATAGTATCTCAATGTGGTTTTGATTTGCATTTCTCTAATTAGTGACACTGAGCATTTTTTCACATGCTTGTTGTCCACATATATGCCTTCTTTTGAGAAGTGTCTATTCATGCCCTTTGCCCATTTTTTAATGGGATTATTTGTTTGTTGCTTGTTAAGTTCCTTATAGATTCTGGATGTTAGACTTTTTTCTGATGCATAGTTTGCAAACATTTTCTCCCCATCTGTAGGTTGACTGTTTACACTGCTCTTTGTTTTGTTTGCTGTGCGGGAGCTCTTTAGTTTAAATGAATCCCACTTGTCAATTTCTATTTTTGTTGCAACTGATTTTGGAGACTTTGTCATGAAATCTTTACCAAAGCCTATGTCCAGAGTAGTATTTCCTAGGTTTTCTTCTAGGGTTTTTGTAGTTTTAGGTGATGTATTTAAGTCTTTAATCCATTTTATTTTTTGTATATGGTAAAAGGAAGAGGTCCTGAGTCAATCATCTGCATTTTCCCCAGCACCATTTATTCAATAGGGAGTAATTTCCCCATTGTTTTATTTTTGTAGACTTTGTCAAAGATTGCATGGCTGTAGGTTTGCGGCTTCATTTCTGAGTTCTCTAACCTGTTCCATTGGTCTATGTGTCTGTTTTTGTACCAGTGCCATGCTATACATAGTATCATGTAGCACACAATGTAGCTTTGTTGTATAATGTCAGGCAGTGTGATGTCTATGGCTTTGTTCTTTTTGCTTAATATCACTTTGGCTATTTGGGCTCTTTTTTGGTTCCATATGAGTCTCAGAATAGTTTTTTCTAATTCTGTGAAAAAAATGACATTGGTAGTTTGATAAGAATGCCACTGAATCTATAGATTCCTTTGGGCAATATGGCCATTTTAGCAATATTGATTCTATACCGTTGAGCATGGAAAGATTTCCACTTGTTTGTGTCATCTCTGATTTCTTTCAGCAATGTTTTGCACAATGTTTTGTAATTCTTGTTGTAGAGATCTTTCACCTCCCTAGTTAGCTGTATTCCTATGTGTGTTATTTTTGTGTGGCTCTTGTAAGTGGGATTGCGTTTTTTATTTGGCTCTCACAACTTGGACATTATTGATTTATGGAATGCTACTGATTTTTCTATATTGATTTTGTATCCCAAAACTTTATTGAAGTTGTTTATCAGTTCTAGAAGCCTTTGGATAGAAACTATGTAGTTTTCTAGGTAAAGAATCATACTGTCTGCAAAGAGAGATCATTTGACTTCATCTCTTCCTATTTGGATGCCTTCTATTTCTTTCTCTTGCCTGACTGCTCTGGCTAGGACTTCTAGTACTACATTTAATAGAAGTGGTGAGAGTGGGCATCCTTGTCTTGTTCTAGTTCTCAGGGGGAATGCTTCCAGATTTTGCTTGTTCAGTATGATGTTGGCTGTGGGTTTGTGATAGATGGTTCTTAATACTTTGAGGTATGTTCCTATGATGCCTACTTTGTTGAGAGTTTTTAACATGAAAGGATGGTGAATTTTATAGAAAGCCTTTTCTGCATTTATTGAGATAATCATGTGGTTTTTGCTTTTAATTCTGTTTATGTGGTATATCACATTTATTGATTTGTGTGAGTCAAACCAACCTTGAGCCCCAGGGATAAATCCAACTTTATTGTGATGGGTTAGCTTTTTGATGTGCTGGGGGATTGGATTTGCTCATATTTTGCTGAGGATTTTTGCATCTGTGTTCATGAAGGATATTGGCCTGAAGTTTTTTTTGTTATTGTTGTGTCTCTGCCAGGTTTTGGTATCAGGATGATGCTGGCCTCATAAGAGTTAGGGAGGAGTCCCTCTTCCTCCATTTTTTGGGATGATTTCAGTAGGATTGATACCAGCTCTTCTTTATACAGCTGATAGAATTTGGCTGTGAATCCATCTGTTCAAGGGCTTTTTCTGGTTGGTAGGTTTTTTTTATTACTGATTCAATTTTAGAATTTTTATTAGCCTATTCAGGGAGTCATTTTCTTCCTGGTTCAATCTTTCAAGGTTGTGTGTTTCCAAGAATTTGTTCATTTTTTTCTAGGTTTTGTAGTTTGTATGCATAGAAGTGTTCACAAATATCTCTGAGGATTTTTGGTATTTCTGACAGGTCATGGTAATACCACCTTTGTCATTTCTGATTGTGTTATTTACATATTCTTTTTCTTTATTAGTCTAGCTGGCAGTCAATCAATCTTTTTTTTTTTTATTATTATACTCTAAGTTTTAGGATACATGTGCACATTGTGCAGGTTAGTTACATATGTATACATGTGCCATGCTGGTGCGCTGCACCCACTAATGTGTCATCTAGCATTAGGTATATCTCCCAATGCTATCCCTCCCCCCTCCAAACCAATCAATCTTATTTATTCTTCAACAAAGCCAACTTTTGGTTTCATTGATCTTTTATATGGTTTACATCTCAACTTCATTCAGTTCAGCTCTGATTTTAGTGATTTCTCTTCTTCTGCTAGCTTTGGGGTTGGTTTGTTCTTGCTTTTCTAGTTCCTCTAAGTGTGATATTAGATTGTTAACTTGAGATCTCTGAAACTTCTTCATGTGAGCATTTAGTGCTATAAACTTTCCTCTTAACACTGTTTTAGCTGTGTCCAGAAATTCTGGTATGTTGTATCTTTGTTTTCATTAGTTTTGAATAATTTCTTGATGTCTGCCTTAATTTCATTCTTTACCCAAAAGTCATTCAGAAACAGGTGAATTTAAGCGTAATTGTATGGTTTTGAGAGATCTTCTTGGTTCTAATTTGTATTTTTATTGTGCTGTGATATGACAGTGTGGTTGGTATGCTTTTGATTTTTTGGAATTTGCTGAGGATTGTTTTATGGCCAAATGTGTGGTAAATCTTACAGTACGTGTCATGTGCAGATTAGAAGAATGTATATTCTGTTGTTAGGTGGTGATATGGTTTGGCTCTGTGGCACCAGCCAAATCTCACCTTGAATTGTAATAATCCCGATGTGTCAAGGGTGGGACCAAGTGGAGATAACTGAATCATGGGGTGAGTTTCCCCCATGCTGTTCTCATGATAGTGAGTTCTCATGAGATTTGATGTTTTTATAAGGGGCTTCCCCCTTCATTTGGCACCCATTCTCTCCCCTGCTACCATGTAAAGAGGTGCCTTCCACCATGATTGTAAGTTTCCAGAGGCCTCCCAAGTCATGTGGAACTGTGAGTCAATTAGGCCTCTTTTCTTTATAAATTAACCAGTCTCAGCTATTTCTTCATAGCAGCATGAGAAAGAATTAATACAGGTGAAATATTCTGTAGATGTCTGTTTGGTCCATTTGGTCAAAGTGTTGAGTTTAGGTCTTGAATATCTTTTTTAGTTGTCTGCTTCAATGATCTGCCTTACACTGCCAGTGGGGTGTTGAAGTCTCCCACTATTATTGTACAGTTATCTAAGTCTTTTTGCAGTCTCCAAGAACTTATTTTATGAATCTTGGTTCTTCAGTATTGGGTGCATATATATTTAGGATAGTTAAGTCTTCTTGTTGAATTGAACCCTTCATCATTACATAATGCCCTTCTTTGTCTTTATTATCATTGTCTGTTATATCTGAAATAGAATAACAACCCCTGCTCTTTTTTGTTTTCCATTTGCTTGCTACGTCTTCCTCCATACCTTTACTTTGAGCCTATGGGTGTCATTGCATGTCAGATGGCCTCTTGAAGACAGCACAGAGTTGGGTCTGTGCTTTTTTTATTCAACTTGTCATTCTGTGTTTTCTAAGTGAGGTATTTAGCCTGTTTACATTTAAGGTTAATATTGATATGTGCAAATTTGATCCTATCATCATGTTATCTGGTTATTATGTAGATTTGCTTCTACAGCTGCTTTATAATGTCAGTGGGCCATGTACTTAAGTGTGCTTTTGTAATCACAGCTATTAGTCTTTTGTTTTCATGTTACGCACTCCCTTAAGGACCTTTTGTAAGGCAGGTCTGGTGATAACATACTCCCTTAGCATTTGCTTGTCTGAAAAGGATTTTATTTCTCCTTCACTTATGAAATTTATTTTGGCTGGATATGAAATTCTTGATTGGGATTTCTTTTCTTTATGGATGCTAAATGTAGGCCCCTAGTCTTTTCTGACTTGTAAGGTTTCTGCTGAAAGATCTGCTATTAGCTTGATGGCTTTGTGGCCTACTCCTTCTTTCTAGCTGCCTTTAATATTTTTTATTTTTCATTGTCTTTGAAGAATCTGATGAATATGTCTCTTACGGAGGGTCATCTTGTATAATATCTTATGGAGGTTCTCTGGATTCCCTGAATTTGCATGTTGACCTCTCTAGTGAGGTTGGGAAAATTTTAGTGGACAATATCCTTAAGTATGTTTTCCAGGTGGCTTGCTCTGTCTTCGTCTTTTTCAGGAATTCCTATGAGTCATAGGTTTGGTCTCTTTATGTAATCCCATATTTCTCAGAGGTTTTGTTCCTTTTTTATTCTTTTATTTTTGTCTGCCTGCCTTGATTCAAAGGAAAGGTCTTAGAGCTCTGAAATTCTGTCCTCACCTCGGTCTATTGTTATTAATGCTCTTACTTGCATTTTAAGTAATTAAATTCTTAAATACTTGCAATAATTTTTTTTATTTCCAGAAGTTCTGTTTGGTTCTTAAAACGGCTATGTTGTCTTTCAACTCTTGGACTGTTTAACTGTGTTCCTTGCATTGGGCTTCAACCTTCTGTATCTCAATGAGCTTTCTGCCATCCAGATTCTGAATTCTGACATTTCAGCCATTTCAGTCTGGTTAAGTACCATTACTGGGGAGCTAGTGCAGTCAGTCAGAAATAAGTAGACATTCTGGCTTTCAGAGTTGCCGAGTTTCTGCACTGATTCTTTCTCATCTGTGTGGGCAGATGTTTCTTCAATCTTTGAAGTTGCTGTCTTTTGAGTGGGGCTTTTTGCTTTTATATTCTTTGATGCTCATAAGGGTTTGTCTGTGGTATAAGTTGAGTTTGGTCAATGGCTTCCTTTCTGGATGCTTCCATGTTCTCACTCAGCATCCTAGGCTGCATGCTGTAATGCTGGGGAGCTAGGACAAGGCCTGGGGCTTTGTTCTTTGCCCCTTCCAGGTTAAGCACCTGCTGCACTGGAGGGGGTGAGATGTTCTTAGTCCACTGGCAAGAATACTCCAACAGGGGCTGCTGGAAAAAACATTCTGGCAGGGCAGCAAATGTCCCAGCATAGTGTGCACCAGTAAGGTGGTGGAGGGTCAACGTATACATGCATACCAGCAAGGCAGCCCAAGGAGGCTGCAGGCAAGAACTTACAACATTATGAGGTCTTGCATAATGTCTTCTGGGGGGGAGAGGCTAAGAGTGGGTGTGTGCCAGTGGGGAGGAGGCTGTAGGTGAGTGTGCACTGGCAGGAGTTCATCTGCAAAAGTATTCTGATGGGTATTGGGAGTCTGTCAGTGAAAGAGCTATGGTGATGTCACTGGCAAGCTGATGCTGCAGTGTAAGTGGATGTGTCCATGCAGGGACCCTGGGAGAGGCCAGCAGACAGAGGCACACTCCGATCAGACTAGCTCTATCCCCCAGGCAAGACTTCCTGTTCTGTCCAGGTCTAGCAACTAACGAAGGATAAAGCCACCTAGGGGGTATGGTGATCCTTGGGGGATGGACACCCATGGCTTTGCACCACTGCAGCTCTTTTTGCACCAAACCTTCTGGGCTCCACAAAGGCTGGAGATCAGTCCCTACCAACTCTCTAGGCAGTTCTCCCTGCCAGCTCAAATATCGATGGGTGTCATGGGGCCTCCCACATCTAGGACCCTGGAGGTCTGTGGCAAGAGTGGGCCACTGCACAACTATTTCACTCGCCTCTTCCCTAGGAGCCACCCAGTGCCTGGAATGAGTCTTGGTGCTTGGCAACTACATGCAGGGTTCCCAGTTTCCTCCTCTTTCAACCTGGGGTCCATGTCCTCACTCGGTCCACTCTCAATGCCTTCCTTCCAAAGAACTATATAGAGTGTTTGGAGTGTGCCAATCTACTTAATGGTCTGTTGTCTTTATTATTTATTTATTTATTTATTTATTTCTGGCTTACAGCAACACAAATTTATTATATTATAGTTCTGGAGATCAGAAGTCCAAAATAGGTCTCAGTGGATTAAAATCAAGGTGTCAGCAGGGCTGGGTTTCTTTCTCAGGAAAGAATCCCTTTCCTTGCCTTTTCCAGCTTCTAGAGGATACCTGTGTTCCTGGGCTCATGGTCTCCGGTCTCCTTCCTCTATCTCCAAAGCCAGAATCAGCACGTTATTCATACACTGTATCACTCCAACTTCGATGATCTGGTGTCTTTCAATGGGAGAACCTCTTCGCATCTAGTCAGCCATCTTGGGTTCTCTCCTGTGTGTCAACATTTCTTTCTTTCTTTCTTTCTTTTTTTCCTGAGATGGGGTCTCGCTCTGTCTCCCAGGCTGGAGTGCAGTGGCACGATCTCGGCTCACTGCAAGCTCCGCCTCCCGGGTTCACGCCATTCTCCTGCCTCAGCCTCCGGAGTAGCTGGGACTACAGGTGCCCGCCACCGCGCCCGGCTAATTTTTTTGTATTTTTAGTAGAGACGGGGTTTCACTGTGTTAGCCAGGATGGTCTCGATCTCCTGACCTTGTGATCCGCCCACCTCGGCCTCCCAAAGAGCTGGGATTACAGGCGTGAGCCACTGCGCCCGGCCCCAACATTTATTTCTTCAACACTTATTTATTATTACGAACAGTAAAAGTTTGTCATGGATGAGCCTGTATGTACACATCATCTTTACTCTAGTACCTAGACTGACAGAGCAGCCTCTATTGGAAACAATGCTAATCGTCTTGATAGAGGGAAAAGAGGACAAAGAACACCATGAGCTGGATCTTCCACTCACATTTCATTGGCCAGAACAATTCAAGCGGCCAAACCTAAAGCCAATGAGAATGGAAAAATATAATCCACACCCAAGGTAGGATGAGGAATATTTTTTGACAATAATCAAGCTACCTCAAGAACTTACAACCTTATGAGGTCTTATGCAATGATTTTTGTCCTCATATTCAGACAAAATCTACTACCTTGTAACTTACTAGTTGGCCCTCAATGTGTCTTCCAATTTGACACTTAAAGCCTAAATCTTCCTCCCGTCAATAAATCTATATGACATTGAGATTTATATGAGCACCTCAAGCATCCTAGAGAGCATAAAAAGATAACTATAGAAAACCTTCCCACCTTCAAGAATCTAAGGCTTAAGTGTACCTAATTTTTCTCTGAACAAAATTATAACAGTCCCAAAGCACTATGGAAACAGAGAAGAGGAAGTTGATTACATCAGACTAGACATCAAGGGAAAGTGTCACATTTCCAACCCAAACTTCCCCCTTCTTTCAACTTTACTCTTATGCTATGATTCCAGACCCTTTTCTTCCTATAGCCAATATCCTTCTTGTAGTATGTTTACCAGAAACAAAGATAATATTACAGGCTTTTCTGACCTAATCAGTGTAGAAAAGAATTACAAAGGCAGGTTAAGACTCCGTTTGGTCTTTTTCCTTCCCTCATAAGCTGTTCATTCATATTAAGATTATAATAAACCAAAACTATGAGGTTTTACACATGTATAAATACTAGCCATATTATCCTTTTTCCTGTGCTGTTGGTTTCTTATTAGATCCAACATTTCAACCTAGCAAAACCATCTTAGATTCTGGTTCTTGTAGTCAATGTATTTATAATGCCTCCTTATTTCACATCCACTGAAATGTGGTCAACATGCCATTATCCACATCACTAATTTAGAAAAAAAAAAAACGCAGTATTAGATAACATGAACATCAGAAGACTTTCAATAACCAGCTTACTTTCTGGATCATTCAGTCAATTGTTACTATATAATCCAAATGACTTCCCAACCTACAGCATCCTAAATCCTCTCCAGGATAGCAAAAGAAATTTTATCAAAGAATGATGTTCAAAATTACACCTATAAATTGTGAGAGATAGGCATTTTCCTCATTGGAATCGTGGAGAAAAGGAAACAAAAACAAAAGTAGAAGATGTGATTTACTCCCTTTTCAGAATCCCAAAGAGGAAAGACTCCAACTCAAGGACAGAGGGAACATGGCGACCTCAAGGGAATAAGAGCAGCCACCAGCTGAGGCAGCATCCATATGTGTGGGGGGGATGAGAATCCACATTCTGGAAGAACATGTGAGAATGACTCAGGATGGCACATCTGCTTTAAGGTCTAGAACTACTGAACCCTCTTCAAATTCTACTGTATTGCTCTAGATAAATACATGCTTATTCTTTTTTTAACAGCTTTATTGAGATATAATTCACATGCCATACAATTTACCTGTTTAAAGTATATAATTAATGGCTTTTAGTATATTCATAGTTGTGCAACAATCACCGAAAGCAATCTTAGAACATTTTTATTACCCCCCAAATTAACCACATGCCCCTTACCTATCACTTGCCCAATCCTCCCCTTTCAATTAGCTTTAGGCAACCACTAACTGACTTTCTGTCTACGTAGATTTACCTATTCTGGACATTTTCTATAAATGGAGTCATACAGTACATGACCATGTATGACTGCCTTCTCCCAGTCAGCATCATGTTTTCAAGGTTCATCGTGTTGTATCAAGTAACAGTATTTCTCTTCTTTCTTTTCTTCTTTAAATAGCTTTACTGATATATAATTCATATAATGTATGGTTCACCCATTTAAAGTGTTCAATTCACTGGGCACACAGGCTCATGCCTGTAATCCCACCACTTTGGGAGGCCAGAACAGTGGAATAGCTTGAAGCCAGGAGTCTGAGACCAGCCTGGGCAGCAAAGCAAGACCCTGTTTATAATAAATAAGTAAATAAATAAATAAGGCTCAGTGACATGCACCTGCAATCCCAGCTACTCAAGAGGCTGAGGCAGGAGGATCACTTGAACCCAGGAGTTTGGAAGCTGCAATGAGCTATGATCATGACAACTGCACTCCCGCCTAGGCAACACAATGGGACCCCATCTCTAAAAAATAAATTTAAAAAATAATAAAGTGTTCAATTCAATGGCTTTTAGTATATTCACAAGTATGTGCACCAATCACCATAGTCAATTAAAAACATTTCACCACCTCAAAAAGAAACCTTATACCTTTGAACTATCCCACCTGTACTGGCCTAACTCCCCCAGCCCTAAGCAACCACTAATCTACTTTGTCTACATGGATTTGCCTCTTCTCAACGTTCACGTGAATCGAATAACATGGTATGTGGTCTTTTGTGACTGGCTTCTTTCACATAGCATAAGCGTGATATTTTCAAGGTTCACCCATGTTGTAGCATGTATTAACACCTCATTTCTTTTTATGGTTAAACAATATCCCACTGCATAGATATATTACATTTTGTTTATCCATTTGTCCATTGATGGATGTGTTTCTACCTTTAGGCTATCATGCATAATGCTGCTATAAACACTGAAGTGCAAATTTTTATGTTCACATATGTTTTCATTTCTCTTGGGAATCTAACCAGGGGTAAATTTGCTGAGTCATATGATAACTCTATGTTTAATCATCAGAGGAACTGCTAGACTTTTCCAAACTGGCTGCACCACCTCACATTCCTAACAGCAGTGTATCAGAATTCTCATTTCTTCACATCCTCTCCAACACTTGTAATTGGACTTCTTTATTCCACATGCTTATTTCCAATGATCACTTTCTCCTTCTTTAAAGGGCTTACAAACTTCACTCAATAATATTTTCAAGAGTTTTGTCCAGGATATCAAATTCCTCAGCCTTTAGATTGTAGAATTTTCTTTCTATTTTTAAGAGACAGTATGGATAACTGTCTTTGTGAGTCTCCTGCAATCACTCCCATTCTCCAAGCTTGCCATTTCTCAAAGATCACTTTGTATTAAGGCAAACAGAAAACTGGGTATCCACTGTGTCTTTTTCTTCAACACTGAGAAGAAAGTTTGCACAAAAGCCGCCTCCAAAACATAGATTATTTTTATTTGCAGATTTTTAAAGTTACATTAATTGTGGTTATTTGACATTAACTTATATTTTTATGTCCCTATATTGTCCCTGTGTTGAGGTATAATAAGTAACATGTCATGAAAGACTAAATCAATATTATAAGAGAAAAGATTATTTAACCACAAAATCAGATATAATATATCCAATTGATAAATGAATGCCTATTTTAAATACAGGGTCTAATATTTTTTAAATGATCTATTATAATACATAATGATTGTCCCAAAAGTTTTTAATCAATTCAGATTTTAAATGGGTTATCATTTGTATTATTAACATTGTAGTTTACTACTAAAAATGTATTGAGTCCAATAATTTTAAAACAGAGTATAAAAAGATATTTATTTTATTGTTATTCCAATCCAACATTATGACTCTGTATAACCTAAAATTGAACAAGAGACATTTTGAATCAAAACATTCAGTTATCTCCTCTTTTGTAGGTAATCTAAGAGCTAACAATCAAACTTATAAAGAAATTAGCTCAGGTAAAGCTATCTTGTCACATTTTTCTGGAAGCTGACATGGTCAATCTTCGTCAAGTATGGAAAACAGTGAAGAGTACTGAAGTAAGAAGCTGTGTAAGAGATTTCAACAACTACAAATTTCCTTGAAGATGAATATTATCTGTATGAGTCTATTACTGAAATTTTCATTCATTCCCATAACACCAAACATTCTCATATTCAAAACATAAATACTATGCAGCCATAAGAAAGAACAAGATCATGTCTTTTGAGGGAATATGGATGGAGCTGGAGGCTATTATCCTTAGCAGACTAATGCAGGAACAGAAAACCAAATGCTGCATGTTCTCACTTATAAGTGGAAGCTAAATGATGAGAACTCATGAACACAAAGAAGGGAACAACAGACACTGGTGACTACTTGAGAGTGGAGGATGGGAGGAGGGAGAAGAGCAGAGAAGAAAACTATTGAGTGCTGGGCTTAATACCTGGGTGATGAAATAATCTGTACAACAAACCCCCTGACACAAGTTCACCTATATAACAAACCTGCACATGTACCACTGAACCTAAAATTTTAAAAAATATAAATACAAACTGTTTTATTACCAAATATAACTTTAAATTATCTGCCATTTTGATTATGTAATTCAAATTCAAGCCCCTACTCATTTTAGCATGTTTAAAATTCTGTCGATCTAAATTATACAGCTTCTCACATTTTCTAGGCTGAGTAGTTAATAGAGGCATATATTTAGGCCAACGCCTAAACCTAACTTTACTTGCATTTCGCTTAATTCCATTCCTGTCCAGTCCTAAGGAATTAATCCTCTGGAAAGAAGAGGATCGTATCTGGGAAGTCCCAGGTTGCTAACTTAGAGGAAGGAAAAAGACTTGAAGAGTAGCAAACATCTCTCATTTTGTTAGTTTGTTTTCAAAGAAGCTTCCGAAGTAGAAGGCGCATCAATACAGGGACATCTAGTGGCAAAGATAAATCAATGCAGTGATTGGCTCCTTGACAATATAGGAACCTTACCTTTGGTCTATCTTCATATTTAAGGGGGAAAAAAATTCCCGAACTCTCAATAATGGCCATTCATAGTATTTATAACAGCAATTGAACAACAAAAAAATGCATGCAAAAGCAAAGAATTTGAAGCAAATTTTCTTTTTTACATGATAACATAAAACTAGGCTTATAGCCAAGATGGATTTGTACTCATCAGGTTCTATATCTTTTCGAGCCATAGCAGTATTAAGAAGTAAAATAATCATTATACAAAAATTAATCTTTCTAGAAACATTAAAAGCCACAATAAACCAATTCCCCTTTATGTTGTAGAACATTAGTTTAACAGTATTACTTTATAAAGCCATACGACGATAATAAAAAAACTAATAGAAAACTAATGATCTATATCCCAATTGAAATCAATAAAAGAAAATAACAGTGACTCCTAATTAAGCCATTCCGCATCCTTAAGGTATTTTCATATGTGCCTCTTTTAAAGAAATCTTTTTGCTTTTTTCTTTAAAATGAGATGGAAAATCAAGGAAAACTTACTTCAAGGCAAATACTATTTTCCTCATTAGCTTTCTTTCTTGCTGGAATGGAAAAAGCAACTGCTTCTCAGGTATTTAGGTATTGCCGGAGGGTTGTGGAGCCAAAAAAAGAAAAGAGTAAGCATTTAGATCTGGGTCTCAAACAGTATAAAGAAACTGATACAAAGTTTTTATTTTATAAGTTAATAAATAGAAATGACTAACATCAGTACGTTAGTTATTGATGTTGATCATTTCAAAAGGCCAGCCTGGGATCTTACTTCAGGCTGAAATCCGGAAGAGGCATTTAACAGGTGAGGTATTTTGTTTTCACTTTGCCTTCCACTTGTGAGTTATCCTTCACCAGCAGGGAAAACCGCCTGCAGCACTTCTGGCATACTGGCTTTTCCTATCTCAATGCAGTTCCTTTTTTCCTAATAATGACCCTTCACTATAATTTCTCTTTTTTACTGACATTAAAGTGGACTTTAATATTTTGAAGGCCAATTCACTCACATGGGTTTATGAAAACACGAAGGTTGTATTTGGAATTGTTACTCAGTCATCAGGCAGAGCTCATATTCTCATTTTTGTGGACATCTTATTTCTGACCTTTCAAATGCTTTCTGTCCTCCCGCTCAGCTTCTCAGCACTTACCAGTCATGAGATGATTTGCCATTGATTTTTATTGAGGAAGCCTGAAATTGCTAAACATCTCATTTTGCCCATTCCCACGTCACAGGTTGATCCTAGTTTTATACAACTATCTCATATAGCACATAAATATATAATACAATATGTTAAATACCTATAAATAACAAGTAAATAAAGTAATGCAAGGTTTAAAAATATTGAGCAACTTGTAGCTAAAAAAGCAGCAAAGCATAACCAATGATTACTTGAACCCAGGTGAGGGAGATGGGGAAAGGGTGCAGCATTCTAATGAATGTAAACAAATAGAGTATGATTGTGGAAATGTATTATTATACATGCATTTCAATATTAAGTATACATTTCTCAATCTTTTCCCCATGTGTTCCCACAAAATGTCCCTTCTGCCAACACTTTTTCTCAGACTTCAATGGATACAGTACCCATCATGAATAAGATTTTTTTTTAATTTGTAATCAAGAGTCAGACTAGACTTGGGGTACAGTTAGGCTGACAAAGTCACTACCATGTAAACTCACCCAAAGGGACATATTAGGATATGGTTAGAGAGGACTAGAACTGGAAGAAATGTGTGAAGTTACGGTTTTTGATACACACACTATATTTATACGTATACACACACATAAATACATACACATGCATATATATACACACATGCATACATATGGAAATAAGTATAGCTATAAATATGTAAATTTTATATATGTTTATCCCCTTATCTGCCCATTGGAATGCCTGGAAGCAATGATACCTCAATATCAATGAACATACCTAATGTCCAGACTTTGGACTTTAATTACCATTCTTCACTAAAAGAAACTAAGTCTTCATAGAGAAACAGCAGACTATAGACAGAATTAAAACAAGGGAAGTATAAAATGAGCCTGGAATGTCTTGTTATGCCAAGAATCAAGGAAGCACACAAAAAATGGTAAAGGCATGTCGAAAGGACACAAAAGCCAGCTTGAGCAAATTCCTGGCTAAATTGGGAGGAATTTGAGCATTATATCAAGTAAAGATGGTAACAAAGTATAACCCATTGAAGAGTAAAATAGAAAACACACACATTTAAATAAATGAATAAATTGAAAGTTCGATGAGAAAAGAGATGTGTCATATAATCTTAAGGGACTGTTCCACAAAACACTCTTACGAAAAGGAAAAGAGAGTAAGTTTACAGTAGAGATGTCTGGCAGATACCACCTTAATCAAATGATCAAGGTAAATACCATCAGAAACAGGAAAAATTAAAATCAGGTGCCACATGACGGGATGCAATGAGAACTTAGCATCACATCTATCATGTTCCTCACAATTACAAATTAAAGAACATTCTTCAAAATAATGGGCCTTTTATGTTCAAAAGTGTCAAGGTCGTGAAAGTTAAGATAAGACTAAGGAACTGTTCCAAAATGAAGAAAGATAAAGAAACACGAGACCTAATTACAATGAGTGATTCTACTGGATCCTTTTGCTATCAGTGGCATGACTGGGACAACTGATGAAACTTCAGTGGATTCTGAGGAACATACCGTAGTAATGTATCAATGTAAATTTCCTGATTTGGTAGTTGGATCTAGTTATGTAGGAGAATGTCCTTGTTAATGAGAAACACACATGAAAGCATTCAGCAACATACTACTAAATTATTCAAGAAAAACATAATAGTTCCAGTACTATACTTTCAACTTTTCTATAAGTTTATGCTTATTCCAAAATTTTTTAAATATAATACTGTGTATGAAAGTCTATCCAAGCATTTCAGTAAAACTGTATTCAAAATATTTGTATAAAATATATTCAAAACCAAGTTTCTATATCAATTTCATGAATTTACTGTTTGTTTGGAAAACTTATCACCCTGTAACTATTTAGCAAGTAGTACAATTATTTTTTTTTCTATTTGACATGATTCACTTAACAAAGAGTCAGTGAGTACATTTCAGAGCAGATATGGTCATGGCAGAGAATAAGGTAGACAATGCCTCCATCTTATAGGGTTTACATTCTTTTGAGGGGATGGGCAATAAACAAGTAAATAATTTCAGTCTGGGCATGATGGCTCACCCCTCTAATCTCACACTTTGGGTGGCTGAGGCAGGAGGATTGCTTGAGGCCAAGAGTTTGAGACCAGCCAAGGCAACATAGTGAGACCCCATATCTATTAAAAAAAAGTTTTAATTAGCCAGGCATGGCAGCATAAGTCTGCAGTCCCAGCTACTCAGGAGCCTGAGGTGGAAGGATCACTTGAGCCTGGGAAGTTGAGGCTGCAGTGAGCCATGATTGTGCCACAGCACTCCAGCCTGGGTGATAAAGTAAGACCTTGTTTCCAAAAGAAAGAATTTCAGGTGGTGTTGTGATATGAAGAAAATAAAACAGGTAATATGAGAGAAAGTAAATAGGGTAGAAGAGGGTGACTTCAGGGAAAGTAGTCAGAGAGGGCTTCCCTGGGAAGATGATATTCAAATGATGAGAACTAGCCCTGAGAAAATCTGGACAAAAATGGCCCAGACAAGGGAAACACATTGTACAAAGACCCTGAGCAAGAATGAGCATAGTGCTTTGTAGGAAGAGAAAGGCAGCCATTGTGGCTGGAAAGAAAAAACAATGGGAGTTTATACGAAATGATGTATTGAAACCACCTTCATAAAATTAATAAAAGACCACAAGATTGGAATTATGGTAAGGGCCTAAATTTTGGTAAAGTATATTCCCTTCTCGCTGACCTTTTCTTCCTCCATATATGATTGCTTGCACAAGTCATTTCAATAAACGGTAGTCACTAATAACTGATAATCTTCCTATCTAGCCTCTGGTCAGGCTGCCTGCAAGATTAATTAACTTTTCTTTTAAACAACAATGATTCTTGGGTCATATAGACCCCCTTCATGTCTTCTAGAAGTCAGATTGGCCAAGGAACCAAGCAGCTGTGACCACTGGGGATCTCACCTCTTGCAAACCTCTCTGCTAACTATAGACAGAGTTAACAATAGCCTGTCATTGGTTCCTACCTTGCTTTTCCATAGTAATCGAGATCACAAACACTACTGTGAAACCTAAGACCGATCTCTGAGATATTTTTCAGATTCTGCATGCAAGTGGACCAACTAACACCAACCAGACCAGTGACTTGTAATACCAACTAAAGAACTAACTCCACTGGTCTTGTGAACACCACCCCAACCCAGGAACTGACTCAGCACATGAAGACAGCTTCAACACTCCTATGATTTCATCCCCAATCTTCCTGCCAAACCATCCTTTTAAAACCTTAGCCTCTGGATTCTCAGGGAGACACATTTGAGAAATATCTCCTATCCTCATTCAATTGCCTTGTGACAAACTCTTTCTTTGCTGCAATACCTGCTGTCTCCATGTTTGGCTCTATCTGCACAGTGGGTAAGAACTTAACAGTCTGAGATAAGATGTAAGTGCAAAATCATACAGGGCCTTGTGGGTCGTGTTGACAAGTTAGGGTTTGGTGCTAAGGGCACTAGATAACCACGAAAGGGTTTTAACCTTTAACGATCTCTCTTACCTTTTAAAAAAATCACATTGTCTATAGTACTGGACAAATGGCTTGACTGAAAGAAAGGTAGCAGAGTGATGAATTAGGAAGTTATTACAGTACAAATGGAATTTATTTGGTAAAAAAACAAAAACAGGATAATAGTTGAGACATAAGGAAGTAGATAGATCGAGGATATATTTTGGACTTTTATAAAATATATTTTATACTTCTATAAGATATGTATTTTTATAAGATATGTATTATCTTTTATAAGATATGGATTTTTGGTTGAGAAAATTCTGTGTATTTGAATTAACTTCTTTCTATTTTAGTACTTAAGTCTCTAATCTTGGCAGAAATAATGTAATTAGGAGCCTGTGAGCCTGGTTAGACCAAAAACAAAAGAAATCAGGACAAAGTAAAAGTGAATAAAGAAAGGACTTTTTTTTGATGTGTACTTCTTTCAACAAAAATTATCGCTAAATGTGGTACAAGAAGTGCTAGGTAGTATTAATTTTTATTCAAAAGAAGTATTGGCCAGGTGCAGTGGCTCACGCCTATAATCCCAGCACTTTGGGAGGCCAAGGTGGGAGGATCACTTGAAGTCAGAAGTTCAAGGTCAGCCTAGCCAACATGGTGAAACCCCACCTCTACTAAAAATACAAAAATTGGCCAGAAGCAGTGGTTCACACCTGTAATCCCAGCACTTTGGGAGGCCAAGGTGGTCAAGATCACAAGGTCAAGAGTTTGAGACCAGCCTGGCCAATATGGTGAAACCCTGTCTCTACCAAAAATACAAAAATTAACTAGGCGTGGTGGCAGGTGCCTGTAGTCCCAGCCACCTGGGAGGCTGAGGCAGGAGAATCACTTGAACCTGGGAGGCAGAGGTTGCAGTGAGTCGAGATCATGTCACTGCACTCCAGTCTGGTTGACGGAGCGAGACTCCATCCCTCAACAAAAAAGTATCAATTGACACAAAATAAGCACAAGTTTGTCATTTGAAGGAAGAAAAAAGAATGCATTTACAATTGAGGAAAAAAAAAACAAAACAAGAAATGAGATGCCAGGAAATACCATAACCCTGAAGGTTTGCATGGTGAGTTGGAGACAGAAAGTTTTAAGAAATCAGAATGTCAGCCCAGCACTCTGGAAATTTAATTAGGGAATACATCATTACTAACTAAGAGAAGGATGTGTCAAGCTATTAAATTTAACTAAAACTTAGAGAAATACATTTCTGGAACCCACTTTAACCCACAACCAAATTTTGCAATGACCAGTGATCTACCCAGATGAACTTACCCTCCCAAGAGCAGTTTCTTCAGAAATGAAAGGACCCGGAATATACCAGAGTTGGGTTTGTTTGTTTGTTTGTTTGTTTGTTTCCCTGAACTCCCCTTATCTGCCTAAAAAAGAACCTTCCAACAGAATTCAGCTGTCATAAATGCCCTCCCTGAGGAGTTTCACAACCAGGGAAGATTGACTTCTACAACCACAAATGAGAAGCCAGCACAAAGATAAGAACTTGCCTAAAAAGACATCATCACAAACTATCATATCTCCCATCTATTCTCCTAAGTGTTTATTTATCTTTCCTAAAAATCATTTGTTTTCCCATAAGTGCCATTCTACCTCTTCTTTCTCCTGTTAATAGTGTATATAGGCCTCTAAATCTAACCTCATCTTTGAGTCACATGATTCTGTGAACTCCAACATAGGTATAGGAATGAAAATCTGCCTTTTCATTCATTTATTGATTTTGCTAATCAGTTTTCTGTCAGTTTAATTCACAGGTCCCCAATAACTAAAATTAAAAGAATAAAGAACAAGATTTTTCTCCCTGACAGAAGAAGAAAAGGAATTCCTTTCATAAAAGAAGTCTGGCCTCATAAATTTATCCAAATAAAGCATAAAACTCATTCCTCACCCAGTTGTTATTCTTGCAGCAAATTA
The DNA here is from genome assembly GCF_000001405.40 of Homo sapiens. Lineage (NCBI taxonomy): Eukaryota > Metazoa > Chordata > Mammalia > Primates > Hominidae > Homo > Homo sapiens. Next base: position 19,750,810 of record NC_000012.12, on the reverse strand, counting down.
GATTTATAGAGTGTTTTGTACCCAACCAAATCCTGCAAAGAATTGTAAGCAACAGGCAACAGAAATGCACATAGCAAAATAATAAAATATCAATAATAATACATTCTTGGAAAGCTTTAAGGCATGAGTAGGTGGGGGGAAAAGCAAATATTCAGATCATAAGTGTCAATATAATTCATTTTTCTCTCTAAGGTAGTCAAAGAGAAATGGAAGTTATGGTTGATCTGTGTTGTTAAAATGAGGAATAAAGATATAATCACTTCTCAGAGAAAGCAGAACTTTTCTAATCTCTTAGAGCTACGTAGAAATTTCTCACTTGGGACTTTCCTAATGGAGCACTGAGCCATACCGTAGGAAACATCCTTGACAGCATTTCTACTGCCAATGGAGCATCAGATTTCGTAAGACTGTTTCTTGTAATATTCCTCCAAAAATATAAGAATAACAGCTCAATGGAGGCAATACTTCACAAGGAAGCAAAGTGGGGTGAATTAACTAATTAGCATTCCAATTTGCCAATCTTTCTCTTTCGTGTCTTGCTAGTGTGACTCAGCTTGTTAATCTTTATCATCCCTGGAGATACTGATCAAGAGTTCAACTAGAAATCAGAGCAGAGTTCCACAGTTCCTGAGAACATAGCAGAACTTATATTTGGTACATTTTCAAATATATATATAAATGATAAGCCCTCAAACAGATGGAACACTTCAAAGCACAGTTTTTGCTTGACAGTTTTTGCTCGACTAGTATCTACAATGATTAAAACGCAATTTAGATGAGAAAGGAAGATAAATTTAGCTGGAAGTGGTCTACGCTAAGAAAGTGACTCCAGCTCTGCCTCTCTAAATACATGAGCTTTGAAAAGCCATGTACCTTCTGTACATCCTAAGTATCTAAAGCATCTAAAATATGCTATGGGAAAAGTTAAATTTACACACAAAAAAATTTCAAAAACTAGAGGAAGTAAACTCCTCTTATCATTAGCCACTACTAATCCACTTTTTGCCCTCTAAGGAGGAGCACAGTTACATTCTAACGGAGCCCATGAATAATGAGCAACCAATTGGAACAATTCATTTGAGAATTTGTGACTTCCTAGAGTGTTACAAGTGTGAACTGGAAAAAAAGAATGAATACGTTCTTGAGACTCAGTGAATTATTTTCATAAGAATGCAGTAAGGTAAAAAGTATGGGCTATGCAAAAGCTTCTTAAGCAGATAACCAACTTCAGCACAGTCCCAGGATACAAAATCGATGTACGAAAATTGCCAGCATTCCTATACACCTACAGGCAAGCCAACAGCCAAATCATGAATGAACTCCCATTCACAATGGCCACAAAAAGAATAAAATACCTAGGAACACGGCTAAAAAGGAAAGTGATGAACCTCTTCGGGGAGAACTACAAGCCACTGCTCAGAGAAATCAGAGATGACACAAACAAATGGAAAAACATTCCATGCTCATGGATAGGAGGAAACAATATTGTGAAAATGGCCATACTGCCCAAAGCAATTTATAGATTCAGTGCTCTTCCCATTAAATTACCATTGACATTCTTGGCAGAATTAGAAAAAGCTACTTTAAAATCCATATGGAACCAAATAAAAAAGTGCAAATAGCTAAGGCAATCCTAAGCAAAAAGAACAAAGCTGGAGGCATCACTCCACCTGACTTCAAATTATATTACAAGGCTACGATAACCAAAACATCATGGTACTGGTACAAGAACAGACACATAGACCAATGGGACAGAATAGAGAATCCAGAAAAATAAGGCCACAAACCTATAACCATCAGATCTTCGACAAAGCTGACAAAAAAAACAAGCAATGGGGAAAGGACTCCCTATTTAATAAACGGTGCTGGGAGAACTGGCTAGCCATATGCTGAAAACAGAAACTGGACTCCTTCTTACACCATATACAAAAATCAACTCAAGATGGATTAAAGACTTTATAAAACCAAAAACTATAAAAACCCTAGAAGAAAATCTAGGCAATACCATTCAGGACATACGCACAGGCAAATATTTCATGACAAAGATGCCAAAAGCAATTGCAACAAAAGCAAAAATTAACAAATGGGATCTAATTAAACTTAAAAGCTTCTGTATAGCAAAGGAAACTATCAACAGAGTAAACAGACAACCTGTAGAATAGTAAGAAATTTTTGCAATCTATCTATCTGACAAAGGTCTAACATCCAGCATCTATAAGTAACTTAAACAAATTTACAAGAAAAAAAAAAAAAACCCCATTAAGAAGTGGGCAAAGAACATGAACAGACACTTCTTGAAAGAAGACAAACATGCAGCCAACAGGCATATGAAAAAAAGCTCAACATCACTGATCATTAAAGAAATGCAAATCAAAACCACAATGAGATACCATCTCACACCAGTCATAATGGCCATTATTAAAAAGTCAAAAAATAGCAGATAATGGTGAGGTTATGGAGAAAAAGGAATGCTTTATACACTGTTGGTGGGAGTGTAAATTAGTCCAACCATGGTGGAAGACAGTGTGCCAATTCCTCAAAGATGTAAAGGCAGAAACACCATTTGACCCAGCAATCCCATTACTGGGTATATACCCAAAGAAATATAAATTCTTCTTCCACAAAGACACATGCACGGGTATGTTCACTGTAGCACTATTCACAATAGCAAAGACATGGAATCAACTTATATGTCTATCAGTGAGAGACTGGATAAAGAAAATGTGGTGTATATACACCATGGAATTTTATGCAGCCATAAAAAGGAATGAAGTCATGTCCTTTGCAGGGACAAGGATGGAGCTGGGGGCCATTATCCTTAGCAAACTAACACAGGGACAGAAAACAAAATTCTGCATGTCCTCACTTATAAGTGGGAGCTAACTGATGAAAACACATGGACACATGGAGAGGAACAACACACACTGGGGGCATCTGGGGGAGGGAGAGGATCAGGAATAATAGCTAATGGAGGCTGGGCTTAATATCTGGGTGATGGGATGACCTGTGCTTCAAACCACCATGGCACATGTTTACCTATGCACCAAATCTGCACATCCTGCACATGTACCCCTGAACTTAAAATAAAAGCTGGAAATTTTTTTAAAGTATGGAATATGGAATTTTCATCAGATGGTTCTATTTTTGAGCACATGCAAAGTGAAAGTGTCTCAACAATCAAGAAATGAAAGAAAAAAATCAAGTCAATTTTGTACACATGTTTTAAATAGAGCTACAAAACTTATTTACCTTTCTCTAATTGTTTCCAGGAAATGATTTCTTCTGGTCTGCCTTTTGGTAATGAGGTAAGGAAAACTGTCATTGTCATTTGAAGGCTGGTTGACCAGTTAGTTGTTGACCAGTTCGTAGGTCGATAGGTTAGTGGTTCCAAAAAAGAAGAGGTCACTTAAAGACCAATGAAACAGGCCACTTTCTTTTGAAGGATGGTAATACAGCATCAGGGTTAAAAGTATAGATCTGGAGTCACAATTCCTAGGTTTACATACTAGCTTGCTAGGTGACAACAAGCAGTTTACTCACCTCTCTATACCTTTTTCTCCTTATCCACAAAATGGGATGGTAACTATAAGCACACCAACAGGTCATTTTGAAGGCTAAATAGCACAACTCATGTAAAGCACTTGGAACAGGCTCTGCTTCAAGGCAAGTGCTCATAAATGTTCACTGCAATGATTATATCTTCAGCAGAATGACTGGTGGTTACTAAGTTATACACTTATCCCAATAGGTCATCTCACCAGATAACTGCTGAGAAAAACTGGAGGGGAAGCTTCAGTGCCAACACAGCCTAAGCTAGACTCAAAAATTCAATCATTTCTATCTTCAAAGAATATTGTTTATTCTAAACAAATTTTCTCCCCAAAATGGTTCCCCTCAAAAAATTCATTTCATTTCAAATGCAGCATAAATTTATTTTCACTAGCTAAAGAACACGCCATCTTACATAAACACATTTTTTAAAAAAAATAATTAAAAGAAACAATGAGATTCCATATGGAGAAAGAAGACAATGAAAATGTGTTCACGATCTGAACTTTATAAATTATAGTTGGAATGTTTGTCCAGCTGTGTTATTTAATTGGTTTACTATCTGCCCAGAATTATGAGCAATACAAGGGGAATATTGCTAGACTATTCTTTTTATCCTGTGGGAAGTTTGTGGAAAGCTTGTTACAGAAGCAGTTTAGCTTCTACATGGAGGTAGTTTGTTTACCTTGAATTTAATGGACTGGAGGAAAGACTAGAAAGACTAGAAAGCTCCCGAACACAGAGGAACACTTCTGTACATTCAGTGTATATTACGAATGTGGCTACTGTATCCAGAAAAGGATGCAACAAAATTTCATAAAATCAGACAAAAAAAAGATAGGAATAAAATAGGAGTGTGCCTTCTGCTCCCACAATTGAACCCAATTCCTATTGATGGGTAAACTTAAGCCATGTAACCCATATTAAATAATCCCAAGCAAGAATTGCTTGGGAAGCAATTAGACTCTAATATCCCAAGACAAAACTTGCCTCCCTTGAACTCAACAATTTCCACAAACTTCACCTACCTTCAAGATATAAGAAAAGAAACCCACAACTCCCCATATAGGTTAGACTGGCATGTATACCAAGTCGCTGTTGCTCCTGGGGATAATATCACATTATCCTCTTCTCAATCCTGTGTCTCTGTAGCCAAGTAAGAAGTAAACAGTGAAATTCCAAATCAGAAAGACCATTCACAAACAGAGGTATTTCAAAAAGGACACTGGATTCTGAGCCTGACTCACTGGGATCAACTCCTACCTCTGTTACCAATTGGATAATCCTGGGCAAATAGTAAATTCTATCTAAACCTCAATCTCCTCTATTGTAAAGCATGAATAATAATAATACCCTACCTCAGAGTTTTTTGAGAGGATAAAATATATAATAGATGTCAAAATTCTTTGTAAACTCTAACTTTCTATAAGAGTTGTTACAATGATTGTTTGACAAGGTTTCCAAAAACTGCCTAATCACCCTCAAAGAAATTGTGACTTCTTTGGAAGCATGTATTGCTTTCCCATTTCCTTTTTGCTCACCAATTTCTATTTTTTATTTTTTATTTTTGGTTTCTATTTTTAATAAATTCTGTTGTGCATATTTGAGGTTAATAATGTTATATTATGGAAAACATATAAATAGTAAAATGGTGCATTCATATTGTGGCAAATGGCAGGATCTCATTTTTCAAGGTTGAATAATATTCAACTTTAAATCTCCTTTTTAAGGTTGAATAATAACCTTAAATTCTCATTTTTTTAAATCAAATAATATTCTAAGGTTAAGGCTGTCATTCAGGAATCTGAACAGACAGGAAAGTCAATATCAGGACCTAGGAGACCATAAGGTATCTGAGGCAGAAGCTATTTCCATTAAGAAAGTAACCAATTCCAGAGAGTAGGCAGCTCACATCCCACAGAAGAGACCATTGTGGAAATGAAATTAGCTAGAATTGGTAGAAGAAAAAAACCTCCACTGTGGATACCCAAGTCTAACTGGCTGTGTTTATCTCATAGAATAGAAGTACAGAGAAGAAAAGTGACTCTTCCCGACATAACACTGAGGGAGAGAGGTGAACTACATGAGACCTCTGGAGAGACAATACTTCTCTCATTATGGGGCCTTTAACAGAATTTTTCTTGTCAAGGTGCAATGCTCATGACCTGGCACACCAAACATTTGGGTTCTAGCCAAAAGGATTAAAAGTACAGAACACTAACAACTTGAAAAACACCGCATCAAACAAATATGTGGTAAATGAAGGATGTGGGGAAATGTAGAACAGACATTCCAATATGCGTCAAAAACAAGATATAAGAGAAGCAATGATGTAAACGTTTTATCAAAATGACATTAATGAGGTCACTAATGATGTCTGAATGTTGGCAACTCAATAAGTCTAGGGTGTGTAATCAGAATCACACAGAACACAATTCTGGCAAAGTTACAAATAGGAAGCACTTGTGTAAACATTGTGTGACAATGTCCCTTTGGGAAAGGCATGAATGGATTCCAAAAAGAAGTGTGTTTGTCCAGTCTAAAGAAGCAGTTGGCTGATTCCTGACCACTTACTTCTACAGACACTCCTTTTAATTTAAAATAAAATAAAAGGTGCCAGATTCTCTCTGGCAGCCATTGATAGAACTACTATTCAATACACACCACTTAACACAAATATAAATCAGAAAGCCCTTCTGTCTAAACTGAACTCTTTATCTTTCAAAACGGTCCCATCTCCTGTCTTAGAATTGTATCCACCGCAAGTCTTGGGAGGAATAGTTGTTAATAATGCTTCCTACCAATCTCATTAAAAGCTCAATTTTATATATTTTTCGTGTTTGCAAGGGAAGGGATGCAGGGAGCTTGGAATGAGAAAGTTTGATTAATGAAAATGACATGGCTGTGAAAACAAGACAATTGAAGACAAAAATGAAACAACCATTAGAATTTATTCAACCAATGTCTGTAAGAGACTCTGATAAACCAGACATCATAAAGACTAAGATCATGAAGGTTTTCTGTTAACAGACTGAAGAAGAGGCAACTTATATGGATTCGTAAACCAAAGCTTGGGAAAGTGATGATGGGAAGGTTTTTGAGTTGAAATGACAATTCATGAATATTTTCTCAGTGGTGTTTTGGTGGACTGGAGAGATGAAGGAATAGGAACTGGAGGTAAATTACTTGTGCTGTAAATTTAAGTCAGTACATGTGGTATCTATTCCTTCCAAAATTTTAACTGATTTTCAAATTTGTAAATCTATGTACTTTTAGGTTGTTAATATAATCTATAGCATGGAGCCATAGGATCATATGTCAAAATTTAGTTCCAAATGTGCCTTTCAAGAAGTCTTTTCTCCTCAGATCATTCTGCAGCTGTTCCATCGGTGCCCATTTACACTATATTTTGTATAGTGTGACAGTTGTATTGTGGGGGTTAAACCCTTAGATTCGGTCCAGTTGTTCTAATAGGCTGACTCTAAAATTTATAAGACGTGTGATCCTAGATTTTCTTAATGAAAAATCCCTTAAATGCCCTTATCACAGTTCCTGGCACAGGAAAAGTAGACAATAAATGTGAGGCACTATTATTTCTAGCTTAATTGTTTTAAATTTTTTGGTTTCATATACATATATTTGGCCCCAAGAAATGTCTATTGAATAACTCTCCTCATAAATAAACTTCAATGCATGGACATATCATAATCAAACTCGAATACCTTCACTTACAAATTATCAAATGTCTAAAATTCAGAGCATTATTTTTATAGTGTTTCAGAAATCTGGAGCATCTTTTAAATATTGTGTAGGTTTAGTAAGATCAGATTTGAGGGTTACACTGACTATAGCAATGTGTGCCTAATTCCATGAACTTTAATATCTGACATGCAGAGATTCAAATCCAGTCCCTCATGTGCCTCTTACCCTCAAACATCCAAAATTTCCCTCCAAATAAGATACAAGAAATTGAGGGATAACTTCTGTATATATCATGGTTACATTTTAAGGCTAGAAGGCACAAGAATAGAAGACGATGAAGTATAAACATTATGATAAATTTTCAGTACTCTAGCCAGACTCCGTATCAGGCCATCTCTTCCCTAGAGGGATGGAAGAGGGGATTCAGCCACGTCTGTAGAGGTGTGTGTTTGAGAACCAAATGCAGGGAAACATCTCCCTCTCTGATGTTGAAGCTCGGGGCCCTAGTTCATCTGTGGTTCGTGATGGATCCTGAGATATTTGACAAAGTCAACATGAGATGCTCCTAAAGTTAGAAGGCTGTATGGCTGACTTCTTGAGGGATTTGGAGGCATTGTTTGGTGATTCTACAGCGGTGTAGCTGACAATCCTTGAAGCGTGAACATTAGCAACTGCAGAGACAACAGAATCAGCAATGATTCAGGGCTCCTTATCTTAAAGAAAGCCTCCTACCATTCATACCTTTTTTATTTTTTGCTTTTCAAACTACTACTTGATACCTAAGCTTCCTGAAGGCTTAACAGAATCCTTGACTTATATATAAATATATGTTGTTTTACAATCCTGCTTTGCAATATGTATATGACAGCACTATACAAAAAATAATTTCTTTGCCAATTGCCATGGTTCTAATAAAAATAAAGTCAAACTTGATACTGATATAACACTCAGGGTGTTCTTGTTTATGGACATGGTGATTTTGGGGGAAGAAAGGGGCTTTTTCTTCAACAATACATTTTGTAGTCACTAATATATTATTTCATTTAATCTAGTTGCTTCCCTAAGGCTTACCACAACATTCCTTAAAATCTGTAATAATTGTCAAAGTAATTTAGGTTTAACAGGAGTTATCGCTGGCAAAGCTTAGGGGGAAGCAATGAGCATTAAGGTACAAATAACTTCCTAAAAATATCACCTGCAATAGCTTTCAAATGGTATTCTTCATTATCTCTCCACCTACTTCTTAAAACATTAACTCAAAAGACTTTCTTGCTCATTTTCTTATATTTTTCTTTTAAGGGAGCAAAGTTGTGGCATGCTCTAAAGATATGTTATCATTGGCACACAGGCAATTAATTTTTATTAAACAAAAGTGATGTTGGAATTTTAAAATTATAATTAATATATGCTGAAGCAGGGGGAATGAATAGCCTTCCCATTATGAATCACCCAAACTCTCTCTCTAGGTATTCTTTTCACATAAAGTTGAAATGAAAAGCCTTTAGGTCCTTACAGTTGCTGTTGTTGTTTTAATAAATTATTCAAAAAGCTGGTTCAAATGTGATTTTTTAGTAGTAGTGTGCTGGTTTATCAACCAGCTATTATTTGTAGTCTTTGCCCCTCTTTATAAATAATTCCACCATGGCAGATTTCAAGCCACACCATCATCCTGCCAACATGCTGTTGGGGAGAGATTCACCCAATCAGTTGTCACAAGCGGGTATGAACCCATCAGGGCTGAGCTAGAAGAGGAAGAACAACTCCAAGTTTCGCTGTTACACCACCATGTGGAGAAATGGGCAGTCATGTCAGAAATAATCTTTTTCTTCTGCCTTATAGACCTGACAAGCTTCGCTCACTGGGATATTTTCTAGGAGTTTACATTTATCTCAGGTCCTAGTCTAGGAGGTACATCAAAAACAACTAAAAAAAGATGGTTAGGCGGGGGAAGGGCATTCACTTGTCTAGATGATGCCTTAATAGCACTTAGCATAAATTAACCTAGGAAATTCTCAAGGATCCCTAAGGCATAAAGTAGGCAGTAAGTGTGGATTCTATTTGATAGGAAGTTAAAGGTTTCTGAGAAGAAAAGAAATCAAGTTTGGCAATAGAACATTAAACAGCAATAAACATTTTTGGCTGCTTAGTAGAAGAGGCCCGCTCCTCTGGGAAAAAACCACTGCTCTTTATTCCCCCCACGTACTCCAGTCTTTGTACTTTGAACAGTTGTTCCACTTAAAAGTAACCTACTTTTTACCCAGCAAGAGCTCAGGGACCTGGTTAGTATCAACACTTAGAAGCAGCAGCTTCTGTGAATTTGGATCTTCCTTTCACCTCCTCCTGTATTGTCACTCATCATAAAAACGTATGGCTAGAATAAAGTGTAGCCTTATGAAATAGGCCACATTATTGAGAAATTAAAATTTGTTCTATCCTTCTTGCTGAAAACTCACTGTCCAAAAAAAAAAAAGAGAGAGAGAGAGATTATTTTTTTTTCTTCTGTCAGACTTCCTTTTGTGTTCTGAATTCCCCAGGAGAAGAGGAACCATTTTTGGCTTCAGACCCGTTGGAGCAAATTAAGCAATAGAGTCCCAAAGGGCCTGGAGCGTTTTGCCCCACTAGACCCTGAAGTGAGCTAGATATCCAGAGACTGGAAGCTGGGGATGGTGGACTCTGGAGCAGTGGTGGTAGGTTGGGAGTAGAGGACACGCACCTTCACAGCACCTAAGAAGTAGCAGAGCTTCTGTGTGAATGTCTAGAACCCTGCACAGCGTGAAGGTTCTGTGTCAATGCCCCACGAAGGCGGTGAATGGTAAAAGAGAAATGCCTCCAAAAGGACCACACAAGCTTAAACAACAAACATCTCAGTGACTATCAACAAAGGCAGAGAATGGAGGCCCTGGTCCAATTTTTCTGGTTTATTTAAGCCCCTTGGGTCTTTTCCCATTCTGCGTGAAGTAGGGAAGTTCTCCTTAAAAAAAAAAAAAGAAAAGAAAAAGAAAAAAAAACTTGAGTTTGGATGTCCTGCTAGCCTGCTAGCCAGGAAAATGGAATAACCCATATTTAATTTGATTCATAACAATAAAGAAATGAGATGCTTTTTGTATACTGATATTCTTGAACACCAACTGGATACCCTATCCTACTAATCCCGTACTGCTTATGAATGTTCCCTGGTTCCACAAATATCTCCACTGCAAATGAACTAACTACTCAGTTAACTAGTTCAGAGTTCGGACATTTTATATCTGCAACATGTAGATTACCCTAGTCTTGGTATGCCCCTTTTTTATTAAATTAAACTTTATTAAAAATGTGTGTATCCCTCTTTAAATTTGTAATTACCACGAAAAAAGATTCCTACCATATGTTTTTTGCCTGATTTGGATATTTAGATATATCTGAGGGGCATTTCTGAATTCTTAGCTGCTGTGTGCAGTTTTATGAAAAAAAGCAAAAGCAGAAGAAACATGACAAATTTATCGATCTCCACCAATAAGTCAAGTGGCCAAAGCTCCCTTGCCTTCCATTCCGTCAGAGAATAACGGAGCAAAATGCAATTATAAAGCATAAGGTTCTTGTGCAGCTTTGCTCTGAAGACAGTGAGTCCTGTTTTCTGCTTTTAACTAAAAGCAGTATTTCTACCTTCAAATTGGACAAGTCATTTCACCTCTGTGGGCCTTGGTTTCCTCACCTAAAAGTTTGCATGTTCAACTAAATGATCTCCAAGGCTCTTTATAGCACTAAGATCCTATGATTTCAAGCTATTATATGAAATCCAAGAAACAAAAGACAAGAGGAGCATTGTTCTCATTCTATTGTTCATCCAGCTGGATTTATCAGATTAAGATTCTGAGTTCATAAATAAGAAAGAAAAGACACTTATACAATATAGAACGCATTTGCAGTAAGAGCATTTTTCATCCATATGGATCTTAACTATTTCACGTGCTAACAAATAATTGAACAGACTATCTATAGAAATGGTTTTGTCCATTCATCCACTTTTCTCTATCAACGTAAAAATAACTTTATTGCTTTTTTATAAAACTGTGTTTAAATAAAAATAGGAAAATGCAATTTTCAACAGTTTCTGAGATCTAGTTATGAGAGAAGTTGCCACAACCTCAAACATCTCTTCAAATGAGGACAAAGGTAAGAGTGCCATCTGCTGGCCTAAATTGTCTAATTGTGTCTTTAAAACTTTATACAGTAAAATACTTATGAAACTTACCTACATTCTGCTTTGATGAAAACCCTGAGCTTTTCAATAACTTGATGTGTGGAGCTTAAATACAATAATCATTTTTCCAAGTGTCCAAAATACACAAAGCATATGAGTATAGCAAAATATTACTCCACAAACTAAATAAGTACTTAATTTAAATATATCCTACAATATTTACCATATCGAAAAGCTACAAATCTATTGGGTCCAAAGGTAAGTAGATAGTGTCTTTCTTTAAAAGCTTCTGAGAAAACTAGAATATTTGGAGTGTTTGTACAGCAGGAAATGGTGTCAATCATCAAAAGATCCCTCAGTTTAATAGCAGAAACCTGAATGGTAACTCTATAGACGGGGTTTAATTAAGAAAGAAAGAACACACAGTTAACTTGGAAAATCATATATCAGATTTAAGCATAACTTCATGCCTCCACACTGGCATCAATAGGTAGATGAAGGCCACAATGAAACACTAACTGACTCTCCTCTGTGGGATAGTGTGGTATTAACTTCTGGGCTACCAGGAGCACTATTATTCTTTTTTTTTTTTTTTTTTTTTTTTTGAGACGGAGCCTCGCCCTGTCGCCCAGGCTGGAGTGCAGTGGTGGGATCTCGGCTCACTGCAAGCTCCGCCTCCCGGGTTGACGCCATTCTCCTGCCTCAGCCTCCCCAGTAGCTGGGACTACAGGCGCCCACCACCACGCCCGGCTAATTTTTTGTATTTTTAGTAGAGACAGGGTTTCACCGTGTTAGCCAGGATGGTCTCAATCTCCTGACCTCCTGATCCGCCCGCCTCGGCCTCCCAAAGTGCTGGGATTACAGGCGTGAGCCGCCGCGCCGGTCTTTTTAACCCTTTCTTACCCGCAAAATCCCCTTCAGAGAAGATTCTCTTCCAACAGGATCCCCTATAGCAATGGAGATGCTCAGGGAATGTTTCACATAAAACAAATAAAATTCAATCAGATTACTAATTCAAGTAAGTCTGAGGTAATCTCAGGAAAATTTACTCCATTGCCTGAAATGTTGGATAACTGTATAGGGCAATGCTGAAAAGACATCTAAGGAGGAGTGTGAAACAACTGGAATATTTTTCATTCAAAAAAACTACTTGAAACTTTCTATGTAAAAAGCATTTAACTAGAAAAAAAAATTATTCTAAAGAGATAAAGTTCAATATTACCAAGAACCCAAGAGACAGACAAGCATAGCTTTTAAGGATCCTTGGCATTCCTATTAATTTTCTGTCTTATTTATAAAAATAGTCTCCTAACAATTCATTTATTCTTGGTTTTAAGGATGTTTTATTTTCTCACAATGATATGCTGTGAAGTTGTATGGAAAAGACAGTTATTAAAATATTAAAGTGTAGTGGCTCACGCCTGTAATCCCAACACTTTGGGAGGCCGAGGTGGGTGGATCATGAGGTCGGGAGTTCAAGATCAGCCTGGCCAAGATGGTGAAACCTGTCTCTACTAAAAATACAAACAAAAATTAGCCAGTTGTGGTGGTGGGCACCTATAATCCCAGCTACTCGGGAGGCTGAGGCAGAGAATTGCTTAAACCCGGGAGGCAGAGGATACAGTGAGCCGAGATCGCACCACTGCACTCCACCCTGGGCAAAAGAGTGAAACTCTGTCTCAAAAAATAATAATAATATTAAAGCAAGTAACTAGTATACTGTGAATTTAGGCATAGGCGAAGACAAGATCTATATGGAAAATAACATATGCTTTACTATTCTTTCGTTCAAAGTTGGTATCAATTCTGTTATTTCCTCTGTGTATGAATGTGAATGACTAATGAGTAAGCCACCCTATATATCACTCATGGCCTGTATATTGAATTAAAGCTGTTTCATGATAAAAGGGCCGTTTCAGTTAGTATTGGTGCTGTATCTTTGTACCTTTTCCATTTATGTGTCCCAGGAAGTGTGAATGCAGTTGCCTGAAACTCACATGCTCCTTCTGATCTCTGAGAGTATCTTTAGGTCATTTTGTGTGACTCCACCAATACTGCAAAAGTCCTAATAATAGGGCTCCAAAATCACATCCACAAGAATGCAGGAAACCAGTGAGTTTACAAGTCAATGACAATAGATAACTTGGAGGAAATTAGTTCATATAAAACATGTCACTCTTCATATTGTTCCAGATTGAAACAATGTGAAAGAGAACAGGATGACTCACCTGTAAATGGTAAAAATAAAAATATATATGGCCAATAAATTAGTAGTCAAAGAAAAATTTAAACAACAATGAAGTACTATAGATAATTCACCAGTCTAGCATTGTTGATAATTTAATTATTGAGAGCATGAGGGAACAGACTACTCACATAAGCAGCTGGTAGGAAAATAGAGTGATCCAACATTTAGATAGAGATGTGGAAATAGAACTAGACATAGATATAGATATATATTCTTAAAGATATACAAATATTCATACCATTTCACTCAGCAATCACATTTCTAGGATGAACACAGAATTATTCATAAGGTTGTTTATCTTAGTTACAGACAAAAAACATAAACATCTACTTACACTGAATTGATAAAATGAAAATAAATTTTTGTCTCTCAATATAATGGAATTTCATGAAGCCAAGAAAAATTATGTTTTATTAACAGAACAATAGTTTATGGGTTGAGAAAATGCCTTTGATATACTGTTCAGTGAAAAGAAAAGGTAGGTGATAAGTTCAATCAAGTCAATATTTGTGAATACGCATATTTAGTAAGTATACGGTAACTAACATAGAAAAAGACACTGAAGAAAATATAATAATAATAGTTTTCTTTGGAATAGAAATTACTGATTTTTTCATCATATGCTTTTCTATATTTTCTAAATTTTCTGTTGTGAATACACATTCTTTTTACCAGAAAAATAGTTTTACTTAAAATAAACACAATGCAAGATGAGACATTTGAGAATAAAGTAGAACTTATGTTTTGAGAAGACCAAAGGCTACAGTACTTTCAGGCACCTCAGTTAAACAGGGATTAGTACTTGGGCAATTCATCTGGCTCTTAATTTCCTGGACATGGAGCCAAAAATGGAGTAACAATTTCCATTTTCTATCTACAGAAAACATATTGAGTTACATACATATTTTTTTCCAAGAACTATAGTCAAACAAGAATTCACTATTTGCATCCTTATATAAAAAAGACTTCATGAAATATATTGAGCTATCACTTCAACAGTGGTCTTAAAAATTGGTCGGTTTCAGCTGGGCATGGTGGCTCACACCTGTAATCCTAGCATTGTGGGAGGCCGAGGTGGGAGGATTGCTTGGCCCCAAGGAGTTGGAGACCAGCCTAGGCAACATGGCAAAATCCCGTTTCTACAGAAACATACAAAATTAGCTGGGTGGCATGCACCTGTGGTCCCAGCTATTTGGTGGGAGGATGGGTTGAGCCCAGGAGGTTGAGATTGATCACACCACTGCACTCCAGCCTGGGCAACAAAGCAAGACACTGTCTTAAAAAAAAAAAAAAAAAAAAAAAAAAAAAGTCAATTTCTTTTGGCATCTTTTAGGCATCGACCCTATAATAAATCATATTCCACCACATGAAATTAAGTATAAATACAATTTTGTGTGAGATCACTGTAATACATGGCAATAGATGGGTCCTTGTAACATGTATTCGGGTAACAAGTATTTTTAATAAAATCATAATTATCTAATACTGCTCTATTCTGAAAGAATCATTTTGGTTGTAACAAAGGCTTAGTTAGAAGCAGAATGTTCCCTTTTACTCAAAGGGAATGTTTTAATATCTGAATATCTTAGATTAAAACAAGCACTTCCATTATTTCCCAAAGGAATTACAACGGGTTATCCACGTGTATTTTTGTGTGCTACACACTGGCATTTATAACATGCTTTGATTCACATCAAAACCCATTTGCTTTAAATTTGAAAAAGACCTTATATAAAGTGTCCATCTGCATTCTTATAAATAGCATAAAAATTCCCTAGAAGGATTAAGTTGATCATGTCAACTTTTCCTACCCATACATACAACAACCATTTCATCCATCACACAAAGTCAAAACAAAACCAGGGAATGGGTCTTTCTCTTAACCAGTCTAGATATGCCAAACTTTCCTTTGACTAAATGCTAGTATACAATGCAGTGAACACTCACTTGGCCTTGCTTCCAATCCATGGACAAGTCATTCTCTCATCTATATTCTCCCACTATGATACCCTTTTAGTATGTTTAGGAAGAACCTTGCTGATACCTATGATACCTGTCTCAGAAAAGTTATGAGCATACCCCAGACATCCCTGTTCACACTCAGGTTAATTTTTTTCAGATAAGGTCTCACTCTGTTGCCCAGGCTGGAGTGTAGTAGCATGATCACCCCTCAGGCTGAGAAAATCCTCCCACCTCAGCCTCCCAAGTAGCTGAGACCAAAGTCACGTGCCACCATGCCCAGCTAACTTTTGAAATTTTTTTTTTGTAGAAATGAGGTCTCGGAGGGGAGGAGCCAACATGGCCAAATAGGAACAGCTCTGGTCTACAGCTCCCAGCGTGAGCGACGCAGAAGACGGGTGATTTCTGCATTTCCATCTGAGGTACCGGGTTCATCTCACTAGGGAGTGCCAGACAGTGGGAGCAGGTCAGTAGGTGCAGCTCACCATGCGCGAGCAAAAGCAGGGCGAGGCATTGCCTCACTCAGGAAGTGCAAGGGGTCAGGGAGTTCCCTTTCCTAGTCAAAGAAAGGGGTGACAGACGGCACCTGGAAAATCGGGTCACTCCCACCCTAATACTGCGCTTTTCCAATGGGCTTAAAAAATGGCACACCAGGAGATTATATCCTGCACCTGGCTTGGAGGGTCCTACGCTCACGGATTCTCACTGATTGCTAGCACAGCAGTCTGAGATCAAACTGCAAGGCAGCGGCGAGGCTGGGGGAGGGGCGCCCACCATTGCCCAGGCTTGCTTAGGTAAACAAAGCAGCCAGGAAGCTCGAACTGGGTGCAGCCCACCACAGCTCAAGGAGGCCTGCCTGCCTCTGTAGGCTCCATCTCTGGGGGCAGGGCACAGACAAACAAAAAGACAGCAGTAACCTCCGCAGACTTAAATGTCCCCGTCTGACAGCTTTGAAGAGAGCAGTGGTTCTCCCAGCATGCAGCTGGAGATCTGAGAACGGGCAGACTGCCTCCTCAAGTGGGCCCCTGACCCCTGACCCCTGACCCCTGAGCAGCCTAACTGGGAGGCACCCCCCAGTAGGGGCAGACTGACACTTCACACGGCCGGGTACTCCTCTGAGACAAAACTTCCAGAGGAATGATCAGACAGCAACATTCGCGGT
Source organism: Homo sapiens (assembly GCF_000001405.40). NCBI lineage: Eukaryota > Metazoa > Chordata > Mammalia > Primates > Hominidae > Homo > Homo sapiens. The sequence goes on along the minus strand of NC_000012.12, from coordinate 19,734,007 downwards.
TCACGAAAAACCGCTGTTCTGCAAACACCGCTGCTGATACCCAGGCAAACAGGGTCTGGAGTGGACCACTAGCAAACTCCAACAGACCTGCAGCTGAGGGTCCTGTCTGTTAGAAGGAAAACTAACAAACAGAAAGGACATCCACACCAAAAACCCATCTGTACATGACCATCATCAAAGACCAAAAGTAGATAAAACCACAAAGATGGGGAAAAAACAGAGCAGAAAAACTGGAAACTCTGAAAAACGGAGCACCTCTCCTCCTCCAAAGGAATGCAGTTCCTCACCAACAATGGAACAAAGCTCGACGGAGAATGACTTTGACAAGTTGAGAGAAGAAGGCTTCAGATGATCAAACTACGAGCTACAGGAGGAAATTCAAAACAAAGGCAAAGAAGTTAAAAACTTTGAAAAAAATTTAGACGAATGTATAACTAGAATAACCAATACAGAGAAGTGCTTAAAGGAGCTGATGGAGCTGAAAGCCAAGGCTCAAGAACTACGTGAAGAATGCAGAAGCCTCAGGAGCCAATGCGATCAACTGGAAGAAAGGGTATCAGTGATGGAAGATGAAATGAATGAAATGAAGCAAGAAGGGAAGTTTAGAGAAAAAAGAATAAAGAGAAATGAACAAAGCCTCCAAGAAATATGGGACTATGTGAAAAGACCAAATCTACGTCTGATTGGTGTACCTGAAAGTGATGGGGAGAATGGAACCAAGTTGGAAAACACTCTGCAGGATATTATCCAGGAGAACTTCCCCAATCTAGCAAGGCAGGCCAACATTCAGATTCAGGAAATACAGAGAATGCCACAAAGATACTCCTCGAGAAGAGCAACTCCAAGACACATAATTGTCAGATTCACCAAAGTTGAAATGAAGGAAAAAATTTTAAGGGCAGCCAGAGAGAAAGGTCAGGTTATCCACAAAGGGAAGCCCATCAGACTAACAGCGGATCTCTCAGCAGAAACTCTACAAGCCAGAAGAGAGTGGGGGCCAATATTCAACATTCTTAAAGACAAGAATTTTCAACCCAGAATTTCATATCCAGCCAAACTAAGCTTCATAAGTGAAGGAGAAATAAAATACTTTACAGACAAGCAAATGCTGAGAGATTTTGTCACCACTAGGCCTGCCCTAAAAGAGCTCCTGAAGGAAGCACTAAACATGGAAACGAACAACCACTACCAGCCACTGCAAAATAATGCCAAAATGTAAAGACAGTCAAGACTAGGAAGAAACTGCATCAACTAATGAGCAAAATAACCAGCTAACATCATAATGACAGGATCAAATTCACACATAACAATATTAACTTTAAATGTAAATGGACTAAATGCTCCAATTAAAAGACACAGACTGGCAAATTGGATAAAGAGTCAAGACCCATCAGTGTGCTGTATTCAGGAAACCCATCTCATGTGCAGACACACACATAGGCTCAAAATAAAGGGATGGAGGAAGATCTACCAAGCAAATGGAAAACAAAAAAAGGCAGGGGTTGCAATCCTAGTCTCTGATAAAACAGACTTTAAACCAACAAAGATCAAAAGAGACAAAGAAGGCCATTACATAATAGTAAAGGGATCAATTCAACAAGAAGAGCTAACTATCCTAAATATACATGCACCCAATACGGGAGCACCCAGATTCATAAAGCAAGTCCTGAGTGACCTGCAAAGAGACTTAGACTCCCACACATTAATAATGGGAGACTTTATCACCCCACTGTCAACATTAGACAGATCAACGAGACAGAAAGTTAACAAGAATACCCAGGAATTGAACTCAGCTCTGCACCAAGCAGACCTAGTAGACATCTACAGAACTCTCCACCCCAAATCAACAGAATATACATTTTTTTCAGCACCACACCACACCTATTCCAAAACTGACCACATAGTTGGAAGTAAAGCGCTCCTCAGCAAATGTAAAAGAACAGAAATTATAACAAACTATCTCTCAGACCACAGTGCAATCAAACTAGAACTCAGGATTAAGAAACTCACTCAAAACCGCTCAACTACATGGAAACTGAACAACCTGCTCCTGAATGACTACTGGGTACATAACGAAATGAAGGCAGAAATAAAGATGTTCTTTGAAACCAACGAGAACAAAGACACAACATACCAGAATCTCTGGAACACATTCAAAGCAGTGTGTAGAGGGAAATTTATAGCACTAAATGCCCACAAGAGAAAGCAGGAAAGATCCAAAATTGACACCCTAACATCACAATTAAAAGAACTACAAAAGCAAGAGCAAACACATTCAAAAGCTAGCAGAAGGCAAGAAATAACTACCATCAGAGCAGAACTGAAGGAAATAGAGACACAAAAAACCCTTCAAAAAATTAATGAATCCAGGAGCTGGTTTTTTGAAAAGGTCAACAAAATTGATAGACCGCTAGCAAGACTAATGAAGAAAAAAGAAAGAAGAATCAAATAGACGCAATAAAAAATGATAAAGGGGATATCACCACCAATCCCACAGAAATACAAACTACCATCAGAGATTACTACAAACACCTCTACGCAAATAAACTAGAAAATCTAGAAGAAATGGATAAATTCCTGGACACATACACTCTCCCAAGACTAAACCAGGAAGAAGTTGAATCTCTGAATAGACCAATAACAGGAGCTGAAATTGTGGCAATAATCAATAGCTTACCAACCAAAAAGAGTCCAGGACCAGATGGATTCACCGCCAAATTCTACCAGAGGTACAAGGAGAAACTGGTACCATTCCTTCTGAAACTATTCCAATCAATAGAAAAAGTGGGAATCCTCCCTAAGTCATTTTATGAGGCCAGCATCATCCTGATACGAAAGCCGGGCAGAGACACAACCAAAAAATATAACTTTAGACCAATATCCTCTATGAACATTGATGCAAAAATCCTCAATAAAATACTGGCAAACCGAATCCAGCAGCACATCAAAAAGCTTATCCACCATGATCAAGTGGGCTTCATCCCTGGGATGCAAGGCTGGTTCAATATATGCAAATCAATAAATGTAATCCAGCCTATAAACAGAACCAAAGACAAAAACCACATGATTATCTCAATAGATGCAGAAAAGGCCTTTGACAAAATTCAACAACACTTCATGCTAAAAACTCTCAATAAATTAGGTATTGATGGGATGTATCTCAAAATAATAAGAGCTCTCTATGACAAACCCACAGCCAATATCATACTGAATGGGCAAAAACTGGAAGCATTCCCTTTGAAAACTGGCACAAGACAGGGATGCCCTCTCTCACCACTCCTATTCAACACAGTGTTGGAAGTTCTGGCCAGGGCAATTAGGCAGGAGAAGGAAATAAAGGGTATTCAATTAGGAAAAGAGGAAGTCAAATTGTCCCTGTTTGCAGACGACATGATTGTATATCTAGAAAACCCCATTGTCTCAGCCCAAAATCTCCTTAAGCTGATAAGCAACTTCAGCAAAGTCTCAGGATACAAAATCAATGTATAAAAATCACAAGCATTCTTATACACCAACAACAGACAAACAGAGAGCCAAATCATGAGTGAACTCCCATTCACAATGTCTTCAAAGAGAATAAAATACCTAGGAATCCAACTCACAAGGGACGTGAAGGACCTCTTCAAGGAGAACTACAAACCACTGCTCAAGGAAATAAAAGAGGATACAAACAAATGGAAGAACATTCCATGCTCATGGGTAGGAAGAATCAATATCATGAAAATGGCCATACTGCCCAAGGTAATTTATAGATTCAATGCCATCCCCATCAAGCTACCAATGACTTTCTTCACAGAATTGGAAAAAACTACTTTAAAGTTCATATGGAACCAAAAAAGAGCCCGCATCGCCAAGTCAATCCTAAGCCAAAAGAACAAAGCTGGAGGCATCACACTACCTGACTTCAAACTATACTAAAAGGCTTCAGTAACCAAAACAGCATGGTACTGGTACCAAAACAGAGATATAGACCAATGGAACAGAACAGAGCCCTCAGAAATAACGTCGCATATCTAAAACTATCTGATCTTTGACAAACCTGAGAAAAACAAGAAGTGGGGAAAGCATTCCCTATTTAATAAATGGTGCTGGGAAAACTGGCTAGCCATATGTAGAAAGCTGAAACTGGATCCCTTCCTTACACCTTATACAAAAATCAATTCAAGACGGATTAAAGACTTAAACATTAGACCTAAAACCATAAAAACCCTAGAAGAAAACCTAGGCATTACCATTCAGGACATAGGCATGGGCAAGGACTTCATGTCTAAAACACCAAAAGCAATGGCGACAAAAGCCAAAATTGACAAATGGGATCTAATTAAACTAAAGAGCTTCTGCACAGCAAAAGAAACTACCATCAGAGTGAACAGGCAACCTACAAAATGGAAGAAAATTTTCGCAACCTACTCATCTGACAAAGGGTTAATATCCAGAATCTACAATGAACTCAAACCAATTTACAAGAAAAAAACAACCCCATCAAAAAGTGGGTGAAGGACATGAACAGACACTTCTCAAAAGAAGACATTTATGCAGCCAAAAGACACATGAAAAAATGCTCACCATCACTGGCCATCAGAGACATGCAAATCAAAACCACAATGAGATACCATGTCACACCAGTTAGAATGGCAATCATTAAAAAGTCAGGAAACAACAGGTGCTGGAGAGGATGTGGACAAATAGGAACACTTTTACACTGTTGGTGGGACTGTAAACTAGTTCAACCATTGTGGAAGTCAGTGTGGCGATTCCTCAGGGATCTAGAACTAGAAATACCATTTGACCCAGCCATCCCATTACTGGGTATATACCCAAAGGACTATAAATCATGCTGCTATAAAGACACATGCACATGTATGTTTATTGCGGCACTATTCACAATAGCAAAGACTTGGAACCAACCCAAATGTCCAACAATGATAGACTGGATTAAGAAAATGTGGCACATATACACCATGGAATACTATGCAGCCATAAAAAATGATGAGTTCATGTCCTTTGTAGGGACATGGATGAAATTGGAAATCACCATTCTCAGTAAACTATCTCAAGAACAAAAAACCAAACACCACATATTCTCACTCATAGGTGGGAATTGAACAATGAGAACACATGGAGACAGGAAGGGGAACATCACACTCTGGGGACTGTTGTGGGGTGGGGGGAGGGGGGAGGGATAGCATTGGGAGATATACCTAATGCTAGATGACGAGTTAGTGGGTGCAGCGCACCAGCATGGCACATATATACATATGTAACGAACCTGCACATTGTGCACATGTACCCTAAAACTTAAAGTATAATAATAATAATAATAATAAAGAGGAAAAAAAAAAAAAAAAGAAACGAGGTCTCACTATGTTGCCCAGGCTGGTCTTGAACTCCTGGGCTCAAGCAATCTGCCCACCCAGGCCTCCCAAAGTGCTGGGATTACAGGCATGAGCCACCACACCTGACGGATACTCCTATTTTATTCAGCAAATGTTTCAATCTCTTGCCATGTGCCAGCACTAAACCCTATATAAAACAGACTAGAAATATGAGGCAATATGTAGAATAAAGTGTTATAATTGCTACAATAGCATTAAGTACATGGTTCAAATAAAAGCAAAGGAGAAAACTGTCAAATTTATGAAATACAGGTAGCAATTTTACTATTGTAAAATATGTATTCATATTTATCCTTCAATGACTTTGAAAGTGTTTTTCATTTTAATATATTATGATTGAAGGATCAAGCGAATAGTCCAACCATTTTTCCAGTCTTGATTCTCCTTTTACTCTCAGTATGTCCTGATGTAACATAAAACACAGAACAGACATTCTTATTATGGTGTTTTATTATGTTTAACTTACATGAAATAGCATTAATTAAATTACTGGTATACAAAGCTATCATACCCTCCCTTTATGCCACATAACTATCACTTTGGGGGGTCTTGGGAATATTTGTCATGTTTGTGCAATCCAGCATCTTTTAAACATTCTTCTTATGTTGCAACATTTTTGCACATTCTCATTCTTGTCCCTTCATTGAAGAAACCAGAACCCCAGTCTTATTTGCAGCTGTATGAATGTATGTAATGCACCCACACCCAGGACTCCACATGTGACATTACAAAGCACATGTACTCTCTTTCACAGCAACAGAAGTATCTGGGTTTTCAAGATCAGCAGCCCCAGAATTTTGCACTCCAGGCCTCAGTACTATCAGTGGAATTTGCAGTGTCTAGGACAAAATGCAATGTCTGTGCTAGGTGGCAGCAGCATTGGTGTCTTTGCTGGAGTAGCCACCAAGGTCTGGTTTGGGCACCATTTCTGGCTTTGCAGTGGCTGAGCCAGATACCCTAAATCTATTGGCAATTCTTTAATGCCAAAGATGTGTATATTTTTAAATTTGATTTATTTTCTTTTTTATAATATTTTTTAAACTTTCTTTTTAGGTTAAGGGGTGCATGTTCAGGTTTGTTATATAAGTAAATTCATGTTACAAGGGTTTTGTTGTACAGATTATTTCATCACCCAGGTAATAAGCCTAGTACCCAAGAGTTATTTTTGCTGCTCCTCTCCCTCCTCTCACCCTCCCCAGTCAAGTAGGCCCCAGTGTCTGCTGTTCTCTTCTCTGTGTTCATGTGTTCTCATCATTTAGCTCCCACTTATAAGTGAGAACATATGATATTTGGTTTTCTGTTCCTGCATTAGTTTGCTAAGGATAATAGCATCCAGCTCCATCCAGCTTCCCACAAAAGACATGAATTTGTTCTGTTTTATGGCTGCATAGTATTCCATGGTGTATATGTACCACATTTTCTGTATCCAATCTGTCACCAATGGGCATTTAAGTTGATTCCATGTCTTTGCTATTGTGAACAGTGCTAAAATGAACATTCACATGCATGTATCTTTGTGATAGAAGGATTTATATTCCTTTGGTGTAATGGTGATGGCAGTGGTGGGCTGTCTGGAGTGGCAGCTGCCATCACAACAGCTGCAGCAGGGAAGCATGGTCAGGGCTGCGTGCTCCATGTAGCCATCGGGAGCCAGAGAAAAGAGGGAGCCTGGCCCCTTCTGAGTTGGGGCAGGTGCTCCCCAGGTACACTGCAGCCACCCAAGCTGCAGCTGTGGACCCTGACATCCCTGTGCTCTCAGGGCCCAGGAGCAGGCGGGAGGCCTACCCTTCTGGACTCAGCTGCAATCACCCAAGTCGTGGCTGCAGATCCAGGCCTCCCACTCCACAGAGCAGGCAGAAGCCCTGCCCTCCCAGGTGCATCTGCAGCTACCTAAGCTGTGGCTGTAGACCTGGGCCTCCCTGTGCTCTTGGCGGGGACAGAAGCAGGCAGGAGCCTCACACTTCCAAGTGCGGCTGCAGCTACCCAAGTTGTGGCTGCAAACCCAGGCCTCCCACACCATGAGGCAGACAGGAGCCCTGCACCCCCCGCCCCAGGCATGGCTGCAGCCACCCAAACAGCAGCTGTGAACCCAGGCCTCCCTGTGCTTTTGGGGCCCAGGAAGACCCACCCTGCCCTCACAGGCTCAGAAGTGCCTTCTGCCACTACCTGGCTTCTCCCTGCTGTTGGCACCCACTCTGATCTTGGAGCGAAGTCAGGGCTGAGCCCAGGCACTGTCACAGCCCAGCAAGATGTGCACATGCTCAGGGCAGTTCTGACTCACCAGCTCCCTGCTGTCTTGTCCCTCTCCAGACTTTGGGCACTGACAAGCATAGGAGGGAAGCCGAGGTGGGGGCTGAGGGCAGCTCAGCACTGGCCTGTAGGCGTCCCTTGGCTCGAAGATCCTGAAAAGCAGTGGGAGGCAGACAGGCTCCTGGGCAGAAGGAGGTGGGTTCCCAGTGAGGCTCCACCTTCAGGCCACGGGTGGGCCTGAAGACCCAGTCTTGCAGACCAGAGTAGAAACTTGTGGTGCCTTTTCCAGGTCTGCCCATGCCCACCCATGGACCAATCAGTACTCACTTATTCCCCTTTGAGGCCCATAAAAGCCCTGGGCTCAGCCAGAGGTGAGCAGATGTTGGGACAACCAGCTGCAGAGAGGAGCTACCCACTCCAGGGCCTCCTCTCTGCTGAGAGCTGCAGATGTCAGGACAACCTGCCTGCAGAAGGGAGCAACCCACTCCAGGGCCTCCTCTCTGTTGAGAGCTTCAGAGACAATGGGACAACCTGCCTGCTGAGATGAGCTTCCCACTACAAGGTCTACCCTCTGCTAGGAGCTAAACACTCACTGGGCCACCCTGGCTGTGGAAAGGAGCTACTCACTGCTGCTCTCCTCTGAGCTGTTCTATTGCTCAACAAAGCTCCTCTTCATCTTGTTCACCCTCCACTTATCTGTGTACCTCATTCTTCCTGGTCACAGGACAAGAACTCAGGACCTCTCAAATAGCGGGAATAAAAGAGCTGTAACACAAACAAAGCTGAAACATGCCCCTTGCTTACCATGTCATGGTTGAAGAGAAGGACAGAAGAGCTGCGGCCCTTCAGGGAGCCCAGACCTGGGAGCTCCCTGAGCCAGGGCTGTGACTCCCTCTTTGGGGCCCTGTGGTTCCTGGCATCTCCAAGCTTCTGGGTGCCACCATGTTTCCAGTGCCAGCGGTGGAAGTTGCTTGCAGTGCACCTGGTCCAGTCACAGCCTTGCAGAGAGCTGGAGCTGCCCATGCCAGCACCTGGAGTTGCCCACCCCACTGCAGTAGCTGCTGTCTGACTGCACAGTGCCCAAAACCCATGCTCACTCACAAACCCCTCACTGCTCCATGCCTGGCTTACCCTTGGCAGGGATGGGATCCAGGCCAGCAGCATAAGCCAAGCACAGCTTGCCAGGCTGAGTGGGCAGAACAAGCCCAGTGGGCTCAAGCAAAACTCAGGCAAAGGCACCACCAGCCACAGAGGTTTCTGGCCAGAAAAGCAGCACCCTAAAGATCCCATGACAATGGGATTGCTGGGTCAAATGATAGTTCCATTTTTAGCTCTTTGAGGAATCACCATACTGCTTTCCACAATGGCTGAACTAATTTACACTCCCACCAACAGTGTATAAGTGTTCCTTTTTCTCCACATCCATATTTTTTTATTTTTTATTAATAGCCATTCTGACTGGCATGAAATCTCATGGTGGTTTTGATTTGCATTTCTCTAATGATCAGTGATGTGGAGCTTTTTCTCATATGGTCATTGGCCACATGTATGTCTTCTTTTGAAAAGTGTCTGTTCATGTCCTTTGCCCACTTTTTAATGGGGTTGTTTTTCTCTTGTAAATTTAAGTTTCTTACAGATGCTGGATATTAGACGTTTGTTCAAAGCATAGTTTGCAAATATTTTCTCCCATTCTGTAGGTTGTCTGTTCACTCTGTTGATAGTTTCTTTCATTTTAATTATAAAAAATTATTTAACAATATACACAGGGAAAGCGCAAACACAGTCCCCCCACTACCACAAATTATGCAGTCAAGTTTCTTGCATTTGGGAAAATCACAGGGGCCAGTATACCCAGAGTGCAATAGGTGAGACTTACTCTGGGAAAACCACCTTTGTGATCACAGTATCTCCCGTGCTAGGTAAGTAAGGTAGTTTCCTTTGCTGTAACAGAAGCTCTTAAGTTTGATTAGATCCCATTTTTCAATTTTCGCTTTTCTTACAATTGCTTTTGGCATTTTTGTTATGAAATCTTTGCCCGTTCCTATGTCCAGGATGGTATTGCCTAGGTTGTCTCCCAGGGTTTTTACAGTTTTAGGTTTTACATTTAAGTCCTTAACCCTCTTGAGTTGATTTTGTATACAGTGTAAGGAAGGGGTCCAGCTTCAATCTTCTGCATATGGCTAGCCAGTTTTCCCAGCACCATTTATTGACTGGGGAGTCTTTTCCCCAATGCTTGTTTTTGTCAGTTTTGTTGAAAATCAAATGGTCGTAGGTGTGCGGCCTTATTTCTGGGCTCTCTATTCTGTTCCACTGGTCTATGTGCCTGTTTTTGTACCAGTAGCATGCTATTTCGGTTGCTGCATAGCTGAGCTAAGGTGGATTTATTGTTGGAAGCACTGACACACTTCCAATGGCTACAGACTATGGAAGGTGACACCCCCTCAAGGATATCTGACTCCAAACCCTCCTAACGATCACAGAGCAATACCCTTGGAGTACTCCACTTTCTACCCTTCAGGAATACAGACAATGCATGAGTAGTTCCTAGTTCTCTTAGCAGTTTGCCTTCCTACTTCTCCACCTGTGAAACACTTAGCTCCATAAGCACTGAGTCAGCTTTGGAAAAAGAGACTACCTTTCTTTGCTTCTGGATATGTACACCCTTTCATTTCCCTCCCTTTAAATCTAAGCATACCATACTATTAATTATCTAAAGTACTGTTTCTCTCTACTATTTTTCCTCTACCCTCTAAACCAGTTCTCTCTGCAGTATAAGGCATTTTTCAGTTCAACAGTCTCTGTTTTGATAGCCATGGTCTAAAATATTCTCAGAGTTTTAAAAGTCTTAGATATTTAAGCTTTCTCTTTTATTACTTAACAGACCTGATAATTTCATTTAGAGAGGAATTCCCACAGGGAAATTTTATTACATTTCCCCTAATAGATTTATCCTGTTGAAGCGTTTGTTCAGGTGTTCTACCCATTATTATAATAGATTCTACAAGTCTATTTGATATCTATTTGTTTTCTGTGGAATACTAGCTTTAATGGTTTACTTTTTGCATGGTATATAAAATTTTTTTAACACTTTAACATTTCCGTTTGCAAACAGAAGTCTCCACAGGTTGTCACTTTTTTATTTTTATTTTTTTATTATTTTTTTTTTTTGAGATGGAGTCTCACTCTGCTGCCCAGGCTGGAGTGCAGTGGCATGATCTCTGCTCAACTGCAACCTGCGTTCTCTGGGTTCAAACAATTCTCATGTCTTGGCCTCCTGAGTAGCTGGGATTACAGGCATGCACCACCACACCTGGCTATTTTTTGTATTTTTAATAGAAATGGGGTTTCATCATGTTGGCCAGGCTGGTTTCAAACTCCTGACCTCAAGTGATCCACCTGCCTCAACCTCCCAAAGTGCTAGGATTACACGTGTGAGCACCACACCTGGCCAGTTGTCACTTTTTATAAGCATATGTATGCATGTGCAGAAGCATACATATATACTCATTTTTGCTCTGAACTCCTGGAATTTATAATTCATCAAGACAAGACTAAAATTTGCTTTTCACACAACACATGAAAGGAGACATCACTGATCTGAGTGTAGTATAAAGAAAATGGAGGCAGGGGTTATATTAATTAAGAAAACAAATTATTCTCAAGTCCTTGAACAGCCTTCATTCATATAAAAAATACTACGTCAGCTCAGGCCAGTGGCATCTCATACCACATGGAGACTACGTGTGGGATTGTAAGAACTCATTTTGATACTCTGTATTAGGTATTATAATCTACCCACCACTTCATGGATATTTGGTCCAAAATTCTTGTGGACTGACAAACCTAATTACTTCTGCTTTTTTGTTTGATGTTGCTATACATTCAAATTGAGAGAGTACAATCTAGGAAAAAAATCAAGTGACACAGAAATTAAGCAGAATAGTAATGAAAGGATACACTCCTTCATTGGCCATAGGCACTCCCTTTCTTAAATGAAAGCTAAAAGTTGGATTTTAGAATGGAGGTAGAGATGACAAGTATTAAGAAGCATTAATCAAAGGGCACACAGATGATCTTAGCACTAACTCTTTATGTTTCTGATGTGAATCATAGGACAGTGTGATTTCCACTGTACACGGTGGAAAGGTAGGTGGGAAGGAATATTTTTCATCATCTACAAAAGTCAAAACTGATATTTGACCTCAGAACTATAAATGAGTAATAGAATTATGATATACCAAGGATTTTTCTAAGAAATTTACAAGTATGTCATTTAATCCTACAACAACACTAAAATATATCTTTATAATCCCATTTTAAAATGAGATATATAGAGGGTAAGTAACTTCCCCAAGGTCACACAGTAACACTGAATTTGGGACTCAAACTTAGAGAGCCTAAGCCCAGAGACTGCTTTATTTGATTTATGGTATTATCTCCCTACTTTTCCTCCTAGGTCCTTAAAATTGTTTGACATTATATATCATAGACTTCTAAGTGTATGATTGAAGGAGAGGGGAAGAAGAAGAGGGAAGAAGGGGAATGCATAGAAAAATATCTAGCATAAAGAAATTTTCCTCTTCTGGGCTTGAGTGATGCTATTACCCCAAGTACAAAATTGTGAACCAATTGTACTCAAATATTGGTAAATACAGATCCTGGCAAAATCTGCTTCCAGCTGTTCAAGCTAATTGCTTTTTATTTTTTGGACTGGCTTTTTCAGACATAAGTGATATTTTTAGCTGTGTTTTTCATTTGCATCATCAACTTAGATTGAAAAAGACGCTATTGCTTTAATAGTCAGCCAAATCTCAATAATTCACCGCGTGCTTCAACATAAAGTGTATTTCACCTGCAGTATATACAACTGAGAATTTCTAAATTGTGCTCACAAGGCTCATAAACTTCCCTGTGCCCAAATCAAAAACATGCACATGCACTTGACCCTTGGTAACCTCATGTTCTGCATGCGTGTTCTCTGCAGTTAATTTCCTGATGACTAGAGTCCATAAAGCGCAACTGTGAAGAAAGCACCTTGGTAAAACAGACTTCCTAAAGTAATGAAAACAGATCACTTCTAGGAGTGGAGTCCCATAGCATCATTAATTCCACAAGCAGGTATTGAGTGCCTACTTTGTAATACAGGACATGGAAATACTGCACGAATAAACCCAGAGCCTGTCATCAAGGGGCTCAGTCTAGTTTATAAACTAAACAAGAGAGTCAAATGTCATGATATGGTGATAAATATTATAATCAAGAAAGCAAAAGACATTGTGAGTCCAAAGGAGGTATTCAGATGAGAGATACAGGGAGTATATGAATCATATCTTGGGGTTAGATAGGGAAAGGCTTTCAAAATAAAGGGCACTTAAACCAGATTTCAAAGAGTAAGAAGAATTTAGCTAGAGTGAAGGGAACTCGAAGCTCAGAGAACATAATCAACAATAAATAGCCCTTAGAAAACTATGTCAAAACAGTAAACTACAGGTAGATTGGCGTATGAAATGATAATGTGCTTATGGAGGTGTGGGGAATGATAGAAATGGAAAGACACACCAAAGCACAAAATATTTTAATCATACCAGAATTAGTCCCTTCTCACATTGCTGATAAAAATATACCCAAGACTGGGTAATTTATAAAGAAAAAGAGGTTGAATGGACTCACAGTTTCACATGGCTGAGGAGGCCTCACAATCATGGCAGAAGGTGAAAGGCTTGTCTGACCTGGCAGCAGAAAAAAGAGAAGAAAAGAACAAAGTGAAAGGGGTTTGCCCTTATAAAACCATCAGATGTTATCGGACTTATTCACTACCACGAGAACAGTATGAGGGAAACCACCCCCATCATTCAATTATTTCCCACCAGCTCCCTCCCACAACCTGCGAGAATTATGGGAGCTACAATTCAAGATGAGATTTGGGTGGGGACACAGCCAAAACATGTCAATACCCAAAGCCATTTGCCCTAATAAATAGAGGTTGTGAATTGTTCACTGATATTCTCTGATGGTTGCATATCCCTTCAGTTAAATAAGTATATACCAAAGAGCATAAGTAGAAAACCATGGCACAAGTTTTGATTAAACATGGTAGACTGAACAAACAGAAAATTGAATAAATGAAACCCTAATATTATAAATGGACCAAAAGAGATTAATAAAAACATAGTGATCCACAGGACAATAAGAACACAATGGATATAACAGCAAATGAGAAATGTTTACAAAGTTTTAGAAGATAGAAGCAAATGGAGGGATGGTAACTAATTTAATTGGTCTGAGAGAGCTGAGTGCATTCAGAGGAAGAATGAATCTGACCCAAGATATTGCACTTCAGAATCTGAGAAAAGCATAGGGAGTAGAGGCAGAGTGTCTAGGAAAATGGTTATGAGGGCTGGGACAAGTACTACTCCTATCCTTGGAGAAAAATTGGAAGTCTGCCATGGAGAATGTGAACCATAAAGGCTCTGGAAAGGCATGCATGCCACCACTCCCAACTCTGTGCTCACTGAAGGAGCTATTAAAGCTTTCTCTATTGCTAAGCCCTTATGTGACTGCGGAAGCTTTCTCAATATTGCTCTCAAGCATCTGCTACCAACCAACCAGAGTTGGCACCTGAGATAAAAATGCATTTGACTTCCCTGATGTAAACAAGAAAAGACAATCAAGGACTGGATCCTGAGAAACAGGTTCTCAAACATCTCACAAACCATCAGCTCTGTGTGTGTATGTGTGAGTGAACATAGACGTGAACCCGGGATGAAAGTATTGTAAATTTATTTTAATCCAACCATAAAGTATGTCCACATCCATAGTCTTTGCTAACTTTCCTTCTTATCTGGACATCTACAGGAGCCTCACAACTGCTTTGCCACCCACACTCAGGACCCTCTATCATCCATCCTCCATGTTGCATCCAGAGTAATATTTCCAAAGCAGAGACGGTTGTCTCCTGGATGAGGGGTGGATGTCACCCCTCATCCACCCTCAACCTTGCTATTAAAATCATTTCATTGTTCTTAAAATAGACAACAAGATTTTTCACCGGGTCTACAAGCCTCAGGGTTTATCCCCTGATTCTTCAGCCTATTTTTGTACCATACACCCCATTGTGTACTCCTACCCTCCACCATGAACTTTTGAAGACGCTACATGCCATACTTAAGGCTCTTGTTCTTACTCTTTATCTGTGTAATTCCTATTCATCCTTTAGATCTCAGCTTTAACAATGTATATATGAAAAGCCTTCCATGAATGCCAGAGGCCGTTGTAGCACCATGTCCCTTCCCTGCACAGCACTTCCCAATGTTGTCATTTTACATGTGGCTGAGTGACCCATTGCTTCAATGACTGTCTCTACTGCCAGTCATTAAGCTCCATGAGTTCAGAAAAAAAATTTAAAGTTAGTTTTTGTTTTCCCAATACCTAGCATCATGCATGGCACTATAGGAGATATTCACTGTCCATTTATTTAATTTGGTTGGCTTTGGTGATCTGGATTTTGATAATATATTCTCAGTCCTAGAAAATATGTCTATGGAAAGTATTTACTAAGAGTTTATTTTCATTATGAAATGAATTAATATGGTTAAATAGACAAGAAATAACACTTGGCAAATAGTATGACATATATTTCAATAGCCACTTTAATTTCATCAGAATTATTCCATCATTTCCCAGGAAATTTGCAAAGCATTATTGAATAAATAGTCACATCACTTCCTGAAATTACATCCAGCTGGAAATCCTGCTGACTCCAAAAATAAGAAAACGAGAACTCTTTTCTCCCCTTTAATTGGATTTGCAGGCTGCTTTTCAAAAATATTATAATCCTTATTGCCCTCAGTATTGTTTCAACAGTCATTAAGAATCACATTCTCACTTAGCTAGCTATGTGAAACGCTTTTATTTTCCACCTCTCAGTAGCCCTTCTCTATACTATAATAGGTTTTAAATTAGGACCACAAAACTACTCTGGCAGCTTAAATGAAGCAAAAACATCCATAAAACACTATTTGCTTCATTTCTTCCCTTAATTCCTCTTTAGGTGAAAGATGGGCACTATGGAGAAGTAGCTACTTTTATGAAAATACATTACTGTATTTAGGTAATGAATAACGTACAGTGCTGGTCTACTAACACATTGTTGACCCAGCCTAACACAAAAACTATAATGGTATCCTGTGAAATGAAAGCACCACATAAACCGTGCAGTCTTTTAAGAGCCAAATCCAAAGAGAAACGAAGCTTAACTGCGGTGCTGTTTTCTTAGTAGCTACAAATGGCAACTCTCAGATATGAGTAGTGCTTCAGGCAAAACTGTGACACACACACATACACACACACACACACAAACACACACACGCAGACACACTTCCCATATATCACCCAAAGCTCCTTAGCACTTTGTCTTTGCCTTCACATACATCTCCACCCCCACTGCCCTAGGCCTGCTGATTTGCCCTAATTACTTAGACCATATTCAGGTTGCCTTGCAGAAAAAAGAAATAGCCTCAGCCAGAACAAAATATCTGGACTTCTACTTTCTTGGCGTATACTTCAACCTGTGCCCCTCTAGTGAAAACAGCCACTGTTATTTATCAATGAATTATTTGTGCTGAGATATCGATGACAAGTTCCTAGATTATGGGTTTCTTATACCATATTACATTTGACACTTAGTAGGGGGAACCAGAAATTAGAGAACCTTCAGCTAAATAACCCCTGATGGGAATTTGGGGAGAAGAAAAGTCCTGGAGGAAATCAGCTTAGGAGGGGCTATCCATCTATTCTACCCATGCATATGTATCCACCTTTTCAAACATCCAGTAAGGAGGAAACAACAGGTGGCAGGTAAGAATAAATCCTAATTGCCAGAATTTCATTCAATTCAGTAATTGAATTGATACAGTCCATGGATATGGTCTCTACTTTCAAGTATTTTACAGTATGGGTTGCTCAATTAAATGTCAGTGCTAAAGTCAAAGGCTCTGTGATGTAGATTCCACTAGAATATAAGCTCCATGAAGGTAAGAACCTCTTTTTGGCAACCATAAACTCAGTGTCTTGGCCGGGCGCAGTGGCTCACGCCTGTAATCCCAGCACTTTGGGAGGCCAAGGCGGGTAGATCACCTGAGGTCAGGAGTTCGAGACCAGCCTCAACATGGAGAAACCCCGTCTCTACTAAAAATAAAAAATTAGCCGGGCTTGGTGGCGCATGCCTGTAATCCCAGCTACCCGGGAGGCTGAGGCAGGAGAATTGCTTGAACCTGGGAGGCGGAGGTTGCGGTGAGCCAAGATTGGGCCATTGCACTCCAGCCTGGGCAACAAGAGCAAAACTCCATCTCAAAAAACAAAAACAAAAAAACTCAGTGTCTTAAACTGAGCTCAATAAACATTTGGTGAATGAATGAATGCTAGTAATATGGTTTTTCAAATAATAAGATCTTTCTTAGCTCATTTTCTCCTTTACAAAATGGAAATGACAACACTCACCTCATAAGACTTTTGTGTGGATTAAATTAGATAATACATGCAGAAGTTCTTAAGAAGTCTTTAGGAAATAGTTAAGTGCCCCCTTTTTTTATTAGGTAGATTATACTAATTACTATAAGAACAAAAGATAGAACAAAGGGAGAATATAGTCAACCTTCAGGCATTTATAACAAAGATGGGTTCCTTCGGCACAGAGAGCTTGCAACATATAGATAATCTAAAACCTATGTGCAAGTACATAGAACAGGAAAGAAAAACTGAGAGTGGAACAGTAGACTTAAATCATCTACTTTGAGAGAACTAGAAATCAACTATGCTCTCCCTAAATAGCTAAGCAGAAAGGTGGTAAAAAGTAAAGTTAGTCTTTAACTCTAGAAACCCCACAATAATCTCAACATGGTTATTAGGCACATGCGTATTTGAATACACGTGGTATTCAGTCCTTAAAATGGGTATGATAATGTGGCTGAGGATCCAGAACATTCTGTTCTGTCTCCAGCTTTCACGATGCTAACAAGTCATGAATCAATTCTGTGTCCAGGTTATCTTTAAAGGGATTCTTACCAATTAAAGCGGTATTTAAGACCAGTAAATATGGAACATAGAAAATAGAAATTAAATGAAAAATATTTTCCAGGGCTTTGCCTAACTTTGCAATATGTCTTCATTTCCACACATAGCCTAAATATCCCTCTCCAATAAAAATCCAAACAAGAATTCCTTTTTAAGATAATTTAATAGTGACTTATTGAATATCTTACTGTATTCAGCACTGTGTCAGTTTTGACTATGCTTAACAGGGCACCTAATAAAATCACTAAATCATGTTATAATGATGACTATGACAGAGCACCTAATATAATCACTAAATGACACATGACACCATACCTAACATAATCACTAAATTATGTTATTTGAGTCATTATTATATATAATCTAATCCTTTACAAAAAGTCCTACCATCCAAAGTAATATACAAATACTTCAAATTGTTTCTCCAATAGGAGAAAAAAATGTACTGAGTTATTACCTTCCTTCAAACATACCACAAAATAATCAGAGCCATCTACGACAAACCCACAACCAACATCAAATTGAATGGGCAAAAGCTGGAAACATTCCCCTTGAAAACCGGCATATGACAAGGATGCCCTCTCTCACCACTCCTATTCAACATACTATTGGAAGTCCTGGCTGGAACAATTAGGCAAGAGAAAGAAATAAAGGGCATCCGATTAGGGAAAGAGGAAGTCAAACAATCCCCGTTTACAGACTACACCATCCTATACCTACAAAATCCCATAGTCTGAGTCCAAAACCTCCTTAAGCTAATAAACAACTTCAGCAAATTATCAGGATACATAATCAATGTACAAAAATCACTAGCATTCCTATATACAAACAGCAGTCAAGCCAAGAGCTTAATGAGGAATGTAATCCCATTCACAAATGCAACAAAAAGAATAAAATACTTAGGATTACACCTAACCAGGGAGGTGAATGATCTCTGAAATGAGAATTTCAAAACACTGCTGAAAGAAATCAGAGATGACACAAACAAATGGAAAAACATTCAATGCTCATGGACAGGAAAAATCAGTATCATTAAAATGGCCATACTGTCCAAAGCAATGTATAGATTCATTGCTAGTCCTACTAAATTACCAATGACATTCTTCACAAAACTAGGAAAAAACTATTTTAAAATTCATGCAGAACCAACAATAAGCCCTGATAGCCAAGGCAATACTAAGCAAAAAGAACAAAACTGAAGGCATCACACTACCTGACATTAAACTATACTGCAGGAATAAAATAACCAAAACAACATGGGACTGGTACAAAAACTGACACATAGACCAATGGAATAGAATAGAGAGCCCAGAAATAAGGCCACACACCTATGACTATCTGACCTTTGACAAACCTGACAAAAACAAGCAACAGGGAAAGGACTCCCTATTCAATAAACGTTGCTGGCGTAACTGGCTAGCCATATGCAGAAAATTGAAGCTAGACTCCTTCCTTACACCATATACAAAAATCAACTCAAGATGTATTAAAGACTTAAATACAAAACCCAAAACTATAAAAATCCTGGAAGATAACCTAGGCAATGCCATTCTGGACATAGATTTCATGATGAAGACACCAAAAGCAATTGCAACAAAAGCAAAAATTGACTAATGGGATTTGATTAAACTTAAGAGCATCTATACAGCGAAATAAACTATCAATAGAGTAAAATAGACAACCTACAGAATGGGAGAAAATTTTTGCAGACTATGCAACAGAAAAAAAGTCTAATATCTAGAATCTATAAGGAACTTAAACAAATTTACAAGAAAAAAAACAAACAACTCATTAAAAAGTGGGCAAAGGACATGAACACTTTTCAAAAGAAGACTTAAATGTGGCCAATAAGCATATGAAAAAAGGCTCAAAATCACTGATCATTAGAGAAATGCAAATCATCACGCCTGTAATCCCAGCCCTTTGGGAGGCCAGGGTGGGCAGATCACCAGAGTTCAGGAGTTCGAGATCAACCTGACTAACATGGTGAAACCTCGTCTCTACTAAAAATACAAAAAATTAGCCGGGCGTGGTGGTGCATGCCCGTAATCCCAGCTACTCAGAAGGCTGAGGCAGGAGAATCGCTTGAACCCAGGAGGCGGAGGTTGCAGTGAGCCGAGATTGTGCCATTGTACTCCATCCTGGGCAACAAGAGCAAAACTCCGTCTCAAAAAGGAAGAAAAAAAAAAGAAAAATGCAAATCAAAATCACAAGGAGATACCATCTCATATCAGTCAGAATGGCTATTATTAAAAAGTCAAAAAACAGTTGCTGACGAGGTTGTGGAAAAAAAGGAATGTGTATACACTATTGGTGGCAATTCCTCAAAGAACTAAAAACCGAAATACCATTTGACCCAGCAGTCCCATTACTGGGTATATACCCAAAAGAAAATACATCATTCTGTCATAAAGACACATGCACGTGTATGTTCATTGCAGCACTACTCACAACAGCAAAGACATGGAATCAACCCAAATGCCCATCAATGACAGATTGGATAAAGAAAATATGTTACATATACATGATGGAATACTATGCAGCCATAAAAAATAATGAGATCACGTTCTTTGTAGGAACACGGATGGAGTCCATAGTTAGCAAACTAACCCAGGA
Source organism: Homo sapiens (assembly GCF_000001405.40). NCBI lineage: Eukaryota > Metazoa > Chordata > Mammalia > Primates > Hominidae > Homo > Homo sapiens. Next base: position 19,713,674 of record NC_000012.12, on the reverse strand, counting down.
ACAGACATCCAAATACCACTTTCTCACTTATAAGTGGGAGCTAAAGTATGAGAACACATGGACACATAGAGGGGAACAACAGACACTGGAGCCTACTTGAAGGTGGAAGGTAGGAGGAGGGAGAGTATCAGGAAAAATAACTAATGGATGCTAGACTTAATACCTATGCAACAAACCTGCACGTATACCCTTGAAATTAAAATAAAAGTTTAAAAGAAGAGTTATCACCTTCTTTCAACTGGTTCATTTTAGGAATGTGTAAAATATTGAGCCAGAACTTGGTAGTGCAGTCAATATCCTCAGAAGAGAGTTGTTTTCTCCCAAATAACAGAAGATGTTTTACAGAAAGAACCTTATTAGCACCAGAATTTAGGTTTGTGATAAGTGGTTGAGTCTAAAGATTTGTAACAATGAAACATATCACTGGTTCTCATCTTGAAAACTGAAAACAAAAGGAATATTTCTTGGCCTAGTACCTGTGGTGTTTAACTTTTCACTCTTGCTTCCAGTTCTTTAGTTATAGCCCACAGAGAGAATATGGTAAACAAATCATTAAGCTATTTGGTTTATCATAAAATACTTCCATTTGACCATTTGACACACATTAATTAAGTACCTATTACATCGAGGAACTAGACTGATACAAAGATGAATAAGATAATATCTTGTAAGAAAGAGAGACAGACATGGAAACAACTGCCCTACAGCATACACAATGTGAGCATTGTAGAACAAAATGGAATGGAAATGTGGGACGGTATTCTAGGCAGCAAGACACGTATGCCAAAGACATGGATTGAGATAACCAAACGAATTTGGGGAACTGTGAGCAACTTGTCTAGGTAGACATGTGGAGCTAGGGAAGATGGTTAGGAAAAGTAATTGGAAGTATAGATTAAGGCTGAATCATGTATAACCTTTATTAATTAATGAATGAGTATTACTGGGCACTTACTATATGCTAGGAATCATGCTAGATAATGCAGCCACAGCAGTGAACACAGCAGACAAGATCCCTGCCCTAGATTCTGGTATATGCAAGGCTGAGACCTTAGTCTAAAGGCAACAGAGGTAAGCAGGGAAAATGGCACAAACTGATTTAGAAAGTTAACTCTTTTAAGAATATATAGAATAACTGAAACAGGAAAAACTAGACATAGTAAAATGAGTTGGAAGACTACTACAATAGACCAGATGAGTCCTGTTTCTGATCTCTTCCATTAAATATTACGGTCTCCTCATACATGAGTCTTCATCAGGAATTTGTAGAGAATTTTAATTCAAAATATCATTTTACTTGATTCAGTTCTCACAAAATGTGAGTTAGTCCTCAAACCTTAACAAATTTCTACACCAACAATATATTTTTGTTGGATCCACATCATGTTGCACCACTAGCAACTCTTAGTCATCCTGACTCATTTCCTGAACTTTCAGTTGCTTCAAACGAACTTCATTTTGTCTAAGAGTCGAGACAGACAGAAGCCGCCTATAAGGGCCCAGTGAATTCTCAACATCAAGAGGACTTCCAAAGTAGTAGCTAAGTCAAGACTCCTACCATTACCAAGATAATTAGAACCTCCAGGATATATGATCTTCCAAACTCTACTATCCGTTTTGTATGTATCACAGAGTCCCAAAAATTGCCCAAAGTCCTGGAATTTGTATGAAAGGGCCTAAGAAATTCATTCTTTTTTATATGGAACTTCACACACTTACATCCATTGCTTCATTTATTCCCTGTAACAATCAACGGAATAAGGCAAATTTGACATAATCAGACCCATTTTAAACATGGAGATACTAAAACCAAGGGAGATGAAGACTTTGACCCAAAGGTGCATTCTAGTTAAGAAGCAGAGTAAGAGCTAGAATCCAGAGCTTTTGACTCCTGGACCATGTTTTGCTTTACCTCCATGCCATCTCCTCAGCCATCAATCATTGTCTCTCTCCTACTGTGCCTACACAGCTGCATAACAATTCTTTGCTTTCTTAAAGGTTAATGAACAACCTCTTCTATGTTAAGCTAGCCTTCCTGAAGCAATTTCTCTTGTTTTGTAATACTCAAAGCCATCCATGTCTACCGCAAATAAAATCTCTTCTTTCTCTTCTTCATGATTCCCTTCATCCTCCTCTCCAACCTCCTCAGGGTTCCAGAAAAATTGAACCCTAGTCAACCCACATTGACCCTAGGAGGATTCAGGCTATTTTTAGATCAAGACTGACATACTCAGGCAGCAAAGAGAGCCAGTGAGATGCCAAACTTAGTATTCACCCTGGAAATGAACAAAAATGGGAAGCAAGCTGGCCAGTTCAGCGTGCCTTCAGATTTATAATAAATTGTCTGAGAGAACTTAGTGAATTAGCAATGACTCCATGCCAGAAATTCTTTGCCTCAGCCAATCCTGGAACTTACTCCGCTAAACCTAGGCCACCTGAGGTTTTTCAAAAATATTACTTTCACATAAAGTCCACATAGCTCAGCCACTGCTGCCAAGAACAAGTCCTGGAGAACGTACTGGCAAGCTTGGTGCTTGTCCCACTGGGTAGTCACATGAGCTGAGAGGCAGCACGTAAAAGACAGAAACTCTCTTAAGTAGGCGTCAGAAATCCTAGATTCCTTACCACTTCTGAGCCATGTGACATTGAGAGAGTCACTAGGAAGATCTATGGCCACAGCTGTGGAGTGTGCAGCTTTTGCTGTCAGCCCCTTCTGGGGCTGTCTCAGTCTCAGCCATAGAGAACCGTCTCCCCTAAAAGTCATATCCTTCTAGGGGCAGCCCACAGTCAAATGACTGATTAGGGTTAAAAGGACTGGAAATGTTGGCCCAATGCAAGACATCCCTGCCAGGCCTTTTTAGCTCCAGAGCTCCCCATGGAATCAGCTAAGACTGCTGGGCTGGGTCTACATCACAGCTAGACCCCTCTCCATGCCAACCCTGCTGCTTCTACCTCTCTTCCAAGGTTTGATCCTAAGAGTACTCCTTCATGCACAACCTGAAACATTAACAGCATCTCAGAGTATGCTTCCTGGTGAACCAAACATGCAGCACCAATAAATAAATGCTACTATTAGTGAACTCCAAAAAAATGACAACTCAAAGAAGAATCTTCTGAAATTAGAGTTATTTTAATTAGGTTAAAAAAATCTCCACAAACCATGCCATGTCACACTATGTTGGAAGTTAGACAAGATCTCTGCTAAGCGCCTGAAGGACAAAGCACAAATAGTAATAATAATAATACAGCCTTCTGCCTCCATTTCTTCACAGTTGAATTCCTAGATGCATTTCATGGAATCAGAGAAGTGTTTCTTCTTTCTCAGCAGCTTTACCTTTCTCTGCAATCCCGTTAGATGTCCTATACTCCCTTCGATGCCTAACGCCTTCCTCCTCTCTAGCTCCCTCTTTCATATCAATAAGAAAAAATTATGCAAAAGTCTGTAACTGTCTCAGACTTATCATTGAAATTACATTTGTTAGTGGATAAGTATTAAGTGGGTTCTGTGGTGGCTACCCAGATCCCCACTTCAGGACTGAAAGGTTTACATTCCCCAGCAGCTAGAAGTGCTGCTGGCAGAGAGCCCTCAGCTCTCCAAGAACTACCCTCAGCTGAAGATAGCTGCATCGCCCATGAACACAGCCCCATAAAATGACTGGTCAGTGCACAAGACTAATGGTCCCTTCATCACAATTTAGGACAACTTTGAAAAGCCATCCCACCTTCTGAGCCCCTGTAAAGTTGGCTGAGGCTATGTGAAGACCGAATCACAGCCTAATTTCTCCTTCTGCCCAGTCCTTTTTCCTATCCTTCCAGAAAAGTTGTTAGCCCTGAAAGTACTCCCTAATAAGTCTCCCACATACTAATCTCTATTCCAGAGTCTGCCTCAGTTGGTAGCAGTAGTATTCCAGAAAAGCAGATGCTATGATGGAATATGGGGGTTTAAATATCGTCTGGCTGGCAATGAAAACCTCATCACTGGTGGTGGATTCCTGATAATTCTAGGTCCACCATACACCTCTCACCTACCCAACACATACTAGAAGAAGTCAAAAGAATATGTATGAAACTGGATTCTAAGAAAGCTGTATCAAAGTGGACAATACAATTGTCACTTGCACCAGTGCTAAACTAGGATGATAAACCAATAGAAAGAAATGTATTGGGACTTTGAGAATTTGAGGATAACAGAAATTCTAAGAAAAATATAATTAGATGGCAATTGCTGGGGACAATTGAGGCTCTGGAGAAAAAAGGCAATGAAAAGCTGATGGTTATAAATCACCAATTAAAAGCTAAGTGTGGCCAGGTGCAGTAGATCACATCTGTAATCCCAATGCTTTGAAAGACCAAGGTGGGAGGATTGCTTGAGAACAGGAGTTTGCAACCAGCCTGGGCAACATAGTGAGACCCTATCTATACAAAAAATTGAAAAATAAAACTTAGCTGGGCATGGTGGTGCATGCGCATAGTCCTGGCTACTCAGGAGACCAAGGCAGGAGGATCCCGTTGAGGCTGCAGTGAGCTATGATTGCACCACTGCACTCCAGCCTGAGTGACAGACTGAGACTCTGTTTCAAAAAAAAAAAAAAGGTAAGTGTGCAGAGTTGACATTCAATGGGTACAAAGTTTCAGTTATGCAAAACGAATAAGCTCTAGAGATCTACAACATTGTGCCTAAAATTAACAATATTGTTTTGTACACTTAAAAATTTAAGAGAGCAGATCTCACATTAATTGGTATTACCGCACTATTTTCTTAAATCGGTGGGGGAAAAAAATCCAAATGTGAAACAAAGAGGACTTACACTTCTTAATTTCAAAACTTACTACAAAGATAAAGTAATCAGGACAATGTAGTACAAGACAGATATACAGATCAATGGGGTCCAGAAATAAACCCACTTCTAGCCTATTGATTTTTGGCAATGGTGCCAAGTCCATTCAATGGGGCAAAATTTGTGTCCTCAAGAAGTGGCGTTGGAACAACTGGAAAGCCTCATGCAAAAGAATAAAGTAGATCCCCTACACCATATACAAAAATTAACTCAAAATGGATCAAATACTTAAGTTTAAGAGCTAAAACTTTAAAAACCTTAAAAGAAAACATAGAGGTAAACATTCATAACCTTGGATTTGGCAATGGTTTCTTAAATATGGACCCAAAAGCATAACAAAAGAAAAATAGATAAATTAAACTTGATTAAAATTAAAAACATTTGTGCATCAAAGCACATTATCAAGAGAGCAAAAGGACAATTCACAGAATGAGAGAAAGTATTTGCAAATGAAATATCTGCCAAAGGTTTAATATCCAAAGAATGTCTACGACTCAACAACAAAACGACAACCCAAATAAAATATGAGCAAATGACTTGAATAGACATTTCTCTGAGGAAGATATATAAATAGACAATAAGCACATGTTACTCATCATTAGTCATTAGGGAAATGCAAATCGAAACTCTGATGTAATACTACTTCACATCCACTAGGATGGCTATGGTCAGAAAACAGACTATAACAAGTGTTGGCCATTACGTAGAAAGGTTGGAATGCTCTTATATTACTGTTGGGAATATAAAGTCATGCAATCACTTTAGAAAACATTCTAGCAGTTCCACAAAAAGTCAAACATGGAGTTACCATATGATCCAGCAATTCCGCTCCTATGTATATGCCCAAGAGAACTGAAAACACGTTCACCAAAACAAAAACAAAAACAAAACTTGCACATCACTGTTCATAACATTATCCATCACAGCCAAAAGGTGGAAACAACCCAAACATCCATCAACTGATGAATAAAATGTGGTATGTCCATAAAGTATAATATTATTCAATCATAAAAAATGAATAAGTATATTCATTTGACAGAATATATTCATTTGAGAGAATAAGTATATTCAAATGAGAGAAGCCAGCTGGACTTCCTGGGTCGAGTGCGGACTTGGAGAACTTTTCTGTCTAGCTGGAGGATTTTAAATGCACCTATCAGCACTCTGTGTCTAGCTAAAGGATTGTAAATGCACCAATCAGCACTCTGTAAAAACGCACCAATCAGCACTCTGCGTCTAGCTAGAGGATTGTAAATGGACCAATCAGCTCTCTGTAAAATGGACCAATCAGTAGGACGTGGGTGGGGACAAATAAAGGAATAAAAGCTGGCCACCCCAGCCAGCAGCGGCAACCTGCTTGGGTCCCCTTCCACACTGTGGAAGCTTTGTTCTTTCGCTCTTCACAATAAATCCTACTGCTGCTCATTCTTTGGATTCAAGCCACCTTTAAGAGCTGTGACAATCACCGCAAAGGTCTGCAGCTTCATTCTTGAAGTCAGCGAGACCAAGAACCCACCAGAAGGAACCAACTCTGGACACACTAATACATGGTTCATGGATGAAGCTTGAAATCATTATCCTCAGTGAAAGAAGCCAAACATAAAAGACCACGTATTTTATGAATACATGTATATGGAATGTCTAGAATAGGCAAACACATAGAGACAAAACTAGATTAGTGGTTTCCAGAGACTGGGAGGAGGAGAGAATTACTGATTGCTAATGGGCTCAGGATTTCTTTCTGGGGTAATGAAAATATTTTGGAAATAGTCATGATGGTTATACAACTTTGTGAATATACTAAACCACAGAATTGCATACTATAAAGGGTGGGTTTGTGACATATGAATTATACCTCAGTTTTGTCAAATTTGTGGTTTAGTGGGAAAAATAAACTAAGCGTGAAAGCCAGAGTCTCCTTGGCGCACATAAAGAAAATCTTTATGGGTACATGTGCAAGTTTGTTATATAGGTAAATTGGCTGTCAAGGAGGTTTGGTATACAGATTATTTGGTATACAGATTTCATCACCCAGGTAATAAGCACAGTACCTGACAGGTAAATTTTTTTTTCTATCATCACCCTCCTCCCATTTTTCACCCTCAGGTAGGCCCTGGTGTCTGTTGTTCCCATCTCTGTGTCCATGTGTACTCAATATTTAGCTCCCACTTATAAATGAGAACATGTAGTATTTGGTTTTCTGTTCCTGCATGAGTTCACTTACGATAATGGCCTCCAGCTCCCACTTATACTTGAGAACATGTGGTATTTCCTTTTCTGTTCCCACATTAGTTCACTTTGGATAATGGCCTCCAAATCCATCTATATTGCTACAAAGGACATGATCTCATTCTGTTTTATGGCTGTATAGTATTCCATTGTGCATATGTGTATATATGCCTGTGTACTATATCCATTACTGGGTATATACCCTTTTAAGCTCTTTGAGAAAGGCTTAACTGCTTTCTACAATAAGTGAACTACTAATAATTTACTTTCCCACCAGCAGTGTATAAGCATTCCCTTTTCTCTACAACCTCACCAGCATCTGTTATTTTTTCACTTTTTAATAACAGCCATTCTCACTGGTATGTGACAGTATCTCATTGTGGTTTTGATTTGCATTTTTCTAATGATTAGTGATGTTGAGGGTTTTTTCACATGCTTGTTGACCGCATGTATGTCTTCTTTTGAAAAGTGTCTGTTCATGTCTTTGTCTACTTTTCAACAGGGTTGTTTTTTGCTTGCAAATTTGTTTAAGTTTCTTATAGATTCTGGATTTTAACCTTTGTTGAATGTGTAGTTTCCAAATATTTTCTCCCATTCCGTAGGTTGTCTGTTTATTCTGTTGATAGGTTTTGTTTGTTTTTGTTTTGGTTTTGCTGTGCAGAAGTACTTTGGTTTGTTAGGTCCCACTTGTCAATTTTTGTTTTTGTTGTAATTATTTTTACCATCTTCATCTCTTCATCATGAAATCTTTGCCAGGATCTGTGTCCAGAATGGTATTTCCTAAGTTTTCTTCTAGGATTTTTAGTTTTAGATTTTACATTAAGTCTTTAACAAATCTCAAGTCGATTTTTGTATATGGTATACAAGAAAGGAGTCCAGTTTCAATCTTCTGCATATGGCTAGCCAGTTTCCCCAGTACCATTTATTGAATACAGAGTCCTTCTCCATTGCTTGTTTCTGTAGACTTTGTCAAAGATCAGATGTTTGAAGGTGTGTACCTCTATTTCTGGGCTTTCTATTCTATTCCATTGTTCTGTGTGTCTATTTTTGTACCAGTACCATGCTATTTTGGTTACTGCAGCCTTGTAGTATCATTTCATGTTGGGTAGTGTGATGTCTCCAGCTTTGTTCTTTTTGCTTAGGATTGCTTTGGCTATTCAGGCTCTTTTTTGGTTCCATATTAATTTTAAAATAGTTTTTTTCTAATTCTGTGAAGAATGTCATTGGTAGTTTGATAGGAATAGCACTGAATCTTTAGATTGCTTTGAGCAGTGTGGCTATTTTGACAATATTGATTCTTCCTATCTATGAGCATGGAATGTTTTTCCATTTGTGTCATCTGATTTCTTTCAGCAGTGTTTTGTAACTATCATTGCAGAGATCTTTCATTCTCTGGTTAGCTGTATTCCTAGGTATTTTATTCTTTTTGTGGCTTTTGTGAATGGGGTTGCATTCTTGATTTGGCTCTCAGCTTGGATGTGGTTGGTGTATGGGAATGCTGCTGATTTTCGTACATTGATTTTGCATCCTGAAACTTTACTGAAGTTGTTTAACAGATCAAGGGGCTTTTGGGCAGAGACTATAGGGTTTTCTAGGTGTAGAATCAGATCATCTGTAAACAAAGATAGTTTGATTTTTCTCTTCCTATTTGGATGCCTTTTATTTCTTTCTCTGGCCTGATTGCTCTGACTAGGACTTCCAGTACTATGTTGAATAGGCATGGTGAGAGTGGACATCCTTTTCTTGTTCTGATTAAGGAGAGTGTTTCCAGCTTTTGTTTGTCCAGTATGATGTTGGCTGTGGGTTTGTGATGGATGGCTCTTATTTTGAGGTATACTCCTTCCATGCCTAGTTTGAGAGTTTTTAACATGAAGAGGTGTTGAATTTTATCAAGTCTTTTCTGCATCTACTGAGATGATAATTTGTTTTCATTTTTAGTTCTGTTTATGTGATGAATGACATTTATTGATTTACATGTTGAACCAACCTTGCAACCCAGGGATAAAGCCTACTTGATTTTCCTGGATAAGGTTTTTTATATGCTTCTGGATTCAGTTTGCTAGTATTTTTCTTGAGAACTTTTGCATTGATATTCATCAAGGATATTTGCCTGAAGTTTTTTTTTTTATTGTGTGTTTGTTTGTTTGTTTGTTTTTTGGTTGTGTCTCTGCCAGGTTTTTGTATCAGAATGATGCTGGTTTCATACAATGAGTTAGGAATGAGTCCCTCCTCCTCAATTTTTCAGAATAGTTTCAGTAGGAATGGTACCAGCTCTTCTTTACATGTCTGGTAGAATTCAGCTGTGAATATGCCTGGGCCTGGAATTTTTTTGGATGGTAGGCTTTTAATTACTGATTCAATTTTGGAACTCAGTATTAATCTGTTCAGAGATTCAGTTTCTTCCTGGTTCAATCATTGGACATTGTACTTTTCCAAGAATTGATCCATTTCTTTGAGGTTTTGTAGTTTGTGTGCATAGAGGTGTTCATAATAGTCTCTGAGGGTTTTTGTACTTCTGTGGGGTCAACGGTAATGTCCCCTTTGTCATTTCTGATTGCATTTGGTGGGGGGGGGGGGGATCTTTTTCTTTTTAGTCTAGCTAGCAATCTAAAATCTTTTTTTTTTTTTTTTTGAGTTTTCGTGTCTCTATTTCCTTCAGTTCAATTCTGATTTTGGTTATTTCCTGTCTTCTGCTAGCTTTGGGGTTGGTTTGCTCTCGTTTTTCTAATTCCTTTAGGTGTGATGTTAGGTTGTTTACATAAAATCTTTCTAACTTTTTGACGGGAGTGTTTACGTGTTATAAACTTTCAACAGTGCTTTAGCTGAGTCCCATAAATTCTGATATGTTGTATCTTGCTCTCATTATTTTCAAAGAATTTCTTTATCTCTGCCTTAATTTCATTGTTTTTCCAAAACTTATTCAGGAACAAGTTGTGTAATTTCTATGTAATTGTAAGGTTTTGAGCAATCTTCTTAGTATTAATTTTTATTTTCATTGCACTGTGGTCTGAGAGTGTGGTTGGTATGATTTCTATTTGCTGAGGCTTGCTTTATGTCTGATTGTGTGGTCAGTTGTAGAGTAAGTACCATGTACAGATAGATGAGAAGAATGTACATTCCATTGTTTTGGGTGGAGAGTTCTGTAGATGTCTATTAGGTCCATTTGGTCAAGCATCAAGTTCAGTTTACAAATATCTTGGTTTTCTGCCTCAGTGATCTGTCTAATACTGTCAGTGGGGTGTTAAATTCTCCCGCTATTATTGTGTAGTTATCTGTGTCTCTTACACTTAGCTAGGTCTCTGAGGATTTGCTTTATTAATCTAGGTGCTCCTGTGTTTGGTGCATGTGTATTTTGAATAGTTAGGTCTTCTTGTTGAACTAAACCCTTTATCATTATGTAATGCCTTTTTTGTCTCTTTTGATTGTTGTTTAAATGTCTGTTTTGTCTGAAATTAGAATAGCAATCCCTGCTTTTTTCTGTTTTTTTATTTGCTTAGATTACTCTCCATTCCTTTACTTTGAGGCTCTGGGTGTTATTGCATGTTAGATGAGTCTCTTGAAAACAACACAAAATTGGTTCTTGCTTCCTTATCAAACTTTCCTCTCCGTGTCTTTTAATTGGGGCATTTAGCCCATTTACATTCAAGATTAATATTGATATGTACAGATTTGATGCTGTCATCTTGTTGTCAGCTGGTTATAATACTGACTTGATTGTGTGTTTTTGTTGTTGTTGTTGTTTGGTTTTATTTATTAATTTATTTTAGTGTTTATGTTCTATGTTCTTAAGTGTGTTTCCATGGTGGCCAGTAATGGTCTTTTTGTTATTTAGTACTGCCCTGAGGGCCTCTTGCAAAACAGGTCTGGTGGCAACAAATTTTCTTAGCATTTGCTTGTCTGAAAAGAATCTTATTTCTCCTTTGCTTATGAAGCTTAGTTTGCTGCATATGAAATTCTTGGTTGGAATTTCTCAAGAATGCCAAATATAGGCCACCAATCTCTTCTGGCTTGTAGGGTTTCTGCTGAAAAGTTCACTGTTAGCCTGATGGGTTTCCCTTTGTAGGTGACCTGCTGCTTTTCTCTAGCTGCCTGTAACATTTTTTTTTTCTTTCATTTAGACCTTAGAGAATCTGATGATTATGTGTCTTGGGGATGATCACCTTGTATAGTATCATGCCGGGGTTCTCTGCATTTCATGAATTTAAATGTTGGTCTCTCTAGCAAGATTGGGGAAATTTTCAGAGAAAATATCATCAAATATATTTTCCAAGTTAATTTCTCTCTCTTCCTGTCTTTCAGGGACACTAAGGAGTCGTTGATTTGATCTCTTTACATAATCCCATATTTCTCTGAAGTTTTGCTTATTCTTCTTTTTGCTTTTTTATCTTTGAGTTATTTCAGAGAAGTAGTTTTCAAGTTCTGAGATTCTTTCCTCAGTAGATTCTGCTTTTAATACTTGCAATTGTATTATGAAATTCTTGAAGTGAGTTTATCAGCTTTATCAGATCAGTTTGGTTCTTTCTTAAAATGACCATTTCATCCTTCATCTTCTGTATCATTTTGTTGTATTTCTTAGATTCCTTGGATTGGTTTTCAACTTTCTTCTGAAGCTCAATGATCTTTTATCTTTTCCATATTCTGAATTCAATTTCTGTCATTTCAGTCATTTCAGCCTGGTTAAGAACAATTGATGAGGAGCTAGTGCGGTTGTTTGAAGGTAAGAAGACACTCTGGCTTTCTGAGTTGCCAGAGTTCTTGAACTGGTTCTTTCTCATATTTGTGGGCTGGTGTTCCTTCAATAGTTGAAGTTATTGCCCTTTGGGTGGGATTTTTTGCTTTTATCTTATTTTATATCCTTGGCTATTTGTTTGTGGTATAAGATGGGTTCATTAGGGTGCCTTCATTTCTGGAAGATTTTAGGAGGCCTAAGGCTCAGCTCACCATTCCTGGGCTGTGTGCTCTATCCCTGGGAGGGTGACACCAGGCCCCCAGCTTTGTTCTCTGGCCCCCCAAGTTTAGGAAACTGCTGCACCAGGGGGCAGGGGATGAAGTGTTCATGGTCCCCTGGCCACAACACTCCAATGAAGGGTGCTGGCTAAAGCGCTTCATCAGGGTGGTGGCAGCAGGATCTGTGCTCACTTGTACCGGCTAGCAACCACAGCAGTGCAGTGGGGTGCATCCACATTGGCTGGGGAAGGGTACCAGCAGGAGTGGGGCTGTGGCATGCCTATGTGCATTCATGCTGGCAGCAATAGCATGTGGTGGGAGCAGCATGCTAATGGGGTTCCCAGCATTTATATTCACCCATGCACCATCAACAGTTGTAGCAAGGGCAGGGTGCTGGTGGGGGCAGAGCTGCTGACATCCATGTACACATTTGCACCAGTGGCAGTGGTGGTGCGTGGGGGTGCAGGGTTGCCAGCATCAGTGCACACATTTGCGCTTGTGGTAGCAGCATAACCACGTGCCTGCACATCAGTGGGTAGGGTGGCTGGTGTGATGTACCACCACCAGCAGCAGTGATGTGATGGGGTGTGCACATACACCAGCCAGGGAGGAGAGGCAAGGCCTGCCCATGCACCAGCAAAGCAGTAAGTGGTAACCATGGGCAATCGCATGTTGGCAAAGCAGCAAGGGGAAGCTGCAGTCGGGGGAGGGTGTGGGTGGGCTGGTGCATGTCGGCAGGTGTCACTATGCTGGAGCTCTCTAATGGTCAGGCAAGGTCTTCTGGCAAAGGAGCTATGAGAAGAGTCCCCAAGAAGCACCCCGCTGGGCATCTGAGGCCACGCTGCAAGCGGGCATGGCCAGGTTGGGGCCCCAGGAGAGGTCAGCAGACAGTGAGGTGCTCAGATTGGACTGGCCCCATCTCATGAGCCAGTCTACCCTACTCTGTCCAGGTCTGACAGTCATCCTAGGCTAAAGTGTCCTAGAGGAGCATGGTGAGCCTTGGATGATGGGCATCCCTGGCCTCACTCTATTGCAGACATTCCCACTTTGCCCTATGAGTGGCAACTGTCTGGGCTTCTTACTGGCTAGAGTTCTGCCCCTACCACCTCTCTAAGCAGCTCTCTCTGCCAGCTCAAGTGTCCACAGGAGTCATGGGATCTCCTGCTGCCAGGATTCTGGAGGTCCATGGCAAGAGTGGGTTGCTCCTCGCCTGTTCAACTCATTCCTTCCCCAGGAGTTGCTGGGGGTCAGGAACAAGTCCCAGTGCTCAGTAGCCTTGTGCAGGATTCCCAGCTCCTCCTCCTTCAGCCCAGCATCTGCATCCTCCCTCCATCTCTTCTCAATGCCTTCCCTCTGAGGACCTGCTCGGAGTGTGCCAGTCTTCCTGAGATGTCCCAGTCACTTAATGGGAGAGCTTCTTCCTGGCTGTGTTTAGTCAGCCATCTTGGTTCCTTTACTAAAGAGAATTTTATCTCCTGAAACTGGACGGCAGAGAAAGCTAAGAAACAGGCCCAGTACTTAGCAAAATTCCAAAGAAAGTTAAATTCTCAACATAGGTAAATCTGCTATGTCAAGGTCAAGACCATGAATGGCAAAAAAAATGAGCATCTAAGATATAGAATTGGAGTCATCAAGGTTGATGTATTACAAATCTGAAATCTCCAGATTCCTCTGAGTTTCCAAGACTGGAGAGGCATGCACTCTTCTCTTTCAAGGACAAATACTTCTGCCTTGCTCAAAGACAATGTGGAGGCCTCCCTTGTGCAAGAAAACACATGTCCCTACTCCAAGATATCTCTCCACTTTCCCCGGCTATAAAGTCAATAACTAGGATTAAGTCACAACATTTCTCATCCAGGGAAAAGCCAGACTTGCTAAAGGAGAAAAGAGACTATATCCCGAAGGAACTGTGGAACCTAGCCTACATGTATTGTCAGTAGCAATGAGAATAAATACAAAATCAATGGGGGTGGGGCCAGAACATATGGAAAAGATCATCAATATTGGTATGCTTTGTTTAGGATATAGAAGTTAATATTCTGGCAGTGCCCTTGGACATGGTATTAATATGCTGCAAGTATAGCTCTCAGAAGTTTATAGAAAGTGATGATCCACACTTAGTAAAGTAGATTTGTCAGAACTCCCATGTCAGACAGCAGAAGGGGCATGTGGCTCTGAGAAGTGAGGATACGAGAGGAGATAAAGTCAGAAAACCCACCAAGTAACTATTGTCTGTGGAAAGACCCAAACATTACTCCATTTACCAAAGAAATAAAATATGTACTGGTAAGAGGGGCACCAGTGTCACTGAGAAGCACGGTGGTGGCACTTATCCATAGGCCATGACTGATGATACAAGAAGAAGTTACAAAACTGGGCTCATTGCTAGTAACGGGAATGATATAATCTCAAAATAATAAAGGCCAGGTGGCACTGCTTATTCACCAGAGGTGAATTAGGTAATTATAATAATTAGTGACAAGCTAGGTGGACACAGAGTTATGGAGGTGGTTCATTCATAAAACATGCATCCCTTGGAGCAAAGTAGATAAGGTGCCAAAAAGAACATTGTTCAATCTGTACAATCCAAAAATATAAACAAATAAGATGAAGGATCAGGACACTGAGGGCAGCCAACTGAATAAAAAGGCACAATCCCTTGTCCTGTTTTCAGACTCAAAACCCATTCACTGAAGTAGAGGCTGGGTCTCCAAGAGGAAGGAACCTGCAACATGACAATTGTAAATGGCAACAGTTCTCCTAGCCCTTCTGCAAAGGAGCTTCCACCATTTATCTGGGCAATCATATGTTGAGGAAAAGGAAATAGTGAAACATTTTGAGGGCTGTAGGATAGAGTCTGAGATAACATCTGTACCCAGGGAATCAGAACATTTTAATTGATCCCTGTTAGAGGATGGTATCTGAGGCCAGGTAATAAATACAGTGTTGGCCCATTCCAGTTCATAAGGGTCCACTGGGTTCATGGACCTGCACAATGGTCATTTCCCTGGTCCTCAAATATATTAAAATATAGTTGGTAGTTTGCAGAATCCCAATGTTTGTTCCTCAGCCTATGGAGCAAGCACTATCGTAGTGAAAAGGAAGGCCAAGTGAAAGTGAAGGTCAAGTGAAAGTCTCTGAAACTGCCTCGCCCAACCCCTGACCAAGATGGTCAATTAAAATAGTATCACATCCCTAAGAGAATGACAGAGATTACTGCATTTTTAAAGACCTGCAGGGGTAATACTCCCCACCATATGGCTTCATTTAATTTACCAGTTTAATTTGTACAAATCCTAGAGAGATCCTGAAGGCTGTCTTTGAAGATGCTATATCAGATGTGATATCTGACTTTGATATGATGAACTTATTCTTTTGAAAGGAGAATCAGACGTTGTACTTCACTTAGAATGGATAACAGTGTACATTTGCCGCCTTGTCCCAGAGTTAGATGGAAATGGTCCATCCAGGATTGGGAGAAAGCAGGGTTGGTGGAACATTACTTGTGCCCCAGATGCTCCTTATCATCTGCTACTGTTTACTGGAGTTTCAGTTTACCCAGTGGATGACGATTAATGAAGGAATCAAACTTGAGCTTGGTTCACAGATAGCCAGCTCACTCTGTGACAGACAGTAAAAAACAGACTGCAGCTGCATAACAGGGTGATCTTAAAAAGACACCAGTGAAAGGAAATCCTACTAATGGACAAAGCTGCAGTCAGTGTGCCTTGTCATATATGTTGTGTGGAAAAGAGAAGTGGGCAGCAGCATATGGCTTGGTCAGTTGGCAAACAGCTGATTGCAAAAAATTTGAAGGATCAGAGAACCTCCAGAGGAAAAGGTATGTGGATATACTTAGAGGAATGGGCATGAAGTGTAAATATATTTGCATTATTAATGCCCTCCAAAGAGCATTCAACACAGGAAAGACAATTCAACAACCAAACAGAATCAGTCAACCAGCTGGTATCAGCCAGAGTCTGTCACTGGTCAGCCCAGTATTGAATTATGGGTGTATAAATGTAGTAGCAATAGTAGAAGAAGACTATGAAGGCCCCAACAGGATGCCTCCCACTCACCAAGAGTAACCTACGTTCTGCCACTACAGAATGTGCAACCCTCCACCAATACTAAACTCCATTTCTCAAAGAAACTAACCAGACATTTGATAGCAAATAGAAACAATGAACCCTTTCCACTTTGAAGGGGACAGTGATTGATTAATCTTGACTACAATAGCCACATAATATGAGTATGAGTTTGACTTCTATGCCTACAGGGCAAGAGCTAGTACTACTGTATGAGGGTTTTCAGTGTATATGATCTACCAACACATAACTCACAGTAGACTCAGAGACCCACTTCATAGCAAAAGTGTGGCAGTGGAATCCCCCATACTACTACCAACCATACCATCCAGAAGCTATTGGCCTAACAGAGCAACCAAGAGGCGGTTAACATCACAGCTGAGCTTCCGGTTCAGAGACAATACCTTGCAAGGATAGGGCACCATCTGTGAGGACACCACGTATACTCCAAATCAGTGACCCTTATATGGTACTCTGTCTCCTAAAGGAGGAACTCAGTGATCTGGGAACCAAGGGGTTGAAGTAGGAGTTGCTCCACTTACCTTTAATCCTAATCCCAGTGCCCCATCTGTGGAACTTGCACTTCCCATCCTTGCAACTCTGGTTTCTGTAGGTTTAGAGGTTTCTGGATCCCAAAGGAGACCCAATAATTTTTTTTTTTTTGAGATGGAGTTTTGCTCTGTCACCCAGGCTGGAGTGCAATGGCACAATCTCAGCTCACTGCAACCTCCTTCTCCCGGGTTCAAGCAGTTCTCCTGCCGCAGCCTCCTGAGCAGCTGGGATTACAGGCGCCTGCCACCACGCCTGGCTAATTTTTGTATTTTTCAGTAGAGATGGGGTTTCACCATGTTGGCCAGGCTGGTCTAGAACTCGTGACCTCAGGTGATCCACCCGCCTTGGCCTTCCAAAGTGCTGGGATTACAGGCATGTGCCACTGCACCCGGCCGAGACCCAGTAATTTTCAATCTATGGTTGATAATCAGGCACTTTGGGGTCCTTGTGCCAAGGAAGCAGTATGCAAAAAGAACAATCATCATCCTATCAAGAATAATTGACTCTGATTATCAGAAAGAGGCAGGAAGGAATATAATATTTGGCATCCAGCTAATCCATCTGGGCATCTCTGAATGTGTGCTTTGTCCAGATTTGAAGGTAAATTGATGAGTCCAGCAGCTATTGCCTGAAAGGGGCATGGTAACCGGGAGCTCAGATATCTCAGAGATGAGGACCTAAGTACCCTAAAAGATAAGCCACCAAAACCAAAAGAGATGCAAGCTGAAGACAAGGGAAATCTATCATGGATAACAGAGAAAGGAGTTGATTAAAATCAATTGCCACTCAAACCCAGCCCAGTGAAAGAGACAGCAGTTCATCCCACTAACTTTCCTCTTGTAAGCTTCTCCCATGGAAAGGAGCCCAGCACAGTCATAGAGGACCTGCTCCCAGAAGTTATATGAAAAAAAAAAAAACAAAAAACAAAAAACAAAAACTAGCTTTGAGTGGCAGAAGGAGTGGTCCAAAGTGGATGCTGTGATGTGGAACCCAGTCCCTCTGATGCTGAGATTTATTTTCCCCGCTGCAGAAGTGTTGCCAGCTAGCAGCCCTCAGCTAAGAAGAAGCTCCTTGCCCAAGTCACACTTCCTTACTAAGGGCTGCCTGCATCAATGATAGATCAACATGGCTTTATAACAGACTGGCCCACTCACCTCAACACAAGATATCTGCAAGACACCCACCCCGACCATTGGCCTGTGTTGAGAATGCATCACAACCTAATCACTCTTTTTTGCACAATCCTTCTTCCTTCTCTTCCACCGCAGGTGTTAATCCTGAGAGTACTCTCCAGTCAACTTCCTGCTTACAAATTTCTATCTCAGAGTTTTGCTGTCTGGGAGACCTGGCCTAAAATATATATAATTATACCATAATAGAAACCAATTGCAGATGACACTGCATTTCAGCTCATCACTTAATTCTGCTAAGTTGTGTTTTAATCATCCCTGATTAACTTATCATCAGACACTCCCAAAGAAAATTAGAGAATGTTTCCTACATTTTTTAAGTCTCTAACAGCTTACTCATGCTATCTTTAGTCTCAATAAATGACCTTACTTCACAGAAATCAAGGCTAAACATGATTTCCCTTAACCTTCCTCCTCCCACTCCTAAATTTCTTTGTATGCTCACACATACTTTTCTCCTTTCTTCCTTTCTTAGAAAATAAAGTGTCTCTTTCCATTAAGATTAATTCATACTACTTAGTACTTTACCCTATGGTTTCCTGACTTCTCCAAAACAATATTTTATCAAAGTCTTTAATCTCTCCATCTGAAAGTTTCCTTCCTTTCACTGTAAAAATATCTAAGACATTATTTCATCAAAATCTTTAATCTCTCCATAAAAATGTTTCTTTCCTTTTAGTCTATAAATACCATTGCCTATTTCAAAAACAAAAACAAAAACAAAACCTTGAGGTCTATTTTTGTCCTTAACATGCATCTGTTGCTCTCCTATTCTTTACCACTAAACAAGGTGGAGAAGTCTATAATGACTGTATCTATTTCATTTTCAGGCTATATCTCAATAAACTACAATCTGTATTCTATCCAGAGCTCTCTATTAAGACACCTCTCTGAAAAGTCACCAGTAACTTCCTAATAACCAGCTTCAATGGCTTTTCCTTCGTCGTTTTCTTTCTCAACTGCTCTGTGGTATTACATCATTTGGCCTTGTCTTACTCTTAAAACACTTTCCTCACTACATTTTCCAAGAAGCTATACTGCCCAGGTTCTCTTTCACCACAAGCTCTTTCATCACATTTTCTCAGTTTCTACCTACTCATTGCAGGCACTCCCAAAGTTCTGTTCTCCAGCGCTTTCTCTTCCAACTATAACCTTCCTCTCATTTAGTGATTCCATTTTTTCCAATTTTGAGCTACAAAAATTATGATTCTTAAAGGAAATCACCAATTTGATGTTTTCTCTTTAGCTCTAAACCACATCTTACCATAAAGTAATACATTAATTATTGATTTCAAAATAAGTACATTTAATTATGCTGTGAGTGTTTCTATTCCCGGGAACTAAACAATTATGCTAAATGTGTGCTGAATATTCTCAATACCTTTTCTGGAATTATTGAGGTAATAATATAGATTTTATTAACACATTTTACTATAATGTCAGATTCCCTGATTATGTTCCTGAAATAAATACTGTTTAAAGATGTCATTTGTTTTGTTTTAATAGATGGGCTGTCACTATGTTGATCAGGCTTCAAATTCCCTAGATTCAAATTCCTGGGCTCAAGCAATCCTCTCACCTCAGCCTCCTGAGTAGTTGGGACTATAGGTATGCTACTACACCCAGCCTGATGTTGTATTTATTTTTTAGCACATTGCTTGATATAATTTTGTTCAAGATTTCAAAGTCAATATGCATAAATGAAATGGACACATAAATTTTATTGGAACATCTTCACTGGGTTTATTATTTTCCTATGCTCTGGAAAATTTTGTAGAACATGAAGAGTATCTGTTTCATAACAATTTTCGAGTACTTGCTCAAAATCTTCTGAAACTAGAATTCATTTTTAAGATAGTACTTTTAAAATATTACATTTCTTCCATGGTTTCTCATCTATTTAGATTTTTTATTTCTTCCATACCAGTTTTATCTAGATAAAATGCAAAAACAACTTTTTAAAAAATTTGAAGCATGGCTTTTTTTAATTTTTTTTTATTTTGATAGGTTTTTGGGGAACAGGTGGTATTTGATTATGTGAATAATTTCTTTAGTGGTGATTTGGGAGATTTTGGTTCACCCATCACCTGAGCTGTGTACCCTATACCCAATGTGTAGTCTTTTATCCCTCGCCACCCCTAACTCTTTCCACCAAGTCCTCAAAGTCCAATGTATCATTCTTATGCCTTTGCATCCTCACAGCTTAGCTCCCACCTATGAGTGAGAAAATACAATGTTTGGTTTTCCATTCCTGAGTTACTTCACTTACAATAAGAGTCACCAATTCCATCCAGGTTGTGGTGAATGCCATTGTTTTATTCCTTTTTATGGTTGAGTAGTATTCCTATACATTCCTACAAATTTTCTTTATTCGTTGATTGATAGGCATTTGGGCTGGTTCCATATTTTTGCAATCACAAATTGTGCTGCTATAAACATGCATGTGCAAGTATCTTTTTCATCTAATGACTTATTTTCCTCTGGGTAGATACCTAGTAGTGGGACTGCTGGATCAAATGGTAGTTCTACTTTTAGTTCTTTAAGGAATCTCCATACTGTTTTCCACAGTGGTTGTACTAGTTTACATTCCCACCAGTAGTGTAAAAGTGTTCCCTTTTGACCACATCCACGCCAACAGCTAATATTTTTTGATTTTTTGATTATGGCCATTCGTGCAGGAGTGAGGTGGCATCGTATTGTGGTTTTGATTTGCATTTCGTTAATCATTAGTGATGTTGAGCATTTTTCCATATGCTCGCTGACCATTTGTATATCATCCTTTGAGAATTATCTATTCATGTCCTTAGCCCGCTTTTTGATGGGATTTTTTTTTCTTGCTGATTTGAGTTTTTTGTACATTATGAATATTAGTCCTTTGTTGGATGTAGAGATTGTGAAGATTTTATCCCACTCTGTGGGTTGTCTGTTAACTCTGCTGATTTTCTTTTGCTGTGCAGAAGATTTTACTTTAACTAAATCCCATCTATTTATCTTTGTTTTCGTTGCATTTGCTTTTGGGTTATTGGTTATGAAGTCTTTGCCTAAGCCAATGTCTAAAAGGATTTTTCTGATGTTATCTTCTAGAATCTTTATGGTTTCAGCAAAAACAACTTTTAAAACATATGAGTAAGCTGGCAGAACAAAAATAGATTCTAAGAGACTAAAATTTGAAAGTGGAAATTTGAAATTCAAAAAAATGCAATTAGGAATCCAGCTGGATTGATCCCTGGTTGCCTGGAAATTGGCTTTTAATGGAACTTACACACAAGGGGAAAAGGACAAAGCCTGAATTTTTTTTTTTTTTTTTTTTTGCAAAGTGGAGAATCAGATCATATAATCCTGCCTAAAGGCATAAGTGAGTGAATTAGGGGCAAAGCCTTATAGGAAGATACAATAAGTTTACTGCCATAGTCTTGACTCTGGGAGAAGAGGGATAAAATTCCTCACCTAAGATCTTATAATTACAGGCCTTCCCTTGCATGGGACCAAGAATAGAATTTCTATTGCGTCTGCCATTGGAAAAATTTCAAACTGAAAATAAGTTTAAAATAGTCCTAGATCAGTAGTGCCCCTGGGCACCTGGCAAAAGCAAACACGTATTATCTCTGGAGAAACACATTTAAACTCACCTGTCAAATAATTTCCAAAAATAAAATTTCAAGGTTAGGAGCTCAACGATAAATAACACAATGGAGAAACAAGCAATCATGACTCAAAATCGGCAGAATCAAGAAGATATAGGATGATACATGCAGCAATTACATATTTTTGAATAACCAGATACAGAAAAAGAAATACATAATAAAAAAATTATATGAATGTGTAAATGAAGGCAGAAGAGACTATCAAAATTGATCATGCAGACTTGAAGACAGAACCAAATCGAACTTCTAAAAATTAAAATACAATTGAAATTAGAAATTTAATGTCAGGTTAAACAGAAAATTAATGTCAGGTTAAACAGATGAATAAACAAATCTGAAGGGAGAATTAGAGAGCTGGGAAATATTTTTGAAGAAATTACTTAGAAATTTCTCAGATGGAAAATATGAAAAAGAAAAGATGATTAAGAAACAGGAAGAATAGAGACAAAATAGAGTAAGAAAATGTACAGAGACATCACAGAGGAACCATAAGATGAAAAATCAAAGAATTTAATAATTACAATTTCAAGAGAGATTAGAAAGGGAAAAACAATATTTAAATAATGAAAAAGCTAATGATTTCCCAGAATTTTTTTAAGTAAGGAAATTATAAATCCTCAGAATCGAGAGACAACAAATCCAAAGAAGATAAATAAAAGAAGAAATTCACACTTCAACACATATTGGGAATTTGTAAAACCCCGAGACAATGAAAATTTTACAGGCCACCAGAGAGGGAAAAAAAAATCATATTACCTACAATAGGACAACATACTGAGGACTAATCTCTCAAGAGCAAAAACAGAAGCTAAAAGAATAGTGAAATATCTTCAAAATGTCAAGAGAGCAACTTTCAGGTAAAACTATATTTTCCATTAACACTGTCTTTCCAAAATTAAGTTGAAATAAGGGCATTTACAAAAGAACAGAAACTCAAAAGGTTTATTATCAACAGATATCACTAGAGGAATGTCTAAAAGGTGAACTTCATGAAAAAGGAAAATAGCATTTAAGGGAGGTCTGAGATGCAAGATATGCTAGCAATCAAAGAAAATGGTAAACATGAGATGAATCTGAAAAAGCATGTATAAATCAATAGCAATAATATCTAATTTAGGGATTCAAATATTAATATTTTACTTCTTAAGAAAACTAATATTAAAATCTTAGTTCTTAAGGAGTGAAATACTTCCAAATGCTAGACTCATTTGTAAGCAGGTTGATCACAATTTAAGCATTCTTTGTCTTCGTAATGTTCAGCAGAAGGGTAACTACAAAAAGAGTACAAGAATATATATAATATCTTTATTAGTAGAGGGGGAAATAAGAATAAAGAAAAAGAGCTTAATCCAAAAGTAGGCAAGAATAGTGAAGAAAAAAAAGAAATAAAGCAGGCTAAATTAAAACCCCAAAATTAGATGATAGAAATGAATACAAATATATCAGTTATTACAATAAAGATAAATGGAATTGATTATTCTGTTAAAAGGCAAAACCAGCCATTTACTGATTATAAGAGAAATAGCGCCAATTAAAGGAGGGAGTAACATTAAAACTATTTTAATAATATAAAATATAATTAGTAAAATTATTATAGTAACTAGATTATGGAGTTAAAATTAAAAGCAAAATAAAATGTATCACAAATTAGAATGTAACTTTGAAGGGAGTTGAAAGAAAAGCTGAATGATCTTATAATCATGAAAAATAATCAATAGTTAACAGTCTTTCTCATAAAAGAATCAAGTATTCATCCCACCTTTGCTGTAAAAATTATACCTCAGGATAATCAAGTAATTGATGACGGGCCATTAATTTTTATAAAAATATTCTAGTCAATAAGCAAGAAAGAATTTATAGAATTAAAATATCACCAGGGGCACACTTGGTTTCTCAAGGCACCTGCTTGGCCCTCTGCCAAGTTTCCTTTTCTTCCTTTCCTTTTCCTCCTTTTCTTACTGTTCTAAAGCTTTTTGATAAACTTCCACTCCTGCTCTGAAACTTGCCTCTGTCTCTTTTTCTGCCTATGACCCTCAGTTAAATTCTTTCTTCTGAGGAGGCAAGAATTGAGGTTGCTGCAGACGGATTTGCCACCATGTGACTTGGATACCTTCCACAGGTAAAATATTTAGTACAATGACTCGACGTCATTAAAGTACCAGAGATTGCCAGCTGGATACATCACACCTGAGTAAGCTGTGGAACGGGTCCAAAACACCAGAGCTGGAAGTGACGCCCTCAGCTCCTGAACATACTTGCGAGGCCCTGGAAGATCTGAGGTTCCTCTTTAAGCAGAAAGTAATGTCTTTTCACCTCAAAGTTGTGCCCATCAAGCTCCAGATGGTCCTCAGTGACGAATACCGTCCTCTCAATGTTCAAGAGTCACCTGTCTACAGGGGGCCTCTAGACTGCCTATCAGTGGGACATGACAGAGGCGAAATTCTGCCCCTGTCTCCCTTGAACCTGGCTGAATACTGCTTTCACCAACTCACAGAACCAACCGTGCCCGGACAGCTAGCAAGAGGACAAGAGCCACAGAACCACCACCACCGCCCCTCTGTCAACAGAAAGCAGTTATAGAAGACTGACCTTTGCGCATTTTCCCCCAAAGATTTGGGGTCTTGGAATCTTGAGGGTGGAAATGGCGCAGTGGGTAGCTAGTCAGGTATCAGCAGGGCAGGAGAGGGCACGCACGCGCGCACACACGCACGCACGCGCACACCACGAGTGTTGGGTGACCATCAGGTGATGGTCAGGCAGTTGTTAACTGTCTCGCTAAAGTAATAATTGGCCACAGCCAGTGCCAGAGAAAGTCAGTCTACTAATACATGTAGATAGGAAACACCTGAAACTGATCAGCAGCTTCCCAGTAAGATCTCAGGAGTGGAGAGAAGGAACGCAAGATCCCGGAAGTATGCCAGTGTATAAAACCCCAAGTCAAAAGGTCGCGCCGTACACTTGGTTTCTAAAGTCACCCACTTGGCTCTCTTCCAAGTGTACTTTCCTTCTTTTCTTTCCTTTCCTTACTGTTCTAAAGGTTTTTAATAAACTTCCACTCCTGCTCTAAAACAAAGGGAAAAAAAAATCACCAGGCCGGGTGCTGTGGCTCATGCCAGTAATCTCAGCACTTTGGGAGGCTGAGGCAAGAGAATCACTTGAGCCAGGAGTTTGAGGCCAGCATGGACAACATGGCAAAAACCCATCTCTTAAAATAAATAAATAAATAAAATAAAATAAAATACCTAGGCAATAATGATCAATGGCTGTGAAGTTCCACTGTATAGTAAGAGTGGACTTCATTGAGAAAATTGCATTTAAGCAAGTATTTGAAAACAGTGAGGGAGTTCACCATATGGATATCTGGGGGATGAATATTCCAAGCAGAGGGAACAACCAGTGCCAAGGCTGTTCAGTGGGAGTCTGTCTAAGAGTTAAGAAGCACAAAAAGCAGCCCAGTGAAGCTGGAACATAACGAGGAAAATTGTATGAGATGGAGTCAGGTTGCAACAGGAAGCCAAATTATGAGTAACTGGTAGGATGGAACTGGCATCAGTTGAATAGAGCAAGACTGGTTGAGGTAGGTTTGCTGGGAGAAATCAGAAGTTTTGAATACTGTATGTTTAAGATGTTTATAGTACATCCATGTGAAGCTGTCATGTAGGCAGTTGGATATATAAACCTGAAGTTCTGGGCCACAAACCAAATGTGGAAACCATCAACATACAGATAGTATTTACATCCAGGGAATGGGAGTCAGAGCACCAGAGGGAGGAAACTGATAGAAAAAAATGAAGACAACCAGGACTGAGTTTTGGAGAGATATCCAGGACAAGACAATACTTTCCACCTTCTTATTTTAATTGATTGATTGATTGAGACAGGGTCTTGCTCTGTCACCCAGGTGGGAGAGCAGTGGTGTGTGTGATCATGGCTCACTGCAGCCTTGACCTTTCAGGCTCAAGCCATCCTCCCATCTCAGCCTCCCAAGTAGCTAGGATTACAGGCACATGCCACTACGCCTGGCTAATTTGTGTATTTTTCGTAGAGACAGGGTTTTGCCATGTTGCCCAGGCTGGTCTTAAACTCCTGAGCTCCAGTGATCGGCCCACCCCAGGCTGCCAAAGTACTGGGGTTACAGGTGTGAGCCACCACATCTGGCTTCATCTTCTTCTTATATACTATATAATTTATGATATATTGTGCTTATTTTTTATAAAGTCTAAGAATATAAAATTACATGAGGGGAGGGATTTTTGTCTTTTCTGTTCAGTCCCCTGATATATCACAAGTACATAGAATAGTGTCTGGCTTAGTAGGCATTCAATAAATATTTGTTAGCGAAAATCTATGGATTATGTCTTTTGTGTTTGTTTTATAAATTATTCCATATGCTTAGGTCATAAAGATAGTCCTCTTTTCTTCTAATTGCATTACATTTTTGCCTTTCACATTTAATTCATAATCCATATGGAATTGATTTTGTTTATGCAGTAAGTAAGAATTTAATTTCATTGTTCACATCTCTTCATTTCTACAGAATAAAGCCCAAAAATATTAGCATAACATTCAGGGGACTTCGTGATCAAGATCCACTTTATCTCCCCTGTGTTATCTCTGACTGCCACCCTGTGAAACCTTGATTCAACTACACCAAACCACTGACAATTCTTGAGAACATGAAGTTATTAAAAAGTAAAATCTATATTTGGGGGCAATATAACTGTAGAAAATCCAGAAAAAGTCATTTGAAAAACAAAGTTAATAAGCCTTTAGAGCAATTGTTAAAATGTTTGCATCTATTAAAATGTGTGTAAAGATACCAAATTATGTGAGACATGCTTATAATGTTAGCTGATAAAAACAGAATTTTAAATTATATCTACCATATGGTCTAATCAAAGTTTTAAAAAACCTAAATATGAAATAAATGTTACAGAAATATACTAAAATGTTAACATTAATGGCCATCATATTTGGGAGGACAAATTTTTTCCTACTTCCTAGTTTTATTTTATACACATAAGTTAGGGGGTTTTTTTGGTTTCTGTTTTTGTTTTTTGACACAGGGTCTTGCTCTAGAGTATGGTAATGCAATCACCCAGGCTAGAGTACAGTAATGCAATCATGGCTCACTGCAGCCTCGACCTCCGTGGCTCAAGCAATCCTCCCATCTCAGCCTCCCAAGTAGCTGGGACTACAAGCACACACCACCATGCCCAGCTAATTTTTGTATTTTTTTGTGGAGACATCATCTTGCTACATCGCCCAGGCTGGCCTTGAATTCCTGGGCTCAAGCAATCCTCCTGCTTCACCTCCCAAATTGCTGGCATTACAGGTGTGAGCCACTGCACCTGGCCTTAAGTTAGTTTTACAGTGAAACAAATTTAAAGAAAACATTTCATATTTGCATGTAAATACCAATGCAATTTATCCTTGATAAGAGAAGTTCCACTAAATTTCAAATAAAGCCTTGAAGAATAGGGACTTTAGCTGTAATTTTACATCAGTCATAACCACCAAGAAAAAATTGAAATGTGTAATTTGGAATATTAAGTGTTTATGCCTAGAAAGCACCTAGGTTCATTGTCACTGAGGTTATGTGAATAAATAATAAAGAGACTGGGTGGAACATTTATTACACATTTTCTATGCTATACCTAGGCACTGTGCTAATTACTTTAAATATATTATCTCATTTTTCATTTTAATCCTCAGAGTAACCCTATGATAGAGATATCATCATTTGCAGAGGTAGTTAAGAGCATGGACTCATGGCTTTTCATCTACATATAATAAGTAGAACCAGGAAAGTAGGTTTACTGATGAGTCTTAAACTAAATTCTCAGGTAATATCAGGTTCTATTTTACAACTGAAAGTGCCCCCAAAGATTAGCTATCCTAATATGTCACAGATGAGGAATGTATAAGTCCGTTCTCACATTTCTATAAAGATACTATCCAAGGCTGTGTAATTTATAAACAAAGGAGTTTTAATTGACTCACAGTCTTGCATGGCTGGGGAGGCCTCAGGAAACTTACAATTATGGCAGAAGGCAAAGGGGAAGCAAAGACCTTCTTCACATGGCAGCAGGAGAGAGAAGTGCAAGCAGGGGAAATGCCAGATGCTTATAAAACCAGCAGATCTCATGAGAACTCACTCACTATCACAAGAACAGCACGGGGGAAACCACCCCCATGATCCAATCACCTCCTCCCTGAACAGTGGGGGATTCCAGTTCAAGATGAGATTTGAGTGGGAACACAGAGCCAAACTATACCAAGAAGATTTCAATATTCAGAGAGAAAAGAGATTAATGACCACACAACTTGTTAAAGGTAGTAACACCAATTCCAGAATTATCGTTTCATCATTCTTTCCACTATAGCATGCTTTGTTCCCTGATCGCTGAGTTTAAATCAAAATGATTGAATATTTGCCTTCAAAAAATTACCCTGATAATATACTCTTCCCCAGATGGATTCTTTTAAAAAGGAATTTTAAACAGCTCTCCTGTCTATTCACACAACTTGAACACTGGAGACTGTAAGGACAATACCTGGAGGCCACGTACTGATACACTATCTGCTTTTGGGGAATAAACATGGTATAACCTCTTGAGTAAGCATTACAGCTTTCAATATATAAATTCTCTATTAAAATGTTTAGGAAGCAATTCTTTTTATTGCTACTAAATGAAAACACTGTATCTTCTATTAAAAATTCATTAAAGAATGCCATTCACAAAAAGATTCAATTAAGTATGTGAAATTTATCCCACTGTGACCTGTATTGAGCTGTTCTATAAGAAAACATAGTCCCATTTTTGTTCTGAGCTCATCTCTAGGGGGAAAACTTGAATTTCATTAAGAAAAACAGCTCTGCTCTCTCAATTAGAGTCCCAGTGGAATTTGACTATGTGAACTGTCCTGGGTATAGGGTGGGAAAGAGACCACTCATACTGTATCTCACTCACACACACGGCCTTCCTATGGTATCCTTTCCATGTAAGATTAACCAGTGTTACTTTTTTGAAGATATATCACAGCACTCATTCATTTTTGTCTATAAGCCCAGCAAAGGTCATACTCTCTTCCAAAGTCGATGTGCCGAAAATCATAGCTAAATGCTCTCAGGCCTTACTTAAGCATTCCCACCGAAATTGTCCTCTCTCCTCTCTGATGATATAGATTCCCCATCTGCCTTTTGCATCATAGACTCTTCCAGACAATCTAAACTTCCTTCCCTGTGCAGAAATCCCCGCTGAAGGAACAATAGGCCATCCATATTCTGCTTGAATGGCCTTAAATGATGGAAAACTCACTAGCACTTCCTGAGGCAATCTGTGCATTGCAGGAGCAGCTTTAGTATGAGTTTTTTCCTATATTGGTCATGGAGTCTGCTAATGTTTGTCTAAATGTCCCATGGGTTATTAGACATGACTACCTCCACAAGAGAGGCAATAATCAAACTGTATGAGGATGGCAGGTTTGTTCTCTCATTCATTCCATTTACCCAACACTTTTTACGTGTCTCCATGTTCAGTAGGACCTTAATCTTCAGTCATTAAAAATACATATAGCAAAAATAAGAGCTTAGGCACTTGGGGTTGTAATTTTTTCTCACTTATAAACTTTTTATTTCTGGCCAGTCATTTTTAAAGTGCTGATCTATAGATGGGAAATTTTATTATTATTATTATTATTATTATTATTATTATTATTTTGAGACAGGGTCTCATTCTGTCACCCAGCCTGGAGTGCAGTGGTGCAATCTAGGCTCACTGAAACCTCCATCTCCCAGGTTCAAGCAATTCTCTTGTGCCTCAGCCACCCCAGTAGCTGGGATTACAGGCTTGTGCCACTACCCCCAGCTAACTTTTGTATTTTTAGTAGAGACAGGGTTTCACCATGTTGGGCAGGCTGGTCTTGAACTCCTGACCTCAAGTGATCCACCCACCTCAGCCTCCCAAAGTACCAGGATTACAGGTGTGAGCCACCACACCTGCCGGAAATTATTTTTTTAATCTTGGGTCTCACCCCTAAAGATCATGATTCAGAAAGTCTGAGTAAAGCTGAGGAAATCGTATTTAAAAAAAAAAAAAAAACACTCTGTTGAAGATATTCTGGTACATATCTTGGTACAAGTTTAAGAACTACTGATCTAAATAACTGCTGAATCTCTAGGGTCTCTTTAGTATTCTACAACTGGGAATCGTTACTATGCTTATCAGTATTTAAACCCACTGTGTACACTAATTGTGACTTCCACCCTACAGCCATGAAAATATGCCTTCTCAATACCCTATATTGCAGGTTGGATTCCATGGGAAACAGCCTTGGAGTCAGAGGTTAGCATGCAGGAAGTTTGTCTGGGAGTGATTGATAACTGTGGGGTAAGGAAATGAAGCAGGATTGGGGAGAGTGAGAAACTGGGCAGAGAAGCCATCTCAAGAAAGACCTCAGCTGACTCACAGGCAGTTCTGAGGCTAGACTAGTTCTGTGATGTTTTTTCTGAGTTGGGACGAGCGGTTGGGTCTTTATACCAGATATCAACCTGTCATTGGATGCAGGCTACCTCAGGAAGGGGTCATAACCTTGGCAAAGTGGCTTTCTTCATCAGAGGGCAAACAATGGGGGAATAAATTCCCTCAGTGCTGAAGGGGAATTTGAGTGCACTTCCCAAAATCCACTTCACCCCCCTTCGTAGGAAAAAGATGGCAAGCGTTAAACCGAAGCATTCTTCAGCAGAGAACAGTTTTTAAGTCACCGAAAAGAGCACATTACTATCTCTCACTTCCTCCCAGTTCAAGCACTGGATGTTTACGGAATGATTCACCACTAAAATGAAGCATGAATTTCCATGTGGAATTATTTCTAATACCTTAAATGGCACTTCTTAGGGCTCTTCATGTCTACAGTTTTGATAAATCAGGATAAATTGCTTCCAAACAACTGGTCTTTTTTATTTGTTTGTTTGTTTAAAAGATTTATAGCTACTTGGGAGGTTGAGGAGGGAGGATCAATTGAGCCCAGGAGTTCAAGGCTGTAGTGAGCTATTATAGGACCACTGCACTCCACCCTAGGCAACAGAGTAAGACCTGTCTCAAAATAAAAAGACTGCCTCAAAAATAAATAAAACAAAACAAAATATAAAATAAAATTGTCCCTAACCCCATCTTCAGAATTGCTTATTCATAGCTCTGGAGAGAAACTAAAAAATCTGCACTTTTTACAAGCACCATGACTAGTTCTGATGCAGGTAGTTCTCAGCCATATTTTGAGAAAAAAAAATGAATTAAAAGATAATCTTAAAACAATCAGTGAATATATATAATACATATACTCAAATGAAACAAATATTGTATATACCAGCTTGCATTTTAAAGACTTCAGTGAGAAAGAGGATGTGGATGAAAAAGAAATCTCCTGCTTAGATCAAAGGAGGATCATGTGATGAAAATGAAGCTCCTAATCTCTTCTTACTGAGGGAAAAAAACTGTAGACTTTCTATATAGAAAATAATACCTACCCCAGGCAAAGAGGAAGAGAAGATACAAAAAAGATCTAGTTAGTTACCAAGAGCTAGTCACTGGTCATCATCAATACGGAACAGGCAACAGCTAAAAGTTGTAGCAACTTTTAAAGTATCTGGGAAATCATGCACAGATCTAGGGATCTTCTACCATCAAAGATGTTTGGAAAGAGGAATTGTTACACTTCTGCTCAATACGCAACAAGAACTGTAATCAAACTAGGCAAACGCTGAGAACAGTTGGAGATTTTAGGTGTTGCTCTAATTGTTACCTTTTGAATATGTATGTCATTAACAGCCAATATTCTATATTAAAAGTAAAAAATATTTGTTCCTTACTAAAGTCTTATCATTTTAGAAAAAGCATGACTATATAATATTACATATACTGGCAACACACAAATATAAAATATAATTTGAAAAATAACATTTAAAAAGCATTAAAGAATCATCATGGCGGACAAGAGGCAGGACTAGATTGCAGCTCCGAATCAGATGGACAGAGCAGTGTGTGGAGGCCCACATTGTGAATTTTAGCTCTGAAACAACTGCAAGAACAAACTGGGAATCCCCAGGACCTACAGACCCTCTGAAGGAAGCGGATTGCTCCTGCAGGACCCGGGAGACACCCCAAATGCTGTAAGTGCCCAAACTGCGGAAGTGGGAAAGGGAGGTCCTCCACCCCCGAACACACCTCCACTGGGGCAATTGAAGGTCTAGTTTGCAAGAGAAGTTTCCGACCTTACCTGGAGCTGAGTCAATTTAGATAGCCGAGCGAAACACAGGGGTAAAGGAAGCAGTGAGAAACGCCCTGGGAGCTTGCTGGACCCCCAAGCAGGCCATTCCTACCTGGCACCACAGGGATCCTTTGGGAGGGCGGCCAGAGGCGCAGGAGAAAATGCCACAGAGAAAAGGAAGTCTCCAGCTGAACTTTGTAACAATTTGAACAGGGCAAGAAGCCTCCTGGTCAGAACTCAGGGGATGCCGCAAATCCAAATCCGGTGTGCCGACTCCACAGGTGGGGGAAGAACCAAAACCCTTTCCTTTCACAGCTGGGAGGCGGGTAGCCTGGGGAAAGTTCTTAAGCCCTGCTCGCCCACTGCCTGGAAACAGACTTGGGGCTGTTAGGGGGCATGGTGGGCCAGCCGGTCAGATTGCATGGGAGCTGGGTGAGACCTGTGACTGCTGGCTTTCCCCCACTTCCCTTACAACCTGCGTGACTCAGCAAAGGCAGCCATAATCCTCCTAGGAACACAAGTCTATTGACCTGGGACCCTCACCCCCATTCCCCACAGCAGCCACAGCAAGACCCGCCCAGGCAGAGCCTGAGCTCAAACATGCCTAGCCCTGCCCCCACCTGATGGGCCTTCCCTACCCACCCTGGTAGCTGAAGACAAAGGGCATACACTCCTGGGAGTTCTGGGGCCCTCGCTTACCAACAGTTCCTCTCCATGCTACCACAGCTGATGCTCTCTGGAAAGCGCCACCTCCTGGCATGAGGCCAAGAAGCACAAAAATAGAACATTAAACCACCAAAGCTAAGGACCCTCACAGAGTCCATTTCACTGCCCTGCCACCTCCACCAGAAGAGGTGCTGGTATCCACAGCTGAGAGACCCATATTCAGTTCACATCACAGGACTATGTGCAGACAACCCCCAGGACCAACCCAGAGCCAGGTAGACTTGCTGGGTGGCTAGACCCAGAAGACAGATAACAATCACTGCAGCTCAGCTCACAGGAAGCCACATCCACAGGAAAAGGGGGAGAGTACTACATCAAGGGAGCATCCCATGGGACAAAAGAATCTGAACAACAGTCTTCAGTCCTAGACCTTCCCTCTGACAGAGGCTACCCAAATGAGAAGGAACCAGAAAATCAACTCTGGTAATATGATAAAACAAGGCTCTTCAATACCCACCCACCCCACCCCCCCCCGCCCCCGCCCAAAAAAATCACACTAGCTCACCAGCAATGGATCCAAACCAAGAAGAAATCCCTGACTTACCTGATAAAGAATTCAGGAGGTTAGTTATTAAGCTAATCAGGGAGGCACGAGAGAAAGGTGAAGCCCAATAAAAGGAAATCCAAAAAATGATAGAAGAAGTGAAGGGAAAAATATTCAAGGAAATAGCAAAACAAAAAACTATTAAAACTTCAGGAAACATTGGACCCACTTAGAGAAACACAAAATGCTCTGGAAAGCCTCAGCTATAGAATTGAACAAGTAGAAGAAAGAAATTCAGAGCTCAAAGACAAGGTCTTCTAATTAACCCAATCCTACAAAGACAAAAAAGAATAAGAAAATATAAACAAAGCCTCCAAGAAGTCTGAGATTATGTTAAATGACCAAACCTAAGAATAAATGGTGTTCCTGAGGAAGAAGAGAAATCTGAAAGTTTGGAAAACATATTTAGGGGAATAATTGAGGAAAAATTCCCCAGCCTTGCTAGAGACCTAGACATCCAAATACAAGAAGCATAAAGAACACCTGGGAAATCCATCAAAAAAAGGTCATTGCCTAGGCACATTGTCATCAGGTTATCTAAAGTTAAAATGAAGGAAAGAATCTTAAGAGCTGTGAGACAAAGATACCAGGTAACCTATAAAAGAAAACCTATCATATTAACAGCAGATTTCTCAGCAGAAACTCTACGAGCTAGAAGGGATTGAGGCCCTATCTTTGGCCTCCTCAAACGAAACAATTATCAGCCAAGGATTTTGTATCCAGTGAAACTAAGCATCATATATGAAAGAAAGATACAGTCATTTTCAGACCAACAAATGCTGAGAGAATTCACCACTACCAAGCCACCACTACAAGAACTGCTAAAAGGAGCTCTAAATCTTCAAACAAATCCTGGAAACACATCAAAACAGAACCTCTTTAAAGCATAAATCACACAGGACCTATAAAACAAAAATACAAGTTAAAAAGCACAAACAAAAAAACCAAGGTACACAGGCAACAAATAGTAGAATGAATGCAACAGTACCTAACATCTCAATACTAATATTGAACATAAATGGCCTAAATGCTCCACTTAAAAGATACAGAACTGCAGAATGGATAAGAACTCACCAACCAACTATCTGCTGCCTGCAGGAGACTCACCTAACACAAAAGGACTCACATAAACTTAAAGTAAAGGGATGGAAAAAGGCATTTCATGAAAATGGACACCAAAAGTGAGCAGGGGTAGCTATTCTTGTATTAGAAAAAAAAAAACTTTAAAGCAACAGTGGTTTAAAGACACATTATATAACAGTAAAAGGCCTTGTCCAACAAGAAAATATCACAATCCTAAACATATATGCACCTAACACTGGAGCTCCCAAATTTATAAAACAATTACTAATAGACCTAAGAAAGGAGACAGACAGCAATACAATAATAGTGGGGGACTTCAATACACCACTGACAGCACTAGACAGGTCATCAGGACAGAAAGTCAACAAAGAAACAATGGATTTAAACTCTGCCTTGGAACAAATGCACTTAACAGATATATACAGAACATTTCTTTCAACAACTGCAGAATTCACATTCTATTCAACAGCACATGGAACTTTCTCCAAGATAGACCATATGATAGGCCACAAAATGAGCCTCAATAAAGTTAAGAAAATTGAGATTATATCAAGCACTCTCTCAGACCACAGTGAAATAAAACTGGAAATCAACTCTAAAAGGAACCTTGAAAACCATGCAAATACATGAAAATAAAATAACCTGATCCTGAGTGATCATTGGGCCAAAAACAAAATCAAGATGGAAATTTAAAAATTCTTCAAACTGAATGACAATGACACAACCTATCAAAACTTCTGGGATACAGCAAACGCAGTGCTAAAAGGAAAGTTCACAGCCCTAAGGGCCTACATCAAGAAAACTGAAAGAACACAAACTGACACTCTAAGGTCACACCTCAAGGAACTAGAGAAACAAGAACAAACCACATCCAAACCCAGCAGAAGAAAGGAAATAACCAAGATCAGAGCAGAATAAAATGAAATTGAAACAAAAAAATACAAAAGGTAAATGAAACAAAAAGCTGGTTCTTCGAAAAGATAAATAAAATTGATAGACCATTAGCAAGATTAACCAAGAAAAAAAGAGAGAAAATCCGAATAACCTCAGTAAGAAACAAAACAGGAGATACTACAACTGACACAACAGAAATACAAAAGATCATTCAAGGCTACTATGAATACCTTTACCCACATAAACTAGAAAACCTAGAAGAGGTGGATAAATTCCTGGAAAAATACAACCCTCCTACCTTAAATCAGGAAGAATTAGATACCCTGAGCAGACCAATAACAAGCAGTGAGATTGAAATGGTAATTAAAAAATTACCAACAAAAAAAAGTTCGGGACCAGATGGATTCACAGCAGAATTCTACCAGACATTCAAAGAAGAATTGGTTCCAATCCTTTTGACACTATTCCACAAGATAGAGAAAGAGGGAACTCTCCCTATTTCATTATATGAAGCCAGCATTACCCTAATACCAAAACCAGGAAAGGACATAACCAAAAAAGAAAACTACAGACTGATGTCCCTGATGAACATAGATGCTAAAATCCTTCACAAAATACTAGCTAACTAATCCAATAACATGTCGAAAAGATAATGCACCATGATCAAGTGGGTTTCATACCACGGATGCAGGGATGGTTTAACATACACAAGTCAATAAATGTGATACACCACATAAACAGAATTAAAAACAAAAATCACACGATCATCTTAAAGATGCAAAAAAAGCATTTGACAAAATCCAGCATTCCTTTATGATTAAAACTCGCAGCAAAATTGGCATACAAGGGACATACCTCAATGTAATAAAAGCCATCTATGACAAACCCACAGCCACATAATACTGAATGGGGAAAAGTTGAAAGCATTCCCTCAGAGAACCGGAACAAGACAAGGATGCCCACTCTCACCACTCCTCTTCAACATAGTACTAGAAGTCCTAGCCAGAGCAATCAGACAAGAGAAAGAAATAAAGGGCATCCAAACTGGTAAAGAGGAAGTCAAATTGTCACTGTTTGCTGGTGATATGATCGTTTACCTTGAAAGCCCTAAGGACTCCTCTGGAAAGTTCCTAGAACAAATCAAAGAATTCAGCAAAGTTTCCAGATGCAAGATTAATGTACACAAATCAATAGCTCTTCTATACACCAACAGCGACCAAGTGGAGAGTCAAATCAAGAACTCAACTCCTTTTACAATAGCTGCAAAAAATAAAATAAAATACTTAGGAATATACCTAACCAAGGAGGCAAAAGACCACTATGAGGAAAACTACAAAACACTGCTGAAAGAAATCATAGATGACACAAACAAATGGAAACACATCCCATGCTCATGAATGGGTAGAATCAATATTGTGAAAATGACCATACTGCCAAAAGCAATCCACAAATTCAACACAATCCCCATCAAAATACCACCATTATACTTCACAGAATTAGAAACAACAATTCTAAAAGTCATATGAAACCAAAAAAGAGCCTGCATAGCCAAAGCAAGACTAAGCAAAAAGAACAAATCTGAAGGCATCACACTACCTGATTTCACACTATGCTATAAGGCTATAGTCACCAAAACAGTGTGGTACTAATATTAAAATAGGCACATAGACCAATGGAACAGAATAGAGAACCCAAAAATAAACCCAAATACTTACAGCCAACTGATCTTCGACAAAACAAACAAAAACATAAAGTGGGGAAAGGACACCCTTTTCAACAAATGGCTAGCCACATGTAGAAGAATGATGGAATACTACTCAGCCATAAAAAGGAAAGAATTCACAGCATTTGCAGTGACCTGGTTGAGACTGGAGACTATTATTCTAAGTGAAGTAATTCAGGAATGGAAAATCAAACACCGTATGTTCTCACTGATATGTGGGAGCTAAGCTATGAGGACGCAAAGGCATAGAATGATACAATGGACTTTGGGGACTTGAAGGGAACGGTGGGAGCAGGGCGAGGGATAAAAGACTACAAATAGGATACGGTGTACACTGCTCGGGTGATGGGTGCACCAAAATCTCACAAAGCTCCACTAAAGAACTTATTCATGTAACCGAATACAACCTGTACCCCAATAACCTATGGAAAAATAAATATAAAAATAAAGAAGATTACCCTACAATCCCTCCTCTTCTGCTTCTGTTGTAAAAACAGAAGATTGGGAAAAGACACAACTGACATACTCCAAGTTTTTCTGCATTCCAGAATTGGCTGGGTAACCGTACTGCTATATGGAACTTGATAGCGCATTCATGAGAATTTTACTAAATACAAGTCACTTTATCACAAAAATGAATAAATAAATAATTTATTCTGGAATAAATCATCAAGTACTTAGAAATAAATCTAATGAGTGAAGTGTAACATCTCTACTCCAAAAAAATACAAAATGTTGGCTGGGCATGGTGGCTCATGCCTATAATCCCAGCACTTTGGGAGGCCAAGGTGAACAGATTGCTAGAGACCAGGAGTTTGAGAACAGCCTGGGCAACATAGCGAAACCCCATCTCTCCAAAACAAACAAACAAACAAACAAAAATTAGCCATGCCTACTGGCACACGTTTGTAGTCCTAGCTACTTGGAAGGCTGAGGTAGGAGAATTGATTGAGCCCAGGAGGTTAAGATTGCAGTGAGAGATGATTGTGCCACTGTACTCCAACCTGGGTGACAGTGCAAGACCCTGTCCCCAAAAATAAAATAAATAAAATAAAAAATAACTAAAATTATTGGGAGAGAGATATTATATTCATAAATTAGAAGACTCAATATTGTAAAATTATCATTTTCTCCCAAATTGATCTATAAATTCAGTGCAATCCCAGTCCAAATCCCAGCTAAATTTTGTTTAATAAATTTAACAAGCTGGTTCAAATATTTGTATAGTAATACAAAGAACAGTTAGTCTTTCACTTTCAGGTATCAAGACTTATTACATTGCTGCAGTAATTAAGAGAATTAGTGAAAGGATAGATATTAGTCAATGGAAAAGAAAAGAGTCCACTTGATGTATGATTAAAGTAACACACGATTAGTTAGGAAAAGGATATTCTTTTTAGTCAGTGTTGCTGGGTCAACTGGATATGAATCAGTTGGGTAACCACAGGGGAAAATGTGAATCTTGAGCTTCTGCCTCACCTCATATGCAAATACCAGTTCCAGATATACTGTAGATCTATCTATATGTGAAAGCTAAAAAACTGAGCTTCTTGGCGCACAGAAAGTCAAATATCACATGTTCTCATTCATCTGTGGGAGCTAAAAAAGTGGATCCCATGGCAGTAGAGGATAGAATGCTGGTTACCAGGGGCTGGGAAGGGAAGGGAGAAGGGGGCATAAAAAGAAGTTAGTTAATAGGTACAAAAGTGCAGTTAAATAGTAGGAATAAGTTCTAACATTCAATAGTACAGTAGGGAAATTACAATTAAGAATAATTTATTGTACATATCAAAATAGCTAGAAGATAATTATAATATTCCCGACACAAAGAAAAGATAAATGTTTGAGGTGATGGATATCCCAGTTACCCTGATTGTTACACATTGTATACATGTATCAAAATATCACAGGTACCCCAAAAATATGTATAACTATTTTTGTTGCGACAAGGTCTTGCTCTGTTGCCCAGGCTGTGGTGCAGTGCTGAGATCTCGGTTCACTGCAGCCTCGACCTCCCAGGCTCCAGTGATCCTCCCACCTCAGCCTCCCAAGTAGCTAGGACTACAGACACATGCTACCATACTCGGCTAATTTTTGTATTTTTTGTAGAGATGGGGTTTCACCATGTTGAACTCCTAGGCCCAAGTAATCTGCCCGCCTCAGCCTCCCAAGGTGCTGGTATTACAGGCATGAGCCACCACACCTGACTGTATAATTATTATATATCAATTAAATTTGTTTAAAAAAATAGGGCTTCTGGAATAAATCATAAAAGAATATTTTAATAAAATTTATAAAAAACAAAAAATATAAAATTTATTAAACAGATTTATTAAACAGAATTTAAAAGGGACTAACCATAAAATAAACAAAAATTGATCAATTATATTATGTTAAAATTAATAACGTCTGTTCATCAAAGACATCACTAAGAAGTAAAAAGTTAAGCCCCAGAGTGGAAGATGTTTCCATACATCTTACTGACAAAAGGCTCCGATTCAGAATACAAGAGAACTCCTAAAATCAATAAGAAAAATACAGACAATCCAATAGAAAAACTGGCCAAGAAACTTGAACAGACACTTTGCAAAAGAGGATATCCAAAGGGCCAGTAAACATATCTAAAGGCACTCAGCTTCTTCAGCTGAAACAAGAATGAGACACCACGACCATCTGCCATTAAGGGTAAAAATAAAAATGACAGTACCAAGAGTTGACAAGGATGAAAAGCAGGTGGAATTCACATAAAACTTCTTGGGAAAAACTATTCAGCAGTTTCCACTAGAAATGATTACCATATGCTCCAGCAGTTCCACTCCTTGGTATATATACACACAGACACACACACACGCACACACACAAATGTGTCTCTATCTTCCCTAAAAAACATATATAAGAATGTTTATAGGAACATTGTTAATATTAATGAAAAATTGTGGACTTTTCATACAACAGAATAGTTAGTACTATAGAGCAGTGAGGATGACACCGATTTGCTACATGCAACACCAGGAATAAATCTTACAAACATAATGTTCAGCTAACAGAGACAGACCCAAAAAGTATATCCTCTTTGGTTACATTTATATAAATTCCAGAATCAGGCAAAACTATTCCACAGTTTAGAAGTCAAGATGGGCCCAGCACAGTGGCTCACGCTTGTAATCCCAGCACTTTGGGAGGCCGAGGTGGGCGGATCATCTGAGGTCAGGAGTTTGAGACCAGCCTGACCAACATGGTGAAACCCATCTCTACTAAAAATACAAAATTAGCTGGGCATGGTGGCACACACCTGTAATCCCAGCTACTCAGGAGTCTGAGGCAGAAGAATTGCTTGAACCCAGGAGGTGGAGGTTGCAGTGAGCCGAGATCACACCATTGCACGCCAGCCTGGGCAACAGAGCAAAACTCCATCTTAAAAAAAAAAAAAAGTCAAGGTGGTGGTTACATTTGGGGCTGTAAAGACTGGATGGTTATACCAGAATGGACTTTGGGCTTCTAATCATAGTGTATTTATTTTTCAGGGTATTAGTAACTTCCTTTGTGGAAATTGATAAAACTATGACCTGTGGTCTGTACACTTTTCTGTATATTTGTTATACTTCAATAAACGTGTATTTTTCCTCAAACATCCAAAGCATTTCACAAGAGAGAAACACTGATTTCTCTTCGCCTAAAACAAATGCGGGATCTCAAGAACCCCTAGCTCAGGTATGAAGCCAACTAAACCTTCACTCTCACAAATGACAGATGTCTCCAGCTGCAATTTTCGAAGGCTGATATATTTCCAAGGTTCAACCGCTCCACTTATGAGGATTTTTCCATACATGGTTCTGATGCTGATAAGATCAGACTTTGTTGGATTTCAGAAATTTATTTTCCATTTCTTAATTGCAATGGCAGCCATAAAACAATTGCAGAAAGACGATTTGCCATCCAAATCTTTAAAAAAAAAAAAAGGAAAGGAAAGAAAGAACAAAGAAAAAAACAACTTAAATGCTAATCCATCTGCATTAGTTGATCCCAGCATCCTCATTTTAAATTCCCATTGAATCTTATTGTATAATTTTAGTGTTTTGCAAAGAAACAAGTTTTTATGATTTCCTACAGGTTGGAATCATAGATATTTATCCCTTTATTCTTGATATTTCATTTTCAACATCAAAAACAGCGTTAATTCAGCTTCACATTTTACCAAATGTTATGTCGATGTTCCAAAACCGCCTGGCCCCAACTTTAATTCCTTCCCACTTTTGATTAGTCTATTCCATGAGAACCACAGCAACTGAAATTGCCTCAGAAGAAAAGAGAAAGAATTAGAGTTTAGTTACTGACTTTTCGAAAGTTCATGGAAATGAATATATAAACCAATCAGGTGATAAATAATTGCTGGTACAAAATGAGCAGTGCAAATGACTTCCTATTGAGATTTTTAAACTTTCTCTATGACTAAGCTATGGTAAAGAGCAGTGTCTACCAATTATAATTTCTAATAAAGAATCTGGCCTAAAAGGTTTTTTCATTACTTTTATTGAGCTATCTAGACTTCTCTCTATTTTTTACAATTGGTACAATTAATCTATAAGAGCAAATTTTAGTCATCTTCCTTTAAAGACTATGTCATTCTGATACTAATTTTATCTTATATCAAGATAAAAACCTACATAAGGAGAACAAAAACTAATAAGTCACAACTTGTACTTTCATTCAGAAAAATTGAAAAGAACATTTCTTATTTAAAGTAGTGGTAAATAGTTAGATTTTCTTCCACTACTAAAAGTCTTTACCAATAAAAATGTGCATACCTGTAATATATTCAGAATGCAGTGAAATCATAAAATCATAGATAAATAAAAAATATATTTACCTGCCAATATCTGTTTTTATTACTGACAATTGGGTAGGAAAACAATTTTGCAAGTCTGACCATTCCTTTAGAAATCACAATGACCCTAAAGTAATATTTTTCTTCCTCTAAGTGTTAGTAATTTCCATGGCAACTCTCCATCTGCTTTTCACTATTTTCACAGACTTTTTAAATTAAGCTTACATATGTCAATGTTCCAAGATTATCTTTGTGTTTGCATAAACCATATGGCTCTTTGACAAAGTTCATTATGCCATAACATTAGAGAAATATTTAAATGTCACATCTGTTATGTAAAAAAAAGAAAACTGATGTAAAATAGAAGTGAAGTTGGGATGGGAAGTACTATTTCTACAAATTCATTTGTAATCAATTTTTAAGCCAATGACTACAGGCTTCTCCTTAGTTTCTAAATCAGAAAAATGATTTAGATTCCAAGGAGAAAGTATCCTATACAGAATATTCTTAAGTTTATCCAATACTTAAAATGTATAGGAAATATCCAAGCTTCCCAATATAACCAGATATTAGCAGTCTCCATCACATGAATTACACAAGTTTTACTAAGGATTATATAAAAGGGTAAGGTCTCCTTTACACTATAGTTTCAATGTTTGCTCCTCCAAAACTCATGTTGAAATTTAATTGCTATTATAACAGCTTTAATGATGTGGGACCATTCAAAGGTGTTTAGGCCAGGAGAGTTCCACCGTCATGGGTGGAATTGGTGCCATTATAAAAGGGCAAGTTCAGCCCCCTCTTGCTCTCTCTCATCCTCTCACCTTCTGCCATGAAATGATGTAGCAAGAAGACCCTCGCAAACAGCCAGCATCTTGATATTGTACTTCCCAGCCTCCAGAACTCTGAGCCGATAAATATCTGTTCATTTTAAATTGTCAAGTCTCATGTATTCTATTATAGCAGCACAATGGACCAAGACACCTTTAAAAAAAAAAAAAAAAACTTACTAAAAGCCAGATGGGAGCTATGTGTCACACAAGTTTGGAACTTCTTTTCCCACTACCAAATCCTTGTCATAATGTTAATAGAGAATGGCTTCAAAAATAATTAGGACCATGAGAAGTGTCCTGTTTTGAAAAAAATTAAACTTTCATCCAAGATTTATTATTTATTCTTCAGTCATATGTGACTGAAATCTGCCACAAGATCTTACAGAGAAGAAAAACCAACAGAACCCTTAATCTTTAACTATTGAGACTTTGGTACTAAGAAAGGCAATTATTTTAATGGCTACATTTCCTACCAAAAAAAAACCATTAATTTTAAGAAGACTTTCTTAAAGATGCAAAAAAATAATCTTATATGGCATTGTCCAATGGATTATTTTCTTCTTTTTTAAGTAGGTAGATCAGTCTTGCATATAGAGAAGGCACATGTTCGATGACTTCTTTAGAAGAGTTGAGAAGAATGTCACTGTTACAGCCTTATCTACCACTCTAACTTGCTCTTGAGCCCCAAATCTCTACTGTCTGCTTT
This sequence comes from Homo sapiens, assembly GCF_000001405.40. Lineage (NCBI taxonomy): Eukaryota > Metazoa > Chordata > Mammalia > Primates > Hominidae > Homo > Homo sapiens. The sequence continues at coordinate 19,670,583 of NC_000012.12, read as the reverse complement.
TATCCGTTTAGGTCATTGAAATTCCCTGAAGAAATACTCACATCTGAGAAAGACAAACCATGACATGTCAGCTCAGTTTATTTGCATTTCCCTAGCAAAGAATAGTGTGCTGAGAAAATAGAATAAGTATGTTTCCATAAGATAGGATGCAAGTAGCCGGGTGCAGTGGCTCATGCTTATAAGCCCAGCCCTTTGAGAGGCCAAGGCAGGCAGATCGCGAGGTCAGGGGTTCAAGACCAGCATGGCCCATATGGTGAAACCCTGTCTCTACTAAAAAAAATACAAAAATTATCCGGGCGTGGTGGCGGGCGCCTGTAGTCCCAGCTACTCGGAAGACTGAGGCAGAAGAATCGCTTGAACCCAGGAGGCGGAGGTTTCAGTGAGCCAAGATTGTGCCACTGCACTCCAACCTGGGTGACAGAGCGAGACTTGGTCTCAAAAAAAAAGAGATAGGATGTTAGTGTCCCCACTGGAGCTCTACCTAGCAAGACCAGACTGGAGTAATCACCTACAGAAAAAGACCTTTTAAAAGTTGGGCAGGGAGAGTGTCATGAGCACATTAATTATCTGGAGCAGGCCCAAACATGAAATGACAAAGTAAGTCAAGTTTAACTTCTTTGAATTTGTTCATTGTTAGGCATGCCTTAATGCAGTGATGTTTAACTTTGTTTGTATGGCAGATTCCTTCCAGAATGTGATAGAGAGCTAAGTTTCCCACAGAATTTTCCCTTAAGGCATGGCTATAATTCATGTGATAGTATGTGACAGGATTTCCTTCTTTGTATGGATAAGTAATATTCCATTGTATGCATGTATCAAATTTTCTTTATTCAGTCATCAATCAATAGACATTAAGGTGCTTTCCACCTTTTGACTGTTGCAAGTAATGCTGCAATGAACATGGGAGTTCAAATATCTCTTCCAAATCCTGATTTCAGTTCTTTTGGATAAACACCCAGAAATGGGAATGCTGGATGGTAGTTCTGTTTTTTAATTTTTTGAAGAACCTCCATACTGTTTTCCACAAAAGTGGACATCATGCTACCTGAAATCAGCCAGTCACAGAAGGACAAGACTGCATGATTTCATTTATATGAGGTTTTTAAAGTAGTCGGACTCACAGAAACAAAAAGTAGAATGATGGTTGCAAAAGGTGGAGGGAGGTGGAAGTAGGGAGTTGCTGTTCAATGGGTGTAAAGTTTCAGTTGTACAAGATGAAAAAGTTCTAAATATCTGCTGTACGACATTATGCTTATAGTTAAAATTTTGTTAAGAGGGTAGATGTCATGTTATAAGTATTTTACCACAATAAAGTAGCTGTAATATTTGCATTAACTTTATGGAGTTCAAGGTCTTTCTGATGTACCAGATTAAGAGTCCTTGATCTGGAGGATCCCTAGAACCCAAGGAGGTTCTCTGTCCCATGATGACTGAGGCAGACAGGACGTACCTGAGGAGACAGGACCTCTCCAGAAAGTCAGAATGGTGACACTAACCCTCCATTGTAATCAGCAGGATCTCTTACCTGCTACAATTCAGAATAGCTATTGCTATTACATTTTTTTATTTAAAAAAATTAGAGTATTTGTAATCTTGTCAATTACCAATTCCCATTCGTCATTCTATGTCATGGTAAAGAAGGTATCTGTATCAGCTGTTTAGAATTATCTAAAGCAACTGTGACATCAGAAATAATATACCTTTACCTTTACTGATATGAAAGAATATTTTTCATACAGTGGAAGGGAAGGAGGAAAAAAGGAAGGAAAAAGGAGAGTTGACATCTTAGTAGTCAAGATGTTCTATCTGTACATAATTGGTTGATGTATATATAAATCTATATACATATAGACTATATAAGTATAGTCTATTATATATATACTTATATATGAATATAGATACACATACTGTGTATATTATTATACATAGTATGTATGTCCATATATATATTTCTAATTAGAAAATGTATAAACAGAGAGACCATTTTCAGGTTCTTAGGCAAAACCACTTCTGAAGCTAATTAATAATGAGGATTGTAGAAGTAGACATAAAGATTCAAAGAAGTAGAAACCAAATCAATATTTTCTGAAACTTTACTCTTCATCTTGAACCTCTCGGAGTGGCAATCAAAGGTTCTTTATGTGCTTAAGTTAAAAAGTCTTACCCTAACACACAATTCCATGTGGAATAATCAAACAATCCAAATATCAGAATTCAGACAATTCTTAACGGAAACCTAAAAAGAAACATATAGAAAAGTCCCCTAACCTTCAATTTAAAACAAAATATGTTTTAAATATTTTGTAAATATTTAAAGTAAATTTTTCTTAAAGAAAGTCTTTTCTAACCACCTACTCTCTCTGTCCCAATTTCCATTTATTAAAATTAAAATTCATTTATCCTCTTGCCATCCTGGAAAATTCCAGATTATCTATCCACTGCCTTTGACCATGCTGCTCTCTCGCTGTTAACAGAACTCTGTCACCTTGAGGTCCTTTCACGCCTTTATCTGGAGTAAGTAGTGCTATTGATTTGAAAGATTCACAGAACACTTTTTGAGTGGTCCTGGAGATCCTCAGTTGTGATGTACTGTTTACTGTTTTTTTTTTAAACAAAAAAATTCTTTTAAGATCTCCATAGTATTGTTTTTAAACTTTTATTTCTGCTCCAACTCCTTCCCCTTCATCTCATACCCCACCACACTAGGCTTAGCCACCTCCTTCTCCATAGTATTTATGCAGCTCATATATACATTTATCCTGGCATTTATGGCACCAAAATCGCCCCAAATTTAAATAAATTATCTCAGATAATTAGTTTCCTAGAATATTACAAGCTAGCATATCTGGTCCTCCAGCCCCACCCACTCTCTCTACACACACACACACACAAATGTTTGCATTATCCCCATATAATTTCCAAAAGATAATACAAACTCTTTCAAAATAGGCTTAGATTAACTTATATAGCACCTATTAAGTGTTAGACCCTGTTGGCTTTAAAGACCGCTTCATTTCATCAACTTCCACAGTAGCTTTTACTCCCATTTTGGAGCTCAGGAAACTGAAGCACAGAAATCTAGGTAAATTTCCCAAAGTTGCACAACCAAAGGGTGACAAAGCCAGGACACAAGCCAGCCATTGGCCTCCATAACAGAGGGACATCTGGCTCTTTCCTCTCATTTGATCCTATGTAGTAGTTTCTTCAACAGAGTATCCCAGATTGATCCCTTGTCAATTTCCATTGCCAAATCCAGGCTCTCACCATAAAACTAGCCTCCCCACTTAACAGTTCCCATCTCACCCATAACATGCACCTCCAGAAAAACAAAACTTTACATACACTGTGATCATCACATAGTCCCCTAATTAAGAAGCCCTATTATTTCTCAGATTATATCCAGATATCCAGGTTTCTCCTGCTAAAAATTGGGCTTCTACAGCATTTTTGCACCTACTTCACAAGTGTTTGTTTCACACTGGGGACACAGAGGGATAGAGTCCTTGCCATCAGAGAACTTACAGTCCAGTAAGAGAAAGCAGACACTTAAATAAGAATGTGAAAGAGTACGTGTCTAAGTCCGTTTTCTGTTGCTTATAACAAGATATCTTAAATTGGGTAATTTACAAAGAAAAGAAATTTATTTCTTACAGTTATGGAGTCTAAGTCCAAGGTTGAAGGGCCACATCTGGTGAGGGCTTTCTCGTTAGTAGGGACTCTCTGCAGAGTCCTGAGGGAGCAAAGGGCATCACATGATGATGTCTGCTCAAGTCTCACTGTCTCTTCTTATAAAGTCCTACTCCCATGATAACCCATGAATTCATTATTCCATTAATCTACTAGTGGATTTATCCATACATGAGGGCAGAGCCTTCATGACCCAATCATCTCTTAAAGTCCCCACCTCTCAATGCTGCCACGTTGAGGATTAAATTTTAACATGACTTTTGGAGGGGACAAATACTCAAACCATAGCATTCTTTTACCAGCCCCCCCAAAACTCACGTCCTCCTCCTATACAAATACATTCATTCCATCCTCATAGTCCCAAAGTCTAAACTACTTCCAGCACCAACTCAAAAGTCTAAATTCCAGAGCCTCATCTATGAGTCTTTGAAATCAAAACAAGTTATTTACTGCCAGGATACAATGGTGAGACAGGCATAGAGTAAACATTCCCATGGCAAAAGGAAAAAATAGGCCAGGATAAAGGAGTAATGGGCCCCAAGAAAGTCCAAACCCCAGCAGGGCAGACCTCAAAGCTGGAAAATAATCTCTTGTTATCATGTGCTACTTCCTGGAGAGACTGAGGTGGGGATTAGGCCCCCAGGGCCTAAGGCAGTCCCATCCCTATGGCTTTACTTGGAGCAGTCCACATGGCTGCTCATAAGGGTTAGAGTCCAGTACCTGTAATTTTCCCAGACACTGATTGCATGCTGCCTGTGGTTCAACAGTTCTGGGGTCCTGATGGCTGTCTGGCTCCCATGGCTCCACTAGGTAATTGCTCCAGTGGGGACTTTCTGTAGTGGCCTCACTTCCACAGCTCTACTAGGCATTGCCCAGGTGAGGACTCTGTGGCAGCTCCAACATCACGTTTTCACTCTGGCATTGCTCTAGTGGGGGCTTTCTGCAGTGGCTCTGCCCCGGCAACAGGTCTCTGCCTGGGCTCCCAGGCTTTAGCAACATTCCTTGAAATCTGGCTGAAGGCTGACAAGCCTCCACAGCTCTTGCTTTCTGCAAGCCTGCAGAATTAGCACCACATGGACACTGCCAAGGCTTACTTAACACCTCAGGCCATTTGAACTCCAGTTAGAGTGGCCAAGAAACACTGCACCAGAATTTGGGAGCAGAGTTCCAAGGTGGCCCAGGGCAGCAAGCCTGTGGAGTGTGCATTGGGTACCTCCCTTGAAATCACTGTGCCCTTATAGGCCTGTGGGCCTGTGATGGCCTGTGATGGGAGGGGCAGACTCAAAGATCTGTGAAATGCCTTCAGGGTCTGTCTCCCACTGTCTTAAAAAATAGCACCTGGCTCCCTTCTATCCATGCTAATCTCTTTGGCAAATGTAGCTGGACTATACCCTTGGTTTCCTCTCCTGAACATGCTTTTTCACCCTTTACATGGTCTGGCTGAGCTTTCCAAATCTTTCTACTTTGCTTCTCTTTTGATCATAAATTCCATCTTCAAGTCATATTTTCCCTCTTGCAGCTTAGCATAAGCAATTAAAAGCAGCCAGGCAGAAGCCTGAATGTTTTGCTGCTTGGATATTTCTTCTGCCAGCTACCCTAATTCATCAATCTCAAGTTCAGCCTTCCACAAAGCCCTTGGCCATGGACACAGTTCAGCCAAGTTATTTGCCAGTTTATAACAAGGAAAGAAGGATAGCTTTTATTACAGTTTTCTTTCTTTTCTTTTTTTTTTTTTTTTTTTTTGAGACAACGTCTGGCTCTGTCACTTAGACTGCAACCTCACTCACTGCAACCCCAGGCTCAAGCCATCCTCCCACCTCAGCCTCCCAAATAGCTTGGACTACAGGCATGCCCCATCGCACCCAACAAGTTTTTGTATTTTTTGTAGAAACAAGGATTTGCCATGTTGCCCAGACTGGTCTCAAACCTGTGAACTCAGGAAATCCACCAGCCTTGGCCTCCCAAAGTGCTGGGATTATAGGCGTGAGCCACCACACCCAGCTACTACCATTTTCAATACCTTGCTCCTGAGTTCCATCTGAAACCTCATTAGAATGGCCTTTACTATCCAGATTTCATTCAGGTCATGACCACTGAACCAGTCTCCAAGGAGTTCCAAACTTTCCCTAGTCTTCTAGGAGTCCACTGAGACCCTGGGAGCCCGTTGAAATTATTCAAACTAGCCAATTCTAAGCCCTTATCAGAATGCAGGTTTTTTTCTAGACTGCTTCTCCAAATTCTTCCAGCCTCTGCCCATTACCCAGTTCAAAAGCCACCTTTACCTTTTCAGGTATTCATTATCAGCACCACCCTACTCTCAATTCCAATTTTCTGTCCTAGTTCATTTCTGTTTCATATAAGAGAGTATCTAAAACTGGATAATTTATAAAGAAAAGGAGTTTATTTCTCATGATTATGGAGCCTGAGAAGTCCAAGGTCAAGGGACCACATCTGGTGAGGATCTTCTTGCTGGTGGGGACTCTCTGCAGAGTCCCAAGGCAATGGAGGGCATCATATGCGGAAGGAGCTGAGCATCCTCACGTGGTTACTCAGGTCTCTCTTCCTCTTCTTACAAAGCCACCAGTCCTGCTCCCATGATACCATATTAATCCATTAACCCATTAATCTATTATTCCATTAATGAATTTATCCATTCATGAGGGCAAAGCCTTCATGACCCAATCACCTCTTAAAGTCTCCACCTCTCAGTACTGACACACTGGGGATTAAACTTCAGCATGAGTTTAGGAGGAGACAAATATTCAAACTATAGATTCATGCTATAGGCACCTTTAGTAATATTTGAAAAATACAGTGAAATAGCAAAGAAGGGAAGGTGATCAGTGGGAGGGTTCGAGAAAGACTGAGGTGCTTGGAGTGCTACATCATGGAAGGGGCACTTCCACAGGAGGAAGCAACATGAGACACAGCACAGAGAAGCAGTAGATTACGGTCTAGTTCACCCAGCATAATTGAAGTGGAAGTTGCAAGACAGGTAAGCATGAAATAAGAGATAAGGTCTCACAACAGTTAGAACGGTGGTCATTAAAAAGTCAGAAAACAACAGATGCTGGAGAGGATGTGGAGAAATAGGAACACTTTTACACTGTTGGTGGGAGTGTAAATTAGTTCAACCATTGTGAAAGACAGTGTGGCAATTCCTCAAGAATCTATAACTAGAAATACCATTTGACTCAGCGATCCCATTACTGGGTATATACCCAAGAGATTATAAATCATGCTACTATAAAGACACATGCACACGTATGTTTATTGTGGCACTATTCACAATAGCAAAGACTTGGAACCAACCCAAATGTCCATTGATGATAGACTGGATAAAGAAAATGTGGCACACATACACCATGGAATACTAGGCAGCCATAAAAAAGGATGAGTTCACGTCCTTTGCAGGGACAAGGATGAAGCTGGAAACCATCATTCTCAGCAAACTAACACAAGAAGAGAAAACCAACCATCCCATGTTCTCACTCATAAGTGGGAGTTGAACAATGAGAACACATGGACACAGGGAGGGGAACATCACACACTGGGGTATGTCATGGGGTGGGGGCCTAGAGGAGGGATAACATTAGGAGAAATACCTAATGTAGGTGACAGGTTGATGGGTGCAGCAAACCACCATGGCACATGTATACCTGTGTAACAAAACTGCACACTCTGCACATGTATCCCAGAACTTAAAGTATAATAATAATTTAAAAAAAAGAGACAAGGTGTGGGGGAAAGCTTTTGTATGGATATCTAGAGTTTACCCTACACTGCTCTGGTTAGCACCTGCTTCTTTAATACTTATAATAATTGCAGCCCATATTTGTTTATTTATAACTACAAGTCAGTGCTCTGCTAATTATTTTACATATATTATTTCACTTACATCTCATGACAGTACTGGAAATTAATTATTCTGATTTTACAAATAAGGCAACTAAGGCCCAAAGATATTAAGTAACCTGATTAAGCTCATTTCAAAGCAATCTAAATTCCTTTATCTAAATTCACATTGCACTTTTAGTCTGTATTATCCAAAGCTTGACATTCATTTATTGTCCTTCTGATCACCATAGCTCCCAAATTGGGGAACAAAATAAAGCAATATTTTCTTTAATTTTTTCTACAGCATCTTGCAAAGAGCTGGGAAAAGCATAAATATGTAAACATTCTAGCTTAAAAGTCACTTAAATAAATCCATATAAGGCTCTTTTACAACTTATCTATTAAAGCTTTGCATTGAAATGCAAGTCAAGACTATTGTTTTTATGGTGGTTTTCGTAACTGAAAAGATCATTGATTCTATTAGCTTTTCGTCCATCATGGCCAGGCTGATAATGATCACAATGCAGGTCAACCAAAGTCTGCAAAGTTGACTGCAAAGGGGGCAGACCAGCCCCTGCCCCTACCTCAGTATGTGAAGACATAACAGGAACACTGCTGGGACCCAACAAATGGCAAATAATGCTTTAGAGCAGCATTATAAGGCTTTTTGAAACTCTTCATTCAGTCATACAGGAATGCAGTAATAACAATGGAAGGGATTTTAATCCATCTGTCACTTTTTTTTTTCTTTTTTTGAGACAGAGTCTCACTCTGTTGCCCACATTGGAATGTAGTGGCATGATCTCAGCTCACTGCAACCTCCACCTCCCGGGTTCAAGCAATTCCCGTGCCTCAGCCTCCGAGAAGCTGGGAATACAGGAGTGGGCCACCACCCTGGCCAATTTTTTGTATTTTAGTACAGACAAGGATTCACCATGTTGCCCAGGTTGGTCTCGAACTCCTGAGCTCAGGCAATTCGCCCGCCTCGTCCTCCCAAACCAGCTAATTTTTGTATTTAAAGAGACAGGTTTTCAACATGATGTCGAGCCTGGTCTCAAACTCCTTGGGCTCAAGCAATCCGCCCACCTTGGCCTCCCAAGATGAGCCTGGCCACCGCTCCAGGCTCATCTGTCATGTCTTAGAATTGCCTAGAATCCATTAGCATCAACCAAGTGGATTCAGAAGTTCCTTGATCAAAATGCTAAGAAATCCATACTCTGCTACTTATACTGTGTGACCATATTAACTAATTTTTTTTTTTTTTTTTTTTTTTTTAGATTGAGTTTCTCTCTGTTGCCCAGGCTGGAGTGCAGTGGTGTGGTATCGGCTCACTGCAACCTCCACCTTCCAGGTTCACTCCCAGGTTCAAGGGATTCTCGTGCCTCCGCCCCCTGAGTAGCTGGGATTACAGGTATATGCCACCACACTCAGCTAATTTTGGCATTTTTAGTAGAGACAGGGTTTTTGCCATGTTGACCAGCCTGATCTTGAACTCCTGACCTCAAGTGATCCACCTGCCTCGACCTCCCAAAGTGCTGGGATTACAGGCGTGAGCCACCAGCCCGGCCTATTTTTCGTATTCTTGATGCTCTGGCATCTGAATCCCCACTGACGGGGGCAAGATTGCCCCTTCCAGGGCTAGCCAATTCTTAGAGACAGCAGCCCGCTCCCCTGCAAGTGTGCCTTTCATATGCAACCCAACTAATCCAGAGTCCTTACTTCAAACCGCCTCCTCTCTCTGGCTTTTCCACTCCAGAAGGCATTATTCTTCTGCCCTAAGCATACCTGGGCCACTTACCAGAAAACTAGGGGCGGTCCCTACACACTGGAGCCCATTGACATTCAAACTAGCCAATCCTAAGCTTAGGTACCCTGCCTCACTTGTTCCTTCCTGTGCACCCACAATAAAGGCTCTTGCTCATGCTTTCCTCCTGTTCCTTCTGCCTCCTGGGTGACCCTGGTGCTTCCCTCATGTGGCCCTGTGTGGCATGCTGTGCCTCCTGTGTCTAGGGAACTGTGAGTAAAAATGTCTTCCTCCATAATAGTCATTTCCATGTCTGCATGTCTTACCATACACGATTAAAACAAATCCCAGATACATTTTTAAATTGTGATATTGGGGGAGTTTCCTAACCTTCCTGTGATTCAGTCTCCACATGTTTACAATGAAAGTAATAATATCACCTGCCTCAAACTGTTATGAATATAATTAATATAGAGAAAATGTTGAGTTCAGTACTCAATACATAGGGTACATTTAATAGCTGTTAGGTGTTATTATAATGATTAATAAGTCATAAAAATAATGTATTCTAAAATTAGCATTCTAGGCTGGGTGCAGTGGCTCACGCCTGTAATCCTAACACTTTGGAAGGTCAAGGCAGGTGGATCACCTGAGCTCATAAGTTCAAGACCAGCCTGGGCAACATGGCAAAACCCCATCTCTACTAAAAATACAAAAAAATTAGCCAGGCATGGTGGCACACGCCTGTAATCTGAGCTACTCAGGAGGCTGAGGCACGAGAATTGCTTGAGCCTGGGAAGTGGAGGTTGCAGTGAGCTGAGATCATGCCACTGCAATCCAGCATGGGCAACATGAGACTCTGTCTCTGTGAAAAAAAAAAAAAAAATTAGCATTCTAAACCAATATACTTTATAAACTATGGATTACTGCTATGGCTTGAATGTCTCCTCCTAAACACATGTTGAGATTTAATTGCCTTTGTAACAGTATTAAGAGGTGGGATTTTAAGAGGTGATTAAGTCATGAGGGCTCATCAGATGGCTGCCTTCTGTGTTCATGAGGGTTCTGCCCTCATGAATGGATTAATACCATTATCACAGGAGTGGGTTAGTTTTATAGAGACTGGGTTTGTCCTAAAAGTGAGTTTGGCCAAATTTCCTCTCTCCATCCTGCTGTCGCACATGATCACTTGCCTTTGCACCATGTTATCATGCAGCAAGAAGGCCCTCAACAGACGCCAGTACCATGCTGTTGGTCTTCCCAGCCTCCAGAACTGTGAGAAATAAATTTCCCTTTGTTATAAATTACCCAGTCTTTGGCGTTCTGTTACAGTGGCAGGAACAGTCCAAGACAATTACTTTTAGTTTTGATAGTCATATATTTAGCACGCATGGGTTTAGCAATACGTGAGAAACACTAAAGTTTCATACCATCTCAATATCTAGTTTTGCAAAGGAAGGAATCAAATTGAGCAGAATGTGAGTATGGTTTTAGTGTGAGTGGCCCTGGACAATGGCCCAAACTCTAGTTTCAACATGGCTTCCGACAGCCTGACCAATGGGTTATTAAGTAATAAAACTTTCTTTGATTCTCTCTGGAAAATACCCTTCCAACCCACCCCCCTAAAAATGTTGGCTGTTGATGTAAGAAAATATTAAGTAAATAAATTTAAGAAAGGGATGATTCGAAGCCAGAAAATGTAAGTTTTGGATAAATTAAAAGACAAAATATTAAACTCAGCCAAAGCTGGGATGTATGATGTAAAGTTCACCAGATGCTCTATATAAAAACAAGAAAGAGCCATTCTTTAGACTGTTTCAAGGAGTGTTCCAATAAAATGCAAACATTGCTTCTATATGAGAAATCAAACCATATTTTAAATTAAAAAGGGGCTCAACTTACAAAATAAAGGGATATATAACAGATGACTCAGGGTAAATGTGATTAGAGAAAAAGCTGGAAGCTTACTTTTTTTTTTTTTTTAAGTAGTAGGGAAACTAATAGGGAGTGAGGGCACTGGACTGACCTTTGCTGTGAATAAAAGTACATTTAAAGTGTTAACAGAGAATTTTCCCCAGAAATATGAAGTGCACATGAGATACATCATTAACTTAGCATGTTGCTATAGGAGCATTTTCTTTCACAGCAAAGAATACACTGCGTTATATATCAACAAATACTCAGCGCAGATGAAAAATCACAATCATAAAAAGTAGATAATATTTTTAAATATAAAGTCAATATATTTTCTTACACTAATTTCTAGTTCCCAGTTTTCCCAGGGGTCTCCCTTACATTGAATCAATGGTATTAATTACTTAAAAGAAGTCAGTTTTGGCCAGGCATGGTGGCTCACGCCTATAATCCTAGTACTTTGGGAGGCCGAGGCAGGTGCATTGCCTGAGCTCAGGAGTTCGAGACCAGACCGGGCAACATGGTGAAACCCCATCTCTAATAAAATACAAAAGAAATTAGCCAGGCGCGGCAGCATGTGCCTGTAGTCCCAGCTACTCAGGAGGCTGAGGCAGGAGGATTGCTTGAACCTGGGAGACGGAGGTTGCAGTGAGTAGAGATTGCACCACTGCACTTCAGCCTGGGCAACAGAGCAAGACACTGTCTCTAAAAAAAAAAAAAAAAGTAGTCAATTTTAAGTTTTAGGTTATATTTTAATACAAGTGAATCAACAGGTTTTACTTTCAGAGAAATAAATTGTTTTAATCCTAAAATCTTTTATTAAGTTCAGAATATAGAATTTATGAGACTAAAATAGAAAGAATGCAGGTTATGACATCAAAGCAGCTTCCTGTACATAGGAAAGGAAGTAAAAGCTCAAGTAGCAAGGCAAGAAGTAGAAAGAATTGAAAAGGTAAAGCTAGGCCGGGCACAGTGGCTCAGGCCTGTAATCCCAGCATTTTGGGAGGCTGAGACTGGAGGATCACTTGAGGTTGGGAGTTCGAGACCAGCCTGGCCAACATAGTGAAACCCTGTCTCTACTAAAAATACAAAAATTAGCCAGGCATAGTGATGTGCACCTGTAATCCCAGCTACTTGGGAGGCTGAAGCAGGAGAATCGCTTGAATCCAGGAGGCAGAGGTTGCAGGGAGCCGAGATCGTGCCACTGCACTCCAGTCTGGGTGACAGAGAAAGAATCCATCCCAAAAAATATTAAATATTAAAAATTGAAAAGGTAAAGCTAGCGTAATATAATGCCTGAGATTCCAAGAAAGAAATCAGGGCCTACATACCACCTTCCTGGGCCACAACCTGACAGAAACGCCACCACCACCACTACCACACTCCTGCCAAAAAAAAAAATTCCCCAAATCTCCATGCCTGGCTAGCTAGATGAGCTAGAGCTAGCATTTCTAGTAGTCCATTACTTGAGAATAGCATGCAGTAGATCCTGAAATTTGCATATGCTCACATGGGTAACATGGAAATTCTAAGAACAATAGACTTTTTAAAAGATAATTTCATTTTTTCAGGGAAGTATAATGACTCCCATACAAATACAAACTGAACACAATTCAAAGACTGTTTTTAACTCATTAATTAATGAGGGAATTGGTAAGATGTTACATCTGGCTCTAAAGAGAATTCAAAGAATATATATATAAATGCTGCAACAAATTTACAAATAGATGCAAAATGGAGCTGTCTGCAGGGCAATAAATTATTGCATTCCACTAGATACAAGTCATTTGCATTGCTGCAGACAAGAATCATATACATCACTTTTAGTTTCCTACAATTTACAGAACTGTAAAATAGCTCAAACACAATGAAAGGAACCAGATAACTAGAAGGATACACTAGACTATGCTTTGTTTTTCATTAAAGACTCGCAGTAATCTTTTCTTTCAATTTACAGTCTTTCGCAATGATTGGAAGATACCTGTGATCTGGAGAAAAAAAATGAGAGTCTACAGAGACCTTACCTCCCGAGGCAATGGCAAATCTCACAGCCACTAGCAGTGACAGTCAAGAGAATGACCAAGAATAGGATCCAACCAGCCCACTATGAGGAACACCAGCACAGAAGGCCTGGTCACCACAGTGGGATAAGGGTCCAGCTGGTAGAGTCCAGCAAAGTCCCAGAGGGTAAAGGCCTCTTCCACTCTCTTCAAGATACTAAGCTTCTGCATGAACCCAGGCACCAACTTGGGAAGGAGGAATGAGGAGAGACCCCTTGAGAGATAAGAAAAGCTTAAACTTTTAATGAGTATTTAGCAGAAAGCAATTGATTTGAAACAGAAGAAACTGGGTTGCTTTTTATTGACCAGGGGCATATGCTGAATTGTGCCCTCACACACACAAATTTGTGTGTTGAAGCCCTAACCCTCCATACCCCAGAACTTAACTGTATTTAGAGATAGGGCCTTTAAAGAGGTGATGAAGTTAAAACGAGGCCCTAAGGGTAGACAGTAATCCAATCTGACTGGTATTATAAGCAAAGGAAATTTGGACATACAAGGAAACACTAGATGCCCACACACAGAGGAAAGACCATGTGAGAACACAGAGAGAAGGCAGCCATTTGCAAGCCGAGGAGAGAGGCTTCATGAGAAACGAGCACTGCCAACACCCGAATCTTGGACTTCCAGCCTCTAAAACCATAAAAAAATTAATTTCTGTTGTTTCAGCCATCCAGTCCCTGGCATTTCATTACGGCAGCCATAGCAAACTAATACAGCATTTTAAGGGTTGTGGGGTGTTCATTTCATATCAGTAGGAGCAAAAGCAAGATGAAATGTCGGTTAAATAAAATGTAAAAAGCTACTTGTTTGTTTTTTGGTTTTGGACATCCGTGGGCATTTTAATCCTGTCATATAGGATGAGTGCTTCATAGGTTTTGGACACATTCTCAGACCCAAAGATACGAATAACCTTTACTAGTTAAAGGTCTTCAATAGAGCAAAGCCTATGGCCACCAAGGAAACAAGTCTCAAAGAGCTCAAAACCTCCTTCTGGCCACTGCTCAGTGTCAGGCTTCTACAGGATAGAAATGATGAGGGGAAGCAGAAGGTATAAGACTGGAAAGAAGATATTCTTTTTTTTTTTTTTTTTTTGAGACGGAGTCTCGCTCTCACCCAGGCTGGAGTGCAGTGGCACAATCTTAGCTCACTGCAAGCTCCACCTCCCAAGTTCACGCCATTCTCCTGCCTCAGCCTCCCAAGTAGCTGGGACTACAGGCACCCGCTACCATGCCCGGCTAAATTTTTTGTATTTTTAGTAGAGACGGGGTTTCACCATGTTAGCCAGGATGGTCTCGATCTCCTGACCTCGTAATCTGCCCACCTCAGCCTCCCAAGGTGCTGGGATTACAGGCGTGAGCCACCGGGCCCGGCCAAGAAGATGTTCTTGAGTCAGGTTCTTTCCTAAAATCATGATTGGCAGTTATCTTCATCCATTTGTGCTGCTATAATAAAGTTCCTGACACTGGGCAATTGATAAAGAATATAAATGTATTTCTCTCAGCTCTAGAGGCTGAGAAGTCCAAGGTCAAGGCACTGGTAGGTTTGGCGTCTGGTGAGGACTGCTCCATCAGTGGCATGTTCTTGCAGTGGCATCCTCACATGGCAGAAGGAGGAGGAGTAAGGAGACCTTAAGCCAGTTCCCTCTAGTCCTTTTACAAGACACTAATCCATTCACAAGGGCAGAGCCCCCATGGCCTAACCACCTGCTAAAGGCACCCCTCCTACTACCACCACAATGGGGATTAAGTCTCAACATGAATTTTGGAGCAGACATAAATGTTCAGACCATAGCAGCAGTATTTTTTCTCTTTTTCAAACTGTTATGTGTTTCTGAGCCCTTCTGTTGGGGGAGAAAGATCACAAAGGTTTTCTGGAAAAGCAATTCTAAACAGATATCTGAAGAATATGTTTTTCATTCAGTGATTGCTAAGGAAAAAAAAAAAAAAACTCATTAGCTTTGACCTGAATAAGGATACACTCATACACTCAGGCCTAAGTGTCTGGTGTAGAAACAGTGCCACACTAACTTCAGTGAGAAAGAAAAGCACAAATACTACATTTCCAAATTTAGTCAACTAGGGACATTGAGTCAGGCCAATTTAAAACAGGTCCAAAATTTCATCATTCCAAGGAGTTGAGTATTGTCTCTTATCTACTAATCTAAAATTAAATTTCCCGTTTAGCTTTGACATAGAGACTATTTATAGACATTCAAAAAAAAGAAGAAAATCAAAAGGCTTAAACCCAGGTCATAGGTCCTAAAACCAAAAGCAGTGAGAAGAAAGTGACATCTAATGGTTGGTTTCCTTCAAAACATCTCTGGTTGCCCCCTAAAACTCAAGAGACAAGGAAAGGGAGATTTTGACCTTAGTCATTAGAAAAAGTCTCAAAAATCCTAAAAAGTCAAAAATGTCATCCAGCCCTCTGGGAAACCGGCTCAATGCATTCAAATTAATGTCGTGCTGGGCTGCAGAAACTTTTGACCAGAAGGCATTCCAAGGAGTAACCATAAACAGCTTAAATGATATTAGATGCGTCATAAGATCTTTTTTTACTCTTGTTAAAAATAACAATAACAAACACTTATGAAGTACAGACATGTGCCAAATCCTGGCCTAAGTGTCTCATATATACTAACTCATCTAAAGATATTTTTCCACAATATTTATACGCATGAATAAACAATAGATTCTACTAAAATTCTTAAGGCTAAAGTAGGAATGAATTAATGTTGTGAAAAGACAGGAATATTAAATGTATTTCATTACTTCTTAGAACAGAACTGCAAAAGAACTTGAGAGGTCATAGTTCAGGAGTTGTTGAAAAATCTATCCCATGAGAGAAAATGCAGCATTTTCACTTATTTTTATTTATTCCTTCATTCTTTCTATGCTGCTCTTTGCTTTCTTGTCTTCCATCTTGTGAAAATATTTATGACAAACTTTTTATCCTGTCATTGCATTTTGCTGGTACTTTTTAGGCTTAAAGGTGAACTCCTGAAGTTTATCTCCTTCCAGGCATCATCTCTTCAATTCTGGAAACAGTTACCAGATAAATGGTGGTAACTAGCTTAAGCGTCACAGGACAAACGGCCAGGCTAATATCAAGAGTAGGTATATGAATCACAGCTATGTTTCTGCTGCAGCAAAATGTCTTCAAATAAAAATTAGACCATAAGCATTAAACTGCCTACTAAAAGAAGATTTTTTTAAATATTATATGTTAACCACTCAACCAGTTAAATATCAAACAATATAAACTGCTCCTACATTTAAGTGTAGTTTCATTTTTCATACAAGTTATAGAAGTCATATGTATTCTTACCTACAGTTTTATCAGTCAATAAATTACATGTGTTCTCCTGCCTATACGTAAGTTCAGTCTGAGAGACAGCATCAGGGATTTTTTTATAATAACCATTCCTTTGCAATGAATAAAGACACTAATTTATCTCTTATGGACTCATAATTTGTTCTGAAGCATCTTCTGTTGTTATGTGGACCCTCTTCATGCTCCTTGAAGGCTGGAGGAGTGCAGTGATCCAGGGCTTCACTGGTCTCCTGCTTTTGGAGTTTATCTCTGCTATATGCAGAAGCTTTTATTCCCTTTTCCTTTTGTAATACTCAGAACAGAAAATGCATAGACTACCTACCCTTACCGAAATATATAAAACTCTTTGCTTATATTTCTTCAATCAAGAAGAGGTTCTGTTGAGAACCAAATTTCTACATGGCCCAATCTTCTTTCCTTCAACTTTAAAGATCATTTATAATGTATTTTACAAAGAACACATTAGGATTATCTATTAATCAAGCTGGTAATCTCCATTAGAGGAATTGATTATTTTGTACTCCTCAGAACAAAAGGAACACAAATTTCAGACATATAACCCAGAACAAGTATAAGGATTTAATCAGCCCACTGCTGAAAAGAAAAAGCCCTGGCCCGTATTATTTATTGGTGACTTCCAGGAGCATGGACATAAGATCTTTTTTTCTTTCTGTTTCTTAAAGAGGAAAATTGCAAAAGAAACAGGAAATCTATCCTTTTCTCTTAATGCCTCTTAAGAGGAAGAAATGTTTCAGTCACGTTTCTGACTGTGGAAAAAAATGATAAGTTACTGGTTAAAAAAAAAAAAATCAAAGATGAACTCCATAACATTCTCCTTTCCTTAGAGTCCTCAAACTCTCACACAGTCCAGGCCCCAGAACCCTGCCCTCAGTTTCTTCCCAAATAAAGTCCTCCTCAACCTTTTAGGAAGCTTCCCTCCCAGCCTCACTCCAGGCATTTTTCCAGTACCCAAGAGGCCCTGGCACATGTTGGGTTCTCAATACCTGTGCCCTAAGTTAATTAACTATAAAACGAGCATGGTTATAAGCTTATTTTCAACTCATCCACAGGTCAGTTTCTCTGGCCAGAGTCAGCCTGCAAATACAGTAATTTCAATTTCACAATTGTATTTCTAGAGCTGTTGAGGGGAAGCAATCATGTTAGGCCAAACTAGCAACTGAGCCAGGCCTTGTGTCAGAAAGATGGGGGCTGACAGTGGCTAAGGCAATTTCCTCCAAAACACTAGGTAGTTAGGTCAGGAGAAACTTAAATAAGGCAATAGCTCTTCTTGTCATCAGAGGCCTTGGTTTTCACATCTGTAAAACAAAATCCTTGGTCTAAATGACTTCTGACACACTGACTTAAATTTTGCCACAGAGTTCAAGCTAGAAACAAGAAAGTAGCTGTAAAAGCCAGGGCCCTTCATGGTATAGCTAAGAGAGAAATCTAATTCACCAAAAATTCAGAGAGGGGAGTGCTTCTCATGAGAAAAGAATGAGAGACTAATTCCCAAGGATTTTCTCTTCAAATAGCACGTCGTGGAGAAAGAAAGATAAATGGAGAAATGTGGCAGTAAAAAAATTCTGTAGATGAGAAAAAAGACAGGGAACTTCTTAGTACCTGCCCTAGTCGTAAATTGTCAATAGAGACATGCTTTTCAAACTATGGTAAACAACTTGTTTTGTTTTTTATTTCTAATTTTATTGTAAGCTGATCTCTGATCTTTGTTAAGTTAGAGAGAGACATCGTAACACTTCATCTCTAAAGTATGGAAAGAGAGCAAACACTATCTTGAAGGTAATAATTACAGAATTGCTTAGCCCTGGTCTAGCAGATTTTAAAATAAATTTTGCAGAAGTGCGTTAAAACGAGCACACCGTGAAGGGCCTACTTGCAAACTAACAAGTTACCCTGCTAGAGTTTATGGATGCTGGGAGAAGACGTGAGACTCCTGGATTACAGGCAAATGAGAGGCTATTACTCACCACAATAGTAGTAGCCACGGTATCAGCATCTGAGCCAATTCCTCCAAACCCCAGTACCCGCAAGGTGATGCAAATAGGGCTAGATAATACCAGCATCCACAGTCAATTGTGTTCCAGCAAAAAAAAAACAAAAAAACAAAAAACTGAACTTAGAAAACCTGAATATTTTATAACAGGAAATAAGCATGCCTGCCTATGTCCTGGAAAGAGACATCATCCTTATTATATTGTATAGTAAGCATGCTTATATGTTTGCCCCAGAGGAGGACTACCTCTACCTGCCAAGGTGTATTAGTCTCCTGTTGCTGCCATAGCAAATTAGCACAAACTTAGTGGCTTAATGGATACAAATGTATTATCTTGCAGTTCTGGAGTCAGAAGTCCAAATTGGGCCTCACTGCGCTGAAGTTTCTTTTCCATTTTCTTAACTTTTTCAGCTTCTAGAGGTCACCAGCATGCCTTGGACCATGGCCCCATTCTTCCATCTTCAAAACTAGCAAAGGCAAATTGAGTGCTTTTCACATCACATCACTCTGACCTCATTCTTCCACTTTAAAGGATCCTTGTGATTACGTTGAGCCCACCTGAATAATCCAGGATAACCTTTGTATGTGAAGGTCCTTTAGCTGATCAGCATTCTTAATTTCATCTGTAACATAAATTTTCATTTGTTATGCAAGGTAACGTATTCACAGGTTTCTGGGATTAAGCTATGGACATATTTGGGGAGCCATTATACTGCCTACTACACAAAATAATAAGAAAATCTGCCCTTTGTTCTAGAGCAAGCTTGTCCAACCTGCAGCCCACGGGTCACATGTGGACTAGAATGGCTTTGAATGTAGCCCAACACAAATTGGTAAACTTTCTTAAAACATTATGAGGGTTTTTTGAGATTTTTTTAGCTCATCAGCTATAGTGAGTATGTTTTATTTGTGGCCGAAGATAATTATTCTTCCAATGTGGCCCAGGGAAGCCAAAAGATTAGACACCCCTTTTCTAGAGGGAGATACAATGTCTGTTGTCCAAGGCTGTTAACTATACTATACAAGCACCCTTCAAAAGATAGTTTATAACAAGGAGAAGTCAATGCTTTGCTTCACAAAACACACAGACATGTGAAAGAGCCATAGAAGATGGACCCTCATGACCAGCTGCTACTCTTACATATCGGCATAAGAAATCGAGTAAGGATATTTAATTGCTTTAAACTATATGCATATATTTTTTAAATATGACACCTGACCATTTGGATCACAAAGTTATCTTGGTCAATATAGGTTAAAATCACTATATAATTCCATATATTCATGGAAAGAGAAACTATACTGAATCTTTTTAACAGACGTTTCCCAGTTTAATCACGGATGAAGTGTGTAATCAACCATCATCCACTCACAGAAATCAATGAACACTTACAGGAAACAAAGTGGTTTGAACAACCCAACAAAGTTTGCTTGGAGGTCAATGTTGGGGAAAGAGTCTTTTGATATTTAATTCCAGTGCTAAAGAATTTTCTCTATCAGGAAATTCTTCATACTTAACCTTAAATCTTGGTATTTGCAGCTTTAACTCATCTCCTCTTAATCTGTCCTCAGGGAGCTCTTTCACATGATCCTTAGTGTCTTCTAGAAAGGACAAAGATGAGACTCTCATGATACTCTCCACAATAAATTGTTCTGAAAGAAATTTTCCCTGCTGCTCTTATACCAAACCCATAAAAGATATATGCTTCGGTAAATTTTAGTTTTCTAGTGAAGATTAATTCTATCCATACTAAAATATTCTCATTGGAGTAAGCGGAGAGATGTTTATCATCTTTGGAGAAAGATTTGCATTTTCTATTTTGTTTGTAATAAGTTAAAACAGAAGTTACAACTGAAACAGCAAGGAAAAAAATAGATGATAAAGTACGAGACCATATGCAGAAGTTGCAAAGGAGTTAGCCAAAAACTCCTTAACAATAGCTCTTAAAATCCTTCGTGTACATCAAGGTTATAAAAGGGCATATTGATAAATATTGGTAAGAATTTGTGAAAATAATTTATTTGGGAACAGCTGTTGCCCCTCTCTGAATCCCAGTGCTTCAACATCGCAAAGGAGTTTAGGGAAAACCTGACCCTTACCTCATGAGGGCAAGAGAGAGCTTCAAGAAGACTACTCTGAGAGTAAGGCAATCCTCCTAACTGATGAAAGCTGGATAAAGAAGAGTTTGCTTCTGTTTTGGAATCAGCCTTCATTTCCAAAGTTCATCTAGGCAAATCATGTGTTTCTTCTATACAATGTGTGGGCCTAGGGTCACCATGCATGGTGCGCAAGTTGTATGCTGTCAAGGGTACAACATCTAATGTCAAGATTTATTCACATGGTAGTCATCGTAAGTTTGTATATTTACTTTCTAGTAGACGGCAATAGAAGTTCTTGTTCTAACAAAACCAGTATATATTACAACAACTTCCCCATAAAGTGTCTTGAGAAATGGGCACCTCTTTCTAATAAACACAAAGAACCACATGGACAAGCATGGGCACTATGTGAGTTTCATGTGTGAGAGAAAGAGCCAGCAGAGAGGTTGTTTTTCATCCCATTCAATAGAGCTACCTAGAGAAGCTAATGAAACCTCAGCAAACAGAAGCCAGAGGTAGACCCCCTGATTGCAAGGATCTAAAGATGAAATAAGCAAGAGCATTCCACTGGAACAAGAGAACTACAGATTAGAAATCCACCATCAGGAGAAGAAGTTGGTGCCTACAGAACAAAAGAAAGCATCCCAGGCTGGGTGCCGTGGCTCACGCCTGTAATCCCACCACTTTGGGAGGCTGAGGTGGGCGGATCACGAGGTCAAGAGTTTGAGACCAGCCTGGCCAACATGGTATAACCCCATCTCTACTAAAAATACAAAAACTAACCAGGCATGGTGGTGCGTGCCCATAATCGCAGCTACTCAGGAGGCTGAGGCAGGAGAATTGCTTGAACCCAGGAGGCGTATGTTGCAGTGAGCTGAGATCATGCCACTGCACTCCAGCCTGGGTGACAGAGTAAGACTCCGTCTTGAAAAAAAAAATTAAAAAAAAAAAAAGCATCCCAGGAGAGAGAAAGCGTTCAGGTTAAATATTGGCAAACCACCAATCCTTCTTCTTCCATCCTATTTCAACCACTAGGGTCAGTAGCATGGTTGACAAGATGGAAAGCATGACAGAAGCACGTGTAATGCACCACATCACATCTAGGTTGGAAAGTCCTAGAGGAATGTTGGTTGCTTCTCTCATACCCTCAGAAACCCCCTAGGCTTAAATAACTTCTGCACATTCCCAAAACCTAGTTCACACACATGCAGGAATTATGATTTATGATGTTCCTTCCATCTCAAAATTTTAGTAAATTTTAACATTATTTTTTATAGTTTGATCTTTACTGGCATTTAGAGTGCTAAATCAAGTTTAGCCTAAAGCTGCTTCCTTCCATATTTTAAGTTTGCCCTAAAGGTTATTCTGTACTTCGTGAACTATAACAAATGGAGGTATAATCAGACTTTAGCCTACACTGAGTTCTGGCCAATTAATGTAGCCAATTGTTCAAACCGTGTTCAAATAAGGCAAACGCTGAGCTGTAACCAATCCAGTTGTTTCTGCACCTCACTTCTGCTTTCTGTATGTCACTTTCCTTTTTCTGCCCATAAATCTTCCACCACATGGCTACGCTGGAGTCTCTCTGAGCCTACTACTGCTCAGAAGGCTGCCTGATTCACGAATTGTTCGTTGCTCAATTAAACTCCTTTAAAGTTAATTTGGCTGAAGTTTTTTCTTTTATCAAGAGAATCACAAAACAAAAGCAATCTAAAGCCAAGGAAGGAAGTACAAAAGCAATTAAGTTTAAAAGGGACAGAAGACCAAAAGGTATATAAAAATAAAGCAGGAAAAATGGAAACAGTTTGCAGCAGACAAAGGGGCCAGATTTCCAAGAAGAACAATGTGATGCTTTTTAATGTAATTGGTCCCTCATGAACTAATCAGTAAAAGCAAGATGGCTGACAGACGGATCCAGCCACAGCCTCCAACAGCTGTCTAGCCCCCCTGAGGTGATCATACTCAATCGCACCATTTGGGGATGTGAATAACAGAACATCAAGCTGTGAAGGTAAAAAGCTGGGAAACCAAGGAAACTCCCTGAACAGGAGCCTTGAGAACAAATAAGGAAGATAGTCCAGACCCAGCATGGACATGAAAGCCAAAGGATGACAATGCACCCAAATTAACAGAAGCCAGAAAATAGGCGAAAACCAGAGATTTGCCAAAATTGCTAAGTTCAAACCAGGTCCACGACTAGGATATTTGAGAGTGAAACAGGGTAACTTTGAAACCCAGAGAAATAAGCAACAGCCTTCCAAGGGGGGCACAGTTGCTCCAGAGATGCAAAAAGATTTTAGAAGTTACTAGGTCCCCGAGGGTTTTAAAGTAATCCGTCTTCCTATCCTCTGCTTTTACAGGTACTCTTCCTATAACTGTTAACAGCCTGATAATGCACTCTCCTATTTCTTGGTCATTTTTCTCCTGATTTACCAAAAAAAAAAAAAAAAAAAAAAAAAAAAGGTCTACCTGTCACCCATCTCAAACCTTAAGATGGTTCTAGAACCAAAGATACAATTACATTAATTATTTTAATCAAGCCCCCATAGTTTCACAAACATACCCCTCAGTGAATCTAATTGAGATGCATTTTCTATATATTTCTCCTTTTTAAAAATAATTACCAAATGTTTTAATACATTTATACCATTTTGAGTAGCTGCAGACTATTAATAATTACAGTGATAATTTGATGCCAAAGAAATATTTTAACACTAGTAACCTTATCATCACAAAAAATTATAGGTAATTTTTAACTTCAATTTTATATATTTGTTGTTGCTGCTGCGTTTAAGTTTACTAGGGTGAATGTATCCAGGGACTCAAGAGAAACAGAAGATAATGGACAGCCAGAAAGAGGGAGAGAAAGAGTTTTTTTGTTGTTGTTTTTTGTTTTTTTTTTTTTTTTTGTAATTGACTCATTTGATTGTGGAGCCTTGGAATCCTGAAATCTGTTGAAATAATTTTTGGAAGGCCATTAAACCACGGCAGCTCCAGCACCCTGGGTTCCTATGTAAGCAAACTGAAACCCAACTAGATGTAAATGGTCATAGTCCAGGCCTGTCAGAAACCACCACCTCACCTCTAGCTAGGGACTTTCCACTGGAATGATTGCTTTGCCTTGCTTCCACATTCACCATATAAAAGCTCCCCCTTGTTCTCCTTTTCTGGAGCCCTGAACTGCCTATGGTCTGGAACTGCCCAACTTATGATTCATTGTCCACCCAAATTTGAATGTGACTTAGTTTATATTTTAACAAATCTGTGGGGTAGGCTGACAGGCTGGAGACTCAGGCAGGAGTTAATGTTGCAGTCTTGAGTTTTCATCTTCAGAAAATCTTTCTCAATTTTTGCTCTTAGGGCCTTCACCTAACTAGATGAATCACCACTGACATGGTTTGGATTTGTGTCCCCACCCAACTGTCATGTTAAATAATAATCCCTAATGTTGGAGGTGGGTTTGGTGAGAGGTGATTGAATCATGGCGACAGATTTCCCCCTTTGGTGCTCTTCTCCTGATAGAGTGCTCACGCGATCTGGTTGTTTAAAAGTGAGTGGCACCTCCCCCACCTTCCTCTTGCTCCGGCCATGTAAGAGGTGCATGCTTCCCCTTCGCCTTCCACCAAGATTGTAAGTTTCCTGAAGCCTCCCCAGTCATGCTTCCTGTACAGCCTGCAGAACCATAAGCCAATTAAACCTCTTTTCTTTATAAATTGCCTAGTCTCAGGTATTTCTTTATAGCAGTGCAAGTACAAACTAATTCAACCACCCACATTATCAAGGATGGTCTCCTTTAACTCAAGTAAACTGATTGTAGATGTTAACCTTTACTTAAAGTCAACTGATTGTAGATGTTAACAACATCTGTAAAATGCCTTGTCAGCAATACTTAGACAGTGTTGATTGAACAACTGGGAACTATAGCCTAGACAAGTTGACACAAAAACTAACCATCACCTTGAACAACCATAGAAGTGCAAAAATATGTTACATTATGATAAAATTCTGTAAGAGAAGTAGGGTAAAAATACAATTTCAAATATCAAATATTTTAAGAGTGTTTTATTTTTCATCTTTTTTGTGTTTTTAGAGACAAGGTCTCCCTCTGTTGCCCAGGCTGGAGTGCAGTGAAGCCATGAAAGCTCATTGCAAGCTCAAACTCCTGAGGTCAAGCAATCCTCCCACCTCAGCCTCCCCAGGAGCTGGGACTACAGGTACGGCCCACCACACCTGGCTAATTTTTGTAAATTTTTTGCAGAAATGGGGTCTCACTATGTTGCCCAAGCTGTCTCAAACTCCTGGCCTCAAGAGATCCTCCCACCTTAGCTTCCCAAAGTGTTGAGATTACAGGCATGAACCACTGTGACCAGCCTCTTAAGAGTGTTTTAAAACATATATTACATCTTTTGTAAGGTTTTTGACTTATGATGAAAAACAGTATATGTCAACATAAAAGTATGCAAGTATTGATTATCAAAATTCCGGTAGGGGTTATGCAAGCAAAACTGAAGACAAGTTCTAGCTAGGATAACAGAGTACAGTAAGTTCTCACTTATCATTATTGATAGATTCTTGGAAACTGACTTTAAGTGAAATTATGTATAACAAAACCAATTTTTTTTTATCAATGTTGTAACAAAATGAGACATTGAAGGAAATGCTATTTGAGGACTTGCTGTACCTCCTTTCACTTAAAGTTGAAGTTTCCAGGAACTTATTGATGATGTTAGTGAGGCCTTACAGTATTGTTGCTAAATTTATGGACTCAGACTGTACTGTACCTACATATTAGCTGTGTGAATTTAGGGAAATAAATGAAATTCCTCGGTTTTGGGGAATGTTATTTAATATGCTATATTATTAGCACTTATCGATCAGATTTGGAGGTAGATTAAGTGACATAATATCTTCAAAGCACTTAGCACAATTTCTGGCACAGAATAACTCCTCAACAAACGCCAGCTATTATTATTATTCAGCAGATGTCAGTTGTAGAACATAAATCCACGAAGACCTATAAATGCAAGAACTCACACCAGGCTTGTCTTGCCTGCTTAGCTTTTCTCTGATCCTCTCTGCTAGTAAATCCCTGAGGCTCCATGGCTAGACACTAAAAGATTGGTCCTAAATCCCAACCTCAGTTCATAATGTATATTATCTCCAGTTTTCCTCCAGAAAGTGCTCTAGCAATGGAACCCTCAAGTTCCTTCATCTGTCTGTTTCAGCTGTAAGCCTTGCAGACCAGGCATGTTTACTTTGGTAAACATTTTGAGGGTTTTCCTGTCATTTGGCATGTGTGTGGCTCTCTTCAAACTCTCCGTTTGTCAGCCCAAATGCAGTTCTGTGAGCATCCTGGGGCTGCTTAGATAGATAGATTATTGAACTATCCAACTATTTTCTAGAATTCTAACTTAAATTTGTTCTGCAATTTAAACCTGTCTTTTTTTTTTTCAAGCGGAGCCTAGGAAATAGGCCTCTTCAAAGAACGAAAACACAAAATGTCGGATTAACTCTTCAGTGTAATTGATTTTCAGTGTGATCAAAGATTTCTTTTAATTCGATCTTCACAAGGCATAGACTTTTCTGGAACAACCTTGCTCCTACCCCTATTTAAATTTAAAAATTAAATCATTTTTTAAATCACTTAAGTAATAATGTACTTTGAAGACACTTCAGAGAAATGAAACAAAGAGGGATAAAATACCACATTTTCATCACCCAAAGACAACCATGTTAATCTTTTTAAACTCTTTTTTTGTGAGAAGAAAAAAAAATCTCCTTCTCCTACTACACACACACACACACACACACACACACACACACACACACACACACACCAACCACCAAAAATAAAAAAGGGGAGTAAAAGCAGATCCAAATGTGATTTCCTGCCTTTAAATCTGTTGCAGACACTTATGCTAATTACCCAGCAACCTTCATTTCCTTAGGTCACCGAAGAGAACAAGAGCTTTTCTCAGCAGGCTGAGTGGTTCTTACCTGCCTCTCCGCTAATGAAATTCCCAGTTTTGTCTCTGGCTTTTGCTAACAAGGCAAGCCTCCTACCGTTTCCATCCTTTAGATGGCAGCATGATCTCTAACACTTTACGGCCTTTTTTCCCAAGTTATGCAATTCTTGCAATTAAAAAAAAAAGGTTTAATTTTCTGAGGGAGTGCTGAGGAGCTGGAGAAATTAGGAGGGGAAAGAGGAGCCATTGAGGATGAAGGTATGAAAAATGGAGAAGCCAGAATTTGCGTGTGGAATCTGAATGTTTCCAGTTACCACATCTACCCCTATCCCATTACAGATAGCAAATAGGTGATGGATACACATCTATGTGGTAACTGGAATTTTATTTTTTACATTTTGATATTTATTAACAAAAATGGTCCTGAAAAGGATTGAGTCAAAATTACAAAGTGATAAGAGTTAAAATAAAAATCGTTCTTAACTGTATTGTCAGCTGGGCAGAGTGGCTCCGGCCTGTAATCCCAGCACTTTGGGAGGCCAAGGCGGGCAGATCACTTGAGGTCAGGAATTTGAGACCAGCCTGGCCAACATGGTGAAACGCCATCTCTACTGAAAATACAAAAATTAGCAGGCATGGTGGTGGGCACCTGTAATCCCAGCTACTTGGGAGGCTGAGGCATGAGAATCACTTGAACCTGGGAAGCAGAGGTTGCAGTGAGCTGAGATCGCACCCCTGTACTCCAGCCCGGGCGACAGAGGGAGACTCTGTCTCAAAAAAATAAATTAAATTAACTGTATTGTTTCTGGGGGACTTTAACCAGTCCAGAAAGCTATTTTTATCTCCTGAAACAGGACTTAAGTCACACTATTCATATGATAGATTTTAATAGAAACTCTTCCTCTTTCCTTCTGTCAAAGCAAAATATAGTGAAGGTCTTTGTTTTTACCTCAAACCTGCTTTCCAAATAAGTGTGCATACATGTAGATGGATTGGGATGGGGTGAAGGGAAAAGTTAAACAAAAAGGTTAAAAAAAAAAAAAAAGAGGCGGGGGCAGGCTGGGCACAGTGGCTCACATCTGTAATCCCAGCACATTGGGAGGTTGAGGTGGGAGGATTGCCTAAGCCCAGGAGCTCGAGATTTGCCTGGACAACATAGGGAGACACCATTTCTACAAAAAAAAAAAAAAATTTTTTTTAATTAGCCAGACATGGTGGTGCACGCCTGTGGTCCCAACTACTCAGGAGGCTGTAGCAGGAGGATCACTTTGGAAGTGAGAAGGTGAATACACTAGGGGAAAGTTAAGGCTGCAGTCAGCTGTGATGACATCACTGCACTATGGCCTGGGTGACAGAGTGAAACCCTTTCTCAAAAACAAGAAAGCCAAAATCTTAAAAACGGGAAATGAAGGCTGTTCATGGGTTATCCCTGTCATATCCCACTCACTGTGGTTTGCAAGATTCTGCACAATAAAATGTGCTCATTCATTCATTCAGTACATATTTATTGACTTCCTGCTGTGTGCCAGACACAGTAAGAGAGCAGACAGTCTAGACAGCTGTACCGCTGAGCAGTAGGCCCGTAGTCAACACTGGACACAGGTGTAAATAAAGCAGATCGTTCTCCCTTATTCTGCCCTTGTGCATCTCATGTTCTAGTATTAGAGGCAGACAATTTAAAAGGAAACAGATATAAATTTAGGTAGTGACAAGGACCATGAGGAAAAACCAAACATAACAAAAAGGCTAGAAAGGGTGTAGGGAGTGGCCGTTTTAGACAGGATTGTCAAGGCATGCTTCTCTTGGGAGGTGATATTTGAGCAGAGACCTGATGAAGCAAGTGAGGGAGTGAGCCACTAGGCACCTGGGAGAAAGTAAGGCAAAGGGAACAGCAATGCAAAGGCTGTGGCATCCAGGCATCCTTGGTTGTTGGAGGAACAAGAGGAAGCTGGTATGGCTAGAACGGGACAAGCAAAGCAAGGAGTAGCCAGAGAGAGATGAGGTCAGAAAGAAGAGGGCACATAGGGCCTTGGAGTCCCCAGAAGGGGTGCTGGGTTTTATTATAAAGGTTATGGAAAACCTTTATGTGAAGTAACATGGCCTAATTTCCATTTGAAAAGGATCACTCTGGCTATGGCACAGAGTACATCCTAAGTATGGGAAGAGGCAAGAGTGGAAATAGAAAGGCCACTCCAGAGGCTGTTGCAAAAGCCAGTGGAGGGATGGTGTGGTCTGTGGGGGAGGAAGGGAAATGGAGAGCTGGAAGACAGGGAGGGCTTGAGTGCTGGGAGGACTTGGAAGTGGTGTGGCAGGGAACCAATAGTTCTATTTTGGGCAGTTGGGTTTAAGTTGCTATTAGTCATTCCGTTACAGATGTCAAATAGGTGATGGATACAGAAATCTAAAACTCAATGGAAAGGTCAGAACTGGAGAAAACTTGGAAGTCCTGTGTATGGAGATAGTACATGTAACCAAATAGCTGAATAAGGTCATGCAGAGAGCAAGTGTGGGTAGAGAACAATCCAGGGACAGAGGCCTGGGGCGCTCCTGCGTTTAGAGCAGCCAGCTAAAGAAACCGAGAAGGAAGGCCAAGCAAGGTAAAGAGGAAACCATGGCAGTTAGGGGTCCCAGAAGTGAGCATTTCAATAGGGAGGAAGTGATCAATTTTGTCAGAAGCTTGTAAGCATTCAGGTAAATGAATACCAAGAACGGACCACTGGATTTGGCAAGATGAATGTCATTGCGGATGTTGGCAAGAGCCCTCTAAGCAGAATATGAGAACAGGATTGATTAGTGTGAAATAGAGAACACCAGGCGAAGGCCGTTAAGCTGGGAAATCCTGCTGAGGAGTTTTGCTATCAAGGAATGATAAGTGAGGTAGAAATGGGAGGGGGTGGGGGTGCTAGGAAGAGCTTTTCAAGATGGGAGATATTTCAACACATGTATGTGCTGATGGAGACGATCCAGGAGAGAGGAGGTCAGAGTGATGCAGGGGGAACCAGATGAGGAGGACATCATTGCACACATGGAGGCATGGAGGGAGCGCGGACCCCCGGGTAGATGTGGTGGTGGGAAGATGAGGTCATTGTCTCTCTTTTTTTCTTTTCTTTTTTGAGTCAGAGTTTCACGCTTGTTGCCCAGGCTGGAGTGCAACGGCGCGATCTCGGCTCACTGCAAGCTCCGCCTCCCAGGTTCAAGCAATTCTCCTGCCTCAGCCTCCCAAGTAGCTGGGATTACAAGCACCAGCTACCACACCTGGTTAATTTTGTATTTTTAGTAGAGACGAGGTTTCACCATGTTGGCCAGGCTGGTCTCCAACTCCTGACCTCAAGTGAGCCACCCGACTTGGCCTCCCAAAGTGCTGGGATTACAGGTGTGAGCCACTGCACTCAGCCCATTTTTCTTAATGACACAAGAAACAAGGTTATCGACCAAGAGTAAGGAATGGGAGGGAGTGTTGAAGGCTTAATGAGAGAGGAGAAAGTGTAGAATATTCCTTTTTGGAAGCGGGAAGGTGAATTCACTAGGGAGAATACAAGAAGATTTCGGGAAGGCTCTGTAGGCTCATCTGAGGTTTGAAAGTTTAAACTGATTCCTGGCAGCACATGTTGATTTTTTTTCTTCCAGCCACATGCCAGCAAGCCAGGCAGGTCTGAGCCACACCCCCAACCCTCCCCTCCATCCCTATCGTCCCCAGGCCTCTCTTATCACTCCTCTGGCTTCTTCACATCTTAACTTTCTCTCCCGTCTGCACTAAAAAAAGGGCCCAAATGTAGTGTGGAAGGCTCTTTTTCTGCCACCTGCTCCTATACCTCTGCACTTAGGCCACTCAGAGATCTCATTCACTCCCAGACCTTTAGCTATCTTCTGAATGGCAGTCCCAATCTCTGCTTTCCCTCCAGACCGAAATGTTTGTCTCTTGGGCATCTGCGTCTTGATATCCCTCTGGCTCATAAAACCCAGCAGGTGCAGCAGTGAATTACTTGGCACAATCATCATGCTGCTCTTCAAAGCTTGCTTTTCCTGTGATATTCTGTTTCATTTAACATCATCTATCCAACCTTCAAGACAAGAGGCCTTAGATTGGTCTTCAATGTCTCCCTCTTCTTAGTTTTCTCTGTTCCCCTGTGTACATGAAGTTGTTGAGAATTTCTATCAATTCTACTACCATAGTGTTTTTCAAATTTGGCTTCAGAATCACTGCCTCATTTATGCTGTTTCTCCTTAAATCTATTTCCTGTGGTAACTATTATTTGTGAAGAAGGGTCTAGTATTAGTCCCCGCTCAAAAATATAAAGATATTCCTATTAACCCTTAAAATCCTTAGCCCTGAGTTCATGTTCTTGCTGTAATCATTACAGCTGGTTTTTTCCCAGCTCTTACCTCACATCACCCCCTTCCAGAATTGTATACACTCCCAACTGAACAGTTTTCCTCCTACTTTCCCACCATGCTGGTCAGTCCGATGCTCACCAATACCCATGGAAACGTCCACTCTTCCAGGCCCTTGGGCACTAAGAATGGGGCCCTTTGACTGGTTCTGCTCATGACAGGCATCACTTCCAGGTGAATGCAGTTGTGAGCCAAGTGCGTTCACCTCTCTCCTCCCCTGCCAGTCACCTTGGAGGGCACATGCTCCAAATGGCATAGCTACATGACGAAAGAGGATTGTCTGACCTATATCAGGTTTTACGTAAGTGAAAAATACATGTATTTTGTTACAACACTGGAATTCGGGATTTGCCTAATGAAGCAGCTAGCATTTACTGTCCCAATGCTGCAGCCCTGTGTCTTTGTTTATACAGATGCCTTTGCTCAAATGCTTTCTCCTCTTCCTATTCATGACCTTTGGCTATTGAAATCCTCACTCTCAAAAGTAGACCTTCCCAAATGCTGGTATGTAGGTTGTTTGGTCCATGATTAAATTCCACCTAAGTCAAAGGGGTAAAAGAAAAATTACAACCGAACAAGATTCCGTAAAAGTAAATAGATTCAATTTAAAGCACTGTCTTTGGACTGAGATAACTCCTTCCATATTCAAGTGACTTCTATTATAAATTAATGGTGGTATTTGATGGCAAGAGAGAGAGGTTTTGTTTTGTTTTGTTTTGTTTTGTTTTGTTTTGTTTTGTTTGAGACGGAGTCTTACCCTGTCGCCAGGCAGGAGTGCAGTGGCGCGATCTTGGCTCACTGCAACCTCCACCTACCGGGTTCAAGCGATTCCCCTGCCTCAGCCTCCCGAGTAGCTGGGATTACAGGCGCCCGCCACCACGCTCAGCTAATTTTTGTATTTTTAGTAGAGACAGGGTTTCACCATGTTGGCCAGGATGGTCTCGATCTCTTGACCTCATGATCCTACCACCTCGGCCTCCCAAAGTGCTGGAATTACAGGCATGAGACACTATGCCCAGCCTAGAGAGAGGTTTTTAACCCCATTATTTGGCAAAATAAAGTTGGACATCTGTGTTTCGTTTCCAAAATTGTTTTCTAAATGTCATTACTTTATATACTCAAGTTCAGCAACCAGTGCTGGCACTAAGGTTAGGAAGACTTTCATTATCCTCCCAGACCAAAGTGACCTCGGATGTCTTTTAGTGACGTCTGATGCTTTGAGCGCTTGACTTTAATGTTTTATCTCTCCTCCTGGAGAGAAAATTCTTTCAGGCAAGTGATCTTTCTTATTCCCGTACAAGAAGGGCAGGAAAAACTATTCTTATTACCCATACAAGAAGGGCAGGAAAAAACTATTCTTAAACAAATGAGGGTAAAACCTTCTTATTGCCCATACAAGAAGGGCAGGAAGAATTATTCTTAAACAAATGAGAAAGCTGAGCTCTAAAAAAAATTAAATTACTTGGAAATTATAATTTTCAACATTTATTGAGCACTTAACTATTTGCCAGGCACTGTTCTATGCATTTCGCATGTACTTACTCATTTTGTTCTTGAAAAATATCTATCAGGTAGGTTACAATTCCCATCCCCATTTTGCAGAAAAAGAAGGCAACCTGCCCAAAGTCACAGAGCTAGGAAGTAGTCCCTTTAAGGCTTAAATTCTGGAGCCCATGAATTTATGGGCTTTTTAAAACACAAACCAAGTCTCCTGGTTCCTGGCTGGTGTTCTTTTCTAGTAGATCACTTTTTCTTCAACTTATTTGTTAAAGTATTTATAATTTCAAGTAAGCTTATCAGAGAACTCAGCCCCTTTTGTAATGTCTAATCAGTATTTCAGTACAATTATCTTAGATTTGCCAGTCCACATTCTAATTTTCTACATACATCTGTTTACCTTTAAGGTCTTCCTCTTTCTGTGTGAATTTCTTTCCTGCCTGTCCCCCAGAAAGAAAATAAATTAAATTAAGTCATCGAACATTGTTCAGGCAACTGTGACAGAAACTCAATAAAGTGGAAAATAAGCCAATAACATCAAGCTCCTTTTCATTAAGATTTTCAATACTTATTTGGTCAGGCTTAAGTAAAGCTGGATTTATTTGAGAGCCCTAGATTTTAAATGCAGCAGGTGCCCCACTGGTCGAATCCTTTGGATGCAGGTGTGCCATTTCACACTTTAAAAGTCTTAAGAAAATGGTGGACTTCAAACAGTAGGAAAATATTAATGCTAAAAAAAAAAAATCAAGATAAGAGTGGCCCAGGTGATTTTATTTTAAGGTGGCTTCATATCTCATTTGCCTGAGGAACCCTTCTAAGAAATTTCAGGACAATTTTACCACTGGACAACCACAATAGTATGACATTATTTCCCTAAATTTTTTATCACAGTAGCCAATATATATATCAAAAAAGATATCTTACTAGAAAGCAAAACTAACAAACATTTATAGTAGGTCAAAAATTACCTAAATGTACATACATTCTCAATGTCAACGGGGTAAATATCCCCGTTCTTCCATATTAGTGACAGTCCCAAATGAAGAATCTTTTTTTTTCTTTTTCTTTTTCTTTTTTTTTGAGACAGAGTCTCGCTCTGTCACCCAGGCTGGAGTGCAGTGGCATGATCTCAGCTCACTGCAACCTCTGCCTCCCAAGTCCAAGCGATTCTCCTGCCTCAGACTCCCGAGTAGCTGGGACTACAGGTGCCCGCCACCACGCCTGGCTAATTTTTGTATTTTTAGTTGAGACAGGGTTTCACCATATTGGCCAGGCTGGTCTCAAACTCCTGACCTTGTGTTCCACCCGTCTCGGCCTCCCAAAGTGCTGGGATTACAAGCGTGAGCCACCGCACCCAACCATGAAGATTCTTTTACACCAGAGAGAATGGCACTCCTTTCTCCCAGCAGACTCCTGCTGAAAAGTCTACTTGCCTTCTCTTCCAGGTTCATCTTCTAAGGATCCATTGTGCAGCACCAGCGGCTGGCCCTGTTGGCAGGCAGGAATGCCTAGGAACTTTCCTCCTGCTCTGTGCAGAGTATGACCCTGACAGCTGAGCCCATAACTTTAACAATGAAGCAAGTTTCTCATCTTGAGATCCTTTAGCCACGTTCACGTATCAAATGCCCCTGAAGGCCAGAGATTCACATGGAATTTGAGAAACAGTGTCTCCTCACTATAGCCCACATCGCCTCTCCTTTGAAAGAGTCCTGCCCCCAGCTACAGATGATCCAAAAATACTCATAATTTGCAAAGGGGATGACATACCTCCCCATAACCCAAGTAGCCTTCGTGTCTCTCAGTGAGATTGTCGAATATCTTTTATCTAACGAATATGTTTTTATACCAAGCAAGAATTTTATACCAAGCAAAAGTGTCACACATTTTTACAGAAAGAGAAATATTATATTGCCAAAAACCAGGTGTTATTCTACCAACATATATTTGTGCTGCCTAGAATTAGACACACAGTATTCCACACAAACATACAAAGATACATTAACCAAAAGCAGATAATATGCCACTTTTTAAGCCATCAGGTAGCATTTACAAAAGTCAACTATATAGTAAGTGAAAAAGAAAACTTCATAAATGGAAAATTCAAAAAATAATCCAGGCCACAGTTGGTGACCATAACGCAATAAAAGTAGCAAATAATAATTAAAGTATAAACCAAAAAGACTTGTCAACTTAAATGCATCTGTCCAAATGACTTTCAGGTGATGCTCATATTTTTAACTATAACTTCAGAAAAGGTTTTCTTGCTATTATTTACCAAAAACTGTCACTGAAGGAAAAATATTTTTTTTCTTCTACCTGATAGGATGCAGGAAATGCTATCCCAAATTATGTCACCTTGGCATACTGAGTGTTTTAAGATGAAGGAAACTGAGAAAAGTGCATAAGCAGAAAGGTATCTCTGACCTCCTCTATCCCCCCATCTTTTGAAGTCCCACATGTGACAGGTGTCCTGCCCTATACCTACAGGGATGGAATGTTACCCAGAGAGGACAAGAAGAATCTGAACAAACATGTTCTGCTCAACTCCCCCTAGTTTATTAACATTAAATCATACCCCCTTTTTTATCCAGTCATTCTTCTACACAAGTGTCCACTGCTCATTGAACCTAAGCACAAAAACACAGTTTTCCCTGGGTCTCTGGGTCTTCATTTCTGAAGACTCCCAGGTCATGTAAAACTAGTATTTTTTAAATGTGCCATGCTTTTATCTTGTTAGTCCATCTTTTGTTGTGGTGGTGTCAGCCATGAACCTTGCAATGGGGGAAGAAAGAATATCACTTTTTCTCCCCTACCTACCCTTCTACATTCATGGCTGGGGACCCTCTAACAAAAGAAAGACTAACAAGAGAAAAGCATACAAATGCTTTTAATATAAGTTTTATGTGTCATGAGACCCTTCATGAGGAAACGAAGACCCAAAGAAACAGTTAAATCTGAGTGCTTTTTATAGTAGGTTTTTGAAGAAAAATGGAGAGTCATGGTAGAATAATGTGATAGGGTAAAGGGTGTAAGTGTAACCATGAAACCAGCCCAAACTGGGCCTATTCTGTTGATAACAAATTGTCAAGTTACCTTTTGGGTATAACAGAGCCAAAAACTACAAATTCTGTAGCACGGGCATGTGCAATAGAAAAAGCTTTTACCTCTAACACACCCGGAACCAATGATTCCCTCCCCTCAGAACCAAGAAGTTCTAGAACATGACCAGAACCTAAACACATAGCTCTTTCAGAAGCAAGAGGTCTGTTGGCCCCGAAGATCCAGGGCTAAAATCTGCCGTAACATATCTTACTGTAAATGGTGAAATGTGAAGGCCTCCAATCAGACCCCGCTCAGCCAACACTCTTCAATCCTTTCCCTTGCCCTCTGATTCTTTAAAACTTGCCCCAGACCTCAAATTAGAGAGGCAGATTTGAGCCCCCTCCTGCCTCCTTTGCTGACTGGTCTTACAATAAAGGCCTTCTTTTCTCAAAAACTGGTGCCATAGTTCTTCACTTCTGTATGCATCAGGCAGTGAGCCCATTTGCTCCATAGCATAAGTAAACAAGGCCTGTTCATGCAGATTCCTCTCTTGTGACCCTGTGCCTTTGGAAATAAGAATGCTCCTTTTCTCCAGGTATAGAGAAGATACCTCTCCCATGAGGGGCTTATGACCTGCTTCAGAGGAACATCAGAAAATCCTTCCTGGGTTTTATAACCTGCTCCATGGGAGAAAGGTAAGAGCAGAATGGGAGGAGATCAGAGTGACCTTCCTACTTCTGCCATTTTCTCCAAGACCCTCAGTTTAAAATATTCAATATCGCAAGGTACCATATTTTGGGGTAGAGTGTCTTGAACCCCATTCTCACCATGGCTTTAACTATTTCTGCCAAAATTAATTTGGTTTCCTTAGAAATCTCAAACTGCTGATCCTTTAGAAAAGCTACAGGAGACATATTGCAGAGTTTAGGGCATATCCAAGATGAGACTAAAATATAAAATCAGACCCTGTAGTAAGTTCTATGAGAAATGTATGGCCTCTTTAAGGTGTGTGTTTGAAAGATGATGAATCTTCAAATAGAGTAACTTAATACTAACTCATACCATTTCTCCCAAAGGGCATTCAAGATCAAGAAAATTGCAGGCTCGCTTCTAACTTATTCTAAGATAATTTCCCTAACGCATGCTCTTCCAAGAGCAGAGAAACTCAATTAGGCTAAAGAAACTCAGTTAGGCTGCTAATTAAATCTGTCCCCCAAAGTTGAAGCAAAGAACATGAAGTTACAATTTTACATATACCATGTACCTCCCAGCACCTAAAACATTTTCACATTTGTCAAAGACATATTTACATAGAATCAACTACAAATAAAGAAGTATTCCTTTTTCTTATTTAGAACAGGACTCCAGAATTAAAAATAAGACTCTCCCAGGAACCATGACACACCAAAAAAAATGGGAAGGAAACTAAGACTTAAGAGTCAAATCAAATTATTCCACGATCACTTGAAAACTCAGGCAATTTCAACAGGCTGAGATTGTTTTCTATAAAGGAAACATATGTTATCCATACAAATTTTTTCATTAAACCCCAAAGTCACATCTGTAGCATTTGCTGCTTATAAAAATTCTGCATATGGAAAGAAGATTTAAAGCCACTGAACTTGCAATTCAATGTATGTGCACATAGACATGTGCATATGATTTCCTGGGTGTGTAACTTTAAGCAGCATGTAAAAGGCCTTTGCATGTCTTGTTCTGGTTCGCTTTGTTCAATGTTAAATGATAACAAGATTCAGAGCAACAGTTTCATGCCTGAGTTTATACTTTAACAGGATTTCTTATTTTCTCTAGCCACACACGATAGGAGAAAATTTAATTTGGCCTTCAAATTCTAGGCATGAGGCACTACTGGTTTCGTTTACCTCTCAAATAAACGGCACCACCAAAAAGTTAATTATCTGCCAATCATTCTGTAGGAAAGGACTGGGCTTCTTAATACCTTCCAAGATAGAAGGGAAAGACCCACAGGACTTAAAAGTCCAGTAGCTTCACCACTTAGCAGGCGGCTCTGTGATTTCACTCCTAATGATCCTAAATGAAATAAATATTAAATGGAAATAAAGATTTCTTGCCTGACTGTCCTATAGGTTTGTTGTAGGAGAAGAAATGAGAAAATGAATGTTCAACACTCAGGGAGCACAGGATGTCTGCTAGGCACTGGGGAAGCAGTGATGAATAAGACACGGCCCTGCCATGTAGATTTGTAAAGACCTTCCTAAACTGCAAAGTGCAATATAAATGAATGGCATCATCATCAACCATTTGCCCTGTGCAAGGATAGCATCCCTCCCCCAGCAACAGCTATATTATTATTATAATATAATAATATTATATATTATTGTATATACTATATAATATTATATTATATATTATATATAATATACTATAATATATTATTGTATATTATATAATTATATATTATATATAATTATATTATATATTATATATTATTATATTCTATATTATATATAATATATTATATTATATATTATGTATATATAATTATATATAATATAATAATATATATTGTTATATATAATACAATAATATATATTGTTATATATAATACAATAATATATTATATATTGTTATATATAATATAATATTATATTATATATTATTATATATTATAATATTATATTATATATTATTATATATAATAATATTATATTGTATATTATTATATTATTATATATTATATAATAATATATTATATTATACATTATATATTATATAATATATATTATATTTATATATTATATATGTGATATATATTATATATATCACATATAATATATATGTCATTATAATATATATTTATATAATATATTGTATATCATTATAATAATATATTATATAAATATATATTATATATACTATAAAAATATATAACATATTATATATACTATAATATGATTATATTATTATAATATTATATTTATATATATCTCTCTCTCAAGCCCAGAAAGACATTAAAATCAGACAGCAATCACACTCTACTCCCCACTTTGAGCTGTGTATTCATCTCTTGAAACTGCTTGTTGTTGCCACAGTA
This sequence comes from Homo sapiens, assembly GCF_000001405.40. Taxonomy (NCBI): domain Eukaryota; kingdom Metazoa; phylum Chordata; class Mammalia; order Primates; family Hominidae; genus Homo; species Homo sapiens. The sequence continues at coordinate 19,631,924 of NC_000012.12, read as the reverse complement.
GATGTAAATTAGCCTAATAATGCCACACCAGACACTTATAACCCACCCTATAGCTTAACCATGGATAGCCAATCACAAATCAATATTATTTCTGTAAACCAGTGAAAATATCTGACAAAAAACTTTGTATCAGTTGTCCGCTGATACGCTCCCTGTCCCCTTTTTGCCTTTAGAAACTTACTTGTAACAAAGGCCAAAGGAAGCTCATGTCCAAGGTTATGTGGCTCTGAGCCTTCTGGGCAACTGTCCTCACTTTGGGTCTAGTAGACTATTTAAATTATCATTTGGGCCTCAGCTTCTTCCTTTTGGGCCAACACTACTCTATTCAAAATTGCAAACCCCCTAGCATTTCCCCTCTTTTCCTATCTTTCACTATTCCTTTATTTCCTTCTGACTTACTATATATTTCACATATTTGTTCATTGTCTCTCTCACCCACTGCAACATACGCTCCCTGATGGCAGGTGGTTTTGTCTGTTTTGTTTGTTCCTGGATGTATCCCCAGTATCTAGAATTGTGCACTCAATAGTCTGCCCCTGAGTAAATGAATCCATCTAAGTCAAAAGAACAGATTGGATCCATATGATGAAATTAGGGGGCCGGGTGCAGTGGCTCATGCCTGCAATCTCAACACTTTGGGAGGCCAAGGCAGCCTGAGGTCAGGAGTTCAAGACCAGCCTGACCAATATGGTGAAACCCTGTCTCTAGTAAAAAATACAAAAAATTAGCTGGGCGTAGTGGCAGGTACCTGTACTCAGGAGGCTGAGGTAGGGAATCACTCGAACCAAGGAGGCGGAGGTTGCAGTGAGCCGAGATCTCGCCATTGCACTCCAGCCTGGGTAACAGAGCAAGATTCTGTCAAAAAAAAAAAAAGAAAGAAAGGCAGAGAGAGAGAGAGAGAGAGAGGAAAGAGAGAAAGAGAGAAAAAAAGAAAGAGAGAAAGAGAGAGAGGGAGGGAAGGAGGAAGGAAGGAAGGAAGGAAGGAAGGAAGGAAGGAAGGAAGGAAGGAAGGAAGGAAGGAAGGAATAAATTAGGGGAAGACTCTATCCTGTTCATAAACATCATTTTTTCTCAGCCAAGCTTTTGATCAGAGCAAGATATCTGACTATTCAAATTTGCTCTTTACAAGAAAAACTGCAGTTCTTGATTCCTATGTAATTGCTTATGGGTGTATTCAGGTGACAGGATAAGCAAACAGTAAAAGAAACCTAATAATTATTACCACCTTGACAGAGAGCCAATTTGCTTCTGTATGGAAGTTCTTAGTCCCTGGGAACATTGAGGAACAAAGCATAATTTCCACAACCTAAATTTGTACTTTCTATGTACTAATAGTCTAGGAACAGACACACGGTAACAGTAAAATTTTCTCTTTTTTTTTTTTTTTTTGATAGGATCTTACTCTGTTGTGCAGGCTGGAGTGCAGCGGCATAATCACTGCTCACTACAGCCTGGATCTCCCAGGCTCAAGCTCTTCTCTGGCTTCATCCTTCCAAGTAGCTAGGACTACAGGCACATGCCACCACCTCTGGCTAATTTTTTTGTTTGTTTGTTTGTTTTGTAGAGAGTGTCTCACTATGTTGCCCAGGCTTGTCTCAAATTCCTGTGCTCAAGTGGTCCTCCCAAAGTTCTGGGATTACATGTTTGAGGCACTGCACCCAGCAAAATGTTCTGATTCCATCTTGAATTAGTGTAACAATAACAGTTAACATTTATAGAGCATTTATTATGCACTAAACATTCTTCTAAGCATTTTACCCATATTAACTCATTTTATCTTCATAATGACCCTACACTGTCATACAATTATTATGGTCAGTTTACAGGTGAAGTTGACTGAGGCACGGAGTAGGAGCTCTACATAGCAGAGCAATTAAGAGGACATTCTGGAGCCAGACACCAATGCCCCCCAGCTGGGAAGTGAGGGGTCATGACTTGAACCTCAGGGGGTCTGGATGCAGAGTCTGCACCTTTGCATTTTCCTGGAAAAGTCGCACATCTTCATTCTCTGTGAGGAAACCAGTATTGCAGCAGCGACCAGCAAACCTCGGGAATCAATTCCACCTGGATTAGTATTCCAGCCCCACCACTCATTGATTAGATGACCTTCAGCAAATTAATTAACCTCCCTGAGATTGTTTCTTCATATAAAATACAGACTATAGTAACATATACCTCATAGAGTTATTAAAAGCACGTCAGTGAGAGAATCTATGTAAAGCACTTAGCATAATTTCTGGCAGCCAATGATACATAGCAATTTAGTCCATTCTGTAGGGTCAGACTGCCCAGACTGGAATCCCAGCTATGCTATTCAGCTCTGCCATCTTGGGCAAGCTAACTATCTCCTCTGTACCTCTCTCCTAATCTATAAAAAAGCAGGGGAGGGAATATTCCTATCAACTCACAGAGTTATGACCATTTAGATCGTTATTCTTTACAACATGCTTAGAACAGCACCTAACACATTATGAATTCTCAATGATTTTATTATGTTAACTACCCATGCCATTCCTCCCTTTCCCCAACATATTCCAAGCCAGCTTTTTATACTGCACACAGCCAGATTGTTACACACTTAATAGGACATTAACATTAACATTTTCATAGATATCCCAAGAAATAACAATTGTAAAACTTCAAAGAGAGGTGCCATGTGACCATAGCCAAAATTTACAAATGCAGGTCCAAAAACTGGTTCCCAAACTCTTGGCCCTGCCCTTCTCTTCTCCACCCTTAGAAGTCTTTGCCTCTGGAATATAGAAGGATTGAGGTGGAGAAATAGAAAATCTGTAATGAGACTTATTTGGAACCCTGTTCACCCTGTGAGGTACTTCCATCTTCACCTCAAGCTCAATGTGGGGCTTCCAAGGGACCACTCAGAGGGTAGGAAATGTCTTGTGAGCCACCGGAGATGTGTGTCCAACTTGTGTCTCGGGAAATAACGCAGCCGGTAGCAGCAGGACAGAGGCTGTTGCACCCGAATAGGAGGGGCCTACATGCCCGGAGTTTGCCAAGGTGAAGATGTGTACAGGTCTCCTGGGGATCCCTGGGGACCAAGGGCCAGAGAAGGTGGACTTGGAGCCATTTTAATTCCCAACCAAGGGGACCACCTAGGAGGACAAGGTGCTTCCAACAGGGTAAGTCTGTAAGGAATGCTGTGCTGTGAGGACCAGCAGCAGAGGGGCATCAGCAAGCCAGAGGGGAGGCATCATCCTCATCTACAGGCTACCACGTGAAATGCATGGGCACTCGCTGGGCTCACAAAAGTGTCACAAGGAAGAAAGACAGCTTTAAACATCTGTCAAGCCTGGAGAGGGTGACGCCATCCAGGCACAGAAAGCACTCACCATCTCCTGGGGTCAAAATGGCATCTAGAGAGTGGAAGAGAAGAATGGAGAGCCACAGAAGAACTCGCCTAGGCCTCCCCTTCAGAGACTCCTGGCTCCCTCGCACATGCTCCAGACCATCTAAGGTTGGGGAAGGAACTCTTAAGAACCCCTGCTGGAAGGTGGAGGGGGAGTGGTCTTATCTTTGAATGAAGATTTAAGTGTTAATTAATATATTAAACTCGACATTTTTATTTGTTTTTTGTTTGTTCATTTGTTTGTTTTCTGAAACAGGGTTTCACTCTATCGCCCAAGTTGGAGTGCAGTGGCATGATTTCTGCTCACTGCAGCCTCGAACTCCTCAGCTCAGGTGATCCTCCCACCTCAGCTGAGACCACAGGCACATGCAACCATGCCCAGATAATTTTTTTATTTTTTGCAAAGACAGGGGTCTCACTACGTTGTCCAAGCTGGTCTTGAACTCTGGGTCTAAAGCAATCCTCCCACCTCTGCCTCCCAAAGTGCTGGGATTATAGGCATGAGCCACCACACCCAGAATAAACTGGACATTTTTAAATACTAAATTGGGACTGAGTGTATGCAAATTAATGTCGCAGAACCAAACTGAGTTCATTTGCCTACAGTAATGGAAAGTCAAACATCAAAGCACCAGGCTTTTGCAAAGAGAAAGATTTATTGTGTGTTGACTAGCAAGGAGACAAGAGGAAATGCTCAAATCTGTCTCCCTGAGCTGAGGGCTGGGGCAAGTTTTATAGACAGAGGGCAATGAGGTGTGATCTGATTGGATCTTACGGTGAGGTGATGGCAGTAGGCATAAGGGACTGGATCCTGCCATGGGGTGGCACCAGGGCTCCTGCCAGACGATGTCCACTTCTTAATACAGTCCCCACTCCTCGGTCTGAGCGCTCAGGTTCTACTAGTGGTTACACGCTGGTTTCTCTGGGCATGCTCAGATTATATGACCTTCAACTGGGAGCAGGGGGCATGGCAACTGAAAAACAACTCACAACTGTACATAAAAGTTGAAACAGATTGGTCTGATGCAGCTGCACTGAAGCAGAACGGTCAACTTACTACGAGCAAGCAGAAAAGTCATGGGCCTGCCTGGGTCTTCATCCCAAAGCAAGGGGTTCTTATCCCACTGAATAAATTATACAGGGTGATAGAAGACAACAATAAATTTTTATTGTGCTGACATCTAACCTATTTTACTTATTCAACATCCAAGCTATTTATAGGCACCATTTGCCTCCTGTGCCCCAGCACTGCCCCCCTTCAGACTGAACCCCCTTCAGACTGAGGAATGCCCCTGTAACCCTCATCCTATCTCCATGCTCCCAACCTCCCATTTTTACCCATCCCCAGGAGATCCTAGACTCACCTCATGCCATCTCCACCACAAAGCTCTAGCCCCTTTAGCCTTCCACTGTTCCAGCACAGGTCATCTGTGCAAGCATCATTGTCTTTGCATGCATCCATTCTTCTGATTACAATGTCCTTTCCTCTGTTCTACACCTATTTAAGAAAGGCATCTCCCTAAGGGACACTTTTCCAAGCTTCTCCAGATACATTTAGCACCTGCCTCATCTGCCTCCCAATGGCATGTCGTATGTGACTCCATTCCAGTACTTTTTATACTGCACTGGGTAGTGTGACTGCCTCACTGGGCTTAGGCTCCCTAAGGGCAAGGCCTTATTCTTCTAGGTAGACTCACTAACTAGCACCAGTAGGTTTACAGAATGGGAGAAAATACTTGCAAACTATGCACCTGACAAAGGACTAATATCCTGAATCTATAAGAAACATAAACAAATCAACAAGAAAAAAAATTAACCCCATTAGAAAGTGGGTAAAGGACATGAACAGACTCTTCACAAAAGATGACATACAAGCAGCCAACAAATATATGATAAAGGCTCTCGACCTCACTAGTCATTGGAGAAATGCAACTCAAAACCGCAATGAAATATAATCTCACACCATTCAAATGACTATTATTAAAAAAATAAAAAAAAAGATGTTCATAAATCTGTGGAGAAAAGGGAATGTTTATATGCTGTTGGTGGGAACATAAAATAATTCAGCCATTATGAAAAGCAGTTTGGAGATTTTTCAAAGAGCTAAAAATAGAACTACCATTTGACCCAGCAATCACATTACTGGATATATACCAGTAAAATAAACCATTCTGCCAAAAAGACACATGCACTCATACATTCACTGCAGCACTATTCACAATAGTAAACACACGGAATCAAGCTAGGTGCCCATTCATGGTAGACCAGACAAAGAAACTGTGGCATATATACACCAATAGAATACTATACAGCCAAAAAAAAAAAAAAAGAATAAAATCATGTCCTTTGCAGGAACATGAATGCAGCTGGAGGCAATTATCCTAAGTGATTAATGCAGAAACAGAAAACTAAATACTGTGTGTTCTCACTTATAAGTGGGTGCTAAATTTTGGGTACACATGGACATAAGGATGGTATATTAGTCCATTTTCATGCTGCTGATAAAGACGTACCCAAAACTGGGAGGAAAAAGAGGTTTAATTGGACTTACAGTTCCACGTGGCTGGGGAGGCCTCAGAACCATGGCAGGAGGAGAGAGGCACTTCTTACAAGGCAGTGGCAAGAGAAAAATGAGGAAGAAGCAAAAGTGGAAACCCCTGAAAAACCCATTAGATCTCATGAGACGTATTCACTATCACAAGAATAGCACGGGAAAGACCAGCCCCCATGATTCAATTACCTCCCCCTGGGTCCTTCCCACAACACGTGGGAATTCTGGGAGACACAATTCAAGTTGCTATTTGGGTTGGAACACAGCCAAACCATATCAGATGGTAACAATAGACACTGAGGACTCCAAAAGGAAGAAGGGAGGGAGGGGCAAGGGCTGAAAAACTTCTGGTTGGGTGTTTAGTTCACTAACTGAGTAATGGGATCGATAGAAGCCCCAGGCTCAGCATCACACACATTGTTGTCCATGTAACAAACCTGCACATGTACCCCCTGAATCTAAAATTAAAATGGAATTTTTTTTTTTTTTTTGAGATGGAGTCTCACTCTGTCACCCAGGCTGGAGTGCAGTGGCAGGATCTTGGCTCACTGCAACCTCCCGCTCCTGGGTTCAAGCGATTCTCCTGCCTTGCCTCAGCTTCTTGAGTAGCTGGGACTACAGGCGTGTGCCAGCATGCCTGCCTAATTTTTGTATTTTCGGTAGAGACAGGGTTTCACTGTGTTAGCCAGGCTGCTCTCGAACTCCTGATCTCAGATGATCCTCCCGCCTCAGCCTCCCAAAGTGCTGCGATTACAGGCGTGAGCCACCGTGCCTGGGCTAAAATGGAATTTTTAAAAAATGCATTGTGTTTTCTTGTAAGGTTTAACTTGTACCTTTCATTACCTTTCTAGCTAATATTACATTTTTTTTATTTCATATTTGATAGAAACCAAGTATTTCCAAATACATATTCACAATAGTTGATTTCTAGATAAAACACAAAACTTCCCCCAAATTGAAGGTATTTTAGAAGAGGCAGGTAGCAATGGAGAGCTCTAGTTTGTGTTGTTTCTATCTTTACTCATGGCTGGGGAGGGACAGAGGTGTTATAGGACAGCTCATGCCAACAAGAGTTTGACACGATGGCCCTTTCCATTTGAAAGGCAGCAGATATTTCCCCTCCCACTCAGAGCCTGCTCAGAAGCAATAAAGAAGATTGCCTTCAGATACAGATATTTTTCTCTGGCTTATGCTGGAGCTCCCTGCACAGACTTCCCTTTCATCTGCCTTCAGAGCATTTTCTTGTCTGGCCCTAAAAACCCCCGCAGATACTTCATTAAGACTCAACAGACGAAAGCAAGGTCAGCACATTCCGAAGTGACTGAAGGAAGAGAACAGATGATGTGCACATTTTTTTCAAGACCACATGCACCTCTTCTCTGCTTAAGGCGTTACCAACTAGGGAAAGTTGGGCCCTTCCTAAAAGTGGAGTCCTGCTGATAGTTAACCGATTAACTCCTATTTTGAAAGGTCCACACGACACTGCTTGCCATATGATATTTATACTCATTTTGTCATTGTGGGCAAAATTAATACCCACTAAAGGCAGCTGTATTGGAGAAGCAAGGATTATTTCAAGAGAATGTTCAATACAACCAAGCAATTTCCATATCCTGAGTATGACATAAAATTTTACGTTTTCTTTCTGGTTCTATCGATTCCATATGAGGCAAATTCTCTCTGGTTGCGCATAGTTAAGTAACTAAGTTCACTTCTCTCCCATCTCTACCATCTCATTATATAAGTGGTGTCTCACTGGGTACTGACTGTGCTGCAGGCAGAGGCTGAGGGTTGCAGGGAAGATAGAAGGCCAGAGGTGGAGGAAGTGGCTTAGGCAGTGACAGACATTGTTAGATGTTTGCTGCATAATAAGCACTAGTAAATGTTTCCGAGTCTGTTTTCTGCCTACAGATTCAACAATATGGTGAATTATTACAGAACACTAAAGGCCAGGAGTTTCATTACTGTCAGATACATCAAAATACTGCATAAATGACTATAAACATAAGATGGAGGATAACTCGATTGCTAGGATGTCATTTGTTGGCCCACGTGCCACCTCCAAGACCTGGTGCCAAGGCTTTGGATGCTGACAGTCATTTATGAGTCCCCGAATATGTAGCCAAAATTGCTACACGTTACAGCACGACCCCTGCATGTTAGTTTTTCTTTTGATAACTAACAGAAGGGGCCATGCAATTCTGTTAGTTATCAAAAGAAAACAACACTACACCTCCTGGCTTAAACCAATATCCAGGGATATTTATTTCTTCACTACACTCCCCAGGACTCACCAAGTTTGCAGGACGAAGGGAGAAAGGAGGCTTCTGTGCTAACAGTTACCTGGTTGTCTACTCCAATGGGCAGAGCAGAGAGACAATATGCTGTTCCCAAACTTCCCTCATGTTTGGAAACAGGGGTAAGTATGAAGGTGTTATCTAGATGTTCTACACCAGAACTAGTGGTGATACATCGTTATTGAGATGTGCTTTCAGACATTCTCTCTGGAGTTCATATAAAATGCCCTAACTACAGTTTCCATAAAAGCTCCAGCAGCCAGAGAACAAGATTAAAGTGAACCTATGGCCTGAATTTTATTTGTTTTCCTAAAAGGCACACAGTATATCATTAGAGGTAGTAATGCAGTACAATGGAGACATCAGCTTTGTTTCCCTACAGCAAATCATTGGCAAGGCGATTTCTGATACAAATCCCATGGGGCAGCTAACTTTTTAAGGACTTTTTCTGAACCTGATAAATGCAATTACCATTTCTCTTGTGCCCAGACACTTTCTCCCTTACTCCTAATCATCTCTCATTACCCCCACGTATCTATGGCCATGTATGTTTCAAACTCCCATAGCCCTAAGTAACACCTACAGTCCAACCCCCACCACATCTCCAGGGCAGAGCCACACTCTCCCTTCCCTTAGGAAGGGAGATGCCCTTCAGGTGCCATCCAGAGCAGATGCCCACCGATATGGCTGGCACGGGCAAAGACAAGGAATGCAGAAAAAGATGTTGAGATGCTATATTCATGTTATGTTATTGATCTATATTAATAGATCATACAGAAATTCATCTGCAAACATGGGAGTTATATTTACCATAAGGTTTTTTGGGAAGACAGCACATTTCATGCAATGATTGTGAATAGAAGTCCACGCCATTAACTTTAGCCTAAGGCCTTCGCTTGGGAAGCGAAGTGAGAGAACACAATTCCAGAGACTTTTGAGACAGCTTTTCAACAAGGAGTTCTATTTCCTTTTTCTTTTCCTCTCAATAGTTAAATATAGAGAATGGAAGAAGAAAAAGAAAGAAGTGGGGGAGAGAGGAAATTAAAAAGAGGAAGGCGAGGTTAAGACAAAGAGCAGAGGGAGAGAGAGCAAAAAAAGAAGAGTTGCAAAGGCCAACTTAGATTTCTTATATAAATTCTATTTCTAGGAATATCTTCCTGCTTTATAACCTTAACACACAGTAGTCAATGCTCTGAGGTTCCTTCAAAACAAAGGCGAGGTCATTACATGGTTTGGTGCATAGGAAAGAGAAGCCTGTGGTAAGTATTCTTCATTACATTACATAAAATCCCCTTTATTGAAGACCTTGGGATAAACGCCTTTGTGCTGTGAAAAGCAAGAATGCTGATGTTTCTCTTTAAGGAATTGGATTGCTTTTACCTATAGACATTCTGATTTGTGTATTTGATAGTTTCTCTCTTTGCATTTTTTTTTATACAGTCAGGGTCTCACTCTGTCACCCAGGCTGGAGTGCAATGGCACGATCACAGCTCACTGCAACCTCCACATCCCAAGTTCAAGCAATCCACTCACCTCAGCTTCCCAAGTATCTGGGACCACAGGCACGCACCACCATGCGTGGCTAATTTTTTTTTAAATTTTTTTGTAGAGATGGGGTCCCACTATGTTGCCCAGGCTGGTCTTGAACTCCTGCTGACTTCAAGCAATCCTCCAGCTTCAGCCTCCCAAAGTGCTGGGATTACAAGTGTGAGCCACTGCGCCTGGCCTCTGTTTGCATTTTGATTTGATAAAAAGCATAAATCCTTAAGAGAGAATACAAACCTCAGACTGGGAGAAAATATTTGCAAAATACTTATCTGATAAAGCACTATTATCTAAAATATGCAAAGAACTCTTAAAACTCAACAATCAGAAAACAAACAACTCAATTAAAAATTGGCAAAAGACTTTTGAACAGACACATTGCCAAAGAAGATATAAGATGGCAAGTAATCACATGGAAAGATGCTCAACATCATATGTTACTAGGAAAATGTGAGTTGAAACAATGAGGTGCCACTACACACCAATTAGAATGGCCAAAATCTAAAACACTGACAACACCAAATGCTGGTGAGGATGTGGAGCAGCAGGAATTCTCATCCATTGCTGATGGGAATGTAAAATGTTACGGCCACTTTGGAACAGTTTAGCAGTTTCTTACAAAACTAATCACACTCTTGCCATATGATCCAGCAATTGTGCTCCTTGGTATTTGCCCAAGTAAGTTGGAAACTTACATCTACACAAAAGCCTGCACATGCATGTTTATAGTAACCTTATTCATAATTGCCAAAACTTAGAAGCAACCAAGATGTCCTCAGTAAAATAATGGGTAAATAAACTGCAGTACAACCAGACAATGGAATATTACTCAGCAATAAAAAACTTTTCATAGTTACCAAACTATGAAAAGACATGGAGGAAACTTAAATGCATATTACTAAGTAAAAGAAGCCAATCTGAGAAGGCTACATACTTTGTGATTCCAACTGCTATACATGACATTCTGGAAAAGGCAAAATCATGAAGACAGTAAAAAGATCAATGGTTGCCAGGGCTTAGGTGGATGAGAGAGTCAGTAAAATTAAATTAAATGTATTAAAATTAATTTAATAAATTTTATATAAAATGTATATTATTTATATAAAGTAAATATAACTATAATTATAATATATAACTATATAATTATAATATGATAATTTTTCAGGTGTACAATGTGATGTAGGGTTTTGGGTTTCTTAAATAAATTTTATTGTGTATATTTAAGGTCTATAACTTGTTATGAGATACATATATAGTAAAATGGTTACTATAGTGAAATAAATTAACATATCCATCATCTCATTTTTCCCTCCTGTGGCAAGAGCATTTTTCCCATTTTTCCCTCCTGTGGCAAGAGCAGCAATAATCAACTCATTCAGCAGTTATAGAAACTATTAAATATATTAGATAATAACATGTATGTGATTTTTAAATTCCATATAAAATTTATTTTAGTCTGGTACATACGTTCTCTTTATTATAAGAAGAGAACCAAACAACAAGGAAAACACATCAGGAATTCTGAATTATACAGCAAAGAAAGCCCTGACCTGGCTCTTCATGTTTCCTACCAGCTGTTGACCCAGCACAGCTTATGCTCCAAGGCCTGTGCCGTGACCACCTCTGCAGACTCGCTAATGTAGCACCAAGGGGCACTTTGCTGGTGAGATTCTCCTACCTCAACTTGTTGTGAAGCAAGTAAGGACTGTACTTCCTCCTCCACTGTGTTGTTTGCCCCAGGTTGTCGAAGGGTGTGGTGTCCTCTGCCCGTCACCCTGAGACAGCACATGCCACAGGGCTTACGTACGCACCATGAGTCCACTGCCTGTCTACTTGGACCTGCGCCACACTTATTGTTTATATAATTTTGATGTCATTTCAAATTTACAAAAAAGTTCCAAGAAATTCTATGTACCTTTCAGCAGATTCCACAATTACTATTATTTACTTCTGTGTGTGTGTGTGTGTGTGTGTGTGTGTTTCATGAATTATCTGAGAATAAGTTGAGACATCATGTTCTTTGCCCCTAAAAACTTCAGGGTATATTTCCTAATTAAAAAGATTTTGTCTTTCATAACCACAGCATAATCACCAAAGTAAGGATTTTAACAAACTCAATACAAATCCCCTCAATGAAGGAACACTCTGCTAATGAGCCATAAAAAGTCCACTGGAGGATGATTTTCATCCAACCAAATATGACTGGAAAAATTTGTGCAAAAGGACTGAGGGTAAAAAATTAATACATTGAAGGTAGATTTAAGGGAAAAAATAGAAGGAGATAAGCTCAGGAACATAATATATACATCTTGTATGTTTTGATGACATAGAAATAAATTACTAATTTAATTAAAATTGAAGGAGAATAGAGAGAAAGGGTAAAAATAGAAAAAAGTTCATTGATTGGTATATAAGCAATAGGTGAGAGTCAAAGAAACCATTAAAAAATGGCAAACCAGCTGCACCAAAGGAAAAGTTTAAAAAAAAACTGGCAGACCAAGGCAAAAGTAAATTTTTAAAACAGGGGACACAGACCCCATCTCATTAAAAAAAAAAAATTAATAAAAATAGCCAGGCATGGCCGGGCGCAGTGGCTAACGCCTGTAACCCCAGCACTTTGGGAGGCCGAGGTGGGCGGATCACAAGGTCAGGAGATCGAGACCAGGATGGGGGCTAACACAGTGACACCCCCTCTCTACTAAAAAAATACAAAAAATTAGTCAGGCGTGTTGGTGGGCGCCTGTAGTCCCAGCTACTCGGGAGGCTGAGGCAGGAGAATGGCGTGAACCCGGGAGGCGGAGCTTGCAGTGAGCCGAGATCGCGCCACAGCACTCCAGCCCGGGCAACAAAGCGAGACTCCAAATCAAAAAAAAAAAAAAAAAGCCAGGCATGGTGACCCACACCTGCAGTTTCAGCTACTTGGGAAGCTAGCTTGAGTAGGGAAGCTACTTGGGAAGCTACTTGAAAGATAGCTTGAGGCCAGGTTTGAGGCAACCTAGCAAGAACCCCACCTCATTTAAAATAAAAATGAAAAAAAAAAAAAAAACAGGGGGCAAGAGCATTAACATATGCATAAAACAATAAAAGACCGAATACTAGAACAAAATATAGATTTTTAAAACACTAAAAGAAATTTTAGGTCGGACGCAGTGGCTCACGCCTGTAATCCCAGCACTTTAGGAGGCTGAGGTGGGTGGATCACCTGAACCCTGTGTCTACTAAAAATACAAAAATTAGCCAGGCATAGTGGCGCGCACTTGTAGTCCTGGCTACTCAGGAAGCTGAGGCAGGAGAATCGCTTGAACCCAGGAGGCGGAGGTTGCAGTGAGCCGAAATCGCACCACTGCACTCCAGCCTGGGCGGCAGAACGAGACTTTGTCTCAAAAGAAAAAAAAAAGAAAAGAACAAAAGCATAACCCAAATCTAATCGTGAAGAAATATCATGAATTAGCCCAACATCAGGCAAACTCACATTGAGGGGCATTCTATGCAATAACTAGTCTATATTCTTCAAAAACATGAAGGTCGTGAAAGACCAAAAAAAGGACTACAGAGTGGTTGCAGACGAAAGAAAGTCACGAGTGCTAATAGGGATTTGTGACCCGGGAGTCTGGATCAGTCTCTCTCTCATACATGTACACAGTACTTCAATCCATGTTACAATCCTAATTTTGGCAATTGTACTGAGGTTATGAAAGACAAAATTTTTGTTATTAGTATATACACCCTGAAGTATTTAGGGCTAAAGCGGCATGATGTCTCAACTTATTCTCTAAATGATTCATGAAAGATATTAATTTCTTACCATTAGTCCTTTTGTCAAAGTTTTTCCAGTCATATTTTTGGTTGGATGAAAATCATCCTCTAGTGGACTCTTCAAAAATAGCTCCTTAGGAGAGTGTTCCTTCATTTCTGTCATGTTTAAAATTGCTTTTCTATAGCCTTGACAGCTAAACAAGAGCTTAATTGGATATAAAGTTTTGGTTCACACTTTATTTCCTTGATTTTCTTGAAAAGGCTGTTCAGTTGCCTTGTTTTCTCTGTTGCTTGTGAGAAATCTGATGCCAGTATAATTATCTTGTTCTTTGACCTTTCTGCCTAAAAGCCATGAAGAATTTTTGTCTCTATCTTGAAATAAATAATTTTACTAGGACATGCCTCAGAGTTTGTTGTTCCAGGTCATTATTCCCAAGTACCTACTAAATTCTTTCAATATAAAGTCAGGCTGGGAGTGGTGGCTCATGCCAGTAATCCCAGCACTTTGGGAGGCCAAGGCAGGAGGATCTCTTGAGCTCAGGAGTTTGAGACCAGCCTGGGCAACATAGCGAGACCCTGTCTCAAAAAATATATATATATACACACATATATATATATATATACACATATATATATATACACACATATATATATACACACATATGTATATATACACACACACACACATATATTTGTGTATACATATGTACATATATATATGAAGTCAGTCCTTTTTTTATTTCCAGAAGGTTTTCTAGAATTATGGTTTTAATTATTTTATACTATTCCATTATTTTGTTGTTCTTCTGGAATTCCAGTTATGCCTAGAGCAACTTTTTTTTTTTTGCTTATCTTCCATTCCAATCATTTTACCCTAACCCTTTTTATTTCTTTTATTATTTCATTTTCACTCTCTTAGTTGTTTTTCTACTTTTCCTTTTGCTGAATTTTCATTCAAATATATTTTCTCTTAGGTACCTTGTTATATCTAAGAATTTAGTCTTTCCTGTCTGATATTTGGGTTTCTTCTTTTTCTTTCCTAGATTCAAACAACTGTAATTTTATTTCTCTTTTTGTAGAAGAACAGCCTCTTGCATGGTAGGAGTGATGCCATGATGCCACCTTTCTTTTTCTTTTTTTTCTTTTTTTTTTTTTGAAACAGGGTCTCGCTCTGTTGCCCAGGCTGGAGTGCAGTGGCATGATCTCAGGTCACTGCAACCTCCGCCTCCTGGGTTCAAGCGATTCTCCTGCCTCAGCATCCTGAGTAGCTGGGATTTCAGGCATGCACCACCACGCCCTGCTAATTTTTTCATTTTTTGTAGAAACGGGGTTTCGCCATGTTGGGCAGACTGGTCTCGAACTCTTGACCTCAAGTAATCCGCCCGCCTCTGCCTTTCAAAGTGCTGGGATTACAGGCGTGACCCACGGCGCCGGGCCAGTGGTGCCATCTTGAAGGGACACTGCCATGATGACAGACGTTTAACCCCCACCTACCAAGGTGTTCTGCAGCAAGGTCATCAATGCCTGGAGCGTAGATTACTCGTCATAAAGCTGCTGATATAATCCACATAGTAGCCACATATTGTGGCAAAAAAAAGTCTGAAGATGTAACCAGCTGCACGCATTTTACCGTAAATTGCTTGTTCTATAAAGAGTACTTTCTGGAGGGTGAGTGCAGGGATCCACCACCTCCCGATTGCCCAGGACATTGCTTCTGTTGGCGAGTCCCTATAAAATATTTCTTGTTGAGAAACTGAATTTGTTAACCTCTTTTCTTCAGCCTCTCAGCTCCCTCAACCTTTGGGAGTATGATTTCATGCACCTGCTCACCACAGAACAATTTTTGCTCATTCTTATTCTTAGTTTTTGAATTTCTGTTTCAAGATGCCTTTTAATATCTTGAAGTGCATGTTTGGGATTATTTATTTCAGTTTAGAATATATTTTTTGCTTCATGGCTGTTGGTTTTTAGAATTTTTTTCAGTTTTTAAAAAAAAAATTTAGGGTGGACCTTCTATTTCTGGAAGTGATTTTATCTCATTTCCTCTTCTATCTTCTGTGCAATGTTTTAGACCCCTTACCCCACCCACAACAGTCCACAAGTCTTTCAACAGAGCTTCAGAGAAAACTCTACGGGAAATAGGTGTTCATTTTTGTACACTCAAGTAATCTGAAATTTGTAGTGCCTTCAGTCTTTGAATAATACTGCAAGCATAGGATTCGCGTGGATTTCTTTTTTCTCATAAATCGCTATTGTTTTTCTGGAGAATTCGTGAAGACATTTGAATTTAGACTGCCAGCATTACCTCAGCTACCCAGAGATTGCTTCAATAACTGATTTTGAATGAATAAAAGCATTCAATGATACTATGACTTTATTTATATTCAGAAAGTAAAAATCTTACAACACACGGAACATATTAGATTTTACCAGATCTTCTGATACCAGAATTACAGGGATTGTCATATATTAATTATAAATTACAAAAATATTGGTTGTTTTGTTAAGAAAAATAATGTTCTCAATGAAAAAACATTATATTCAAAGTGCTAAATCTTATGTATTATGCCAGCTTCAATTGTAACACAAATATATGTGTTCCTTTTCATTTCACTGTCATCCCCAACTTAAACTAGACCTAAGATTTTTCTATTCTTTGCCAGACTTTTAGAAATTAAGTAGAGCACATTTTAAATAAAGTGGTATTGCTTTCATCTTTACCCCATTTTTGCTGAATGCTTGTATAAGAGTTTAATACTTGGGCACTTAGGACCACTCTTCATGTTCTATAACTAAAAGGACCAGTGTATTTGTAAACTAACTGGGGCATGGCAGTCAACCCAGATTTGCAGCAAATCTTCACCCATATTGCAAACCAGATGGAGAACTTAACTATTTTATGGTATCTAGCAGCTGTCTTCTTTTTGTGTTCACATGCATAGAGCTAAACCCACAGGCTGCTGTGTACCCCTATGAAGTAAGAGGCTTAGAAATCATATTTTTCTAGGTTTTCCCTTGTTTCACTTCTAAAATACTCTTGAAACATTAACCAATTTGAGGGTAAACCAAATAAGCAAACACAAGGAAGTCCTATCCAAATACAGCCTGCTATCTATGCAATAGGTAACTTCATTTCACCACATGGTATACTCACAAATGTTTTACTACAGAGTTTGTACACAAATTGGGAATAAAGACCAGTGAATTGCCCTCTGATATAACTTATTGCTCAATAGAAGACCGTTATTTTTTTAAATGGCAACAAAATCTCACTGGCCGGAAAGACCTGCATATGGTTCATTTCTTTCTGGTATGTGCTAAATCAGAGCCTCAAAGAGAACTAGGTGGGGAGGCCCGATGTAATGCTCTCCTTACAGAAGACAAATGGCAAAACAGATGGTAGAGTATAAAGCAATTCCAGCTCTTTATCACTTTGGTTCTTCCAGAATTAAACATTTAGACCACAGTGATTTTCAAATATATCCGTGAAAAAGCAGGAAAACAAAAAAGGCATGCCTATATTCCTGGAATTCAAGCCATAGTCATGGAGATGGGATTCATCTGGGCCTCAATAAAATCAGAGTGTGAAGATTAATCTTCTAATGCAAAATTAACATGTGAATCAAAGCTCTCTGGTGCTTCCTGGTTCTTGAATGGAAACTGGTTTTGCAAGTAAGGTATTTTTTTTTAAGGCTGACTGAACCCTTAGCTAGATGGAAATCTTTTATTTACATCATATAATCGACGAATTATTTTATTTTATTTTTTTATTTTTTATTTATTTATTTTATTTTATTTATGTTTTTTTTTTTGAGACGGAGTTTCGCTCTTGTCACCCAGGCTGGAGTGCAATGGCGCTATCTCGGCTCACTGCAACCTCCACCTCTGGGGTTCAAGCGATTCTCCTGCCTCAGCCTCCCGAGTAGCTGGGATTACGTGCCACCAAGCCCAGCTAATTTTTATATTTTTAGTAGAGACGGGTTTTCGCCATCTTGGCCAGACTGGTCTGGAACTCCTGACCACAGGTGATCCACCCACCTTGGCCTCCCAAAGTCCTGGGATTACAGGTGTGAGCCACCACACCTAGACAGTTGACCAATTTTTTAAATGTTCATTTTCATAGCAGGAACCAAAAGCAACTATAGATTAAACAAACCTACAAAACTCTCTGATTTCACTGTGAAATGTGGTCAGAGATCCATTTGCACAAAGACGTTAACCAGTATGACCCCAGCCTCAGCTTAAAGACCCAACAAGGGTAGTGAAAAGGACAGTGGAGAAGGAGAGAATGGGAGAAGGCAAAGATGCAAAGAAAAACACTTGATGTGGGGTACTCTAAATCACTGCTATGAATGAACCTGATAATAAATACCCTCATGGAAAGAATATATAAATACCAATCATAGAAATACCAATCATAACAGCCTAGCATTCCTACACAATTACTGCTGCAACATAATTAATGTGGTATTAAATTATCGCTTTAAGAGCTACAAGTATTTAAAAAATGAGCTGATTTCAAATAAAAAATTATTTCACAGTTCAGTCTTCAGTCTAACGCTCTCCCAACTGAGCTATTTCGGCTGGGCAACAGTTCAGTCTTAAGGATCATAAAAGTCAGACATCATAACAAAAGCAAATGTAACCCTTACATCCCAAATCTGTCATTTCCAAGGGGTTCCTCTCCAGTGGTGTCAATCAATAAAAAACAGCATTTCCTCCAAAGACTCAGCTGGACAAGAATGTCCAGCTTTTCTGACACAATGCTGCCCAATCCTACTGGTTGAAGAAAAAACAGAGATTCTGAGAGAAACAAGTTTTAGGCAATTAGGATGCTATCTCTCCAGAGCTCCAAGAAAAATCAGAGATTAGGATATCCAGAAGAAAATAAAGGTTTAATTTGTATTACACACATACAGAAAAGCTAAGATGAGTTATGGAATAGGTAAAGCTTATATTCTGGGCCCTGATCCTTTTATTTCCTTCCTGTGAACAAAACAAAACAGACAGCTTCTTGGGTATGAAAGTGAATACTGGACTTAGAGACAGAAACACAACTTTGCCACTTCCTAAATTACTCACTACGTTGTCAAATTCTATTCCCAGACAGGACACAAAAGTCATTTATTCTGAACTCTGACCTCTAACTACTACTGCACTAGACACCGAAGTCCAAGAGATCATCTCTATCTCCACTCCTGCGTTAGTTGTTTGGTTTGAGACAAGTGCATGCGTGCACGTCCAAAACAAAAATATGTTTTCAACAGAGCTAGGGAGCAATTATATGGCAACATGGAAACAAATGTGAAACGCAAACAATATGTTCTGCAGTAAAATTTAAAGAAATTCAAAGTTCAGGTAAGACACATTCAGGAAGGGAAGACTAAGAGTTCCAAGGTAGAAAACAGGTTCCTTTCCATCCCAGAGAGCCTCTCAATCCTCAGTGCTGCTCTCAGCTAGCTGTCCACTCTCCTCCCTTAGGTGTGAGCAAACTCTTTAAGGTATTCCCTCCTAGAAACTCACATAGATGTAGTCAAAGTCTTGAACTTTGATTCAGGAAAAAGCCAAGATGGTCAACTAGTCACTGCCAGGAGAGCATCTCCCACCACAAGACAAGACCATCAAGCAGACCAGTACACTCCCAGCAGATCAAATAAGAAAGGCATTGAGAGTGTACCGAAGGAAGACATAAACTCTGGGCTGAAGGGGAAGGAAGCTGGGAACCCTGCACCGGACTACAGAGCACCAGAACTCATTCCTGACCCCCAGCGACTCCTTTGCATGGTTTGAGTTAAACAGGCGAGGAGTGGCCCACTCTCACCAAGAACCTCGTAGTTGCAGGAGAGCCCACGACCCTCGTGGACATTTGAGCTGACAGAGCTGTTTGGAGAGGTGGCAGGGACAGAACTCTAGCTTGTGATGAGACCAGAAGGTTTGGCATGGAACAGCTGAGGTGGAGCACTGGCTAGGGACACCCATCCGCCAAGGCTTGCCAAGCTCCTCCAGGTGGTTTGACTTTTGTTCACTGATGGAGCTGGACAGAACATGGCTATCTTGTCCATGGGATGGGCCCCATCTGATTTGAGTAGCCCACAGTCTGCCCGCCTTTTTCAGGTTCTCTGCCCAGCAGTACCCACTTGCAGGGCAGCGTCAGATGCCAGAAGGGAGCACTTCCCATTGGCCCCACCATAGCTCCTTCACAGACTAACCTCACCTACCACAGTGCACACCCACCCCTGGCCTCCCCCCACCACTTTGCTGGCACACACTCACCTGTATCCCCCACCTACTGCTAATCCACCACTAGGCACTGAAGGAACATACCTCAAAATAATAAGAACCATCTATGACAAACCCACAGCCAATATCATACTAAATAGGCAAACACTCGAAGCATTCCCTTGAGAACCAGAACAGCACAAGGATGCTCACTCTCACCACTCCTGTTCACGTGGTACTGGAAATCCTAGCCAGAGCAATCAGGCAAGAGAAAGAAATAAAAGGCATCCAAATAGGAAGAGAGGAAGTCAAACTCTCTCTCTCTGGAGATGATATCATTCTATACCTAGAAAATCCCACGCTCTATGCCCAAAAGCTCCTAGATCTGATAAACAACTTCAGCAAAATTTCAGAATACAAAAATGATGTACAAAAATCAGTAGCATTTCTACATATCAACAATATCCAAGCTGAAAGCCAAATCAAGAACGCAATCCAATTCACAATACCCACAACAAAAATAAAATACCTAGGAATAGAGCTAGCCAGGGAGGTGAAGGATCCCTACAACAACAATTACAAAACTCTGCTCAAAGAAATCAGAGACAACACAAACAAATGGAAATAGTTTCCATGCTCGTGGATAGAAAGAATCAATATGGTTAAAATGGCCATACTGCCCAAAGCAATTTACAGATTCAGTGCTATTCCTATCAAACTTTTACAGAATTAGAAAAATTCTAATTTTTTACAAAATTAGAAAAACCTATTCTAAAATTCATGTGGAACCAAAAAAGAGCCTGAATAGCAAAAACAATACTAAGTAAAAATAACCAAGCCGGAGGCATCATACTACCCAACTTCAAACTACACTGCAAAGCTACAGTAACCAAAGCAGCATGGTAATGGTACAAAAGCAGACACATAGACCAATGGAACAGGTTACAGAACTCAGAAATAATACTGCATACCTTCAACCATATGATCTTTGACAAAGCTGCCAAAAACAAGCGATGCGGAAAGGAATCTCTAGTCAATAAATTGTGCTGGGATAATAGGCTAACCATGTGCAGATGGTTGAAGCTAAACCCCTTCCTTTCACCATATACAAAAATCAATCCAAGATGGTTAAAGACTTAAATGTAAAGCCTAAAATTATAGAAAACCTAGGAGATACCATACTGGACATCAGCCCTGGAAAAGATTTCATAATGAAGACCCCAAACGCAGTTGCAACAAAAACAAAAATTGACAAATGGTACCTAATTAAAGAGCTTCTGCACAGCAAAAGAAATTATCAACAGAGTAAACAACCTACAGAAAGGGAGAAAATATTTGCAAATTATGCATCCAACAAAGGTCTAATACCCAGCACCTATAAGGAACTTAAACAAATTAAGAAGAAAAAAAAAACATTAACAAATGGGTAAAGGACATGAAGAGACACTTTTCAAAAGATGACTTACATGTGGTCAACAAGCAGATGAAAAAATGGTCAACATCACTGATCGTCAGATCAATGCAAATCAAAATCACAATGAGTTACCATCTCATACCAGTCAGAATGGCTATTACTAAAAAGGCAAAAAATATCAGATGCCAGCAAGGTGGCAGAGAAAAGGGAATGCTTATACACAGCTCACAGGAATGTGAATTAGTTCAGCCATTGCGGAATTCAGTTTGGAGAGTTCTCAAAGAACTTAAAACAGCACTACCATTTGATCCAGCAATCCCATTGCTGGGTATGTAGCCAAAGGAATATAAATTGTTCTACCATAAAGACACAAGCATGTGTATGTTCGTTGCAGCACTATTCACAATAGCAAAGGCATGGAATCAACCTAAATGCCCATCAACAGTAAACTGTATAAAGAAAATGTGGTTCATATACACTGTGGAATTCTATGCAGCCATAAAAAACAATGAGATAATGCCCTTTGTAGCAATGTGGATGCAGCTGGAGGCCATTATCCTAAGCAAACTAACACAGGAACAGAAAACACCACATGTTCTCACTCATAAGTGGGAGCTAAACATTGAGTACACATAGACACAAAGAAGGGAACAAAAGACACCTGGGCCTACTTGAGGGTGGAGACTGGGAGGAGGGTGAAGATTGAAAAACTATCTATCAGGTACCATGCTTGTTACCTGGATAATAAAATAATCTGCACACCAAACCCTTATGTTATGCAATTTGCCCATGTAACAAACCTGCACATTTACCCTCTGAACCTAAAATAAAAATTGGAAAGAGAAAAAAAAAAAGTCTTGAACTTTAATAGAGCGCTCATAAAGTCTAAAAAGCTACTAGATCTCAAAGGAATGAAATCCCTAACTGTAAAATTTTAGACCAAATTACAAGGCCTTGAGCTTGGGGAACTGGGGACATGGAGCACACATGTGTGAATATATTCAGAATACCTCTCCTATCATACCTCATGGGTAATTATATGTTTTTAATAATCATAAGACCAGCCCTTAATGAGTTGATTTAGCCTGAAAATCTTCAAAGCAAAGGATTAGCTTCACCTAGGCAACTGTTTATTATTTCATTTGCTTCTATCAAGATTACTAAATCATAAATTCTTTTCTGTTTCCAAAAGTCTAACACAGTGCTTTGTACATATTTATGTCCTTGATAAAAATTTTTAACTTGAGTTTTTATCCTAAAGGTTTTCAAACCAATTCAAGAAACCAATTTCCTCTTCTAACAAATCAATTGAGACATGAAGCATTACGGATAGAACCCAGAAACTTACAAAATGAAGCGACAATAGAATAACCTGAAAAACTGATGAATCACTGACTCACTTTTTATGCAAAACATTCAAGCAGTAATGCCTAAAATGGGACTAATACAGGCTGGGCGCTGTGGCTCACGCCCATCATCCCAACACTTTGGAAGGTCGAGGCGGTTGGATCACTTGAGGTCAGGAGTTCAAGACCAGCCTGACCAACATGGTGAAACCCCGTCTCTACTAAAAATACGAAAATTAGCCAGGCGTGGTGGCACTAGCCTATAATCCCAGCATCTCAGTAGGCTGAGGCAAGAGAATCGCTGGAACCTGGGAGGCAGAGGTTGCAATGAGCCAAGATCACGCCATTGCACTCCAGCCTGGGCAACAAGAGTGAAACTCTGTCTCAAAAAAAATACAAAAAGATAAGTCTCTTGAAACGCTTCTTAGATGGAGATGGAACCTCATGGGATAGTAAACTCACAACATATTAGGTAAAGATTTTGTATGAGTTTACCTCTCCCTCACTGCGTAAATCTTCTAAAACCACGGTCTACTTCTAAGAGAACAAAATAATTGTTCTTGGGGCATCAGCATTAGCAAAAAAGGGAGGCAAATAATGGAACAATTATCTGAACACTATAACCAGAATAAACAGCCAACCTTCCTTTAGGCCTTCCTTTCATGTTTGTTTCCTGTTCTATTAAAGAGTGTTTTGGAGATAAAAAATAGAGTTTCTTTGCCTAAAAGATCTGATTGCCGGGAATCTGGTCACTTAACCTAAAATCATCAATTACCAGGGTTTTTTTTTAAATTCCAAAAACTTTATGCATGGGACCCCAAGGTCATTTTGAAAGAAGTACAGAAAATAGTCCTTTGCCAATGTTCTTTTACTGAAGAATTGGCTTTAATAAAACAGGACTTGGGTTTCCAGAGAATCAAAAGGCACTAGGGTGGTTATTTTCCTTAAAAATTAAAAGTAAAACCACCAACTCTTCAAGCTCAGCGCAAAAAAAGTCTGCTAACTATCAAAAGCTGAAGTTTACACAAAGGTAAATCAGAATCAATTGCCAATCTTTTTAGGGAAAAGCAAGAACAAATATGTAAATTCCTGGCTACTATCCTGTTGTTACAGGATAGTGTTTATAAAACATTTTATGCAATGTTTCCTTGCCAATTAAAGGTGAGTGTGGCATTTGCCTTTTAGTTTTATTATCTTTGCCTAACCTTTATAATAGTAACATAAGCCAAAGGGATTAAGGAAACGACTGGATAACATGTATCTGCAAAACTGTCTTCACTGGAAATTATTGTCAGGGTAAAAGGAAATGGTATTAGGGCCCTGAAAGAGGGACAGGCTGGATTTCCTTTAAATATAATTGGTAGAACTTGAAATATGTTTGCATTTGTAATGTCAAAGCCTGATGATCTAGTCGTTGCAGAAATTCTGTGAGCTACCTAACACCCTTTAATAAAGCCCTTTCTGTTACAACTAGCAAGAGGGATTCAAACTAAGAACAGTAAACCACAGAATAACTAAGGCCAAACATTTTGCTGTCAACAGACACGCAAAGAAGTAAGAATCTTGGACTAATTTTTTTTCCTCAGTTGGATTTGAAAGCAGTGACGATCCTATTATCATTACAGGACTGGTAGTTCATCTTACATGGGACGAAAGTGTTCCTTACGTGATCACCTGCAGTAACCTGGAATGAGGTAACCTTCTGTTGGCAAGACTGAATGACTCCTGCTTCCACACAGGAAAGCTTAAATAAAGAAAATTCCAAGCTCAATATTAAAGTTATCAGCTCAAGGCACAATCACGATTAAAGGGTTTCTATGACTACCCTAAAAAAGAGTCCCCTATATCTTGCAGTTGTTTGGCCAAGACTACTGAAACTCAGACAGAATTTGCCCAATTGCAAAGTAGGTTGCTTTCACAGCCCTCTGTTAAGTAGCTAATTGAGAAAGAGTGGGGCCCTAAGAGTTGGAATGGAGTCCAATGGCATCCAAAACCCTTAAAACTACTAAGCCTCTCTTGCCAGATGAAATAATTTCCTTGTCCATTAAGTTAAGTCTGCTCCTGACAATATAGGAGCCTTGATTTTTAAATACCTCTCCTAAGGTAGTTGCTTCTCAAGGGGTGCCAATTCCCCCCAAGCCTCTCTCCTCCTTGCTTCTATACTCATGACTAAAGACGTAATCCAACATGCCCTTTAAGATAAGTTACAAAGTCAAACCATGAAATATACAACAACAATAAATTACAAGAATTGACTAATTTATATCACCAGAAACCTGGAGAATAAATGTAAAAAGGGATTCTGGGAATGACAGATTAGAGGGAACGGAACATAATTTTAGATTTTCTAAACTTATAAACATGGAAACAAATGCCAAAAATTCTGGATCCAATATACGAGTTCTAGGTAACCCACATGGCTTTCAGCTGTTTTCTTGGTTGCTTAACTCAAATCTGGAGTCAGTCGTCACCTATGCTAAATGAGGCTGAGTTCCCAGATCATGCAATGAGAAGGAAAAAAAAAAAAAAGATCTAGAGAGATGAGAGTAATAAACTAAAATTATCATATGCAACTAACTTATCTGTCCCCAACTTTGTCTCCCAATAATAAACTAAAATTATCATATGCAACTAACTTATCTGTCCCCAGATTTGTCTCCTAAAAAGGTCCAGGTCTCCAGGTCTTTACCAGGGCCCTGAGAAATATTTAAAGACTAAGGGAAGTACCAGTTCTTTTGAAAAGCACTTTAGGCCGGGTGCAGTGGCTCATGCCTGTAATTCTAGCACTTTGGGAGGCCAAGGCGGGTGGATTACCTGAGTTTGGGAGTTCAAGATCAGCCTGGACAACATGGTGAAACCCGGTCTCTACTAAAAATTCAAAATCAGCTAGGCGTGGTGGTGCATGCCTGTAATCCCAGCTACTCGGGAGGCTGAGACAGGAGACTCACTTGAACCTGGCAGGTGGAGGTTGCAGTGAGCTGAGATCGCGCCATTGCACTCCAGCCTGGGCAACGAGAGCAAAACTCCGTCTCAAAAAAAAAAAAAAAAAAAAAGAATATACATGCATATCTATGGAAATTATTTCAGAGACATGTTATAGTCACCTCAGATTCCCAAAGCTTCACCTGTCTCTCAGGCACACAACTGCCCCTGCTGCCACCACCACCGCATCTACTGACATCTCTGGCTATCTCATTCTGTCCTGAGGTGAATGCTAGGCTCTGGAAACATGGCCTTCCTAATGCCTTCTCATCATGCCAGAAGCTGCAGAAGCTCTGGCACCTCTTGGCGCAATTCAGTCGGACCCGTGTAGGTTCCGATTCCTCCTGCCCTTCTAAACTCCAATGCAGACTCCAAAGAATTGGCATTCCACAGGGTGGGACGTGGCCTCCGCAGCAGCTGCCCAAAGAAGCCAGGTGATACCACCTAAAAGTGCATGGACTGAACTCGCCATGAGGCAAACATTGACCAATAGGAGAGAAATGAGACGGAAGGAAGGTAATGGAGCAATCCATCTCTCTTTCCCCCTCCAGTGGACTATTCCAACATGTCTTTTCTGTATGTACAGCCTGTCTGGTATTGTCCTGTCTGAGTGGACATCATATTCTTCACAGTTCATGAGGCGGTGGCCAGCTTGGTAACATGCCAGTTTCCATTTGCTTTCCATCCTTCTTTCTCTTGTTTCCCTGTTCCGTGTCTCTCTATCCCAGAATATCACCTTTCAATAAAACCTTACCACTTGTCTTGCTTCAGCCTCTGTTTTTTAGGGACAGTGATAAATTTGAAAATTTAGAGGACATGGTTAGTTTTCTACCAAAATAAAAACTACTATGTTTTGCCAAGTAAGAGATAGAAAATCTGACCAGATCAGTCATCACAGAAAACACTGGAAAGCTAAGTAAAGGTCTGCCATTTTTTAAAAGATACTAAGCCCAGAAAATACAACAGCTGAATTATATTTAAGTTTTAAAGTACAAATAATTCCTAATTTATTTTCTCCATTCTCAACCAGGCAATTCATTTTATTTATGTTATGCATTATTGTGCTATTAACATAGCATAATAAAGATAATTCAAAAAAAGAAAACTATAGGCAAATTTCACTTATGAATAAAGATGCAAACATTTAAAAATGACATCAAATGAATTTTGACAATGCATTAAAAGAACAATTCATCTGTATGAGTCCATTCTCACACTGCTATAGACATACCTGAGACTGGGTAATTTTATAAAGAAAAGAGGTTTAATCTGCCCATGGTTCTATGGGCTGTACAGGCTTCTGTTTCTGGGGAAGTCTCAGGGAACTTATCATCATGGCAGAAGGCAAAGGGAAAGTAGATACACCTTCACATGATCGGCAGGAGAGAGAGAGCAGAGGAGGAGTTGCTACACACTTTCAAACAACCAGATCTTGTGAGAACTCTATCACAAGACAGCACTAGGAGGATGGTGCTAAACCATTAAAAGCCAACCCCAAGATCCGGTCACTTCCCACCAGGCCACTCCTCCAACAATGGAGATTACAATTCAACATGAGATTTAAGTGGGGCCACAAATCCAAACCATATCAACATAATAACCGAATTTTAAATCACATTAGCAGATCACATAAATGTAAACATGTATGAGATAATTTAATAATTTTCTTAACATAACACAAGACCCTTCAAAAAGATCTATCTCTTTTTTTTTTTTTTTTTTTTTTTTCTTTTTTTGAGACAGAGTCTTGCTCTATCGCCAGACTGGAGTGCAATGGTGTGATCTCGGCTTACGGCAACCTCTGCCTCCCAGGTTCAAGCAATTCTCCTGCCTCAGCCTCCAGAGTAGCTGGGATTATGGGCACATGCCACCACGCCCAGCTAATTTTTTTTTTAATTTTTAGTAGAGACAGTGTTTCACCATGTTGGCCAGGATGGCCTTGATCTCCTGACATCATGATCCACCCGCCTTGGCCTCCCAAAGTGCTGGGATTACAGGCATGAGACACTGCACCCGGTCAAATAGATCTATCTCTTATACACACACACTCTAACCATATGAATAAAACATATTAAAGATACATCTAGTTTCTTCCCAGAATCTTTTCAAACCTTCTTTATGCTTTTCCCTCATTCTTCAACTGCTGACACCAGAATGTCTTTGAGGTCAGTAGGACTAGCTCACAGTAAATTTCAATAGGGGTGGTATCAGCATTTGAGGAAAGATCATTCTACTTTATGTAAGCCTGACTTAGGCATGGCAGGACGTTTAGCTTCTCTGACCCTGGGCATTAAATATCATAGCACACCCAAGTAATTGGCAACAAAAAAAATCCTCCATTCATTTCCAAGTGCTTGATGAGGATGACCCACGCCTGGTTAAGAACAATTGAGGGGCTACCCCTTACCTGTTCTGAGTAGTTACTGGGATACAGAGAGCTACCCCTACACCTGTAGCCCAGTAATTACTGGGAACTCTCTCCACCTCCTCAGACAACCCGATTCCCACTTCTTTCCTGCCCCTCCATTCTAATCTATCTCCTTCCGAAACTGGAGAGGGCGCCCATCATTTTAGTTCTCTTGGCCTTTCCTATCTGAGTGTGCTAGAACATCAGAACCCAGAAAACACAAATCACCAGCGAACAAGATGATGTGCACTTCCATACACAGTGCACAAGGAAGCAGAAATGTCCATGAGGTGCTTTTAGATAGCTAAGTCATCAATTCGCTTGTCATTTGTTGATTGTATGGGCATTGAAACAACAGAATTTCCACAGAGCCAAAAATGAAAATCCACCATGTCCTATCTGGTCAAAGGATCCCCCACTGCCGAGGCTCTTTTTCTCCTCTGAGTCTCAGTATAGCAAATGGTTAACAGCACAGGCCCTAGAGAGATGGAATTTGGATATAAATCCAAATTCCACTCTTGCCCTTTCTTCTATATTTGAAAAAACTGTTGGTTTTGACAAAATATAATTTATATTTCTTATCTTCATGCAAGGTTTTTACTGAGTCCTCCATACTTTTCTTCCTGCATCTTCCACTAATTTGCTTTGCCTCTGTTGGTCTTTTGCCAAGTTTCCTAAGGATTCTTAGCCACACTACTAGGTTTAGTCCTTTGGAGGGAAAAAATACCTGATTCTTCACTTCAGGAGCATTTCTTGCCTTCATTTTTCACTTCAGGAATGACAAGGAAGGATGCATAACCAGGTGTTTGGCAGACTGTCACAGAGAAGAGTCCAGATTTACCATGAGCAGCGTAGAATCCACCCTTACTGGCTAGGCAATCTTGCACAGGTCACTTAATCTCTCTGAGCTTCATTTTTCTCACCAAAAGAAATGGGAAAAAATGTGCCAAAATCACAAAGCTGTGGTAAAGAACAAATAAAACAGTGAGGTTGCAAATACCCTTTGCGTGGGGTGAGAAATTATTCATGTGCTCACTTTCATTCTCCACAAAACTTTAATTTTCTCATGTTCTCTGGATACTTTCTCTGATGTTGAGTTATGGAAGTCATTAAAACAGTACATGAGAGAAGGCTTTAGATCCTTGTCTTAGTCCACTTGGGCTACCATAATAACGTACCCTAAATTAGATGGCTTATAAACAACAAAGGCCAGGCAGGGTGGTTCACAGCTGTAATCCCAGCACTTTGGGAGGCCAAGGCAAGCAGATTGCTTAAGGCCAGGAGTCTGAAACCAACCTGGCCAACATGGTAAAATCCCATCTCTACTAAAAATACAAAAATCAGCTGGGCGTGGTGGCACACTGCTGTAATCCCAGCTTCTTGGGAGGCTGAGGCACAAGAATTGCTTGAACCCAGGAGGCAGAGGTAGCAGTGAGCTGAAGTTGTGCCACTGCATTCCAGCCTGGGAGACAGAGCATGACTTTGCCTCAAAAAAAAAAAAAAAAAAAAAAAAAAAAAAACCACGAAATTTATTTCTCACAGTTCTGGAGTTGAGGACGTCCAGGATCAAGTTGCCAGCAGATTCTGGTGAGGGCTGACTTCCTGGTTCATGGACCACCATCTTTTCACAGTGTCCTCATATGGCAGAGGGGGCATGGGAGCTTTTAACAGTTTCTTTTATAAGGGCACAAATATGATTCATGAGGGTTCTGTCTTCAGGATCTAATCACCTCTCAAAGCCCTCCTCTCCTAATACTATCATATTGGGGGTTAGATTTTAACTCATGAACATTGGTGTCACCTAAACATTCAATCTACAGCATTTCATACTTACCCCCGCAAAATTCATGTTTTTCTCACATATAACATACACTCACTGCATCCCAACAGCACCAAAAGTCTTAACTCGTTCCATCTTTAATTCTAAAATCTAAAATCCAAAGTCTCCTCTAAATATCATCTAAATCAGATATGGGTAAGAGTCAAGGTGCAATCCACCCTGAGGCAATTCATCCTGTCCACTGTGAACCTGTGAACCCGAAAGAGTTACGTGCTTTCAAAATACAGTGGTGTGATAGGCATAGGATAAACATTCCCATTCCAAAAGGGAAAAACAGTAAATAAGAAAGGAGTAACAGAGCTTGAGAAGAAACTTTGACCTGATGCTCTGCCCTCCAGGCCCACTGGGGCATGGATCCCATCTATCAGACCCATTGAGGCAGCAGTCTGGCCCCTGCAGACTTGTTGGGCAGGGGTTGGCCCAAGGCTTCAGGCAGCTCTGTACCCATGGCAGTTCTCTGCCTTGACCCTGCAGCTTTCCAGGGCTGGGGTCCCTAGTCCATGACTCTACCAGGAGGCCTCGTCCTTTGAAATCTAGGTGGGGACAACCATAGCCTGACAGCTGTGCTGAACATAGCTCATGCCACCCTGGGATCCACCGGAACGCTACCTAGGGTTGCTGAGGAGAACAGAGCTGGAGTGTAGGGAATGGAGTCCTTGATGTGAGGCAAGGCCTGTGTGCCAAACTCCTGCGGGCACCAGGCATCAGCAAGCCTCTTCTTGGAAACCATTCTATCCCTCCCTGCCCCCAACCCTTGTACTATGGGCCTGCAATAGAAGGGACAACTCTGATGGTTTCTGAATTGCCTCCAGGGGTTCTCCATTCTCTTGGAGAATAGCTGGTAGCTTCTTTTGAGATGGTTGACAAATCTCCTTATCAAACAGTCATTTGGCCACCCCCTTAGTTTTCTCTCTTAAACCAGGTTTCTCATTCCAATATGGATAGGCTGAGAATTTTCCAAATCTTTAAGTTCTGCCTCCCTTTTGATGAACCATCCCATCTTTAAATAACTTCTTTTTTCTCATTTTATTATAAGCAGTCAGGAGAAACCAGTCCACTCCTTCAACACTTCACTTAGAAATTCACAGCCAAATATCCAATTTCATTTCTTGCAAGTTCTACTTTACACAAAACACTGGGACAGGAACACAATTCAGCCAAGTTCCTTAAGACTTTATAATAGAGACCACCTTCTTCCAGTTTTCAATAACAAGTTCTTCTTTTCTGTCTGAGACCTCATCAGAACAGCTTTTACTCTTCATATTTCTACCAACATTCTGTTCAAGATTATTTAGGTGTTCTCTAAGAAGATTGATCCTTTCTCTACTGTTCTCTTTTCTTTCTGAGCCCTCATCAACATTGCTTTCAAAGGACTATTTATGGCAATGTAGGCTTTTTCTAGCATGCACCTCAAAAGTTTTCCAGCTTCTACCCATTACTCAGTTTCAAAGACACTTCCACATTACAGATATTTGTTATAGCAACACTCCCACTTCTTGGTACCAATTTCTGTCTTAATCCATTCGGACTACTATAACAAAATACCATAAACTTGTTGGCTTATAAACAACAGAAATTTATTCCTCACAGTTCAGGAGGCTAGAAAGTTCAGGCTCAAGCTGTTGGCAGATTCACTGTCTTGTGAGAGTCCACTTCCTTGTTCATAGATGGCCATCTGCTTCTTTTTTTTTTTTTTTTTTTGAGATGGAGTCTCACTCTGTCACCCAGGCTGGAGTGCAATGGCACGATCTTGGCTCACTGCAACCTCTGCCCCCCGGGTTCAAGTGATCCTCCTGCCTCAGCCTCCTGAGTAGCTGGGATTATAAGTGCGTGCCCCCACGCCTGGCTAATTTTTGTATTTTTAGTAGAGATGGGTTTTCACCATGTTGGCCAGGCTGGTCTTGAACTCCTGGCCTCAGGTGATCCACCTGCCTTGGCCTCCCAAAATGTTGGGATTACAGGCGTGAGCCACCGTGCCTGGCCTAGATGGCCATCTTCTTACTCAGGTGGCAGAAGGAGCAAGGGAGGTCTCCAGGTTCTCTTTTATAAAGCACTAGTCCCATTTTTGAGGGCTCTGCCTTCATGACCTACTCACCTCCCAAAGGCTCCACCTCCTAATGTCATCAGATTGAGAGGTAGGTTTCAACATATGAATTTTAAGGGAACATAAACATTCAATCTTATAGTCAGCCTCAGTTATTGGCATACAGCCTCATGCATAGGGACTTTTTCTATATGCTTCTTGTTAAAGTACCTCCAAATTATTGGAGAATGAGAATTATTCTCCAAATTATTGGTTAATATTGATATATTTAATCTTTTCAAGTTACTTCATTGTAACAATTCTCCCTTCAGAATGAAGCAGGTCTAAGGCTCTAATTCTTAACATGTGTACTTGGAAATCCGTGTTTGATTTGAACTAGTGAAATTGAGTCACAAAAACAGGTGACAAGTTTTATATGTTCTTGATAAATATAGTCTGCTATTAATATTTTCTTCCTATTTTAGAACAGCAATTTCCAATGTGGGTTGCACATACTCCAGTAAATCAACTGATCCACTGGAGACATAAAAGAAGAAAATATGAGAAATGTTATTTATATTTTTTATCTCATTCTTTAGAATTTTTGTATTGCCCTAATAATATATCAGTACAGTGTGTTTTAATCAGAAAAGTTTAAAAACAGTACATGTGGTAGCCAGGTGCGGTGGCTCACACCTGTAATTCAAGCACTTTGGGAGGCTGAGGCAGGTGGATCACTTGAGGTCAGAAGTTTGAGAACAGCCTGGCCAACATGGTGAAACCCCATCTCTACTAAAAATATAAAAATTAGCCAGGCATGGTGGCATGCACCTGTAATCCTAGTTGCTCAGGAGGCTGAGGCAGGAGAATCGCTTGAACCTAGGAGGCTGAGGCTGCAGTGAGCCAAGATTGAGCCACTGCACGCTAGCCTGGGTGACAGAGTGAGACTCAGTCTCAAAAAAAAAGAAAAGGTACATG
Organism: Homo sapiens; assembly: GCF_000001405.40. Lineage (NCBI taxonomy): Eukaryota > Metazoa > Chordata > Mammalia > Primates > Hominidae > Homo > Homo sapiens. Next base: position 19,599,199 of record NC_000012.12, on the reverse strand, counting down.
TGGAAGTCCTAAGCTTTTGTTTCTTTTTTCATACAGTGAAGATATAATAATAACCAATTTATTGAGTCAAAAAATTTTAAACATAGGAAAAAATTTATTTCATTCATTTGGGACAAAGTAGTCAGATTTTCTATCCCACAACTGAGAGAAAGGCTTGTGAAACTCTGGAGTGTAACATTTTGGGGGGTTTTGTGGGGAGGAGGATGCTTCCCTTGGAAAAACAAAATCACTTGACTTAAAAGTTTCAAGGTCCCGTAAAGCAGTAGAATTGCACCTTGAGCCCTCATTCTCATTCCCAAATCTGTTGTCGTCATTTTGATTTTTGCTGTAGCTGCATCTTTGTGGATATCTAAAAACTCCATTATAGCGCTGGGCGCGGTGGCTCACACCTATAATCCTAGCACATTGGGAGGCCAAGGCAAGAGGATTGCTTGAGGCCAGAAGTTCAAGACCAACCTAGCCAACATAATGAGACCCCCATCTCTATTTTTTTTTAAATGTAAAAAAAATAATAATTAAAAAAAGCCCCATGTTAGCATGACCCAATGTGGCATAGAACAAATGTGGTTTAATTGGGAGGAAGAAAACCTAGAAAGGATTCAGGGCCAGGCACGGTGGCTCTCGCCTGTAATCCCACCACTTTGGGAGGCCAAGGTAGGTGAATCATCTGAGGTCAGGAATTCGAGACCAGCCTGGACAACATGGTGAAACTCCATCTCTACTAAAAATACAAAAAAATTAGCCGGGCATTGTGATTCATGCCCAGCTACTTGAAAGGCTGAGGCAGGAGAATTGCTTGAACCTGGGAGGCGGACATTGCAGTGAGCTGAGATCGCGCCACTGCACTCCAGCCTGGGCAACGGAGTGAGACTCTGTCTCAAAAATAAAGGATTCAGAAGCTTGAGTTTTAGTTCTGTTTCCACCACTTACTGGATGAGTGAACTTGGAAAATTCTTTTAGTTTTGTTTTCATACCTCAGTTTCCTTATCCTGTACAGAGGAGACAGTAATCTCTGCCATGCCTACCTCAATTGTTTCAGGATACAATAATAACAATTATGTTTTCTTGGTCCATTCAAGCTAAGAAAACATTTATTGTTTTTGGACTATATATTTATTGTATTTGGACTATTTTTTTAGTAAGTATAATAAAGTGGGTAGATTATAAACAACAGAAATTTATATATCATAATTCTAGAGGCTGAGACATCCAATATTTAGGCACTGGCAGATTCAGCATCAAAGATCTAGCATGGCTAGAGGCTGTGTCCTCACACGGTGGAAGAAGCTAGGAGTCTCCCCTTGGCCTCTTTTATAAAAGAACTAATCCCATTCATGAGGGCTCTGCCCCCATGACCTAATTAGCTCCCTAAGGCCCCACCTCCTAATACCATCACTCTGGGGATTTGAGTTCATCATATGAATTAGGGATGGGGGAGCATAAACATTAAGATCATAGTGTATGTCAAGTTATTACGTCAATATATCTTATAAGTTGTGAAGAACTCATGAAAGTCAGGCATTGTTTTTGTGCACGCACATTTAGAGGTGTTGCCTTGGGCCGGGATGCATCCAGTCCAGTCCTAGATGTTTTCCATCTACGCAGTGAAAGACACTCATCCTCAACTCGAGTAATTTTTGACACCATTTAATGTGAAAAGCAGCAGAACCTGCGGTTTTGCTGGCCACCCGACACAGGAGAGTGAATTCCTATTCAAATTAGGCTTAATGTTAATCCCAGCAAAGAATTTAAGAAGGGTGCTAAGGGAAAGGGGAGGGCCCCCACCCATCTGCAGTTACGGAAGGCAAATCATTATATGTCCTGAAATCAGAAGGAAAACAGGGACAAGATATGTTCAGTTTCAGTATTTTTGGGAAAGTAGCTGTGTACACAATTCAAAAGGGAAATTAATGCTCCCATTCCAAAATCATCATCTTCTGGAAAGAAAATCAGAGCCGTGTTGCTTCTTTTTAGCCAAACTCAGAAACTGTCACAAAGGACCTACTGAAGGAATATTAAAAGCTATTACTTTCCTTAGAATCACTTAATTTTATGGCACACAGATGGAATTTCTACTTTAGTAAGTAGGTAATGAATATTTCAGACTTTAAAATTTTCCCCTAGCCATTTTTGCAACTCACAATTTGCTACTTAGAACAGTGAAAAAATATGACTGTTAATGCTGACAGTCAAAAAAGGAAAACTTTCTCCAGCACTCTTCTCTCACTGTTTTTTTATTGCTCATCTGGATTGGCCTGTAGGGTTTAATGGCCAAGGAATTAATTAGAAATGTCTGTTCTGGTAGAAAAGTTGCTGCTATTGCTTTGGTTAGTGATTTCTTTCTTAACGTAGTTTTAAAAGCTAAATTATCACCAAGCAGTGAAATGCTCTCTCTCAATACATCCCTCTTCATTATTCTTATCAATTAGCTGCAATTTCGGAAAGAATTTTGTCCCATTTTTCCATGATGTTGAGTAAGTACATGATCCAGAGGAGCTCTTACTGTTTCTAAAAATCTTGTCAAGTCATTTCTTCCAAATCAGAGACCACACACTGAGATGGATATTGAGATTTCTTGGTTTCAAGACTAAAACAAGTGATAAGTGAGCCAAGCAAAATAAGATGAGGTGGCCCTGTTTAGGCCAATTCCTTGCCTAAAACACCTTCCAAGCACAATCACCATCAAATTGTCTATGGCTCCCCAGACAGTGACCTGGCATTTCTTATTAGAAGAAAACCACTTCAGATTGACACTATTGGAAAAAGCACATAGAGTCCAAGAAATCAATAGGCAGAAAGAGAAAGTCAATAACAATGAACATAGTGACACAAGAAACCAACTAAATTAGAAGCTTAATGAAGTGTTCCCCCAAAAATCTACCATTAGATTCAGTGTCTTCAGAATCAATATGACCCACCCGACTTAGGCATTCAATAATAATTGAATAAATAAAACGGAAAGCTTAGGCAGTCTGCAAAATTATCCAAGGTTTATTTTTCTCCAGAAATTTAGTTTTCAACCCTTGGCTTTTAGGGCTACAGAAAGTTGCTGGTATTGCTAAAGAAGTGCAAAAATAACAAGCACCTGGGCCAGCCACGGTGGCTCCTACCTGTAGTCCCTGCCCTTTGGGAGGCTGAGGTGGGAGGGTTGCTTGAGGTCAGGAGTTCAAAACCAGCCTTGTCAACATAGGAAGACTCCATCTCTAGGGAAGAAAATTTTTAAAAAATTAGCTGGGCAAGGTGGTGCATGCATGTAGTCCCAGCTACTGGAGATGCTGAGATGCAAGGATAACTTGAGCCCAGGAGTTTGAGGCTGCAGTGAGCTATGATAGTGCCACTGCACTCCAGGCTGGGTAAAAGAGCAAGACCTTGTCTCAAAAAAAAAAAAAAAAAAAAAAAAGGAAAAAGAAAAAGAAAAATGAGCACAAGTCTCTGACACAGACTGTAATTGGCAAGGCCTCCTGAGGACGACATCAACTTACACTGCTTTGAATGACCCTCAGCATAGTAACATATGCATCTAGAATTTACATACATTTCAATGATATTAAAATATCCCAGATATGGCCGGGCACGGTGGCTCACACCTGTAATCCCAGCACTTTGGAAGGCCAAGGCAGGCGGATCACAAGGTCAGGAGATCGAGACCATCCTGGCTAACACGGTGAAACCCCCTCTCTACTAAAAAATACAAAAAATTAGCCGGGCATGGTGGCAGGCGCCTGCAGTCCCAGCTACTCGGGAGGCTGAGGCAGGACAATGGCATGAACCTGGGAGGCGGAGCTTGCAGTGAGCCGAGATCATGCCACTGCACTCCAGCCTGGGTGACAGAACGAGACTCCGTCTCAAAAAAAAAAAAAAAAAAAGAAAGAAAGAAAAAAATCCCAGATATAAGAAATAAATGCTGTATAGAAGTACCTCAAAAATACTATTTTCAGATCTCTACTTACTGAAATAAACCTGGAAAAAATATAAAGTAACAAAATGTTAATACATACTTTCTGGGCCTCATTATCAGTGAATAGAGCAGAGAACTAGAGGGTTAAATGCCCATAAAGTTTTTTGTGATGAATCAGAAGGAAATCAGGCTGGAATTTGCTTTTCCTTCTTTAAAACAAGCTTGCATCCCTTTTCCAAATTATGTTATTTGGTCCCATGTGAGCTACTAATAACTTTTATAGATGACATTATCTTCTCCCTCCTTGATGTTGAGTGCTGTCCATTCAAGTCACTTCAGAAATGGAATACAGGAAGCAAGCTAGAACTCCAAACTTACGCTATCCTACAAGGAAAGTATATGGGAGCTATGAAGCCAAGATAAAATTTCTCGCTTGAATAGTAGTAGGGAAAGCTTTTATTCATAATGAAATGTATCCAGTGAGTTTAACATCTGTTTCTAAGGTCAACCACTGAGATCTGCTACTGATCCTGAATTTTTATCTCCAGTCTATTTCTCTACCTGGACATATCTCATTATCTTCCTTTCCTATTCCAACCCCATCGCATTTCTCCACACTCATGTCCTCTTGAGTAACCAATTGCCATGACCATTTCTGACGTCGTTTCTAAGGTGTTAATTAATTTGTCCTTCAAACTTAAGTAAACTTAGGGATGCTAGAACTAATAATAATAGGAAACCTTATATGGCACGTGTTCTGAGCTCTCTGTGTACATTAATTCACTCAATCCTCACAACTCCACCCCTAAGGTAGATACTGTCATTCATATTTGCACAGACTATGGAATTAAGGCATAGAGAAGTAAAGCAACTGGCTCAAGAGCTCAGCTCACAGCTAAAATTGGTTGGAATTCAAACCCTGGCAGTCTGTTTGAAGAGCCCATATCCTTAACTCCTGTCCTAGGCTGTCCCTCAAAAACAAGCAAGCAAACAAACAAAAAAGGCAAGATGCAAAGTGGTCTCTTAATAATCCCTTTCCTATCATACACTGATTATGTTTGAAATTTTTCAATCCCTTCAGTGTGGTCTCCACTTGCTCAAGAAGACACACAAAATAGGAGATGAGTGAAACAAAGCCTTCCACGTGGAAACAGTCCATTAAAATATGCCCAATGAATGAATGAGTGAATGAATGAGCTACTGAGCCCCTCTGCTTTCTCTCAGCCATCTGCTGCCATTATTATTCCCAGCCAGCAGGCCTAACACTTCCCTATCGATCTCCTTGCTCTGAACGCAGGTTTTCTGTGGACTTCTTCCTGTCTCTGGCATCTGTCATGTACCTACAGGTCAGCCAGCGTTCCTCTTTCCTCATTTGCTCTCCTCTGCAGTCCATCTGCAGTTCCAGGTCTGCATTACCTGCAGATTCTCCCGTGAAGCCGCACTGGCGTCAGCTTTTTATAATTCTGTTGAAATATCTCAGGCATATTAAAATATAACAAGCCCCAGTAGGCTAAAGAAATAAAAAATGAAAATAACTGCCTCAGTTGAAGCCCCTGTGAACTCTGCATGATCCTTTGTTCTTTTCTCTCCCCTGAATCAACCCCTACCCTGAACTTGGGGTATTTTGTATGCTTTTAATATGACTTCATAAAGAGTATATGGTTCTACTTGATCTTAAACTTTACAGAAAGGGTATCATATTGTACATATGCTATTTGCTCAGCATTATAGGTCACTTTAATAATAAGTGGAAGAAAATAAAAACTTTCTCCCCATGACACAGGTTAAGAAAAAGAGCATTCCTATTGCCATGCGAGCCCCGAGTGAGCGTCTCCTGATTCCATTTCACCTCGCCTCCCAGAGGTAACCACTATCCTGGCTTTGCCTTGCTTCTCTACTTTTTTGGGGGTTTGGGGGGGTTTTTTGTTTATTTATTTGTTTGCAGGGGTAGGGAGTTGTTTGTTTGGTTTTGTTTTTTGGGGTTTTTTGTTTTGTTTTAGACAAAGTCTTGCTCTGTCACCCAGGCTGGAGTGCAGTGGTGCAAGCTCAGCTCATTGCAACCTTTGCTTCCCGGGTTCAAGCGATTCTCCTGCCTCAGCCTTCCAAGTAGCTGGGATTACAGGCGTGCACCACCATTCCAGGCTAATTTTTGTATTTTCAGTAAAGACGGGGTTTTACCATGTTGGCCAGGCTGGTCTCGAGCTCCTGACCTCAGGTGATCTGCCCACCTTGGCCTCCCAAAGTGCTGGGATTACAGGCATGAGCCACAGCACCCAGCCTGGTTTAAGGACAGGATCTGACTCTGTCACCCAGGCTGGAGTGCAGTGGTGCAATCTCGGCACACTGCAGTCTCTACCTTCTGGGCTTGAGCGATCCTCCCACCTCAGCCTCCTGAGTAGCTGGGACTACAGGCATGTGCCACCATGCCTGGCTAATTTTTTTGTATTTTTGGTAGAGACAGGGTTTCACCATGTTGCCCAGACTGGTCTCCAACTTCTGAGCTCAACTGATCCCCCCATCTCACCCTCCCAAAGTGCTGAGATTATAGGTGTGAGCCATCGTGCCTGGCCTCTACTTTTTTTTTTATAGTTGCTACCACTTACATATGTATCCCTAAATCAAGTATTACTCAGCTTTGTCCACTACCTTATATAATGTTTTCAAATATTATTTTGGGACTTGCTTCCTCCATTCAATATCTTGGAAATTCTTCCACACTAATGAACATATTTTCACTATGGTATAGTGCTACTTTCTCAGTAATTCTGCAAATTATCCACTCTACTATTGACAGGATTTTATTCTGTTGTTGTTTGTATTATTGTTCTAATCTCTCCGTCTCTCTCTCTCTCTTTTTTTTTTCACCACTATAAACAAAACTGCTGTGAATACACTTGACCATGCCTACATTATCTATGTACAATAATAACTATTATTGTTTTGTCTGCAACTCAGGTTTTCTGGGGAGTAATTTTAGTCATTTTTGTATTTTCTCTGTTTGGACGTAAGCTCAGTGCATCCAGGGTTTTTTGCGCTGATCTTGTCATCCAAAGGAGTCAAATGTACTCCAGGTGGCCCTAGGAGGAACCATAATTTTGTAATGCAAGCAAGGCTTCAGGTCCACTGTCATACTCTGTCTTTCTCATATCCTTTGGGATGTGTGTCATCCTGGTTTCGTTACTGTTATTATTGTTTTGGTTTTGGTCTGGGCCATTTTCTTTGGTGGCAGCCTCTGAGGTGTTATAATTCCCCCTTTTAGCCTTTTCTGTGCCTCTCTCAGAGGCCAAAAAACAGAAACAAAAAGAACCTTCCAGATGCCTCCATGCCACTCTGTGGCTAGCAATTGGAGTGCTGCCTTCCGTGCTCTCCCCAGATGCATATTGGCAAAGGGACCTTTCCACAAGTCTCTCTGTCTCCCCTGACTTCATCAGGAAGAGAGGCTTGGAATCTCCCTGGTTGCATGAAGCATTAAGGACATGATAGAATTATCAACGAAGCCTGAGGATGCAGTGAAATTTCAACCTATTCTGATGATCTGAGTTAGTTAGTTTAATTGCTGGGATTACCTGGAAAGTAAAGTAAAGACTGTTCTCCCTTGTAGAATAAACCAGTGAGATTATCCAAACACTCAGTCCCAATACCTTAGAGAAAATCTATCCAATATGGTAGCCCCTAGCCACATAATGGAGATTTAAGTTTAAATTATAAATAATTAAAATTAAATAAAATTTAAAATACAGTTCCTCAGTTACACTAGACACATTTCAAGTGTTTAGTGACCACATGTGGCTGGTGGCTTCCCTATTGGACAACACAGACATAGAACATTTCCATCATCACAGAAAACTCTACTGGATGGCACTGTCTTACAGGATACTTGCATGAGAGAGAGCAAAGTGGGTACGCTAAAGACATTGTGATTGCAAACAGCAGGATCAGTGGATGACTGATATTGGCACTAGGTATCCAGATTCACAACTGCAGTAACTGGGTTTCATTTCAGTATCCAAGAAAACTAAAGGCCAGAGGGTCTCACAACAGGGGTAATGGGCAGTTTCCGAGAGATTGCATTGTATATCAAAGTTTTCTTCCTCTATGTTGTCTTTTTTTTTTTTTTTTTTTAGACAAAGTATCTCTCTGTCACCAGGCTGGAGTATAGTGGCACGATGTCGGCTCACTGCAACCTCTGCCTTTTGGGTTCAAGTGATTCTCATGCCTCAGCCTCCCAAGTAGCTGGGATGACAGGCACATGCCACCATGCCCAGCTAACTTTTGTATTTTTAGTAGAGACGGGGTTTCGCCATGTTGGCCAGGCTAGTCTCAAAGTCTTGACTTCAAGTAATCCACCCACCTCGGCCTCCCAAAGTGCCGGGATTACAGGCATGAACCACCACGATGGGCCTATGTTGCTTCTTTCTATACAGCTTTATAAAAAAGAACTTTGTGTCATTTTGTGGTTACTCAGTTCAGTCTCATATTTTCTTCCCACTCTCTGTACCAACCTGGAGCCCTCAGATGTCTTTCCACTCCCTTCCCCGGCCTGCTTTGGGTAGCAGAGTGCTGAGCCACGCAAGCTGCATTTCCAAGGTTCCTTCTGGTTGGAGGATCTGGGATCAGCCAGGAGAAGTACTTGAGTGACACTGAAGAAGTAAAGGAAAGGAGAGGCCAGTGGGTTTCTCCCCCTCCTTCTCTGCCTTCACCAGCATCTCCAGCAGTGGCTCTCTCTGCAGTGTCAGCTCACATCACCCAGGCCTACTGTGGCCTCATTTTCCATAGAGTGGTCCTGGCCTCTGGACTCCAGCATAACTGACTCCTCTCTTTGTCACCCCCACCTAAGAGTGACATTAGCTTCCTGCCATTGCCAGTATCTAGGTTGGCTCAGTATCTCCTATTTGACTTCTCAGCAATCCCATCACCTTGGTGACCAATTCCTGCATTAAACTTCATCTGTTCTAACTCCCCATAATTGTTTCTGTGTTCCTGGTGGGCCCTCATACACCTCTACAAAATCCTCTTGTGCCCACATGGTAAAGTTGGCATGTAGTTGTTAGTTTTTGCAAACTCCCATCCCTTCCAGGAGTTTATCAGTCTGCTTACATAGGCCAAGTTCACAAAATTAATTCCTCCCCCTAAATTGCACGCACATATATGTGTGTATGCTGTATCCTGAGGTATTTTACACTGCCAAGCCACCATGTTTACTGGCTGAGGTTGTGCCCGATAGAGTGGCCCCTGTATATAAGAGATGACTCCAATCTGGTCCTCCTATGCCCTGGCCCACCAAAAGGGATGCCTTCTTCTGACTAGTCTTTGCAGAAGAGCCATGTTTTGCAACTTGTCTGTTTAGCAGAGATTTCTCTTTCTGATTTGCAAGAAGGTAACTTTGTGGCAGAGGTAGCTCTGTATGGTGTCTTTTATTTTCCTATCCAGATACACATAGTACTATAGATCTGAAGTCATCTAACTGTATAAATTTCTAATGAGTAGCATTGGAGGTCTGAGGGTCTTACATTAAGAGGGCCTCTCGGCCAGGCACAGTGGCTTATGCCTGTAATTGCAGCACTTTGGGAGGCCGAGGCAGGTGGATCTCTTGAGATCAGGAGTTTGAGACCAGCCTGGCCAACATGGCAAAACCCTGTCTCTACTAAAAACACACAAAAAATTAGCCAGGCATGGTGGTTGGTGCCTATAATCCCAGCTACTCGGGAGGCTGAGGTAAGAGAATTGCTTGAACCTCTGAAGAGCGGAGGTTGCAGTGAGCCAAGATCATGCCACTGCACTACAGCCCAGGCGACAGAGCAAGACTGTCTTGAAAAAAAAAAACAAAAAACAGAGGGCCTTGGGCCTCTCAATGCTCCATAAGTCCATAGCATCTTTCACATTAAAGATTGTAATGCATTATAATCTGCATCCCCACAGAGCTTTCCAAGGGCAAGGACTAAAGGACTATGTCTCTTGCAGCTCTGTATGTGCAAAGCTTAACAAAGTACCTGGCACATAGTAAGTGCTCAATGTATGTTCACTAAATGAAGACTGAATGGTGCTTTATGAGTTTGCAAAGCACTTTTAAATATATTACCACATTTAATGCTCACAGCAACATTGTGAGGTAATCCAACTAATTTTGCAAATGAGGAAATGAGACTAAGAGACGCTAAGACCACATTCATGGTTAGTGACGCAGGAAGGACTTAAAATTGCGCCTACGTATTTCTAGACCAATGTTCTACTACAGCTATCCAAGGACTCTTCTTGGTCTTTATTAATATTTATACTACCAACTTAGTGCAAGACTTTTAATGAATTAGGAAAAGCGCCCCCTTTGACAGGGTTGGATTATAAAAAGTTATTTCCTCTAAGAAAACAAATTGGAAAACGGCCCTCCGTCCTCCTGGCTAAGTGAGCCCCACCAGGGCTCAGCCCCCCTTGGCCAGGAGATTCTGTGCGAAGTCTATCCTACCCAATCATACAGACGTGTACACATCATGCAATCTGTTATAGCCTGTCTGTAAACTGAAGTTCAGGGATTCCTTTTGATTTTGTTTTTAAATTATACAGGGCTTCCTTTATTAATTCTATGAGGTATTTATACCGTAAAATGCTTTTCCTGGTTTTTTGACTTTTTATAATGTATCTAAACTCAAAGCATTATTGAGTAAGCTTTGATGGCAATATTTTTATTCACATCACAATAAAACAGCTATTTTATTTTCTTATTCTTCCTATCACCATCATCTTCAAATACTTATAGCACTGTGCCAGATAATTCTGAATAGATGTATAATCTCTTTCTCATCAATCTTCTGTCTTGCTGGAAAAGGTAAATTTCCCAGCTCAGGAAATGAAAATAACTTTGCCTCTTTTATTTTATTTCAGTTTGGTTGGATTTTAATGAGTTCACTTATAGCTGTTTCTAATAGAGGGAGATGTAAGCACGTTTTCTTTTGTTGGCTGTCAATTTTCCAAATTTTCTTTCTTTCTTTTTTGTTTTCTTTTTTTTAAAGACAGGGTCTCACTCTGTTGCTCAGGTTGGAGTGCAGTAATGCAATCATAGCTCATTGCAGCCTCAAACTCCTGGGCTCAAATGATCCTCCTGCCTCAGCCTCCCAAATAGCTGGGATTACAGGAACAATCCACCACCTTCTTTCTCTATTTTTAATTCCCTTGCTTCAAATAGAGGATGTACCAGACTTAACCATTTAAAAGGCAAACCTAGGCCAGCCACGGTGGCTCACGCCTATAATCCCAGCACTTTGGGAGGCTGAGGCGGGCAGATCACCTGAGGTCAGGAGTTCCAGACCAGACTGGCCAACATATAGTGAAATCCTGTCTCTATTAAAGAAAAATACAAAAATTAGCTAGGCATGGTGGTGCACGCCTGCAGTCCCAGCTTCTTGGGAAGCTGAGGCAGGAGAGTCACTTGAACACAGGAGGCAGAGGTTGCAGTGAGCTGAGATCATGCCATTGCACTCCAGCCTGGGTGACAGAGCAGACTCTGTCTCATAAAATAAAATAAGAGGCAAACCTAATCCATATTCCACAGATTTATGCCTCCAACCAGGTCTGCACTGTTCTTATTTCAGGATGCTTTGCAGATGTCAGAAACTGCTATTATAGGCTCATGAAAATGGTGGTGATTCTCTTCATATTAAATACACACACATACACACACACATGCAGAGCAACTGCGAAAAAATTTTTGTAACTTTTTTTGGTATTCTCTTGAAACTCAAAAAAGCACAATAACTTCATTCTCTGTTTTACATTTTTTTCTCCTCCTTTACAATATCATCTAGGGTCTTTTCATCTTTTTAGGGAACTGTTATAGATACTTCTGGAATTTATAAAACTAATTTCCTTCACATTAATGCAAAAATTCCATTGCTTGCCAACTCATTAGAAACAAAAGTTATGATTCTAATTTTACTCTTCTCTCTTCTCTTTCCAATCTTTACCTCATGTTCCTTTTATCTCACTTTTTCAAATGCTCAGAATCAAGATCAATCTTTGCCCTTTACTTCTCCATACCACCCTCTAGCACTTGCACAAAATGGAAATTCAGTCATTTCAAACACGCCTGCAGGCATGTGCAGCCCTCTTCTCTTTCTCCCTTCCATCAGTTATTGACACTTGCTAGAACACTGCTCTCAATGACCTTGAAGAATTAAGCAACACTAACATCTTTATCAATAGAAGGATATAACCTTGATATTAATCTGATCAGATCTGTATAACTTTTAAAATCACTCTAGTCATCAACTGAAGAACAAATAAGAAGAAAGATAAGATGAGACCACTTGGACGTAACTGCAGTGGTCCACAGGAAATGTAATCAGGGCCAGATCGAGGCAATCGCAAAGGCAACTGAGGAGAGAAGATGGAATTAAGAGACTCTGTGAAGTGAAATTGACAAGACTCAGTGATTGGAATGTGGAGGTTGAAGGAGAATAAGTTGTAGGAATTACCCCCTGAGTTGGGCTTTGGTAGCTGGGCAATGTTGACCTTTTTGGAGATAAGAAGACACAAGAAGAAGGCAAGTTTTGGTAAAAACATGGTTCATTCCATTTTGGTAATTATACTTCCTCTGAAAACAACACTTTGTTGCTGTTTTCTTTTTTTTTTTTTTTTAACTTTTTTTTTTTCATTAGTTTTGGAGGAACAGGTGGTGTTTGGTTACATGGATAAGTTCTCTAGTGGTGATTTCTTAGATTTTGGTGCACCCATCACCTGAGCAATATAAACAGTACCCAATGTGTAGTCTTATCTCTCACTTCCCTCCCACCCTTCCCCCTGAGTCCCCAAAGTCCATTATATCATTCTTATGCCTTTGTGTCCTCATAGCTTAACTCCCACTTATAAGTGAGAAGACATGACATTTGGTTTTCCATTCCTGAATTACTTCACTTGGAATAATGGTCTCCATCTCCATTCAGGTTGCTGTGAATGCCATCATTTCATTCTTTTATATGGCTGAGTAAAATTCCATGGTGTATATATACCACATTTTCTTGATCCACTCGTTTGTTGATGGACATTTAGGTTCCATATTTTTGCAGTTGTGAATTGTGCCGCTATAAACATGTATGTGCAAGTGCCTTTTTCATATAATGACTTCTTTTCCTCTAGGTAAATACCCAGTAGTGGGATTGCTGGATCAAATAGTAGTTCTACTTTTAGTTCTTTAAGGACTGTCCACACTGTTTTCCATAGTGGTTGTACTAATTTACATTCCCACCATGTTGCTGGTTTCTTCATTTAAAGTTGAGGCATTTGCGGGGTACAGTGCAATGCTGGAAAACTGATTTGTGCTTGGTAATTAATTTTCTATGTTTGCCTTTGATATCCCCAAGGAACAACAAAAAGCAATGACTGACAAATGGTTAGAAATAAAGTCTGAAACTGTTAAGAAAGATTTTGCCTAGAAATATATATATTGTGTTAGATCCTTTGTGCCCTTTTTCAACTATTGCGTCTCAACTCCAAATTTACTCTTCCATACTGTGCTTTGTCATACTGGGACAGGGACTCTGTAAACTACATTTCTGAGACCCCTTTGCCAGCTGGCTTCCTGTTAAATTCTGGAGAGAGGTGGGAAGGCAGGCAGGACAAAGAGACAATCACCTTCCTTCTTCCTTCTTCTCTTTGCTTAGTGTTCCTGTCAGTGGCACTTAGCCCCAGCTGCAACAGCTGGCTTCTGCTTGAACATTTTTGGCAACTCACATCTAGCCTCATCACTGGCCCTCAGAGATCCCTACGACATCAACACTGGGCCCTAGAGGTCCAACTACAACCTGGTCATAAACACCCCTCAGTGGCCTGAGCTCCCACTACATAGGTCCCCTACTCTGAGGTTCTAGAGCTTTTGACAATCCCAGTTTCCCCTGTTTGGTTCCCCCAGGGCTAGGTTGGTAGCAGCTTCCTCAGTAATATCTCCAGGTGAGCCCAGTGCTCCCTTTTGTCCTTTCTATCCTCTAATACATGTGTAAACTAATTCCTCTAGTAAATTCCCTCTGGTGAAATCTTTCTTGTGGTTTCTATTTTTCTGGCTGGGCTGTGACTGATGTACTTTGGGTATATAAAAATGAATAATAACCTTCCCTACCCTTAAGGAGCTCACAGACTAGTTAGGAGATGAAGATAGGCAAATAAATGTACTAATTTATTTTCGAGGTAGTGGATTGGCCATTTTATTTCCTCTCCCAACCAAAACCACAATAAAATGATAGCAAAGGTATTAAATACAACAAACTCTAAGTGATAGAGAGAACAGGAAACAAAGGAAACACATCAGCAGAGAATCTCAACAAAATTCTGGAGGTTAGACAGTATAAGATGTGTTAGTGATTAAGTAGGGCAGAGGAAACCGCATCCTGGAATATGCATAGAGAGGGTGTATTAGACTGCGCAATTCATAAAGAAAAGAGGTTTAACTGACTCACAGTTCCACAAAGCTGGGGAGGCCTCAGGAAACTTATAATCATTGAAGAAGGTGAAGAAGAATGTATTAGTCCGTTTTCATGCCGCTGATAAAGACATACTTGAGACTGGGCAATTTACAAAAGAAAGAGGTTTATTGGACTTACAGTTCCACATGTCTGGGGAGGCCTCACAATCGTGGTGGAAGACGAGGAGGAGCAAGTCACATCTTACG